>NC_000006.12:57808204-58453888 GCF_000001405.40 Homo sapiens | reverse complement strand
GAATTCTTCAATCTAGAGTTACATGAAGAAATCCCGTTTCCAAAGAAGGCCTCCAATAGGTCCAAATATCCACTTGCAGCTACTACAAGAAGGGTGTTTCAGAAACGCTCTATCAAAAGAAACGTTACACTCTGTGAGTTGAACGCACACATCACTCAGCACTTTCTGAGAATGATTCTATCTACTTTTTACATGAAGATGTTTCCTTTTCTGGCAGAGACTTCAAAGTGCTCTAAATATCCACTTGGGAATTCTACAAAAACGGTGTTTCAAAACTGCTCTATCAAAGGAAATGTTCCATTCTGTGAGTCGAGTGCACACATCCGAAGAAGTTACTGAGAATTCTTCTCTGTAGGTTTAGATGGAGAAATCCCGTTTCCAATGAAGACCTCTAGGAGGTCCAATTATCCACTTGCAGATTCTACAGAAAGAGTGTTTCAAAACTGCTCTATCAAGAGAAATGGTCCACCGTGTGTGTGGAATGCAGCCATCACACATTAGTTTCTGAGATTGCTACTCTCTTGGTTTTATGGGGAGATATTTCCATTTCTAGCATAGGCTTCAAGGCGCTCTAAATATCTGCTTGGAAATACTACAAAAACAGTGTTTCAAAACTGCTGTATCCAAAGGAAGGTGCCACTCGCTGAGTTGAATGCACACATCACAAAGAAGTTTCTGAGAATTCTTCTGTCTAGATTTATACGAAGAAATCCCGTTTCCAACGAAGGCCTCAAAGAAGTCCAAATATCCCATTGCAAATTCTACAAAAGGAGTGTTTCCCAACTGCTCTGTCAAGAGGAATGTTGCACTCTGTGACTTGAATGCAAACATCACATAGTAGTGTTTGAGAATTCTTCTATCTAGAGTAACATGAAGAAATCCCGTTTCCAACGAAGGCCTCAAGGCGGTCCAATTATCCACTTGCAGATTCTACAGAAAGAGTGTTTCAAAACTGCTCTATCAAGAGAAATGTTCCACCGTGTGTGTGGAATGCAGCCATCACACAGTAGTTTCTGAGATTGCTTCCGTCTAGGTTTTATGGGAAGATATTTCCTTTTCTACCATAGGCTTCAAGGCGCTCTAATATCCGCTTGGAAATACTACAACCACAGCGTTTCAAACTGCTCTATCCAAAGGAAGGTTCCACTCTGTGACTTGAGTGCACACAACCAAAGAAATTTCGGAGAATTCTTCTGTCTAGATTTATACGAAGAAATCCCGTTTCCAACGAAGACCCAAAGGAGGTCCAAATATCCACTTGCAGATCCTTCAGAAAGAGGGTTTCAAAACTGCTCTATCAAGAGAAATGTTCAACTCTGTGAGTTGAATGCAGACATCACAAAGTCGTTTCTGAGATTGGTTCTGTCTAGGTTTTATGAGAAGATATTTCCTTTTCTACCATACGCTTCAAGGCGTTCCAAATATCCGCTTGGAAATACTACAAAAACAGTGTTTCAAAACTGCTCTATCAAAAGGAAGGATCCACACTGTGAGTTGAATTCACACATCACAAAGAAGTCTCTGAGAATTCTTCTGTCTGGGTTTATAGGAAGAAATCCCGTTTCCAACGAAGGCCTCAAAGAGGTCCAAATATCCACTTGCAGATTCTACAGAAACAATGTTTCCAAACTGCTCTATCAAGAGGAATGTTGCACTCGGTGAGTTGAATGCACACATCACAAAGCAGTTTCTGAGATTGCTTCTGTCTACCTTTTATGGAAAGATATTCCCTTTTCTACCATAGGCCTGAAAGCACTCTCAGGGTACCCTTGCAAATTCTACAAAAAGAGTGTTTCCAAATTGCTCTATCAAGAGAAATCTTTATCTCGGTGAGTTGAAAGCACACATCACAAAGAAGACTCTGAGAATTCTTCTGTCTGGGTTTATAAGATGAAAACCCGTTTCCAACGAAGGCCTCAAGGTGGTCCAAATACAAACAAGCTGATTCTACAGAAAGAGCGTTTCCAAACTGCTCTATCAAGAGGAATGTTCCACTCGGTGAGTTGAATGCAGACATCACAAAGGAGTTTCTGAGATTGCTTCTGTCTAGCTTTTATGCAAAGATATTTCCTTTTCTACCATAGAACTCAAAGCGCTCTTAGTATACACTTCCAAATTCTACAAAGACAGTGTTACTAAACTGCTCTATCAAAGGAAATGTTAAACTCTGTGAGTTGAACACAGACATCACAAAGCAGTTTCTGAGAACACTTCTGTCTGCCTTTTACGTGAAGACATTCCCTTTTCCAAAGAATGCCTCCAAGGGCTCAAAATATCCACTTGTAGACTTTACAAAGAGAGTGTTTCAAAACTTCTCTACCAAAAGAAAGTTTAAAGACGGTGAGTTCAACGCACACATCACAAAGTTGTTTCTGAGAATGATTCTATCTATGTTTTCCATGAAGATGTTTCCTTTTCTATCATAGGCTTCAAAGTGGTCTAAATATCCACTTGGAAATCCTACAAGAACAGGGTTTCAAAACTTCTCTATCAAACGGAAGACTCCACTCTGTGAGATGAACGCACACATCACAATGAGGTTTCTGAAAATTCTTCTGTCTAGGGTTATAGGAAGAAATCCCGTTTCCAACGAGGGCCTCAAAGAGGTCCAAATATCCACCTGCAGTTTCTACAAAAAGAGTGTTTCAACACTGCTCTATAAAGAGGAAAGTTCCACTCTGTGAGTTGAATGTACACATCACAAAGTAGTTTCTGAGATTGCTTCTGTCTAGGTTTTAGGTGAAGTTATTTCCTTTTCTACTGTGGGCTTCAATGCGCTCTAAATATACACATGCAAATATTACAAAAAGAGTGTTTCAAAACTGCTCTATCAAAAGAAAAGTTTTACTCTATGAGTTGAACGCACACATCACAAAGCAGATTCTGAGAATTATTCTGTCTAGTTTTTATAGGAAGATGTTTCTTTTTCTGCCGTAGGCTCAATGCGCTATAAATATCCCCTTGGAAATCCTACAAAAACAGTGTTTCCAAACTGCTCTGTGAAAAGGGAGGTTTCACTCTTTGAATTGAATGCACACATCACAAAGGAGTTTCTGAGAATTCTTCAATCTAGAGTTACATGAAGAAATCCCGTTTCCAAAGAAGGCCTCCAATAGGTCCAAATATCCACTTGCAGCTACTACAAGAAGGGTGTTTCAGAAACGCTCTATCAAAAGAAACGTTACACTCTGTGAGTTGAACGCACACGTCACTAAGCACTTTCTGAGAACGATTCTATCTACTTTTTACATGAAGATGTTTCCTTTTCTAGCAGAGACTTCAAAGTGCTCTAAATATCCACTTGGGAATTCTACAAAAACGGTGTCTCAAAACTGCTCTATCAAAGGGAATGTTCCATTCTGTGAGTCGAATGCACACATCCGATGAAGTTACTGAGAATTCTTCTCTGTAGGTTTAGATGGAGAAATCCCGTTTCCAACGAAGGCCTCTAGGAGGTCCAATTATCCACTTGCAGATTCTACAGAAAGAGTGTTTCAAAACTGCTCTATCAAGAGAAATGGTCCACCGTGTGTGTGGAATGCAGCCATCACACATTAGTTTCTGAGATTGCTTCTGTCTTGGTTTTATGGGGAGATATTTCCATTTCTAGCATAGGCTTCAAGGCGCTCTAAATATCCGCTTGGAAATACTACAAAAACAGTGTTTCAAAACTGCTGTATCCAAAGGAAGGTGCCACTCGCTGAGTTGAATGCACACATCACAAAGAAGTTTCTGAGAATTCTTCTGTCTAGATTTATACGAAGAAATCCCGTTTCCAACGAAGGCCTCAAAGAAGTCCAAATATCCCATTGCAAATTCTACAAAAGGAGTGTTTCCCAACTGCTCTGTCAAGAGGAATGTTGCACTCTGTGACTTGAATGCAAACATCACATAGCAGTGTTTGAGAATTCTTCTATCTAGAGTAACATGAAGAAATCCCGTTTCCAACGAAGGCCTCAATTGGTCTATAGATCCACGTGCTTCTTCTACGAAAAGAGGGTTCCAGAAATGTTCTATCAAAAGAAACGTTAAACTCTGTGAGTTGAACGCACACATCACAAGCAGTTTCTGAGAACGATTCTATCGAGTTTTTACATGAAGATGTTTCCTTTTCTAGCAGAGTCTTCAAAGTGCTCTAAATATCCACTTGGGAATTCTACAAAAACAGTGTTTCAAAACTGCTCTATCAAAGGGAATGTTCCACTCTGTGAGTCGAATGCACACATCGGAGTAAGTTACTGTGAATTCTTCTCTGCAGGTTTATATGAAGAAATCCCGTTTCCAACGAAGACTTCAAGGAGTTCCAAATACCCACTCGCAGGTCCTACAGAAAGAGGGTTTCAAAACTGCTCTATCAAGAGGAATGTTCCACTCTGTGAGTTGAATGCAGACATCACATAGTAGTTTCTGAGATTGCTTCTGTCTAGGTTTTATGGGAAGATATTTCCTTTTCTACCATAGGCTTCAAGGCGCTCCAAATATCCCCTTGGAAATACTATAAAAACAGTGTTTGAAAACTGCTCTATCAAAAGGAAGGATCCACTCTGTGAGTTGAATTCACACATCACAAAGAAGTCTCTGAGATTTCTTCTGTCTGGGTTTATAAGAAGAAATCCCGTTTCCAACGAAGGCCTCAAAGTGTTCCAAATATCCACTTGCAGATTCTACAGAAACAGTGTTTCCAAACTACTCTATCAAGAGCAATGTTCCACTCGGTGACTTGAATGCAGACATCACAAAGGAGTTTCTGAGATTGCTTCTGTCTAGCTTTTATGGAAAGATATTTCCTTTTCTACCGTGGGCTTCAAGGCGCTCCAAATATCCGCTTCGAAATACTAAAAAAACAGTGTTTCAAAACTGCTCTATCAAAAGGAAGGATCCACTCTGTGAGTTGAATTCACAAATCACAAAGTAGTCTCTGAGACTTCTTCTGTCTGGGTTTATAGGAAGAATTCCCTTTTCCAACCAAGGCCTCAAAGAGATCCAAATATCCACTTGCAGATTCTACAGAAACAGTGTTTCGAAACTGCTCTATCAAGAGGAATATTCCACTCAGTGACTTGAATGCAGACATCACAAAGGAGTTTCTGAGATTGCTTCTGTCTAGCTTTTATGGAAAGATAATTCCTTTTGTACCATAGGACTGAATGCGCTCTAAATGTACCCTTGCAAATTCTACAAAAGAGTGTTTGGAAACTGCTCAATCAAAAGAAATGTTTAACTCGGTGAGTTGAATGCACGCATCACAACGAAGTTTCTGAGAATTCTTCTGTATGGGTTTATATGAAAAAAATCCCCTTTCCAAGGAAGGCCTCAAGGAGGTCCAAATATCCACTAGCATATTCTACAGAAAGATTGTTTCCAAACTGCTCTATCAAGAGGAATGTTCCACTTGGTGTGTTGAATGCAGACATCACAAAGGAGTTTCTGAGATTTCTTCTCTCCAGCTTTTATGGAAAGATATTTACTTTTCTACCATAGGTCTCAAAGCGCTCTTAATATACACTTCCAAATTCTACAAAGAGTGTTTCTAAACTGTTATATCAAAGGAAATGTTAAACTCTGTGAGTTGAACGCAGACATCACAAAGCAGTTTCTGAGAACACTTCTGTCTGCCTTTTATGTGAAGACATTCCCTTTTCCAAAGAATGCCTCCAAGGGCTCAAAATATCCACTCCTAGAGTTTACAAAGAGAGTGTTTCAAAACTTCTCTACCAAAAGAAAGGATAAAGTCTGTGAGTTCAACGCACACATCACAAAGTTGTTTCTGAGAATGATTCTATCTATGTTTTCCATGAAGATGTTTCCTTTTCTATCATAGGCTTCAAAGTGGTCTAAATTTCCACTTGTAAATCCTACAAGAATAGGGATTCAAAAGTTCTCTAATAAAAGGAAGTCTCCACTCGGTGAGATGAACGCACACATCACAATGAGGTTTCAGAAAATTCTTCTGTCTGGGGATATGTGAAGAAATCCCATTTCCAACGAAGGCCTCAAAGAGGTCCAAATATCCACTGGCAGTTTCTACAAAAAGAGTGTTTCAACACTGCTCTATAAAGAGGAAAGTTCCACTCTGTGAGTTGAATGCACACATCCCAAATTAGTTTCTGAGATTGCTTCTGTCTAGGTTTTAGGTGAAGATATTTCCTTTTCTACCGTGGGCTTCAATGCGCTCTTAATATACACTTGCAAATACTGAAAAAAGAGTGTTTCAAAACTGCTCTATCCAAAGAAACGTTTTACTCTGTGTGTTGAACGCACACATCGCAAAGCAGATTCTGAGAATTATTCTGTCTAGTTTTTATATGAAGATGTTTCTTTTTCTACCGTAGGCTTCAGGGCGCTCTAAATATCCCCTTGGAAATCCTACAAAAACAGTGTTTCAAAACTGCTCTGTCAAAAGGAAGGTTTCACTCTGTGAGTTGAATGCACACATCACAAAGGAGTTTCTGAGAATTCTTCTATCTAGAGTTATATGAAGAAATCCCGTTTCCAACGAAGGCCTCAAATAGGTCCAAATATCCACTTGCAGCTTCTACAAGAAGAGTGTTTCAGTTTCTTAGAAAGCTTCTTTCCAGTATTTATGTGAAGATATTTACTTTTTCACCGTAGGACTCAATTGTCTCCCAAATATCGCTTTGCAGATTTTACAAAAAGGGTTTTCCAAACTGCTGAATGAAAAGAAAAGTTTAAATGTGCGAGATAAATGCACACATCACAAATCAGTTTCTCAGATTACTTCCATATAGTTTTTATCCTGGGATATTTGCTTTTCCTCCATTGATCTCAAAGAGCTCCAAAATGTTCATTCACAGAATGGAAAAAGCAGTGTTTAAAAACTGTTGAAACAAAAGAACGTTTTAACTCTGTGTGATGAAAGCAGACATCACAAAGCAGTTTCTCAGCAAGCTTCTGTCTAGTTATTAATTGAAGATATTTACTTTTTCACCGTAGGCCTCAATGCACTCCTAATTATCCCTTCACAGATTCTACAAAAACAGTGTTTCCAAAATGCTGAATGAAAAGAAAATTTTAACTCTGTGAGATGAATTCACACATCACATGAAGTTTTACATAAAGCTTCTTTCTAGTTTTTATATGAAGATATTTAGTGTTTCACTATAGACCTCAGTGGGCTCCCAAATATTCCTTTGAAAAATATACAAAACACTCTTTTCATACTGCTGTATATAAGGAAAGGTTTAACTCTATGAGAAAAATTCACACATCACAAAACAGTATCTCAGATATCTTCCTAGAAGTTTTTATCCTGGGATATTCCCTTTTTCTCCAATGGCCTCAATTAACTCCCAAATATCTATTCACAGAATGGAGAAAAACAATGTTTCAAAACTGTTGAATCAAAAGAAAGTTTTAATTCTGTGAGATGAATGCACACATCACAAAGTGGTTTCTCAGATAGCATCTTTCTAATATTTATCCTGGGATATTTGTTTTTTGCCAGTGGCCTCAATCAGCTACCAAATGCCCATTCACAGGATGGTCAAAAACAGTGTTTCAAAATTCCTGAATCCAAAGAAAGGTTTAAATCTGTGAGGTGAATGCACCCATCACAGAGCAGTTTCTCAAAAAGCTTCCTTCTACTTTTTATGTTAAGATATTTTCTTGTAAATTTGTTTAAGTTCATTGTAGATTCTGGATATTAGCCCTTTGTCAGATGAGTAGGTTGTGAAAATTTTCTCCCATTTTGTAGGTGGCCTGTTCACTCTGATGGTAGTTTCTTTTGTGGTACAGAAGCTCTTTAGTTTGATTAGATCCCATTTGTCAATTTTGGCTTTTGTTGCCATTGCTTTTGGTGTTTTAGACATGAAGTCCTTGCCCATGCCTATGTCCTGAATGGTATTGCCTAGGTTTTCTTCTAGGGTTTTTATGGTTTTAAGTCTAACGTTTAAGTGTTTAATCCATCTTGAATTGATTTTTGTATAAGTTGTAATGAAGGGACCCAGTTTCAGCTTTCTACATATGGCTAGCCAGTTTTCTGAGCACCATTTATGAAATAGGGAATCCTTTCCCCATTGCTTGTTTTTGTCAGGTTTGTCAAAGATCAGATAGTTGTAGATATGTGACGTTATTTCTGAGGGCTCTGTTCTGTTCCATTGATCTATATCTCTGTTTTGGTACCAGTACCATGCTGTTTTGGTTACTGTAGCTTTGTAGTATAGTTTGAAGTCAGGTAGTGTGATGCCTCCAGCTTTGTTCTTTTGGCTTAAGATTGTCTTGGCAATGCAGGCTCTTTTTTGGTTCCATATGAACTTTAAAATAGTTTTTTCCAATTCTGTGAAGAAAGGCATTGGCATCAAATTTACAAGAAAAAAAAACAACCCCATCAAAAAGTGGGTGAAGGACATGAACAGACACTTCTCAAAAGAAGACATTTATGCAGCCAAAAAACACATGAAAAAATGCTCATCATCACTGGCCATCAGAGAAATGCAAATCAAAACCACAATGAGATACCATCTCACACCAGTTAGAATGGCAATCATTAAAAAGTCAGGAAACAACAGGTGCTGGAGAGGATGTGGAGAAATAGGAACACTTTTACACTGTTGGTGGGACTGTAAACTAGTTCAACCACTGGGGAAGTCAGTGTGGTGATTCCTCAGGGATCTAGAACTAGAAATACCATTTGACCCAGCCATCCCATTACTGGGTATATACCCAAGGGACTATAAATCATGCTGCTATAAAGACACAAGTACATGTATGTTTATTGCGGCACTGTTCATGATAGCAAAGTCTTGGAACCAACCCAAATGTCCAACAATGATAGACTGGATTAAGAAAATGTGGCGCATGTACACCATGGAATACTATGCAGCCATCAAAAATGATGAGTTCATGTCCTTTGTAGGGACATGGGTGAAATTGGAAATCATCATTCTCAGTAAACTATGGCAAGAACAAAAAACCAAACACCACATATTCTCACTCATAGGTGGGAATTGAACAATGAGTTCACATGGACACAGGAAGGGGAACATCACACTCTGGGGACTGTTGTGGGGTTGGGGGAGGGGGGAGGGATAGCTTTGGGAGATATACCTCATGCTAGATGACGAGTTAGTGGGTGCAGCGCACCAGCATGGCATATGTATACATATGTAACTAACCTGCACAATGTGCACATGTACCCTAAAATTTAAAGTATAATAATAAAAAAAAAAAAGATATTTTCTTTTTCAACCATAGGTCTCAATGCACTCCCAAATATCCCCTCACTGATTCTACAAAAACAGTGTTTCCAAACAACTGAATGAAAAGTAAGGTTTAACTCTGTGACACGAATGCACCCATCACAAAGCTGCTTTTCAGATAGCTTCCTTGGAGTTTTTATCCTGTGATATTCCCTTTTTCTCCATTGGCCTCAATGAGCACCTAAATATCCATTCACCTAATGGACAAAAACATTGTTTCAAAACTGTTGAATCAAAAGAAAGGATTAATTCTGTGAGATGAAAGCACACATCACAAAGCAGTTTCCAGAAAGCTTCTCTCTACTTTTTGTTTGAAGATATTTTCTTTTACACCATAGTCCTCATTGCACTCTGAGTTATCCCTTAACAGATTCTACAAAAACAGTGTTTCCAAACTCCTGGACCAAGGAAAGGTTCAACACTGTGAGGTGAATGGACCCCTAAGAGAGCAGTTTCTCAGAAAGCTTCTGTCTACTTTTTAACTTCAGATTTTTTTTTCACTATAGGTTTCAATGCGCTCCAAATATCCCTTCACAGATTCTATAAAAACAGTGTTTCCAAACTGCTGAATGAACAGAAATGTGTAACAGTGTGAGATGAATGCACACCTCACCAAGCGGTTTCTCAGACCGCTTCTTTGTGGTTTTCATTCTGTGATATTCGCTTTTTCTGCATTGGCCTCAATGATCTCCCAAATGTCCATTTGTAGAATGGACAAGAACAGTGTTTCCAAACTGTTGAATCAAAAGGAAGTTTTAATTCTGTGAGTTGAATGCACACATCACAAACCAGCTTATCAGAAAGCTTGTTTATAGTTTTTATTTGAAGATATTTTCTTTTTCACCATAGGCCTCAAAGCACTTCAAAATATTCCTTAACAGATTCTACAAAAACAGTGTTTCCAAACTGTTGAAACAAAAGAAAGTTTTAACCCTGTGAGATGAAAGCACACGTCACAAAGCAGTTTCTCAGAAAGAATCTGTCTAGTTATTATTTGAAGATATTTCCTTTTTCACCATAGCCCTCAATATGCTCCAAAATATACCTTCACAGATTCTACAAAAGCAGTGTTTCCAAACTGCTGGAGCAAAAGAAAGGTTTAACTCTGTGAGGTGAATGCACCCATCACAGAGCAGTTTCTCAGAATCCTTCTTTCTACTTTTTATCTTTAGATATTTTCTTTTACATCATAGGCATCAATGTGCTCCAAAATATCTGTTCACAGATTCTACAAAAACAGTGGCTCCAAACTGCTGAATATAAGGAAAGGTTTAACTGTGCAAGATGAATGCACACATCACAAAGTGGTTTCTCAGATAGCTTCCTTGAAGTTTTTATCTTGGGATATTCTCTTTTTCTCCATTGGCCTCAATGAGCTCCCAAATTTCTATTTGCAGAATGGACAAAAACAGTGTTTCCTAACTGCTGAATGAGAAGAAACGCTTAACTCTGTGAGACAAAAGAACACATCACAGTTTCTCAGAAAGCTTCTTTCAAGTTTTTATATGAAGATATTTACTTTTTCACCGTAGGACCCAATGGGCTCTGAAATATCCCTTCGAAGTTTCTACAAAAATAGTGTTTAAAAACTGCTGAATCAAAAGAAGGTTTAACTCAGGGAGATAAATGCACACATCACAAAACTTTTCTCACATAGCTTCCTTGAAGTTTTTTTTCCTGAGATATTCCCTTTTTCTCCATTGGCCTCAATGATCTCCCAAATGACCATTGGCAGAATGGCAAAAGCAGTGTTTCCAAACTGTTGAAACAAAAGAATGTTTTAAATATGTGAGATGAAATCACACATCACAAAGCAGTTTCTCAGAAAGCTTGTGCTTAGTTATTATTTGAAGATATTTCCTTTTTCACCATAGGCCTCCACGAGCTCCCAAATAATCCTTTACAGAATGGACAAAAACAGTGTTTCAAAACTGTTGAATCAAAAGAAATGATTAACTCTGTGAGATGAATGCAAACATGACAAAGCAGTTTCTCAGAAAGCTTCTTTCTAGTTTTTATATGAAGATATTTACTTTTTCACCATCAGACTCAATGGGCTCCAAAATATCTCTTCACAGATTATACAAAAACAGGGTTTCCAAACTGCTGAATGAAAAGAAAGATTTAACTCTGTGAGATGAATGCACACATCACAAATGGGTTTTTCAGATAGCTTCCCTGTAGTTTTTATCCTGGGATATTCACTTTTCCTCTATGGCCTCAGTGACCTCACAAATGCCCATTTGCAGAATGGACAAAAACAGTGTTTACAAACTGTTCAAACAAAAGAAAGTTTTAACTCTGTGAGATGTAAGCACACATCACAAAGCAGTTTCTCTGAAAGCTTCTGTCTAGTTATTATTTGAAGATATTTCCTTTTTCACAATTGGCCTCAAAGCACTCTGAAATATCCTTTTGCAGATTCTACAAAAACAGTGTTTCCAAATTGCTGGATCAAAAGAAAGGATTAAGTCTGTGAGATGATTGCTCACATCACAAAGCAGTTTCTCAGAAAGCTTCCTGGTAGTTTTTATAAGAAGATATTTGTTTTTTCACTATAGGCTTCAAAGGCTCCCAAATATCCCTTTGCAGGTTCTACAGAAACAGGATCTCTAAACTGCTGTATGTAAGGAAAGGTTTAACTCTGTGAGATGAATGCACACATCACAAAGCAGTTTCTCAGATACCTTCCTTTAAGTTTCTATCCTGGGATATTCACTTTTCCTCCACTGGCCTCAATGAGTTCCCAAATGTCCATTCGCAGAATGGACAAAAACAGTGTTTGCAAATGCTGAATGAAAAGAAATGTTTCTGTTTGTGAGATGAAACCACAAATCACAAAGTTGTTTCTCAGAAAGCTTCTTTCTAGCTTTTATCTGAAGATATTTTCTTTTTCACCATGGGCCTCAATGTGCTCCCAAATATGCCTTAGAGGAATGGACAAAAACAGGGTTTCAAAACTGTTGAATCAAAAGAAAGAATTAATTCTGTGACATGAATGCATACATCACAAAGCAGTCTGTCAGAAAGCTTCTGTCCAGTTTTTATTTGAAGATATATTTTTTTCACCATAGGCCTCAATGCATTCTGAAATATCCCTTCACAGATGCTACAAAAACAGTGTTTCCAAAGTGCTAGATCAAAAGAAAGGTTTAACTCTTTGAGATGAATGCACACATGACAAAGCAGTTTCTCAGAAAGCTTCTTTATAGTGTTTATATGAAGATATATACTTTTTCACCATCGGAATCAATGGGCTCTCAAATATCTCTTCACAAATTCTACAAAAACAGGGTTTCCAAACTGCTGAATGAAAAGAAAGGTTTAACTGTGCTAGATGAATGCACACATCACAGAGTAGTTTCTCACGTAGCTTCCTTGAATTTTTTATCTTTGGATATTCCCTTATTCTCCTTTGGCCTCAAAGATCTCCAAAATGGCCATTGGCAGAATGGACAAAAACAGTATTTCCAAACTGTTGAAACAACAGAAAGTTTTAACTGTGTGAGATGAAAGCACACATCACGAAGCAGTTTCTCAGAAAGCTTCTGTCTAGTTATTATTTGAAGATATTTCCTTTTTCACCATAGGCCTCCATGTGCCCTGAAATATCCGTTTGCAGATTCTAGAAAAACAGTGTTTCCAAACTGTTGGATCAAAAGAAAAGTTTAAGTCTGTGAGGTGAATGCCCACATCACACAGCAGTTTCTCAGAAACCTTCTTTCTACTTTTTATCTTAACATATTTTCTTCTACACAATAGGTCTAATTGCACTCCCAAATATCCCTTCGCAGACTCTAAAAAAACAGTCTTTCCAAACTACTGAATGAAAAGAAAGGTTTAACTCTGTGAGAAGAATGCACACATCACAATGTAGTTTCTCAGAAAGCTTCTCTCTAGTTTTTATTTGAAGATATTTTCATTTTCACCATAGGCCTCAATGTGCTCTTAAATATCCTTTTGCAGATTCTACAAAAACAGTGTTTCCAAATTGCTGGATCAAAAGAAAGGTTGCACTACGTGAGATGAAAGCAGACATCACAAAGCAGTTTCTCAGAAGGTTTCTTTCTAGTTTTTATATGAAGATATTTACTTTTTCACCATAGGACTCAATGTACTCCCAAATATCCCTTCACAGATTCTACCAAAATAGGGTTTCAAAACTACTGAATGAAAAGAAATGTTCAACTCTGTGAGATTAATGCACACATCACAAATCAGTTTCTCAGATGGCTTCCTTGTAGTTTTTATCCTGGGATAATTGCTTTTCCTTCTTTGGCCTCAATTAGCTCCCAAATGTCCATTCATAGAATGGACAAAAACAGTGTTTCCAAACTGCTGAAACAAAAGAAAGTTTTAACTCTTTGAGGTGAAAGCAGACATCACAAAGCAGTTTCTCAGAAAGCTTCTGTCTAGTTATAATTTGAAGATAATTCCTTTTTCACAGTAGGCCTCAATGTGCTCTGAAATATCCCTGCATAGATTCTACTAATACAGCGATTCCAAACTGCTGAATGAAAAGAAAGGTTTACCTCTGTGAGATGAATGCGCAGATCAAAGAGCAGTTTCTCATAAAGCTTCTTTCTAGTTTTTATATGAAGATATTTACTTTTTCACCATTTCCTCAATGGGCTCCCAAATATGCCTTTGCAGATTCTACAAAAACAGTGTTTCACAACTGCTGAATGTAAAGAAAGTTTTAACTCTCCAAGATGAATGCACACATCACACAGCCATTTCTCAGATAGCTTCCTTGAAATTGTTATCCTAGGATATTCGCTATTTCTCCACTGGCCTCAAAGAGCTCCCAAATGTCCATTCACAGAATGGAGAGGAGAAAGAGAGTATTTCCAAACTCCTGTATGAAAAGAAATATTTAACTCTGTGAGATGAAATGACACATCATAAAGCAGTTTCCCAGAAAGCTTCTTTCTGGTATTTATCTGAAGATATTTTGTTTTTCACCATAGGCTTCAATGCGCTCCCAAATATCCCTTCACAGAATGAATAAAAACAGCTTTTCAAAACAGTTGAATCAAAAGAAAGGATTAACACTGTGAGATGAATGCACCCATCACAAAGCAGTTTCTCAGAAAGCTTCTGTCTAGCTATTATTTGAAGATATTCCCTTTTTTACATAGGCCTCAATGCACTCTGAAATATCCTTTCAAAGATTCTACAAAAGAAGTGATTCCAAACTGCTGAATAAAAAGAAAGTTTTAACTCTGTGAGATGAATGCATACATCACAAAGCAGTTTCTCATAAAGCCCCTTTTTAGTTTTTATCTGAAGATATTTTCTTTTTCACTATAGGCCTCAATGGGCTCCCAAATATCCCTTTGCAGATACTACAAAGACAGTTTCCAAACTGCGGGATCAAAAGAGACTTTTAACTCTGTGAGTTGAATGCACCCATCACAGAGCAGTTTCCCAGAGAGGTTCTTTCTAATTTTTATCTGAAGATATTTTCTTTTCACCATAGGCCTCAATGGGCTCCCAAATATCCCTTCCCAGAATGGACAAAAACAGTGTTTCAAAACTTTTGAACTAAAGAATGGATTAACTCTGTGAGATGAATGCACACATCAAAAAGCAGCCTCTCAGAAAGCTTCTGTCTAGTTTGCACTTCAAGATATTTTCTTTTTCACCGTAGGCCTGAATGCACTCTGAAAAATCCATATGCAGATTCTACAAAAACAGTGTTTCCAAAGTACTGGAACAAAAGTAAGGTTTAACTTTTTGAGATGAATGCACACATCATGAAGGACTTTCTCAGAATGCTTTTTTCAAGTTTTATATGAAGATATTTACTTTTTCACCATAGGATGCTATAGGCTCCCAAATATCTCTTCACAGGTTCTACAAAAACAGTGTTTCCAAACTGCTGAATGTAAGGAAAGGTTTAACTATGTGACATGAATGCACACATCACAAAGTGGTTTCTCAAATAGCTTCATTGAAGTTTTTATCCTGGGATATTCAATTTTTCTTCATTGGCCTCAATGATCTCCCAAATGGCCATTGGCAGAATGCTCAAAAACAGTGTTTCCAAACTGTTGAAACAAAGGAAAGTTTTAACTCCATAAGATGAATGCACACATCACAATGCAGTTTCTCAGAAAGCTTCTTTCTACTTTTGATCTGAAGATATTTTCTTTTTCTCCATAGGACTCAATGTACTCCCAAATATCCCTTTGCAGAATGGACAAAAAGAGTGTTTCAAAACTGTTGAATCAAAATAAAGGATTAACTCTGTGAGTTGAATTCATACTTCACAAAACAGTTTCTCAGAAAGCTTCTGTCTAGTTTTTATTTGATGATATTTTCTTTTTTAGTGTAGGCTTCAATGCACTCCAAAATATCCCTTTGCAGATACTACAAAAACAGTGTTTCAAAACTGCTGGATCAAAAGAAAGGTTTAACTCTGTGAGTTGAATGCACGCATCACAAAGCAGTTTCTCAGAACGCTTCTTTCTAGTTTTTATATGAAGATATTTACTTTTTCACCAAAGGACACGATGGGCTCCCAAATATCCATTTGCAGATACTACACAAACTGGGTTTCCAAACTCCTGAATGAAAAGAAAGGTTTAACTCAGCTAGATGAATGTGCACCTCACAAATCCGTTTCTCAGATGGCTTCCTTGTATTTTTTATCCTTGGGTATTCTCTTTTCCTTCTTTGGCCTAAACGAGCTCCCAAATGTCCTGTCACAGAATGGACAAAAACAGTGTTTCCAAACTGTTGGAAAAGTAGAAAATTTTAATTCTGTGAGATGAAAGTAGACATCACAAAGCAGTTTCACAAAAACCTTCTGTCTAGTTATTATTTGAAATTATTTCCTTTTTCACCATAGGCCTCATTGGGCTCCAAATTATCCCTTTGCAGATTCTACAAAAACAGTGTTTCCAAACTGCTGAAAGAAAGCAAACGTTTAACTCTGTGAGATGAATGCACACATCACAGAGCTGTTTCTCAGAAGCATCTTTCTAGTTTTATCTGAAGATATTTTCTTTTTCACCTTAGGCCTCAAGGTGCTCCTAAATATCCCTTTGCAGAATGGACAAAAACAGTGTTTCCAACGTGTTGGGTCAAAAGAAAGGATTAACTCTGTGAGATGAAGCCACACATCACAAAGCAGTTTCTCTTAAAGCTTCTTTCTTGTTTTTATCTGAAGATATTTTCTTTTTCATATTAGGCCTCAATGCTCCCCCAATTATACCTTTGCAGAATGGACAAAAACAGTGTTTCTAAACCATTGAATCAAAAGAAAGGATTAACTCTGTGAGATGAATACACACATCACAAAGCAGTGTCTAAGAAAGCTTCTTTCTAGTTTTTATATGAAGATATTTACCTTTTCAACATAGGACGCTTTGGGCTCTGAAATATCCCTTTGCAGATTCAACAAAAACAGTGTTTCCAAACTGTTGAATGAAAAGAAAGGTTTAACTCTGTGAGATGAATGCAAACATCACATGGCAGTTTCTCACATAGCTTCCTTGAATTTTTTATCCTGAGATATTTGCTTTTTCTCCTTTGGCCTCGATGATCTCCTAAATGGCCATTGGCAGAAAGAACAAAAACTGTGTTTCCAAACTATTGAAACCAAAGGAAATTTTAACTCTGTGAGATGAAAGCAAACATCACAAAGCAGTTTCGCAGAAAGCTTCTGTCTAGTTATTATTTGAAGATATTTCTTTTTTATCATAGGCCTCAAAGCTCTCTGAAATATCCCTGCACAGATTCTACAAAACCGTGTTTCCAAGCTGCTGAATGTAAAGAATGGTTAAACTCTGTGAGATGAATGCACACATCACAAAGCAGTTTCTCAGAATCCTTCTTTCTAGTTTTTATAAGAAGATATTGACTTTATCACCATAGGCCTCAAGGGGATCCCAAATATACCTTCACAGGTTCTACAAAAACAGTGTTTCCAAACTGCTGAACGTAAGGAAAGGTTTACCTCTGTGAGATGAATGCATACATCACAAAGCAGTTTCTCAGATAGTTTCCTTGAAGTTTTTATCCTGGGATATTTGCTTTTCTCCATTGGTGTCAATGAACTCCCAAATGTCCATTTGCAGAATGAACAAAAACACTGTTTCCAAACTGTTGAATGAAAAGAAAAGTTTAACACCGTGAGCTGAATGCACACATCAAAAAGCAGTTTCTCAGAAAGCTTCTGTCTTGTTTTTATTTGAAGATGTTTTCTTTTTCACCATAGGCCTAAATGTGCTCTGAAATATCCCTTCAGAGATTCCACAAAAACAGTGTTTCCAAACTGCTGAATGAAAAGAAAGTTTTAACTCTGTGAGACACATGCACACATCACAAGGCAGTTTCTCAGAAAGCTTCTTTCTAGTTTTTATAAGAACATATTTACTTTTTCACAATAGGTCTCAATGGGGTCCCAAATATCCCTTTGGAGGTTCTACAAAAACAGTGTTTCTAAACTGCTGAATGAAAAGAAAGGTTTAACTCTGCAAGATTAATGCACACATCACAAAGCAGTTTCTCAGCTTCCTTCTAGTGTTTATCCTGGAATATTTGCTTTTTCTCCATTGGCCTCAGTATGGTCCCAAATGTCCATTCACAGAATGGACAAAAACAGTCTTTTCAAACTGTTGAATCAAAAGAAAGGCTTAACTCTATGAGATGAATTCACACATCACAAAGCAGTTTCTCAGAAAGCTTCATTCTAGTTTTTATCTGATATTTTCTTTTTCACCATAGGCCTCTAGGCACTCGGAAATATCCCTTAACAGATTCTACAAAAACAGCATTTCCAAACTGCTGAATGAAAAGAATCGTTTTACTCTTCAAGATGAATGCACACATCACAAAGTGGTTTCTCAGATAGTCTCATTTTTATCCTGAGATATTCACTTTTATGCCTTTGGCCTCAATGAGCTCCATAATGTCTTTCACAGAAATAACAAAGCCAGTGTTTCCAAACTGCTGAATGAATAGAAAGGTTTAACTCTGTGAGATGAACGTACACATCACAGAACAGTTTCTCAGAAAGCTTCTTTCTTCTTTTTATCTGAGGATAATTTCTTTTTTGCCATAGAACTTGATGAGCTTTCAAATATCCATTCACAGTTTCTACAAAAACAGTTTTTCCAAACTGCTGAAGGAAAAGAAAGATTTAACTCTGTGAGATGAATGCAGACATCACAAAGCTGTTTCTCTGATAGCTTCCTTCTAGTTTTTATCCTGGGATATTCATCTTTTTGCCACTGGCCTCAATGAGCTCCCAAATTTCCATTCACAGAATGGACAAAAACGGGTTTCCAAACTGCTGAATCAGAAGAAAGGTTTAACACTGGGAGATGAGTTCACACCTCACAAAGCAGTTTCTCTGAAAGCTTCTTTCTACTTTTTATCTGAGGATATTTTCTTTTTCACCATAGGCCTCAATACGCTCCCTAATATCCCTTCACAGATTCTACAAAAACAGTGTTTCCAAACTGCTGAATGAGAAGAAAGGTTTAGGTGTGTGAGATGAATGCCCCCATAACAAAGCCATTTCTCAGATAGTTTCCTTCTGGTTTTATCCAGGGAAATTTGCTTTTTCACCATTGGCCTCAATGAGTGCCAAAATGCCCATTCGTAGAATGGACAAAAACAGTGTTTCCAAACTGCTGTATCCAAAGAAAGTTTAACTCTGTGAGATAAATGTACACATCAGAAAGCAGTTTCTCAGAAAGCTTCTTTGTACTTTTTTATCTTAAAGTATTTTCTTTTTCACCATAGGCCCCAATGCACTCCAAAATATCCCTTAGCAGATCCTACAAAAACATATTTTCCTGTCTGCTGAATGAAAAGAAAGTTTTAACTCTGTGAGATGAATGCAAACGTCACAAAGGGGTTTTCTCAGATTGCTTCCTTCCAGTTTTTATCCTGGGATATTCGCTTTCTCTCTATCAGCCTAAAGGAGCTCCTAAATATCCATTCACAGAATGACAAAAATACTGTTTCCAATCTAATGGATAAAAAAAAAGTTTAGCTATGTGAGATGAATGCACACATCAGAAATTAGTTTCTCAGAAAGCTTCTTTCTACTTCTTATCTGAAAATATTTTCTTTTTCACCAAGGGCTCAAAGTGCTCCAAAATATCCCTTTGCAGATCCTACAAAAAAAGTGTTTACAAACTGTTGAATGAAAGGAAATATTTATGTCTGCAAGATGAATGCAGACTTCACACCGTGGTTTCTCAAATGGCTTCCTTCTACTTCTTATCCTGGTATATTCCCTTTTTCACCATTGGCCTCAATGAGCTCCCAAATGTCCATTTGCAGAATGGACAAAACACTGTTTCCAAACTCTTGAATCAAAAGAAACATTTAACTCTGTTAGATGAAAGCACACACCACAAAGCAGTTTCTCAGAAAGCTTCTGTTTAGTTTCTATTTGAAGATATTTTCTTTTTCACCATAGGCCTCAATGTGCTCCAAAATATCCCTTCACAGATTCTACAAAATCAGTGTTTCCAAACTGCTGGATCAAAAATAATGTTTAACTCTGTTAGATGGATACAGCCACCACAGAGCAGTTTCTCACAAAACTTCTTCTACTCTTTACCTTAAGATATTTTCTTTTTCACTGTAGTTCTCAAAGCACTCCAAAATATCCCTTCGCAGATTCTAGAAAAACAATGTTTCCAAACTGCTGAATAAAAAGAAAGGTTTAACTCTGCAAGCGGAATGCAAACATCACAAAGCTGTTTCTCTGATAGCTTCCTTGTAGTTTTTATCCTGGGGTATTCCCTTTTTCTGCCTTGGCCTCAATGAGCTCCCAAATATCCATTCACAGAATGAAAAAAAACAATGTTTCCAAACTATTGAATCAAAAGAAAAGTTTAACTCCATGAGATGAAAGCACCTATCACAAAGCAGTTTGTCAGAAAGCTTCCTTCAGTTTTTATCTGAAGATATTTTCTTTTTCACCATAGGTTTCAAAATGCTCCCAAATGTCTCTTTGCAGATTCTACAAAAACAGTTTCTAAACTGCTGAATGTAAGGAAAGTTTTAACTCTGCAAGATCAATGCACACATCACAAAATAGTTTCTGAGATAGCTTCCTTGAAGTTTTTATCCTGGGCTATTCCATTTATCTCCATTGGCCTCAATGAGCTCCCAAATGCCCATTCACAGAATGGACAAAAGCACTGTTTCCAAACTGGTGAATGAAAAGAAACGTTTAACACTGGGAGATGAATGCACACATCACAAAGCAATTACTCAGTATGCTTCTGTCTAGTTTCTATTGGAAGATATTTTCTATTTCACCATAGGCCTCAATGTGTTCCTAAATATCCCTTTGCAGATGCTACAACAACAGTGTTTCCAAACTGCTGGATCAAAAGGAAAGTTTACCTCTGTGTGATAAATGCACACATCACAAAGCAGTTTCTCAGAAAGCTTCTTTCTACTTTTTGTCTGAAGATATTTTCTTTTTCACTATAGGCCTCAAAGCACTCCCAAATGTCCCTTTGCAGATTCTAAAAAAACAGTGTTTCCAAACTGCTGAATGAAAAGGAAACTTTATCTCCATGAGTTGAATGCACACCTCACAAAGTGGTTTCTCAGATAGCTGCCTTCTAGTTTTTATCCTGGGATATTAGCTTTTTTGCCATTAGCCTGAATGAGTTCTCAAATGCCCATTCACAGAATGGACAAAAACCATGTTTCCAAACTGCTGAATCAAAAGGAATGTTGAACTCTCTAGATGAAAGCACACATCACAAAGCAGTTCCTCATAAAGCTTCTTTCTACTTTTTATCTGTAGATATTTTCTTTTTCACCATGGGCCTCAACATGCTTCCAAATATCCCTTCGCAGATTCTACAAAAAAAGTGTTTCCAAACTGCTGAATGAAAAGGAAACTTTACTTCTGCAAGGTGAATGCACACATCACTGAGCGGTTTCTCAGATAGCTTCCTTCTATTTTTTATCCTGGGATATTCACTTTTTTGCCATTGGCCCCCATGAGTTCCCAAATGCCCTTTTGCAGAAAGGAGAAAAACAGTGTTTCCAAACTACTGAGTCTAAAGAAAGGTTAAACTCTGTAATAAAAATGCACACATCACAAAGAAGTTTCTCTGAATGCTTCTTTCTACTTTTTGTCTGAAGATATTTGCATTTTCACTATAGGCATCAATGTGCTCCCAAATATCCCTTGGTAGTTTCTGCAAAAGCACTTCTGCTTTTTGATGCATGCATGCATCTCATATAGTTAAAACTTTCTTTTGATTCAGCTGTTTGGAAACAAGGTGTTTGTCCATTATGCAAATGGACATTTGGGGGCTCATTGGTTAAAGTGAATAACCCAGGATAAAAAGTAGAAGGAAGGTACCTGAGAAACCACTTTTTGATGTGTGCACTCATCTCACTGAGTTAAACTTTTCTTTTCATTCAACAGGTTGGAAACACTGTTTTTGTAGAATCTGTGAAGGAATATATGGGAGCGCATTGAGGCCTATGGTGAAAAAGTAAATACCTTCATATAAAAACTAGAAAGAAGGTTTCTGAGAAACTGCTTTGAGATGTGTGCATTCATCTCACACAGTTGAACCTTTCTTTTAATTCAGCAGCTTGGAAACACTGTGTTTGTCCTTTCACAGAATGGTGCTTATTGAGGTCAATGGCCCAAAAGCAAATATCCTGGGATTAAAACTAGAATGATGCTTTCTGAGAAACTGCTCTCTGATGTGTGCATTCATCTTGCAGAGTTAAATCATTCTTTTCAATCAACAGTTTGGAAACACTGTCTTTGTAGGAACTGCAAAGGGATATTTGGGAGTGCATTAAGGCCTAATGTGAAAAAGAAAATATTTACAGATAAAAAGTAGAAAGAAGCTTTCTGAGAAACTGCTTTGTGATGTCTGCGTTCACCTCGCAGAGTTAATGCATTCGTTCAGCAGTTTGGAAACAGTTTTTGTAGAAGCTGTGAAGGGATATTTTAGAGCACAATGAGGCCTATGGTGAAAAAGAATATATCTTCAGATAAAATGAAGATAGAAGTTTGTGAGGAACTGCTTTGTGATGTGTGCATTCGTCTCCCAGAGTTAAATCTTTTTTAGATTTAGCAGTTTGGGAGCACTGGTTTTGTACATTCTGCGAATGGACATTTTGTAGCTCATTGAACCTAATGATGAGGAAGTGAATATTTCAGGATAAAACCTAGAAGGAAGCCATCTGAGAAACCACTTTCAGATGTGTGCATTAATCTCACAGTGTTTAATCTCTCTTTTGATTCAGCAGTTTGGAAACACTGTTTTTATAGAATCTGCAAAAGGATATTTTGGAGTGGATCGAGGCCTATGGTGAAAAAGAATTTATCTTAACATAAAAAGTAGAAAGAAACTTTCTGTGAAACTGTGTTGTGATGTGAGCATTCATCTCACAGAGTTCCACCTTTCTTTTGGTTCAGCAAATTTGAAACACTCTTTTTGTCTATTCTGCAAATGGACATTTGGGATCTCATTGAGCCCAATGGTGGAAAAACATATATCCCAGGATAAAAACCAGAAGGAAGCTATCTGAGAAACTGCTTTGTGATGTGTGCATTCATCTCACAGATTTAAATCTTTCCTTTGATTCAACAGTTTGGCAACAATGTTTTTGTCCATTCTGCAAATGGACACTTTGTATCTCCTTGAGGCCAATGGCAAAAAAGTGAATATACCAGGATGAAAACTAAAAGAAATCTATGTGAGAAACTGCTTGGTCATGTGAGCATTAATCTCACGGAGTTAAATCTTTCTTTTCATTCAGCAGTTTGGAAAAACTTTTTGTAGTATCTGTGATGGGAAATTTGCAAGCTCATATAGGCCTATGGTAAAAAAGAAAATATCTTCAGATAAAATCTAGAAAGAAGCTATCTGAGAAACAGCTTTGTGAGGTGTGCATTCATCTCACAGAGATGAAACTTTAGTTTGATTTAGTAGTGTTTAAACACTGTTTTTGTCCATTCTGCAAATGGACATTTGGGAGCTCATTGGGGGCCTATGGCCAAAAAGTGAATATCAATGGATAAATACTAGAAGGAAGGTACCTGAGAAACTGCTTTGTGATGTGTGCATTCATCTGACAGAGTTAAACCTTTCTTTTCTTTCAGCAATTTGGAAACACTGTTTTTGTGGAATCTGCGAACGGATATTTTGAAGCACATTGATTCCTATGCTGAAAAAGAAAATACCTTCATATAAAAGTAGAAAGAAGCTTTCTGAGAAGCTGCTTTGTGATGGTTGCATTAATCTCACAGACTTAACCTTGCTTGTCAGGTAGCAGTTTGGAAACACTGTTTTTATACATTCTGTGTATGGACATTTGAAAGTTCATTGAGGCCAATGATGGAAAAGCAAATATCCCAGGATAAAAACAATAAGGACACTAACTGAGAAACCACTTTGTGATGTGTGCATTCATCTCACAGAGTTAAACTTTTATTTTCATTCAGCATTTTGGAAACATTATTTTGTAAAATCTGTGAAGAGATATTTTGGAGAACATCGAGGACTATGGTGAAATAGAAAATGTCTTATGAGAAAAAGTAGAATGAAACTTTCTGAGAAACTTCTTTGTGATGTGTGCATTCACCTCATCAAGTTAAACCATTCTTTTCATTCAGCAGTTTGGAAACACTGCTCATGTCAATTCTATGAATGGACATTTGGCAGCTCATTGAGGACAATGGCAAAAAAGAGAATATCCAAGGATAAAAACTAGAAGGAAGATATCTAAGAAACAGCTTTGTGATGTGTTCATTCATCTCACAGTGTTAAAACTTTCTTTTCATTCAGCAGTTTGAAAACACTCTTTCTGCAAAATCTGTGAAGGGATATTTGGGAGCGTGTTGAGGCCTAAGGTAAAAAAGAAAATATCTTCAGTAAAAACTAGAAAGAAGCTTTCTGAGAAACTGCTTTGTGATGTGTGCATTCATTTCACAGAGTAAAACTTTTTTTTTAATTCAGCAGTTTGGAAACACTGTTTTTGTAGAATCTGCAAAGAGATATTTGGCAGCTCATTGAGGCCTAGTTTGAAAAAGAAAATATGTACAGATAAAAACCAGAAAGAAGCATCTTGAGAAACTCCTTTGTGATGGGGGCATTCACCTCACAAAGTTAAAACTTTCTTTTGATTCAGTAGTTTGGAAACACTGTTTTTGTCCTTTCTGCAAATGAACATTTTGGACCTCATTGATGACAGTGGTGACAAAGCGAATATCCCAGGATAAAAACTACAAGGAAGCTATCTGAGAAAGGGCTTTGTGAGGTGTTCATTCATCTCACAGACTTAAAACTTTCCTTTAACTCAGTAGTTTGGAAACACTACTTTTGTAGAATCTGTGAGGTAATATTTGTGAGCACATTGAGGCCCATTGTGAAAAACAGAAATATCTTCAGATAAAGAGTAGGTAGAAGCTTTCTGGGAAACTGCTTTGTCATGTGTGCATCCATCTCACAGAGTTAAAACTTTCTTTTGGTTCCACAGTTTGGAAACACTGTTTTTGTGCTTTCTGTGAATGGACATTTGGGAGATCATTAAGGCCAACATTGAAAAGGAGTATATCACAGGATAAAAACTAGAAGGAAGCAATCTGAAAAACTGCTTTGTGATGTGTGCATTCATCTCACAGACCTCAACTTTTTTTTTCATTCAGTAGTTTGGAAACTCTGTTTTTGTAGAATCTGAGAAGGGATACTTGGGAGCGCATTGAGGCCTATGGCAAAAAAGAAAATATCTAAAGCTAAAAAGTACAAAGAATCTTTCTGAGAAATGGTTTTGTGATGTGTGCATTTGTCTCATAGAGTTAAAACTTTCTTATGATTCAGCAGTTTGGAAACACTGTTTTTGTCCCTTCTGTGACATTTGGAAGCTCAGTGAGGATAATGGCAAAAAAGTGAATACCCCAGGGTAAAACTAGAAGGAGACTCTCTGAAAAACTTCTTTTTGATGTGTTCATTCATCTCCCAGCGTTAAAATTTCTTTTCATTTAGCAGTTTGGAAACACTGTTTTTGTAGAATCTGTGATAGGATAATTGGTAGTGCATTGAGGACTATGTTGAAAAAGAAAATATCTTCAGATAAAAACGAGAAAGAAGCTTTCTGAGAAACTTGCTTTATGATATGTGCATTCATCTCACAGAGTTAAACTTTTTTGGATTCAGCAGTTTGGAAACATGTCTTTTTCATTCTTCAAATTGACATTTGGGAGCTCATTGAAACCAATGGCAAAAAAGGGAATATCCCAGGATAAAAACTAGAAGGAAGCTATCTGAGAAACCACTTTGTGATGTGTGCATTCAACTTGCAGATTTAAACCTTTCTTTTCATTCAAGAGTTTTGAAACACTGTTTTTGCAGAAACTGCAAGGGGATATTTGGGATGGCATTGAGAACTACAATGAATATGAAAATACCTTCAGATAAAAACTAGAAATAAGCTTTCTGAGAAACTGCTTTATGATGTGTGCCTTCACCTCATGGTGCTAAAGGTTTCTTTTGATTCAGCAGTTTGAAAACACTGTTTTTGTCCATTCACAGAATGGACATTTGAGAGTTCATATGTCCAATAGCAAAAAAGTAAATATCACAGGATAAAATCTGGAAGTAAGCTATCTGAGAAACTGCTTTTTGATGTGTGCCTTCATCTAACGGAGTTAAAACTTTCATTTCATTCAGCAATTTGGAAACACTGTTTTTGTAGAATCTGCAAAGGCATATTTGGGAGCACATTGAGGTCTATGCTGAAAAACAAAATATCTTCAAATAAAAAGTAGAAAGAAGCTTTTGGAGGAAATGCTTTTGGTTGTGTGCATTCATCTTGCAGAGTAAAACTTTTCTTTTCATTCAGCAGTTTGGAAATACTGTTTTTGTCAAATCTGCGAAGGGATATTAGGGAGCACATTGAGGCCTATGGTGAAAAAGAAAATATCTTCAGCTAAAAACTAGAAAGATGCTATATGAGAAACTGCTTTGTGATGTGTGCATTAATCTCCAGAATTAAACCTCCCTTTTGACCCAGCATTGTGGAAACACTGTTTTTGTCCATTCTGCGAATGGACATTGGGAGCTCATAGAGACCAATGGTGAAAAAGTGAACATCTGAGGATGAAAATTAGAAGGAATCTGTCTGAGAAACTGCTATGTGATGTGTGCATTCATCTCACAGAGTTGAACCTTTCTTTTTATTCAGCAGTTTGGAAACACTGTTTTTCTAGAATCTGTGAAAGGATATTTGGGAGCATGTTGAGGCCAGTGGTAAAAAAGAATATATCTTCAGATAAAAAGTAGAAAGAAGCTTTCTGAGGAACTGCTTTTTGGTGTACGCATTCATCTCACAGAGTTAAACCTTACTTTTGATTCAGCAGTTTGGAAACACTGTTTTGTCCATTCTGCAAATGGACATTTGGAAGCTCTTTGAGGCCAATAACAAAAAAGCATATGTCAAAGGACAAAAACTAGAAGAAAGTGATCCGAGAAACCACTTGGTGAGGTTTGCATTCATCTCACTGAGTTAAAGCTCACTTTCATTCAGCAATTTGGAAACCTTCTTTTTGTAGAATCTTTGAAGGGATATTTGGAAGTGCCTTGAAGGCTATGGTGAAAAAGAAAATATTTTCAGATTAAAAGTAGAATGAGTCTTTCTGAGGAACTGCTTTTTGATGTGCACATTCATCTCACAGAGTTGAAGCTTTCTTTTGATTCAGCAGTTTGGAAACATAGTTTTTGTCCATTCTGCAAATGGACTTTTGGAAGCTCATAAAGGCCAATGGCAAAAAAGCAAATATCTCAAATACAAGGAAGCTATCTGAGAAAATGTTTTGAGAGGTGTGCATTCATCTCACAGAGTTAAACCTTTCTTTCCATTCAGCAGCTTGGAAACGTTTTTACAGTATATGCAAAGGGAAATTTGGGAGGGCATTGAGGGCTATGGTGAAAAAGAAAATATCTTCAGATTGAGAGTAGAAAGCTTTCTGAGAAACCGCTTTGTGATGTGTGCATTCATCTCATAGAGTTAAATCTTTCTTTTGATTCACCAGTTTGGAAACACTGTTTTTGTCAATTCTGAGAATGGACATTTGGGAGCTCTTTGAGGCCAATGGTGAAAAAGAGAATATCCTACAATAAAAACTAGAAGGAAGCAATCTGAGAATCCCGTTTGTGAAGTTTGCATTCATCTGGCACACTTAAACCTTTCTTCTAATTCAGCAGTTTTGAAGAATCTGTGAAAGGATATTGGAAGTGCATTGAGGCCTCTGGTGAAAAAGAAAATATCTTCAGTTAAAAAGTAGAAAGAAGCTTTCTGAGAAACTGCTTTGTTGACGTGTGCATTCATCTCACAGAGTTAAACCTTTCTTTTGATTCAGCCCTTTGGAAACACTGTTTTTATCTATTCTGTGAATGGACATTTGGGAACTGAATGAGGCCACTGGTGAAAAACTGAATATGCCAGGATAAAAGCTAGAAGGAAGCTATATGAGAAACCACTTTTTGATGTGTGCATTCATCCCACAGAGTTAAACCTTCCTTTTCATTCAGCATTTTGGAAACACTGTTTTTGTCCATTCTGGGAAAAGACAATTGGGAGCTAATTGAGGTCAATTGTGAAAAAGCAAATATCCTGGGATAAAAACTAGAAGAAAATTCTCTGAGAAATTGCTTTGTGCTGTGGGTATTCATCTCACAGAGTTAAAGTTATCTTTTCCTTCAGCCATTTGGAAACACTGTTTTTTGTGAAATCTGCAAAGGAATATTTGGACCCACATTGAGGTCTATGGTGAAAAGGTAAATATCATCAGGTAAAAAATAGAAACAAGCTTTCTGAGAAACTCGCTTGAGATTTGCGCATTTGTCTCACAGAGTTAAATTTTTCTTTTCATTTAGCAGTTTGGAAACACTGTTTTTTTTTTTAATTTTTCTGCAAATGGACATTTGGTAGCTCATTGAGGCCAATGGCAAAAAAGTAAATATCCCAGGTTAAAAACTAGAATTAAGCTATCTGAGAAACTGATTTGTGACGTGAGCATTCATCTCCCAGAGTTAAAACCTTCTTTTCATTCAGCGGTTTGTAAACACTGTTTTTGTAGACTCTGCGAAGGAATATTTTTGGGTTCATTGATACCTAGGGTGAAAAAGAAAATGTCTTCAGATAAAAAGTAGAAAGAAGCTTTCTGAGAAACTGCTTTGTGATGTGTGCATTCATCTCATAAAGTTTCTTTGGATTCAGCAGTTTGGAAACACTGTTTTTGTGCATTCTGTGAGTGGATATTTGAGAGCTCCTTGGGGACAAATGTGAAAAAGTGAATATCCCAGGATAAAAGCTAGGAGGAAGCTATCTAAGAAACTGTGTTGTGATGTGTGCATTCATCTCGCAGAGTTAAACTTTTCTTTTCTTTCAGGAGTTTGAAAATGCTGTTTTTGTGGAAACTGTGAAGGGATATTTGGTAGCAAATTGAGGCCTATGGTGAAAAAGAAAGTATCTTCAGTTAAAATGTGGAAAGAAGCTTTCTGAGAAACTGCTTTGTGATGTGTGCATTCATCTCCCAGAGTTATATCTTTTTTAGATTCAGCAGTTTGGAAACAGTGTTATTGTCCTTTCTGTGAATGGACATTTTGGAGCTCATTGAGGCCAATGGCAAAAAAGTGGATAAACCAGGATAAAAAACAGGAAGGAAGCTATCTGAGAAACTGCTTTGTGATGTTTGCATTCACCTCACAGCATTAAACCTTTCTTTTCATTCAGCAGTTTGGCAACACTGTTTTTATTAAATCTGGGAAGGGATATTTGGGAGCACTTTGAGGAATACGGTGAAAATATCTTCAGAGGAACACTAGAGAGAAGCTTTCTGACAAATGGCTTTGTGATGTCTGAATTCATCTCACAGTGATAAACGTTTCTTTTCATTTAGCAGTTTGTAAACATCTTTTTTTCCGTTATGTGGATGGACATTTGGGAGCTCATTGAGGCCAGTAGTGAAAAAGAAAATATCCCAAAATAAATACTAGAAGGAAGCTGAGAAACCACTTTGTGATGTGTGCATTCATCTTGCAGAGATAAAACTTTCTTTTTATTCAGAAGTTTTGAAACACTGTTTTAACAGAGTTGAGCCTTTCTTTTGATTAAACTGTTTGGAAACACTGTTTTGTCCATTCTGTGAATGGACATTTGGGAGCTCATTTAGGCCAATGGCAAAAAAGTGAATATCCCATGCTATAAACTAGAAGGAAGCTATCTAAGAAAGCACTTTCATGTGTGCATTCATGTCACAGAGTTAAGCCTTTTGTTTTATTAAGCAGTTTGGAAACACTCTTTTTGTAGAATCTGTGAAGGGATATTTGGTAGTGCATTGAGACCTACATTGAAAAAGAAAATATCTTCAGATAAAAACTAGAAAGAATCCTTCTGAGAAACTTCTTTATGGTGTATGCATTCATCTCACAGAGTTAAACATTTATTTTGTTTCAGCAGTTTGGAAACCTGTTTTTGCCATTCCGCAAAAGGACATTTGGGATCTCATTGAGCCCAAGGGTGAAAAAGCATATATCCCAGGATAAAAACTAGAAAGAAGCTATCTGAGAAACTTCTTTGGGACGTTTGCATTCACCTCACAGAGTTAAAGCTTTCTTTTCATGCAGCTGTTTGGAAACACTGTTTCTGTAGAATCTCCGAAGGGATACTTAGGAGCACTTTGTGGCCTATGGTGAAAAAGAAAGTATCTTCAGATTAAAAAAAAGAAAGAT
Organism: Homo sapiens; assembly: GCF_000001405.40. NCBI lineage: Eukaryota > Metazoa > Chordata > Mammalia > Primates > Hominidae > Homo > Homo sapiens. Next base: position 58,423,917 of record NC_000006.12, on the reverse strand, counting down.
TTGTGAGATACTGCTTTGTGATGTGTACATTCATCTCACAGAGTTAAACTTTTCTTTTGATCACTGTTTTTGTCCATCCTGCAAATGGACAATTGTCAGATCATTGAGGCCAATGGTGAAAAAGTAATATCTCATGATAAAAACTAGAAGTAAGCTATCTGAGAAACAGCTTTGTGATATGTGCATTCATTTCACTGATTTATACCTTTCTTTTCATTCAGCAGATTAGAAACACTGCTTCTGTAGAATCTGCAAGGGGATATTTTGGTGGGCATTGAGGCCTATGGTGAAAAACAAAATATCTCCAGATAAAAAGTAGAAAGAAGCTTTCTGAGAAGCTAATTTGTTATGTGTGCATTCTTCTCACAGAGTTAAATTTTTCTTTTGATTCAGGAATTTGGAAACTCTGTTTTTGTCCATTCTGGGAATGGACATTTGGGAGGTCATTGAGGTCAAAGGCGAAAAAGCCAATCTCCCAAGATAAAAACTAGAAGGACGCTATCTGAGAAACTGCCGTGTGATATGTACATTTATCTCACTGATTTAAACCCTTCTTTTTATTCAGCAGTTTGGAAACCCTGTTTTTGTAGAATTGGAGAAGGAATATTTGGGAGCACATTGAGGCCTATGGTGTAAAAGGAAATATCTCCAGATTAAAAACTAGAAAGAATCTTTCCGATAAACTGCTCTCTGATGTGTGCATTCATCTCACAGAGTTAAACCTTTCTTTGGATACAGAAGTTTGGAAATACTGCATTTGTCCTTTCTGCGAATGGACATTTGGGAGCTAATTGAGCCCAGAGGTGAAAAAGCGAATATCCCAGCATTAAAACTAGAGGCAGCTATCAGAGAAACCACTTTGTGATTTGGGCATTCATCTCACAGAGTTAAACCTTTCTTTTCATTTAATAGTTTGGAAACACTGTTTTTTAGAATATGTGAAGGAATATTTGGGAGTCCATTGAGGCCTATGGTGAAAAAGAAAATATCTTCAGATAAAAACTAGAAAGAAGCTTTCTGAAAAACTGGTTTGTGATGTGTGTATTCATCTCACAGAATTAAACCTTTTTTTTCATTCAGCAGTTTTAAACACTGTTTTTGTAGATTCTCTGAAGGGATATTTGGGAGCCCTTTGAAGCCTATAGTGAAAAAGAAAATATCTTCAGATAAAAACTAGAAAGAAGCTTTCTGAGAAACTGCTTTGTGATGTGTCCATCTCACAGAGTTATACCTTTCTTTTGAAGCAGCAGTTTGGAAACACTGCTTTTGTCCTTTCTGGGAATGGACATTTGGGCGTTCTTTGTGGCCAATGGTGAAAAAGGGAATATCCCAGGATAAAAACTAAAAGGAAGCTATCTGAGAAACTGCTTTCTGAGGTTTGCATTCATCTCACAGAGTTAGCCTTTCTTTTGATTCAGCAGTTTGGAGAAACACTCTTTTGTAGAATGTGTGAAGGGATATTTGGGAGTGCCTTGAGGCCTGTTGTGAAAAGGAAATATCTTTGGATTAAAACTAGAAAGAAACTTTCTGAGAAATGGCTCTGTGATGTGTGCATGCATCTAAAGGGTTAAAACTTTTTTTGATTCAGCAGTCTGGAAACACTACTTTTGTGCTTTCTGTAAATGGACCTTTTGTACCTCATGGAGGCCAATGACAAGAAAGAGAATATCCCTGGATTAAAACTAGTAGGAAGCTATCTGAAAAACTGCTTAATGATGTTTGCACTCATCTAGCAGAGGTAAAACTTTCTTTTCATTTTGCAGTTTGGAAAAAACTGCTTTTGTAGAATCTGTGAAGGGATATTTGGGAGTGCAATGAGGCTACAGTGACAAAGAAAATATCTTCAAATAAAAAGGAGATAGAAGCTTTCTGATAAACTGCTTTGTGATGTGTGTATTCATCTCACAGTGGTAAACCTTTCTACTGATTCAGCAGTCTGGAAACACTGTTTTTGTACTTTCTGCTAATGGAAATTTTGGAGCTCATTGAGGTCAATGGCAAAAACGTGAATAACCCGGGATAAAAACTATAAGGTAGCTATCTGAGAAATTGCCTTGCGAAGGGACAATTCACCTCTCAGATTTAAACCATTCTTTTCATTCAATGGTTTGGAAACACTGTTATTGTAGAATATGTGAAGGGATATTCGGGAGCACATAGAGGCCTAGGGTGAAATTGAAAATATCTTCAGATAAAAACTAGAAAAATCTTTCTGAGAAATTCCTTTGTGATGTATGCATTCATCTCACAGAGGTATAACTTTCTTTTGATTCAGCAGTTTGGAAACACTGTTTTTGTCCATTCTGTGAATGGACAATTGGGAGCTCATGGAGACCAATGGCTAAATACACATATCCTAGGATGAAAACTAGAAGGAAGCAATCTGTGAAACCACTTTATGATGTGTGCATTCGTCTCATGGGGTTAAACTTTTCTTTTCATTCAGCAGTTTGAAAAAACTATTCTTGTTGAATCTGTGAAGGGATATTTGGAGTGCATTGAAGCCTATGGTGAAAAAGAAAATTTCTTCAGATAAGAAGTAGATAGAAGTTTTCTGAGAAACTGCTTTTTGATGTATCCATTCCTCTCACAGAGTTAAGCCATTCTGTTAATTAAGCAGTTCAGAAACACTGCTTTTATCCTTTTTGTGACTGGACATTTTGGAGCTCATTAAGGCCAATGGTGAAAAAGTGAATATTCCAGGATAAAAGCTAGAAGGACGTTATCTCTGAAACTGCTGAGTGACATGTGCATTCATCTCACAGAGTTAACCTTACTTTTCATTCAGCGGTTTGGAAACACAGTTTTTGTAGAATTTGCAATGGGATATTTGGATGCACTTTGAGGCCTCTGGTGAAAAAGGAAGTATCTTCAGAAAAAAGTAGAAAGAAGCTTTCTGAGAAACTGCTTTGTGATGTATGCATTCATCTCCCAGAGGTAAACCTGTCTTTTAATTCAGCAGTTTTGAAACACTGTTTTCATCCATTCTGCAAATGGACATCTGGGAACTCACTGAGGCCAACGGTGAAAACGTGAATTTCCCAGATAAAAACTAGAAGGAAGCTATCTGAGAAACCGCTTTGTGATGTGTGCATTCATCTCACAGTTTTTTTAATTCAGCAGTTTGGAAACACTCTTTTTGTAGAATCTGTGAAGGGATATTTGGGAGCACTTTGAGGCCTATGGTGAAAAAGAAAATATATTCAGATAAAAAGTAGAATGAAGCTTTCTGAAAAACTGCCTTGTGATGTGTGCATTCATCTCACAGAGTTAAACCATTCTTTTTATTCAGCTGTTTGGAAACACTGTTTTAATATTTTCTGTGAAAGGAAATTTGGGAGCTCATTGAGGCCAATGGCAAAAAAGAGAATATCCCAGGATAAAAACTAGAAGGAAGCTATCTGAGAAGCCGTTTGTCACGTGTGCATTCACCTCACAGAGTTAAACTTTTCTTTTCATTCAACAGTCAGGAAACACTGTTTCTGTAAAATCCATGAAGGAATATTTGGAAGCGCATTGTGGCCTGTGGTTAAAAAGGAAATATCTTCAGATAAAAAGTAGAAAGAAGCTTTCTGAGAAACTGCTTTGTGATGTGTGCATTCATGTCACAGAGTTAAACATTTCTATTGATTCAGCAGTTTGGAAACTGTATTGTTCCATTCTGCAAATTCACATTTATGAGCACATTTAGGCCAATGGTGAAAAAGCGAATGTCCCAGGATAAAAACTAGAAGGTAGCTATCTGAGAAACTGCTTTGTGATGTGCGCATTCACCTCACAGAATTAAACCTTTGTTTCATTCAGCAGTTTGGAAACACTGTTTTTGTAGAATGTGCAAAGGGATAATTCAGAGGACACTGAGGCCTATGGTGAAAAAGCAATTATCTTCAGATAAAAACTAGAAAGAAACTTTCTCAGAAACTCCTTTGTGATGTTTGCATTCATCTCACAGAGTTAGTCCTTTCTTTTGTTTCAGCAGTTTGGAACCACTCTTTTTGTCCATTTGGCAAATGGACATTTAGGAGCTCATTGAGGCCAAAGCTGAAAAAGTGAATTTCCCAGGATAAATATTAGAAGGAAGTTATCTGAGAAACCACTTTGTGATGTGTGCATTCATCTCCTAGAGTTAAAACTTGCTTTTCCATCAGCAGTTTGGAAGCACTCTTTTTGTAGAATCTGTGAAGGGACATTTTGGAGCACATTGAAGCCTGTTGGGAGCAAGACCCCCAAAATCTGGCCATAAACTGGCCCCAAAACTGGCCCTAAACAAAATCTCTGCAGCACTGTGACATATTCATGATGGCTGCAGCTCACACACTGGAAGGTTGTGGGTATACTGGAATGAGGGTAAGGAACTCCTGGCCTGCCCTGGGCAGAAAACCTCTTAAAGGCATTCTTAAGCCACAAACAATGTCATGAGTAATCTGTGCCCTTAGGACATGCTCCTGCTGCAGTTAACTAGCCCCATTTATTCCTTTAATTTGGCCCATCCCTTCATTTCCCATGAGGGATACTTTTAGTTAATTTCATATCTATAGAAACAATGCAAATTACTGGTTTGCTGTTAGTTAATAAGTGGGTAAATATCTGTAGGGGGCTATCAGCTCTGAAGACTGTGAGACCCCTGATTTCCCACTTCACACTTCTATATTTCGGTGTGTATGTCTTTAATTCCTCTAGCACCACTAGGTTAGGGTCTCCCTGACTGAGCTGGTCTCAGCAAGTGACACTCGTTCATGGGGCCTCGAATCCAGGTTGGTCGCCATATCAACAGTTGAAGAATGTGGAACTAGCTGGAGGACACATGAGTACTCTTAAAGCAATCCCCATGGTGAGTAAGAAGGGTATCTCAGAAGCATCAGTGTAACAATGGGACAAGTGTGGGGTCTGGTTCATTCTACCTTGGAACTTTTTCACACTGATGATGAGGAGGAAGGAGAGTATAATGAAGTAACAGAAGAGGTTAAAGACCAGATTTATTTACCAGCTAAAGCTAAAGTGGCAAAGGAGGGAGAGGTTCATCCCTAACCTTTGGCACCCCCTCCATATTATTTTGAAGAAAAAGACCCTACAGATCTTTATTTCCCAGAGGACACTGGGTGAATATAGTTGCCCCAGTGACTGTTTGAGCAGTAGCTCGAGTGACTGCTCTTAGTTCCATCCAGGCAGGAATTCAGCAAGTTAGATGAGAGGGTGATTTAGAGGCTTGGCAGTTCCCTGTTAGAATACACACCCCAGATAAACAGGGAAATATTACAGATACATTTGAGCCTTTTCCTTTTAAATTACTCAAAGAATTTAAATAAACTATAAATCAGTATGGATCAGGTTCTCCTTTTTTAATGGGACTGTTAAAGAATGTTGCTGTTTCCAGTCAGATGATTCCTACTGACTGGGACATTCTTACTTGAGCTTGTCTAGCTCCTGCTCAGTTGCTACAATTTAAAACTTGGTGGCCAGATGAAGCTTCCATTCAGGCTGCTTACAATGCGCAGGCTGAACCTCAAATTAATATAATTGCAGACCAGCTTTTGGGGACAGGCATCTGTGCTGCTTTAGATGCACAAGTGGTCATGCAAGATGATGCCATAGAACAGCTTAGTGGAGTGTGCATTAGAGCTTGGGGAAAAAATCATTTCAGGTGGAGAACAACACCTTTCCTTTAGTGCTATAAAACAGGGACCAAGAGAACCATACTTTGATTTTATAGCTTGGTTACAGGAGTCTCTTAAAAAGATGATTGCAGATTCGGCTGCTCAGGTTATAGTGTTGCAGTTATTAGCTTTTGAGAATGCTAATCCCGATTGCCAGGCTGCTCTGCGACCTATCAGAGGGAAAGCACATTTAGTTGATTATGTCAAGGCCTGTGATGGTATCGGAGGTAATCTGTATAAAGCTACTTTGTTGGCACAGGCAGTGGCAGAACTGAGAGTCGATAAAGAAAATACTTCATTTCCTGGAGCTTGTTTTAACTGTGGGAAGCATGGTCATACTGAAAAAGAATGTAGAAAAAATCAGTGAGTCAGGCCACCAGATAGGGGAATAAAGAAACTTCTTGAGCCAGAAATATGTCCAAAATGTAAAAAAGGAAACATTAGGCTAATCAGTGTCATTCTAAGTTTGATAAAGATGGGAACCCAATTTTGGGAAATGCCATTAGGGGACCACCCTAGGCCCCATTCTAAACTGGGGCATTTCCAGCTCAGGCCATTCCCTCACCCCTGTACAATGTCTGTCTCCCACCACAGCCAGTAGTGCTGCAGTAGATTTATGCTGCACAAAAACTGCGAGCCTTCTGCCTGGGGAACCCCTGCAAAAGGTCCCAACAGGAGTCTGTGGACCCTTGCCAGTAGGGACAATAGGATTACGTCTAGGAAGGTCTAGTTTAAGTTTAAAAGGGGTACAAATACATACAGGAGTCAATGATTCAGATTACAATGGGGAAATTCAAATTGTTATATCTACTTCTGTTGCCTGGAAAACAGAGCCAGAAGAGGGCATAGCACAGCTCCTGATAACACTGTATGTGGGAATGGGAAAAAGTGAAATTAAATGAACAGAAGGATTTGGAAGCACAAATAAACAAGGCAAAGCAGCTTATTGGGTAAATCAAATAACTGATAAACATCCTACCTGTGAAATAACTATTCAGGAAAGAAATTTAAAGATTTGGTAGATACAGGAGCAGACATTTCAATCATTTCCCTACAGCACTGGCTGTCCATGTGGCCAATTCAACCCCCTCAATTTAACATAGTTGGAGTTCATAAAGCCCCTTAAGTATATCAAAGTAGTTATATTTTGCACTGTGAAGGGCCCGATGGACAAACTGGGACTATTCGACCAATTATAACTTCTGTACCTATAAATTTATGGGGAAGAGATTTATTACAACAATGGGGACCAAAAGTTCTAATTCCAGAACAAATATATAGCCCTCAAAGTCAACATATAATGCATGAAAAGGGGTATGTCCCTGGTATGGGACTAGAAAATATCTGCAAAGTTAGAAAGAACAACTTCAAATGGAAAGACAAACTTCCCACCAAGGTTTAGGATAGCATTTTTTATGGCAGCTATTGTTAAGCCTCCAAAACCTATACCTTCAAAATGGGTAACAGATAAGCCAATTTGGATAGAACAATGGCTGCTAAGTAAAGAGAAACTGGAGGCTTTAGAGAAATTAGTTACTGAACAATTAGAAAATGGGTACATAGCTCCAACATTTTCCCATTGGAATTCTCCAGTTTTCATAATTAAGAAAAATTCAGGTAAATGGAGAATGTTAACTGACTTAAGAGCCATGAATTCAGTAATAAAACCTATGGGAGCATTACAGCCAGGATTGCCTTCTCCTGCTATAATTCCAAAACATTGGCCTTTAATTGTCATAGATTTAAAAGATTGTTTCTTTACTATCCCCTTAGCTGAGCAAGATTGTGAATGGTTTGCCTTTACAATTCCTGCAGTAAACAACCTGCAGCCTGCTAAGCATTATTATTGGAAAGTGTTGCCACAAGGCATGTTAAACAATCCAACAATTTGCCAGAGGTATGTAGGGCAAGCTATTGATCCTACTTATAAAAAATTTTCACAATGTTACATTATTCACTATATGGATGATGTACTTTGTGCTGCCCCCACTCAAGAAATGTTTCTCCAATGTTATGATCACTTGCAAAATTTGATTTCTCACACTGGTTTAATTATAGCTCCTGACAAAATTCAGATTACTACTCCCTACTCCTACTTGGTGACATCAGTAAATGACACTACCATTGAGCCACAGAAAGTAAACATATGTACGGATCAATTGAAAACATTAAAGACTTTCAAAAATTACTAGGGGACATTGATTGGATATGACATGTACTAGGCATTCCTACCTATGCCATGAGTAATCTGTTTTCTATCCTTTGAGGAAATGCTAGTCTCACTAGCCCTCAGCAATCAACAAAGGAGGCTGAGGTCGAGTTACAGCTGATTGAAAAGCAAGTCCATAAAGCTTAAATAAGTAGAATAGATCCAGAGAAGACTCTAGACTTGCTAATTTTTTCAACTCCACGTTCATCTACTGGTGTTATTTTCCAAGAGCAGGACTCAGTAGGGTGGCTTTTTCTTCCACATACCAATTCATGAACTCTAACTCTTTATTTAGATCAAATTGCTACTATGATAGGAATTGGGAGAACCCAGATTGTTAAATTACATGGATATGATCCTGGAAAAATTAATGTCCCTCTCAGGAAGACACAAATACATCAAGCTTTTATCAGTAGTCTTACTTGGCAAACCCATTTAGCTGACTTTGGGAGTATTCTCAATAACCATTTTCCTAAAACAAATCTGTTTCAGGTTTTGAAATTAAGCAATTGGATTCTCCCTAAAATAACTAAATTTAAACCAATTGAAGTTGCTGAGAATGTTTTTACAGATGGGTCTAGTAATGGTAAAGCTTCTTATTCTAGCTCAAAAAGTGAAGTTTTCCAGACGCCTCAAAAAGCAGAGCTTTTTGCTGTAATTGAGGTGACTGCTTTTGATATGCCTATTGATGTGATTTCTGTTTCTTCATACATGGTTCATTCCACACAGTTAATTGAAAATGCTCAGTTAGGATTTCATACAGATGAACAACTGATGATTTTATTTACCAAATTGCAAATAGCATTTAGAAGTAGAATGCACCCTTTGTACATCACTCATATTAGGGCTCATACACCTCTTCCAGGACTTTTGACTGAAGGGAATCAAGTGGCTGATCACCTAGTCACTAATGCAATATCTAACGCTGGACACTTTCACAATTTAACTCATGTTAATGCCTCTGGCTTCAAATGCAGATACAGCATTACCTGGAAAGAAGCTAAAGCTATTATCCAGTGATGCCCAACTTGCCAAATGGTACATTCCTCATCTTTCATAGAAGGAGTTAATCCTCGAGGATTGGAACCTAATTCTTTTAGGCAAATGGATATCACACATGTTCCCTCGTTTGGGAGACTATATTAAGTACCTGTATGTGTGGACACCTTTTCTCACTTTGTCTGGGCTACTTGCCAATCAGGAGAGTCTTCTGCCAGTGTTAAATGTCACCCTTTGTAGTGTTTTGTGGTGATGGGCATTCCCTCTACTATTAAAACAGATAATGCCCCAGGCTATACTAGCCAAGCTCTAGCTACATTTTTCTCTATGTGGAATATTAAACATGTTACTGGTATCCCATACAGTTCTCAAGGACAAGCCATAATGGAAAGAATGAATCTCTCCCAAAAACAGCAGTTGTAAAACCAGAAAGGGGGTGAAAGAGAATATGGAACCCTGCAGATGCCACTGAATCCAGAATTATTAACTTTAATTTTTTGAGCCTGCCCAAAGGCCAGATGCTATCAGCAGCTGAACAGCATCTACAGAAACCAGCTGCAAAGACAGAAGCAGAACAACTGATTTGGTGGAGAGATCCGATTATGAAAAGTTAGGAAACAGGTAAAATAATAAGTTGGGGTAGAAGTTATGCTTGTGTTTCTCCAGGCCAAAATCAACAGACAATCTGGATACCATCAAGAAACCTGAAACTTTATTGTGAGCTGGATGCTGAGAAAGAGACCCCAGGAGGATCCTGAGGACCCCCCGGTTGCAGCCATGTTGAGAATGATGCTGAGGAGGACACCAACTGTCATGAGCAACACCCACTGAACACAGCCACCCTCCTGGGGACAGATTAAGAAGCTGTCACAGATGGCAGAAGAAAACTTGAGGAAAGTGGGACAACCAGTCACAATGAATAATTTAATGGTAGCTATGATAGCAGTTATCACCATTGCCATGGGTATTCCTTCAATAAGGGCTGACACAGAGAACGATTATACTTATTGGGCATATTTATCAATCTTGGCTGGCAATAATGCCTGGAGGCAATCATTCTATGACACAGTTACACATGCTTTCTGATCTCGGTATTTACCATAATAAATTGGCTCCTATATTGAGGCATACCACCCTCAAAAACCTATTTGTAAACAGGATTGGACCCAGTTAGAGAAAATGAACATACTTGTTTAGGAAGATTTGCATTGCAGAACAGGCAGAGGCACTGCATAACGATTCCTATGATTCCTATGGAATCATTATTAATTGGTCCCCTAAGGGGATGTTTAGTTTGAATTGCACATCTCAGTCTACGTGCCACGGCCACACAATGTTCAGATGACCTGAACAAAACAGTCAGATGATAGATATGATAAGAAGTATGACAAAACTTCCTATTATCTGGAACCATGAAGGTATAGTGGCAGCTCATCCTCAAATGATATGGCCCGCACTAAGGAACTTAATATAAGGATTTGTAGAAACTATTAGATGCTCTTAATAAGATCAAAATTAGGGAAATAATAAAAAAAATCTAGAAGGACACTCTACAAACTTGTTTTTGGATATAGCAAAATTAAAAGAACAAATATTTAAAGCATTCCAGGCACACGTGACTTTAATGCCAGGAAATGGAGTGCTTAAAGATCTGCAGACAAAGTAGCAGCAAGTCATCCATTAAAATGGATAAAAACACTTGGTAGCTCTGTGATTTCAAAGATGATTGTACTTTTAATCTATATTGCTTGTCTTTGTATAGTCTGCAGATGCAGACCCTGACTCCTGTGAGAAGCAGCTCACCATGACAAAGCTGCGTTTGCTTTTATCAATTTCAAAATCAAAGAAGGGGTACATGTTGGGAGCAAGCTCCCCAAAAATCTGGCCATAAACTAGCCCCAAAACTGGCCATAAACAATAAGCACTGTGACATGGTCATGATGGCACTAACGCTGACACTGAAAGGTTGGGGGTTTACCAGAATGAAGGCAAGAAACAACTGGCCTGCCCAGGATGGAAAACCTCTTAAAGGCTTTCCTAAGCCACAAACAGCATGAGAAATCTGTGCCTTAATGTCATGTTCCTGCTGCAGTTAACTACCCCAACCTATTCCTTTAATTTTGCCCATCCCTTCATAGCCCATAAGGGATACTTTTAGTTAATTTACTATCTATAGAAACAATGCTAATGAATGGCTTGCAGTTAATAAATATGTGGGTAAATCTCTGATTGAGGCTCTCAGCTCTGAAGACAGTGAGACCCCTGATTTCCCACTTCACACCTCTGTATTTCTGTGTGTGTGTCTTTAATTCCTCTAGCACCACTGGGTTAGGGTCTCCCTGAATGAGCTGGTCTTGGCAGAGGGCTATGGTGAAAAAGAAAATATCTTCAGATAAGAAGTAGAAAGAAGCTTTTGAGAAACTGCTTCGTGATGTGTGTTTTCATCTCACAGAGTTAAACTTTTCTTTTGATTCAGCAGTTTGAAAACACTGGTTTTGTCCATTCCATTTGGGAGATCTTTGAGGCCAAGGGCAAAAAAGCAAATATCCCAGGATAAAAAATTGAAGGAAGCTATCTGACAAACCGTTTGTGATGTGTGCTTTCATCTCACAGAGACAAAACTTTCTTTTCATTCAGCAGTTTGGAAACACTGTTTTTGCAGAATCTGCGAAGGGATATTTAGGAGTGCATTAACTCCTATGGTGAAAAAAAATAACTTCAGATGAAAAGTAGAAAGAACATTTTGAGAAACTGCTTCATGATGCGTGCATTCATCTCACAGAGTTAAACCTTTCTTTTGATTCAGCAGTTTGAAAACACTGTTTTTGTCTATTCTGCAAATGGACATTTGGGAGCTCACTAAGGCCAATGAAGAAAAAGTGAATATCCCAGGATAAAAACTAGAAGAAAGCCATCTGAGACATTGATTTGTGATGAGTGCATTCATCTCACATAGTTAAACTTTTCTTTTCATGCAGCTGTTTGGAAACACTTTTTTTGTAGGGTCTGCATTGGGATATTTGGGAGCATATTGAGGCCAATGGTGAAAAAGAAAATATCTTCAGATAAAAACTAGAAAGAAGTTTTCTGAGAAATTGCTTTGTGGTGTGAACATTCATCTCACAGAATTAAACTTTTCTTTAGATTCAGCAGTTTGGAAGCACAGTTTTTGTCCATTCTGCAAATGGACACTTGCAAGCTCATTGAGTCCAAAGGTGAAAAAGTGAATATCACAGGAAAAAAACTAGAAGGAAGCTATCTGAGAAATTGTTTTGTGATGTGTGCATTCATCTCAAAGGTTAAACCTTCCTTTTAGTTCAGCAGTTTGGAAACACTATTTTTGTAGAATCTGCAAAGGGATATTTGGGGACCCATTGAGGTCTATGGTGAAAAAGAAAATATCTTCAAATAAAAACAAGAAAGAAGCTTTCTGAGAAATTGCTTTGTGATGTGTGCAACCATCTCACAGAGTTAACCCTTTCTTTTCATTCACCAGTGTTGAAACACTGTTTTGTAGAATCTGCGAAGGCATATTTGGGAGCATGTTGAGGTCTATGGTGAAAAAGAAAATATCTTCAGATAAAAAGTAGAAAAAATCTTTCTGAGAAACTGCATTGCAATGTATACATTCATCTTACAGAGGTAAAATTTTCTTTTGATTCAGGAGATTATAAACACTGTTTTTGTCCATTCTGTGAATGGACATTTGGGAGCTTATTGAGGCCAATTGCAAATAAGCAAATGTAGCATCATAAAGAGTAGATGGAACCTATCTGACAAACTGCTTCATGATGTGTGCATTCATCTCACAGCTTTAAACCTTTCTTTTCATTCAGCAGTTTGGATACATGGTTTTTGTAGAATCTACAAAGGGATAATAGGGAAAGTATTGAGGCCTAAGGTGAAAAAGAAAATATCTTCAGATCAAAACTAAAAGAAGCTTTTGGAGAACCTACTTTGTGATGTGTGCATTCATCTCACAGAGTTAAACCTTTCTTTTGATGCAGCAGTTTGGAAACACTGTTTTTCTCCTGACTGCAAATGTACATTTGGGAGCTCATTGAGGCCAGTGGTAAAAAAGTGAATATCTCAGGATAAAACTAGAAGAAACCTACCTAAGAAACCGAATTATGATGTGTGCACTCATCTCACAGAGTTAAAGCTTTCTTTTCATTCAGTAGTTTGGAAACACTGTTTTGGTAGAATCTGCAAAGGAATATTTGGGAGCATATTGAGGTCTATGGTGAAAAAGAAAGTATCTTCAGATAAAAACTACAAAGAAGTTTCTGAGAAAATTACTTGTGATGTGTGCATTCATCTCACAGAGTTCAAACTTTTTTTGATTCAGCAGTTTGTAAACACTGTTATTGTCCATTCTGTGAATGGATATTTGGGAGCTAATTGAGGCCAAAGGTGACAATGAAATTATCCCAGGATAAAAACTAGAAGGAAGCTATTTGAGAAACCACTTTGTGATGTGTGTTTTTTCTTGCAGAGTTAAATCTTTCCTTTCATTCAGCAGTTTAGAAACACTGTTTTTGTACAAACAACGAAGGGATATTTGGGAGTGCATTAAGGCCTATGGTGAACAAGAAAATATATTCAGAAAAAAAAACAGAAAGAAGCCTTCTGAGAAACTGCTTTGTGAGGTGTGCATTCATCTCAAAGTGTTAAAACCTTTCTTTTGATTTGGGAGTTTGGAAAAACGGTTATTGTCAATTCAGCAAATGAATATTTTGGAGCTCATTGAGGCCAATGGCGAAAAAGAGAATATCCCAGGATACAAACTAGAAAGAAGATATCTGGGAAACTACTTTGTGATGTATACATTCATCTCACAGAGTTAAACTTTTCTTTCATTCAGCTGTTTGGAAACACTGTTTTTGTAGAATCTGTGAATGGATATTTGGGAGCGCATTGAGGCCTATGGTGAAAAAGAAATTATCTTCAGATAAAAACCAGAAAGAAGTTTTCTGAGAAACTGCTTTGTGATGTGTGCATTCATCTCACATAGTTTAACCTTTCTTTTAATTTAGCAGTTCAGAAACACGGTTTTTAACCATCTGCAAATGGACATTCGGGAGCTCATTGGGGCAAATGCCAAAAAAGAGAACATACCAGGATAAAAACTAGAAGGAAGCAATCTCAGAATCTGCCTTGAGATATTTGCATTCATCTCACAGAGATAAATCTTTCTTTTGATTCAGCAGTTTGGAAACACTGTTTTTGTCCATTCTGTGGATGGATATTTGGAAGCTGATTGAGGCCAATGGTGAGAAAGCAAGTATTCCACTATGAAAACTTTCAGGAAGCTATCTGAGAAACTGCTTTGTGATATGTGCATTCATCTCCCCCGGTTAAACTTTCCTTTTCACACAGCAGTTTGGAAACACTGTTTTTGTAGAGTCTGCAAATGGATATTTGGGAGCGCATTGAGGTCCCTAGTGAAAAGGAATATATCGCAGGATAAAAACTAGAAGAAAGGTATCAGAGAAACTGCTTTGTGATGTGCACGTTGATCTTGCAGAGTTAAGTCTTTCTTTTCATTCAGCAGTTTGGGAACACATTTTTTGTAGAATCTGTGAAGGGATATATGGGAGAGCATTGAGGCCTATGGTCAAAAAGAAAATATCTTCAGATAAAAACTAGAAAGAAGCTTTCTGAGAAACTGCTTTGTGATAAGTGCATTCATCTCACAGAATTAAACCTTTCTTTTGATTCCACAATTTGGAAACACTGGTTTTGTCCACTCTGTGAACAGACATTTGGGAGCTCATTGAGGCCAATGGTGAAAAAGGGAATATCCCAGGATAAAAACTAGAAGGAACCTATCTGAGAAACAACTCTATGACCTGTGCATTCATCTCACTGAGTTAAACCTTTCTATTCCTTCAGCAGTTCGGAAACACTGTTTTTGTAAAATCTGCAAAGGCATATTTAGGAGCATGTTCAGGCCTATGGTGAAAATATCTTCAGATCAGGACATAGGCATGGGCAAGGACTTCATGTCTGAAACACCAAAAGCAATGGGAACAGAAGCCAAAATTGACAAATGGGATCCAATTAAACTAAAGAGCTTCTGCACAGCAAAAGAAACTACCATCAGAGTGAACAGGCAATCTACAAAATTGAAGAAAATTTTCGCAACCTACTCATCTGACAAAGGGCTAATATCCAGAATCTACAATGAATTCAAACAGATGTACAAGAAAAAAGCAAACAACCCCATCAAAAAGTGGGTGAAGGACATGAACAGACAATTCTCAAAAGAAGACATTTATGCAGGCAAAAAACACATGAAAAAATGCTCACCATCATTGGCCATCAGAGAAATGCAAATCAAAACCACAATGAGATACCATCTCACACCAGTTAGAATGGCAATCATTAAAAAGTCAGGAAACAACAGGTGCTGGAGAGGTTGTGGAGAAATAGGAACACTTTTACACTGTTGTTGGGACTGTAAACTAGTTCAACCATTGTGGAAGTCAGTGTGGCGATTCCTCAGGGATCTAGAACTAGAAATACCATTTGACCCAGCCATCGCATTACTGAGTATATACCCAAAGGACTATAAATTATGCTGCTATAAAGACACATGCACACATATATTTATTGTGGCATTATTCACAATAGCAAAGACTTGGAACCAACTCAAATGTCCAACAATGATAGACTGGATGAAGAAAATGTGGCACATATACACCATGGAATACTATGCAGCCATAAAAAATGATGAGTTCATGTCCTTTGTAGGGACATGGATGAAATTGGAAATCATCACTCTCAGTAAACTATCGCAAGAACAAAAAACCAAAACCAAACACTGCATATTCTCACTCATAGGTGGGAATTGAACAATGAGAACACATGGACACAGGAAGGGGAACATCACACTCTGAGGACTGTTGTGGGGTTGGCGGCAGGGGAGGGATAGCATTGGGAGATATACCTAATGCTAGATGACGAGTTAGTGGGTGCAGCTCACCAGCATGGCACATGTATACATGTAACTAACATGCACATTGTGCACAAGTACCCTAAAACTTAAAGTATAATAATAAAAAATAAATAAATAAAAAAATAAATAAAAAACTAGAAAGAAGCTTTCTGAGAAACTGCTTGTGATGTGTGCATTCATCTAACAGAATTAAACCATTTTTTGATTCTGCAGTTTGGAAACACTGTTTTTGCCCTGTCTGCTATCTGATATTTGGGAGCTCATTGAGGCCAATGGTGAAAAAGCGAATATCCCAGGATAAAAACTAGAAGAAACCTATCTGAGAAACTGCTTTGTGATGTTTGCCTTCATCTCACAGAATTAAAACTATCTTTTTATTCAGCAGTTTGGAGACACTGATTTTGAAGACTCTGCAAAGGGACGTTTGGGAGCCCATTGAGGCCTATGGTGAAAAAGTAAATATCTTCAGATAAAAATTAGAAAGAAGCTATCTGAGAAACCACGTTTTGATGTCTACATTCATCTCACAGAGTTAAACCTTTCTTTTCATTCAGCAATTTGGAAAAACTCTTTTTGTACAATCTGTGAAGGGATATTTGGGAGTGTATTGAGGCCTATGGTGAAAAAGAAAATATCTTCAGATAAAATCTAGAAAGAAGCTTTCTGAGAAACTGCTTTGTGATGTGTGAATGCATCTGAGAGTTAAAGCTTTCTTTAAATTCAGCAGTGTGGAAACATTGTTTTGGTAGAACCTGTGAAGGGATATTTTAGAGCACAATGATGCCTATGGTGAAAAATAAAATATCTTCAGATAAAAAGTAGAAAGAAGCTTTCTGAGGGACTGCTTTGTGAGGTATGCATTCATCTCCCATAGTTAAACCTTTATTTTGATTCAGCAGTTTGGAAACACTGTTTTTCTCCATTTTGCAAATGGATATTTGGGAGCTCATTGGGCCAATGGTGAAAAAGCAAAGAACACAAGGTAAAAACTAGAAAGAAACTATCTGAGAAACCACTTTGTGATGTGTGCATTCATCTCGCAGAATTAAATCTTTTCACTCAGCAGTTTGGAAACACTGTTTTTGTAGAGTCTGTGAAGGGATATTTGTGAAGGCATTGAGGCCTATGGTGAAAAAGAAAAGATCTTTAGATAAAAACAAGAGAGAAGCTTTCTAAGAAACCGGTTTGTGATTTTTGCATTCATCTCACAGAGTTAAACTTTTCTCTTGAGTCAGCACTTTGGAAACCTGTTTTTGTCCATTGTGCAAATGGACATATGGGAGCTCATTGAAGCCAGTGGTGAAAAAGAGAATACCCCAGGATAAAAACCAGATGGAAGCTATCTGAGAAACTGCTATTTGATGTGTTCATTCATCTCCCAAAGCTAAAAGTTTCTTTTCATTCAGCAGTTTGGAAACACTGTTTTTGTAGAATCTGTGAAGGGACATATGAGAGTGCTTTGAGGCCAGTGGTGAAAAAGAAAATATCCTCAGATAAAAAATAGAAGGAAGCTTTCTGTGAAACTGTTTGTAATGTGTGCATTCTTCTCACAGAGGTAAACCTTACTTTTACTCAGCTTTTTGGAAACACTTTTTTCTTCCATTCTGCAAATGGATATTTGGGAGCTCATTGAAGCCAAAGGCGAAAAAGAGTAGTTTTATCCCAGGATAAGAACTAGAAGGAAGGTATCTGGGAAACCACTTTTTGATGTGTGCATTCACTTGCAGAGTTAAACCTTTCTTTTCATTCAGCAGTTTGGAAACATTGTTTTTGTAGAATCTGTGAAGGGATATTTGGGAGTGCATTGAGGCCTATGGTGAAAAAGAAAATATTTTCAGATAAAAAGTAGAAAGAAGTTTTCTGAGAAACTGCTTTGTGATGTGCACATTCATCTCACAGTGTTAAATCTTTTTTTTGATCCAGCAGTTTGGAAACACTGTTTCTGTCCAATCTGAGAATGGACATTTGAGAGCTCATTGTGGCCAATGTGAAAAAGGGAATATTCCAGGATAAAAAAAGAAGAAAGCTCTCTGATAAACTGCTTTGTGATGTGTGCATTCTTCTTGCAGTGTTAAACCTTTCTTTTCATTTAGCAGTTTCGGAAACACTGTTTTGTAGAATCTGTGAAGGGTGCATTGAGGCCTATGGCGAAAAAGAAAAAGAAAATAACTGAGAAGGGTGCATTGAGGTCTATGGTAGAATCTGCAAAGGGTGCATTGAGGCCTATGGTGAAAAAGAAAATACCTCTGGATAGAAACTAGAAAGAAGCTTCCTCAGAAACTGCTTTTTGATGTGTACATTCATCTCTGAGTTTACCATTTCTTTTGATTCAGTGGTCTGGAATCATTGTTTTTTTTTTCCATTCTGTGAATGGACATTTGGGAGGTCAATGAGGCCAATGGAGAAAAATGAATATCCCAGGATAAAAACTAGAAGGAAGCTATCTGAGACTGCTTTTTGATGTGTGCATTCATTTGGAAGATTTAAACCTTTCTTTTCACTCTTCAGTTTGTAAACACTGCTTTTGTAGAATCTGCAAAGGGATATTTGGGAGTGCATTGAGCCCTATGGTAAAAAAGAAAATATCTTCACGTAAAAAGTAGAAGGAAGTTTTCCTAGAAACTTCTTTGTGAAGTGTGCATTCATCTCACAGAGTTAAAACTTTCTTTTAATTCAGCAGTTTGGCAACACTGTTTTTGACCATTCTACAAAAGGACATTTGTGAGCTCATTCTGGACAATGGTGAAAAAGTGAATATCCCAGGATAAAGACTAGAATGATGCTGAGAAACTGCTTTGTGATTTGTGTATTCAACTCACAGAGTTAAAACTTTCTTTTGATTCACCTGTTTGGAAACACTGTTTTTGTCCATTCTATGAATGGACCTTTGGGAGCTCATTGAGGCCAATGGCAAAAAATGAATACCCTAGGATAAAAACTAAAGGAAGCTATCTGAGAAACTGCTTTGTGATGTGTTCATTCATCTCACAGAATTAAACCTTTCTTTTCATTCAGCAGTTTGGAAACACTATTTTTGTAGAATCTGCATAATAACATCTGGGATCACATTGAAGCTTATGGTGAAAAACAAAATATCTTCAGATAAAAACTAGAAACAAACTTTCTGAGAAACTGCTTGGCGATTTGTGAATTCATCTCACAAAGTTAAACCTTTCTTTTAATTCAGCAGTTTGGAAACACTGTTTTTGTCCATTCTGCAAATGGACATTTCGGAGCTCATTGAGGCCAGTGTCGATAAAGCAAATATACCAGGATAAAAACTAGAAGGAAGCTAACTGATACCAGGATAAAAACTAGAAGGAAACTAACTGAGAATCCACTTTGTGATTTCTGCATTCATCTCACAAAGTTTAACCTTTCTTTTGATATGGCAGTTTGGAAGAACTGTTTTTGTCCATTCTGCAAATGGACATTTGGGAGCTCATTGAGGCCAGTGGTGAAAAAAGAGAATCTCCCAGGATAGAAACTAAAAAAATGCTATCAGAGAAACCGTTGTGTGATGTGTGCATTCATCTAGCAGAGTTAACCCTTTCTTTTCACTCAGCAGTTTGGAAACACTGTTTTTGTAAAATCTGCAAAGGAATATTTGGGAGTGCATTGAGGCCTATGGTGAAAAAGAAAATATCTTCTGATAAGAAAGAAATTTTCTGAGAAACTGCTTTGTGATGTGCGCGTTCATCTTATAGTGTTAAACTTTATTTTGATTCAGCAGTTTGCAAACCTGTTTTTGTCCATTCTGCAAATGGACTTTTGGGAGCTCCCTGAGGTTATTGGTGAAAAATCAAATATCCCTATAAAAACTAGGAGGAAGTTATCTGAGAAACCACTTTGTGATGTGTTCATTCATCTTGCAGAGTTAAATCTTTCTTTTCATTCCACAGTTTGGAAACACTGTTTTTGCACAATTGGCAAAGGGATATTTGGGATCTCATTGAGGCCAATGGTGAAAACGTAAATACCCCAGGCTAAAAACTAGAAGGAATATATCTGAGAAACCACTTAGTGTTGTGTATACTCATCTCACAGATTTAAACCTCACTTTTCAATCAGCAGTTTGGAAACACTGTTTTTGTAGACTCTGCAAAGGGATATTTGAGAGCACATTGAGGCCTATAGGTCAGAATACCTAAAGTAGGTCTTAAATAATTAATGTTACCCAAAAGTTTTTGAAGTCATTTAAAGTTTTCAAAGAATCTCTCCTAATTTGAACTTTTTGAGGTTGAATACATTGTTTATTGACCACCACTCCTAAATTTTGAACAGGAGTGGTCTGTTGAATTTTATCCTGAGCAATGTGTAATCCAGCCTCTGTAACACAGCGGCTCAAAATTTGATTACAAACAATTAATTCTTTATCAGTTGGGGGCAGCAATTAAAATATCATCAATATAATAAATAATATAGGCCTGGGGGAATTGGGCTCGAACTGGTGAAAGCACTTGTCCAACATAATGCTGGCAGTTTGTAGGGCTATTCAGCATTCCCTGAGGAAGTACTTTCCATTGATAACAAGGTGCAGGCTCCTGATTATTAATAGATAGTACAGTAAAAACAAATTTTTCACAATCCAATTTATGTAAAGCAATATGAAAAAACAATCTTTAGGATCAATAACTATGAGAGGCCAATTTTTAGGTACTAAAGCAAGGGCAGGCATGCCATGTTGGATGGACCCCATAGGTTTAATTACAGTGTTAATGGCCCTTAAATCAGTTACCATCCGCTACTTGCCTGATTTCATTTTACTAGAAACACAGGAGTATTCCAGGGGGAAAGAGAAGGTTCCACATTTACAAGTTGTAACTGTTCAGAAACCAAGTGAGTTAAAGCCTCAGTTTTTGTTTAGAGAGCAGCCACTGCTGAATCCAAACCGGTGTCTCAGATTTCCATTGTAAAGGGATAGGGTCAGGAGGCATGGCAGCAGCCGCCACTGAAAAGGATAACCTAAACCTTCCCTGTTTTCTTTTACAGTAACTGGGAGGGGTTTAGTAATCCCTTCATGCTTTGGACTGAGACTGGCCCAGGAACAAACCCCATGTTTTCTATCATAAGCTGACTGGGAGCACTATAAGAGTTATATGGACTATTAATTTCAGCCCCCCATTGTACCAATAAATCTCTACCCCAGAGATGAATGGGAATTGGCATGATATAGGGCTGAATTGTACCACTTTGACCATCAGGGCCAGTGTAAGACAAGATAAATGTGCTCTCATACACTTCCTTAGCTTTTCCAACACCTACTAGTCCCATGTTAGTGGGATGTTTAAGCCAGGAGGAAGGCCATAAAGTAGAGGAAATCACAGAAACATCAGCCCCTGTATCTACTAGACCCTCAAACCTTTTTCCTTGAATGTATATGGTGCAGGTGGGCAGTTGTTTAGAAATTACATTAGTCCAATAAGCAGCCTTTTCACTGCTGGAGCCCATCCCAGGGCCACTCATCTTATCTCCTTTCTTTAAAATGATATTAGGTAGTAAAAGCAATTGAGCAATTGACTCACTGGCCTGAATGGAAACAGGAAACTTGGCAGACACGATTAATTTAATGTCATCAACAGAATCAGAATTAATGAGACCAGTATGAATGGTATTCCTTTAGCAGAGGTGGATGCCCTTCCTAACACCAGGCCCACTGAACCTTGAGGCAAAGGACCAGTGACCCCTGGGGGATAATTAAAGGCAAAGAGTTAGTTAGGTAGTAACTTTAGAGGAATAGTATTACAGAGATCGACCACCCTGCCCACTACCATGGAGGTGGACAAGCATTGTACTGAGACAGAGGGAGAGGCTGGGACCCATCTGGGTTGGCTGTAGGTAAATTTGTTTGTGCTGGGGGTTGTTGGGACTGCCTGAAGTTGGATGTAATGTTGGTCTGAGTCTGAAGCATCTCATTTGATATTGGGGCCTGGGACAAACTCTGCTTCCCATTTCCCTGGTTTTGTGGTAGGGGGTTTCCATTTATATCATACTTAAAGTGACAATTACTAGCCCTGTGTTTACCCTTGCCACGTGGACTAGTAGTAGCAGCAGAATTTGGCCATGTTTGTTGAGCCAGCTTGGCAGCTTTTAAGTTTTTAACAGTGCAATTTTTCTGAGTATGACCAAGTTGACCATGATTATAGCAGGCTCCAAGAAAAGAATTAGTGGAGCCAGTTTGATTGGTATCCTTCATGGCTTGTGCCCACAGGATAGCTTTGTGGGTGTCTGATCCAATGTCTTCACAAGCTTTAATATATGCAGGCAACACCTCATGATCAGGCAAATTTTGTCATTGGACAGAATGCTTGACCATTTTACACTCATGGTATGCATTTTCAAAAGCTAACATACAAAGGAGAATACCTTCAGCACACTCATCAGAGACAGATTTTTCAACAGCATCTTGTAATTTTGCTAAAAATATCAGGGTACAATTCAGTGTGACCTTGCTTAATGGTAGTAAAAGAAACAGGAGGTTGGCCTGGGGCATGTCATTTATCCCAAGCTCTCATACACACCTTTGTTACTTGTTCCATGGTAAGAGCATCAAAGTTTAATTGGGCATAAGTATCAAAGAAATTATCGGAGCCTGTGAGCTGAGCCTGAGTAACTAGAATGCCATTAGTCCAATTTAGCTGAGCCTGCAAATGAGCCTCTTCTAACCACCAGGTACGAAATTGTAAATGCTGAGATGGGGTCAGAACAGCTTTTGCCCAAAGGTCCCAGTTTAAAATAAGTAAAGTGATCTCTGTACAAAAAGATTGTAATACCATTTTAACATAAGGAGAAGTAGGACCATACTGAGTACAAGCATCCTTAAATTCTTTTAAAAAGGTAAGATTAAGAGGTACATAGAGACACGTTTGTAACCCTTGGAAGTTAGGAGGGTCTAGCATGACTGGATAAGTCCACACGTCTAATCCACTTGTTTCTTTGTTTTGGCATAATAAGTGTTGCATTGAAGTTTCAAGAGTAGGCATCTGGATGGAGTCAGCATAGAAGTGACAGGAAAAGCATGTGTAGATAAGGGAAACTGAGGGTGAGGGGGTCAGACAGGAATGAGAATGTGAGAAAGGGGTATTGGAGGAGCAGAAGTATACTGGTGATTACTGGTGTGCATGTGTGAAGAAGGGTACAGAGAAGCAGGCTGAGTGGATGGCAAACTGACTGGCTGAGGAACAAAAACGACACGAGGGTGAGGGTCTGAAGTGGATGGGGGAGGACCTGCAGAATTATAGGCGAATTGTAGTTTGGTCCTGGAGCCATTAGTTTACTCTGGAGGTTTGAAAAGAGAAGAATTAGCATATATATATGGTCCTGGGCTGTGTGACTTGGGGCTGTGGGAACTACAAGTACCGGCTCTTTGTGAAAAGAAATAAGATAAGCAGGCGCTAACATTAAGCCAAAGCCACTGGAGTTAGACAGTGAATTTTCAACAGGAGGAGGAGGAGTAGGTGAAGGGAGAGGATGATCAGAAAACGAAGGCCATGTGGGAGAGGACGGCTGAGGAAAAGTCAGAGAAACTGAGGAAAAGGCAAAAAACTGTGACTACTGCAGGGGATCATGGGATTGGCACACCACCAAGACAGCATGCACAATTCCCAACCACCCCAAACAGTGATGGGAACAAAATTCCCTGTTGAGACCAGTTCCTGGAATGCTGCACCAACACGATCCCATACTTTGCCATATAAAGTTCCTTTTTCAGGAAACCAAGGACATTATTTTTTCACCGCCCTGAATAGAGTGACTATATTTTCCATGGTTACTTGGACCCTTCCCTGTTTTAATAGGTCTGCATTTAAGGTTCCTTTTTCAGGAGACGAAGGGCAGAATTTTACCACTGCCCTAAATAGAGTGACCATATTTTCCATGGGGACTCGAACCCTTTTATGTTTTAACTGGAGTTTAATATAGAAGAGATAAGTATAATTTTTAGAGTCCACGTGACCCATAGTTAACCTGGACCATACACAGACTGCTCACCAGTCATGAGGGAGTTGAACAAGCCTCTCTGAGGACCTAACCGATAACATTTCTCTGCACCTACCAAAGGGAATCAGGTTTCCACATGCACCTGGGAAAAAGAAAAAACAACGTGGGCACCAGATATTGGGGAAACCCACCCCAATAATTGAACATGGGTCCTTATTTTTTTATTACACTTTAAGTTTTAGGGTACACATGCACAATGTGCAGGTTAGTTACATATGTATACATGTGCCATGTTGGTGTGCTGTACCCATTAACTCGTCACTTAACATTAGGTATATCTCCTAATGCTCTCTCTCCCACCACGCTCACCCCACAACAGGCCCCAGTGTGTGATGTTCCCTTTCCTATGTCCGTGAGTTCTCATTGTTCATTTCCCACTTATGAGTGAGAACATGCGGTGTTTGGTATTTTGTCCTTGTGATAGTTTGCTGAGAATGATGGTTTCCAGCTTCAACCATGTCCCTACAAAGGACATGAACTCATCACTTTTTATGGCTGCATAGTATTCCATGGTGTATATGTGCCACATTTTCTTAATCCAGTCTATCATTGTTGGACATTTGGGTTGGTTCCAAGTCTTTGCTATTGTGAATAGTGCAGCAATAAACATACCTGTGCATGTGTCTTTATAGCAGCATGATTTATAGTCCTTTGGGTATATATTCAGTAATGGGATGGCTGGGTCAAATGGTATTTCTAGTCCCAGATCCCTGAGGAATCGCCACACTGAATTCCACAATGGTTGAACTAGTTTACAGTCCAACCAACAGTGTAAAAGTGTTCCTATTTCTCCACATCCTCTCCAGCACCTGTTGTTTTCTGACTTTTTAATGATCGCCATTCTAACTGGTGTAAGATGGTATCTCATTGTGGTTTTGATTTGCATTTCTCTGATGGCCAGTGATGATGAGCATTTTTTCCTGTGTCTTTTGGCTGCATAAATGTTTTCTTTTGAAAAGAGTCTGTTCATATCCTTCACCCACTTTTTGATGGGGTTGTTTGTTTTTTTCTTGTAAATTTGTTTGAGTTCATTGTAGATTCTGGATATTAGCCCTTTGTCAGATGAGTAGATTGCAAAAATTTTCTCCCATTCTATAGGTTGCCTGTCCACTCTGATGGTAGTTTCTTTTGCTGTGCAGAAGCTCTTTAGTTTAATTAGATCCCATTTGTCAATTCTGGCTTTTGTTGCCATTGCTTTTGGTATTTTAGACATGAAGTCCTTGCCCATGTCTACGTCCTGAATGGTATTGCCTAGGTTTTCTTGTAGGGATTTTATGATTTTAGGTCTAACATGTAAGTCTTTAATCCATCTTGAATTAATTTTTGCATAAGGTGTAAGGAAGGGATCCAGTTTCAGCTTTCTCCATATGGCTAGCCAGTTTTCCCAGCACCATTTATTAAATAGGGAATCCTTTTGCCATTGCTTGTTTTTGTCAGGTTTGTCAAAGATCAGATGGTTGTAGATGTGTGGTATTATTTCTGAGGGCTCTGTTCTGTTCCATTGATCTATATCTCTGTTTTGGTATCAGTGCCGTGCTGTTTTGGTTACTGTAGCCTTGTAGTATAGTTTGAAGTCAGGTAGTGTGATCCCTCCAGCTTTGTTCTTTTGACTTATGATTGATTTGACAATGTGGACTCCTTTTGGTTCCATATGAACTTTAAAGTAGCTTTTTCCAATTCTGTGAAGAAAGTCGTTGGTAGCTTGATGGGGATGGCATTGAATCTATAAATTACCTTGGGCAGTATGGCCATTTTCACGATATTGATTCTTCCTGCCCATGATCATGGAATGTTCTTCCATTTGTTTGTATCCTCTTTTATTTCATTGAGCAGTGGTTTGTAGTTCTCCTTGAAGAGGTCCTTCTCGTCCCTTGTAAGTTGGATTCCTAGGTATTTTATTCTCTTTGAAGCAATTGTGAATGGGAGTTCACTCATGATTTGGCTCTCTGTTTGTCTGTTCTTGGTGTATAAGAATGCTTGTGATTTTTGTACATTGATTTTGTATCCTGAGACTTTGCTGAAGTTGCTTATCAGCTTAAGGAGATTTTGGGCTGAGACAATGGGGTTTTCTAGGTATACAATCATGTCATCTGCAAACAGGGACAATTTGACGTCTTCTTTTCCTAATTGAATACCCTTTATTTCCTTCTCCTGCCTAATTGCCCTGGCCAGAACTTCCAACACTATGTTGAATAGGAGTGGTGAGAGAGGGCATCCCTGTCTTGTGCCAGTTTTCAAAGGGAATGCTTCCAGTTTTTGCCCATTCAGGATGATATTGGCTGTGGGTTTGTCATAGATAGCTCTTATTATTTAGAGATACCTCCCATCAATACCTAATTTATTGGGAGTTTTTAGCATGAAGGTTGTTGAATTTTGTCAAAGGCCTTTTCTGCATCTATTGAGATAATCATGTGGTTTTTGTCTTTGGTTCTCTTTATATGCTGGCTTACATTTATTGATTTGCGTATATTGAACCAGCCTTGCATCCCAGGGATGAAGCCCACTTGATCACGGTGGATAAGCTTTTTGATGTGCTGCTGGATTTGGTTTGCCAGTAGTTTATTGAGGATTTTCGCATCAATGTTCTTCAAGGATATTGGTCTAAAATTCTTTTTTTGTTGTGTCTCTGCCCAGCTTTGGTATCAGGATGATGCTGGCCTCATAAAATAAGTTAGGGAGGATTCCCTCTTTTTCTATTGATTGGAATAGTTTCAGAAGGAATGGTACCAGCTCCTCCTTGTACCTCTGGTAGAATTCGGCTGTGAATCCTTCTGGTCCTGGACTCTTTTTGATTGTTAAGCCATTGATTATTGCCACAATTTCAGAGCCTGTTATTGGTTTTTTCAGAGATTCAGCTTCTTCCTGGTTTAGTCTTGGGAGGGTGTATGAGTCGAGGAATTTATCTATTTCTTCTCGATTTTCTAGTTTATTTCCATAGAGGTGTTTGTAGTATTCTCTGATGGTAGTTTATATTCCTGTGGGATCGATGGTGATATCCCCTTTATGATTTTTTATTATGTCTATTTGATTCTTCTCTCTTTTCTTCTTTATTAGTCTTGCTAGTGGTCTATCAATTTTGTTGATCCTTTCAAAAAACCAGCTCCTGGATTCATTAATTTTTGAAGGGTTTTTTGTGTCTCTATTTCCTTCAGTTCTGCTCTGATTTTAGTTATTTCTTGCCTTCTGCTAGCTTTTGAATGTGTTTCCTGTTGCTTTTCTATTTCTTTTAATTGTGATGTTAGGGTGTCAATTTTTGATCTTTCCTGCTTTCTCTTGTGGGCATTTAGTGCTATAAATTTCCCTCTACACACTGCTTTGAATGTGTCCCAGAGATTCTGGTATGTTGTGTCTTTTTTCTTGTTGGTTTCTAAGAACATCTTTATTTCTGCCTTCATTTCGTTATGTACCCAGTAGTCATTCAGGAGCAGGTGGTTCTGTTTCCATGTAGTTGAGCGGTTTTGAGTGAGTTCCTTAATCCTGAGTTCTAGTTTGATTGCACTGTGGTCTGAGAGACAGTTTGTTATAATTTCCGTTCTTTTACATTTGTTGAGGAGAGCTTTACTTCCAAGTATGTGGTCAATTTTGGAATCGGTGTGGTGCAGTGCTGAAAAAAATGTATATGCTGTTGATTTGGGGTGGAGAGAGTTCTGTAGATGTCTATGAGTTCCGCGTGGTGCAGAGCTGAGTTCTTTTCCTAGGTATCCCTTTTAACTTTCTGTCTCATTGTTCTGTCCAATATTGACAGTGGGGTGTTAAAGTCTCCCATGATTATTGTGTGGGAGTCTAAGTCTCTTTGTAGGTCACTGATGACTTGCTTTATGAAACTGGATGCTCCTGTGTTGGGTGCATATATATTTAGGATAGTTAGCTCCTCTTGTTGAATTGATCCCTTTACCATTATGTAATGGCCTTCTTTGTCTCTTTTGATCTTTGTTTGTTTAAAGTCTGTTTTATCGGAGACTAGGATTGCAACCCCTGCCTTTTTTTGTTTTCTATTTGCTTGGTAGATCTTCCTCCATCCCTTTATTTTGAGCCTATGTGTGTCTCTGCACGTGAGATGGGTTTCCTGAATACAGCACACTGATTGGTCTTGACTCTTTATCCAAGTTGCCACTCTGTGTCTTTTAATTGGAGCATTTAGTCCATTTACATTTAAAGTTAATATTGTTATGTGTGAATTTGATCCTGTCATTTTGATGTTAGCTGGTTATTTTGCTCATTAGTTGATGCAGTTTCTTCCTAGCCTTGATGATCTTTACAATTTAGCATAATTTTGCAGTGGCTAGTACCGATTTTTCCTTTCCATGTTTAGTGCTTCCTCCAGGAGCTCTTTTAGGGCAGGCCTGGTGGTGGCAAAGTCTCTCAGCATTTGCTTGTCTGTAAAGTATTTAATTTCTCCTTCACTTATGAAGCTTAGTGTGGGTGGATATGAAATTCTGGGTTGAAAATTCTTGTCTTTAAGAATGTTGAATATTGGCCCCCACTCTCTTCTGGCTTGTAGAGTTTCTGCCGAGAGATCTGCTGTTAGCCTGATGGGCTTCCCTCTGTGGGTAACCCAACCTTTCTCTCAGGTTGCCCTTAACATTTTTTCCTTCATTTCAACTTTGGTGAATCTGACAATTATGTGTCTTGGAGTTACTCTTCTTGAGGAGTATCTTTGTGGCATTCTCTGTATTTCCTGAATCTGAATGTTGGCCTTCCTTGCTAGATTGGGGAAGTTCTCTTGGATAATATCCTGCAGAGTGTTTTCCAACTTGGTTCCATTCTCCCGGTCACTTTCAGGTACACCAATCAGAGGTAGATTTTGTCTTTTCACATAGTCTCATATTTCTTGGAGGCTTTGTTTGTTTCTTTTTATTCTTTTTTCTCTAAACTTCCCTTTTCATGTCATTTCATTGATTTCATCTTCCATCACTGATACCCTTTCTTCCAGTTGATCGCATCAGCTCCTGAGGCTTCTGCATTCTTCACGTAATTCTTGAGCCTTGGCTTTGAGCTCCATCAGCTCCTTTAAGCACCTCTCTGTATTGGTTATTCTAGTTATACATTCGTCTAAATTTTTTTCAAGGTTTTTTACTTCTTTGCGTTTGGTTTGAATTTCCTCCTGTAGCTCGGAGTAGTTTGATCGTCTGAAGCCTTCTTCTCTCAACTCGTCAAAGTCATTCTCCATCCAGCTTTGTTCCATTGCTGGTGAGGAACTGTGTTCCTTTGGAGCAGGAGAGGCACTGTGCTTTTTAGAGTTTCCAGTTTTTCTGCTCTGTTTTTTCCCCATCTTTGTGGTTTTATCTACTTTTGGTCTTTGATGTTGGTGATGTACAGATGGGTTTTTGCTGTGGATGCCCTTTCTGTTTGTTACTTTTCTTTCTAACAGACAGGACCCTCAGCTGCAGGTCTGTTGGAGTTTGCTAGAGGTCCATTCCAGACCCTGTTTGCCTGGGTAACAACAGTGGTGGCTGCAGAACAGCAGATTTTCATGATCCGCGAATGCTGCTGTCTGATCATTCCTCTGAAAGTTTTGTCTCAGAGGAGTACCCAGGCTTGTGAGGTGTCAGTCTGCCCCTACTGGGGGGTGCCTCCCAGTTAGGCTGCTTGGGGGTCAGGGGTCAGGGACCCACTTGAGGAGGCAGTCTGCCCGTTCTCAGATCTCCAGCTGCATGCTGGGAGAACCACTGCTCTCTTCAAAGCTGTCAGACAGGGACATTTAATTCTGCAGAGGTTACTGCTGTCTTTTTGTTTTTCTGTGCCCTGCCCCCAGAGGTGGAGCCTACAGAGGCAGGCAGGCCTCCTTGAGCTGTGGTGGGCTCCACCCAGTTGGCTGCTTTGTTTACCTAAGCAAGCCTGGGCAATGGCAGGCGCCCCTCCCTCAGCCTCACTGCCGCCTTGCAGTTTGATCTCAGACTGCTGTGCTTGCAATCAGTGAGACTTCGTGGGTGTTGGACCCTCTGAGCCAGGTACGGGATATAATCTCCTGGTGCACCGTTTTTTAAGCCTGTCGGAAAAGCACAGTATTAGGGTGGGAGTGACCCGATTTTCCAGGTGCTGTCTGTCACCCCTTTCTTTGACTAGGAAAGGGAACTCCCTGACCCCTTGCACTTCCTGAGTGAGGCAATGCCTTGCCCTGCTTTGGCTTGTGCAGGATGCGCTGCACCCACTGTCTTGTGCCCACTGTCTGGCACTGCCTAGTGAGATGAGCCTGGTACCTCAGATTGAAATGCAGAAATCACCCATCTTCTGCGTCGCTCACACTGGGAGCTGTAGACTGGAGCTGTTCCTATTCAGACATCTTGGCGCTTCCTCCAGATTAATGTTTTTAAACACATATCTTGTTTTATTCTTCTTCTCAAAAGCCTACAATTCAGGATGATAAGTGATAAATGATGAAGAGAGACATAAAATATTTTCAAACTCAGTTCTGGCAATATTTGTGACAGAATCATTGATGATCATAAAAAAAGGTAAGAGACTTTTCACATAGGAATTAAAGCCTCTGGCATAGAATATGATCCAGGTGGACAAGAGCCAGAGAGAAAAGAACCTAAGAAGAAACAGCAATTGGAAATGGAAACAACCTCACACTGGTCTAAAAATTTTTCCCAAGTTAAACATTAGGCATAGGATTATTGGTTCCAGTGTGGCCAGCTGATCCTGATAAGTCTTTTCCAATGTCTCATAATGTCTCTTGAAGAACATGACCTGAGCATGGAGCACTGCATCTTAGTTTGTGAAGTTCTCATAAGCAGAGTGCTATGTGATGGGTAGGGACAGGTGTGGTGCATTATCGATCCTTAGATACATCTTTCTAGCACGTCAGAGAGCAAAACACTAGGATTAGGAAAGAACCTATCACAGTGTAGCAAAAATCATATTGGCAGAAAATCTACTAGACATTGGGGGTTGGACTAACAGGTGAGAACAGCATCCTGCTATTTAGCTTTAGATTTAAGAAGGGGTTTGGACAAGGACTGTGTACTGCATGGACATAAATTAAGCCAAGATTATAAGTTTGAAAAATACCAAGTGTGAGAGCTTTTTCCCCTCATAAGGAGTAAAGAGAATGTAACCAACAAGGAGAGTCTAGAAAAAGTACTTTAAATTTAGGGAAATGGAACATTATCTTGAAGAGGCTGAAGTAGGATGAATCTTAGCAATGGATTTATTCCAGAATCCAAAGCAACTTTGATGAAAACTGTTTGCCATTCTCTATAGGGTGAAAGAAGAATGTTTTCTATGAAACAGGAGAAACATGTTGAAAAAGAAATACAGAGGATTAGAAGAAGGGGTTGACTGAAAATAATTCACAATGAGCAGATCCTTGCAAACATGCCCCTAAAGGTCGAGGATGCTGAGAGGCTGAATAAAGGGACTGACAAACCCAGTTTCTCAGAAAGAAACATATAATGGTGACCTACAAACGGAAGCCACCCCTTGTGCTGTGGCAAGACAAGATGGTGGATCTCCACACGCTTATTCTCAGACCCAGGGCTTATATACTGCAGAGAAGAAATGTGTAGGAGAATTGAAGTCGATCTCTCAGGGAAAGACAATCATGCTGTATGAATCTGCATAATGGAAGGATTTATGGCAAAGATTGTTTTGACATAAGGGCAAAATTTATGATAGTAGTAGATAAAGTAGAAATCCTGTTTTTCCAATTTTTATTTCAGATTCAGGGGGTACATGTGCAGGTTTCTTACATGAGCATACTGCACGATACTGAGGTTTGGGTATCCATGATCCCATTACCCAGGTACTGAGCATAATACTCAATAGTTAGTTTTCAATACTTGCCCACCACCCTCCTTCTCCCTTCTAGTAGTTTCCAGTGTCTATTTTTCCCATCTTCATGTTTATGATACCCAATGTTTAGCTCCCACTTATAAGTGAAAACATGTGGTATTTAGTTTTCTGTTCCTGTGTTAATTCACTTAGGACAATGGCCTGCAGCTTCTTTCATATTGGTGCAGCAACATGACTTCATTTTTTTATGACTATGTAGTATTCCATGGTGTATATGTACTGTGGTTTCTTAATCCAGCACACCATGGCTGGGCACCTAGGTTGATTTGATATCTTTGCTGTTGTCTATAGTGCTGCAATGAATATATGAGTCCATGTGCATTTTGGTAGAATGATTTATTTTTCTTTTGGATATATACACAGTAATGGGATTGCTGGATAAAAGGGTAGTTCTGTTTTAAGTTCTTTGAGAAATCTCCAGACTGCTTTCCACAGTGGCTGAACTAATTTCCATCTCCATCAACAGTGTGCAAGTGTTCTCTTCTTCACAGCCTCACCAGCATGTTAGTTTTTGAATTTTTTATAATAACCATCCTTACTGTTATGAGATGGTGTCTCATTGTGGTTTTGATTTGCATATTTTTGATCATTAATCATGTTGAAGTATTTTTTCATATGTTTTTTGGCTGCATATATGTCTTCTTTTGAGGTGTCTGTTTATGTCTTTTGCCCATTTTTAATGAGATTGTTTATTGCCTGTTTATTTAAATTTCTTATTGTTTCTAGATGTTAGACGTTTGTCAGATGCATAGTTTGCAAATATCTTCTCTCAAATTGTAGTTTATCTACTTACTTTGTTGATAGTGTCTTTTGCTGTGCAGAAGCTCTTTAATTTAATTAGGCTGTATGTGTCAATTTGTGTTTTTGTTGCAATTGCTTTTGAGAACTTAGTCATAAGTTATTTCTCCCAAGGCCGATATCCAGAATGGTATTTTCTGGGTTTTTTTTTTCTAGGATTCTTATAGTTTGAGGTCTTACATTTAAATCTTTAACCCAGCTTGAGTTAATTTTTCTGTATGGTGAAAGGTAGAGGTCCAGTTTCATTCTTCTGCATATGGTTAGCCAGCTATCCCAGTGCCATTTATTGAATAGGGAATTCTTTCCCCATTGCTTATTTATGTCGGCTTTGTGAAAAGATCAAATAGCTATAGGTCTGCAACTTTATTTCTGGGTTCTCTTTTCTGTTCCATTGTTCTATGTATCTGTTTTTGTACTAGTACCATGCTATTTTGCTTTGTGTTGCCTTATAGTATAATTTGAATCCAGATAATGTGATGCCTCTGACTTTATTCTTTTTGCTTAGGATTCCTTTAGCTATCTGGGCTCTTTTTTGGTTCCATAGGAATTTTAGAAAAGTCTTTTCTGATTTGAAGTCCTAGCCAGAACAATCAGGCAAGATAAAGAAAGAAAAGGTATCCAAATAGGAAAAGCAAAAGTCAAATTACCCCTATTTGCTTACAATATGAAGCTATACCTAGAAAACCCTAAAAGCTCTGCCAAAAGCCTCCTGGAACTGAAAAATGATGAAGTTTCATGATACAAAATCAATGTACAAAAATTGAATGTGGAAGAAAAGAATAAAAATCCCAGGAACACATCTAACCAAGGAGTTGAAAAATCTCTACAAGGAGATCTACAAAACAATGCTGAAAAAAATAATAGAAGACACAAACAAATGGAAAAACTTTTCTTGCTCATGGATCAAAAGAGTCAGTATTGTTCAAATGGCCACACTGCCCAAAGCAATCTACAGATTCAACACTATTCCTATTAAACTAACAATGTCAGTTTTCACAGGATAATAAAAGAGAAATCTTAGAGATATTCCCAAAATAGGGGTTAATCAGAAGTCAATATGGCTGAATAGCATTCAAAATGGAGTTGCATTATCTGCTACAGATGAAATGAGAGAAATATTTAAAGGAACTTAAAATGCAATAGCAGTGGAATAATAAAAATCAGAAACAACAATGTGGAAATAATTACATTACATTACGTTAATTATTTACTTGAAGGATAAACTTGAGAGGATCCCCCAAAGAAGGAGAATAAAACAAACACAAAATAATGGGAGACAGATAGAATAGAGAGGTGATACTGAAGGTGATTTTCTCTATTTTCAAAGAAGTAATCAATAGAGTAAACATAAAATTTACATAAATGTCTTCTATATTAACTAAATACCCGAATAACCAAGTTGAAAAAAATCTGATGTTTCAGGAGAAATAATATATGTATTTAGGATAGTTAGCTTTTCTTGTTTAATTAAACCCTTTACAATTATGTAATGCCCTTCTTGTCTTTTCAAAAATCTTTGTTGGCTTAAAGTCTGTTTTGTCAGAAACTATGATTGTTACCTCTGCTTGTTTCTATTTTCCATTTGCTTGGTAAGTTTTCTTCCATCCCTTTATTTTGAGCCTATGTGTGTCTTGGCACATGAGCTGGGTCTTTTGAAGACAGAATACTGACAGGTTTTGGCTCCTTATCCAGCTTGCCATTCCGTGTTTTTTAATTGGGGCATTTAGCCCATTTGCATTTAAGGTCAGTATTATGTGTCAATTTGATTCATTCATCATTATTCTAGCTGGTTATTTTGCAGATTTGTTTATGTGGTTGCTTTATAGTTTCACTGTGTACTTCAGTGTGTTTTTGTGGTGGCTGGTAATTTTTTTTTTTTTTTTAACTATATTTTGTGCTTCCTTCTGGAGCTCTTCCAAGACAGGCCTGGTGGTGATGAATTCCCTCAGCATTTGCTTGTCTGAAAAACATCTTATTTCTCCATCACATATGAAGCTTAGTTTGTCCAGATATGAAACTCTGGGTTGGAAATTGTTTTTTTAAAGAATGTTAAATATTAGCCCCTAATCTCTTCTTGCTTGTACAGTTTCTGCTGAGAGGTCCACTGTTAGTGTGATGGGCTTCCCTTTGGAGGTGACCTGGCCTTTCTCTCTGCTTGTCCTTAACTTTTTTTTTTTTTTTCATTTCAACCTTGGAGAATCAGATGATTATGTGTCTTGGGGTTGATCTTCTTGTGCATTATCTTACTGGAGTTCCTTGGATTTTCTGAATTTGAATGTTAGCCTGTCTTGCTAGGTTGGGGAAGTTTTCCTAGATGATGTCCTGAAATATGTTTTTCAACTTGGTTTCGTTGTCCCTGTCTCTTTCAGGTACCCCAATTAGTTGTAAGTTTGATCTTTTTACATAGTCTCATATTTCTCAGAGGTTTTGTTCATTCATTTTATTCTTTTTTTTTTTTTTTGATGGAGTCTCACTCTGCTGCCCAGGCTGGAGTTTAGTGGCCCAATTGTGGCTCACTGCAACCTCTGCCTCTTGGGTTCAAGTGATTCTCCTGCCTTAGCCTCCCAAGTAGCTGGCATTGCAGGCACCCACCACCATGCCCAGGTAATTTTTGTATTTTTAGTAGAGACAGGGTTTTCGCCATGTTGGCCAGGCTGGTCTCAAACTTCTGATCTCAAGTGATCAACCCCCTCAGCCTCCCAAAATGTTGGGGCTACAGGCATGATCCATTGCACCTAGCCCTTTTCATTCCTTTTTCTCTAGTCTGCCTGTCTTATTTGAGAAACATAGTCTTCAAGCTCTGATATTCTTTCCTCTGCTTGGTATATTCTGCTGCTGATACTTGTAATTGCATTGTGATTTTCCTGTGTTGTGTTTTTCAGCTCCATCAGGTCAGCTATGCTTTATTCTAAACTGGCTATTCTAGTTATCAGTTCCTGTATTGTTTTATCATGATTCTTAGCTTCTTTGAATTGAGTTACAACACACTCCTTTATCTCAACAAAGTTTGTTATTACCCACTTTCTGAAGCCTAGTTTTGTGAATTCAGTCATCTCAGCCTCAGACTAGTTCTGTGCACTTGCTGGAGAAGTGTTGTGGTCATTTGGAGGAGAAAAGGCACTCTGGCTTTGTGAATTTTCAGCATTTTTGTATTGATTCTTTCTTATCTTTGTAGGCTTATTTACCTTCATTTTTGAGGTTCCCAAAAAAAACCTCATTCAAAGGAATGGGGTTTTGTGGGGTCTTTTTTGTTGATGTTGTTGTTTTCTGTTTGTTTTTCTTTTAACAGTCAGCCTCTGTAGGACTGTTGTGGTTTGCTAGGGGATCGCTCCAGACCCTAGTTGCTTCAGTTTTTCCCTTACCTTGAGATATCACCTGTGAAGCTTATGAAACAGCAAAGATAGTAGCCTGCTCCTTTCCCTGGAAGCTCTGTTCCAGTGGGATACTAACTTGTTGCTGGCCTGGATGCACCTGTAGAAGGTGTCTGGAGACCCCCATTGAGAGGTCTCATCCAGTCAGGAGGGATGGGGTCAGGGACCTGCTTAAAGAAGCAGTCTGCCTGGTTTTTGGTAGAGCAGATGTGCTGTGTTGTGGGAGACTCCTCCTCATCAGGACCACCTGGCCTCCCTGAGCCAAGCATACAAGAACAGCTAAGTCCACTCAGCCACAGAGTCAGCAGAGCAGTTGACTGAGAGCAAGGACTCACAGAGACATTGGCCACTCCTACCCACTGGGGCTCCATCCCAGGGAGAGATCAGAGTTCCTCTATCCCTGGCTGCAGTCATTGAAATTCCCACAGGGAGGCACCCCCCAATGAGGAAGGATGGTTTGTGTTGTGGGGACTCCTCCTTGTCTAGACCACCTGAACTCCCTGGAGCCAGCAGGCTAGAATGGCTGAGTCAAACTAACTTCAGAAATGGTGACTGCCCTTCCCCCCAGGAACTCATTTGTCTCAGACGTCTCCAGCCTGCTGTGCTGGTTGGCTGGAATTCCAAGCCAGTGGGTCTTAACTTGTGAGGTGCTGTGGAAGTGGGGCCTGCAGAACAATGCTGCTTGGCTTCCTGGATTCAGCTACTTTCCTAGAAGAATGTACAGATGGATCTCTCACCTTACTGGGATTCCCAGCACCAGAGTCTGTAAAACTCCTGGATCTCTATGTGAGTCTGAGCAACTGCTCTGCTGAGAATGCACAGCTCTGTGTATGGGACCCAAGGCCCTGGTGGCATGGACTCACAAGGGGATCTTCTGATCCACAGGCTGCAAAGATCTGTGGGAGAAGCATGGGCAGGGTCACACAATCACTGACCACTTCCCTTAGCTGGCGGTGGGGATTCCTTTGGCTCCATGCTGCTCCCAGGTGGGCTATCACCCCACATTACTTTTCTTCATTGTCTGTGGGTCGAGTTGTCCACCTAGTCAGTCCTGATGTAAGAACTTGGATATTGCAGTTGGAGATGCTGAATTTACTCTCTGTTTTCATTCCTCTCTGTGAGAGCCACAGTCTGTAGCTACTTCTAATCAGCCATCTTGGCCGCATCTAGGCACCAATGGTACTCTCTTTAAATTCATGAAATTGGCCTTTTACAAAATGAAGACTGGCTTGATTTTCCAATAGCAGAGTCTCCCAGAAGTATTAGTTTGAACTGGCATATTTTATTTCCAGTATTTGGCCCGTTGAGTCTTTTTGCTCCTCGATTAGCCATGTTCAAATTTGAAATAAGCGCCTAATTTTAGACCTTAAAAGAACTTCCAGAATCCAGGGGATCAATTTTTTTCTTTCTGGAGGCAAAGAAACCTGAGACCACAGCAAGTGGAGCTGTGGGACTGAAGCTTCCTGTCAGCAAGGCCCAGGTGTGGCCCATAGGACAAGAGTATGTCGATGGCAGTGGTGGTGGTATCTCCTCTTCATGCCGCTCCCCTCACCTACATTTTCTTTATCAACTCATTTATCAGTGAACATTTAGGTTATTTCCACATCTTGGCTTTTGTTAATAATCATGCAATGAACACAGGAGTGCAGATATGTCTTCAAACTCCTGATTGCAATTCCTTTGGATATATATGCAGAAGTGGGATTGCTGGATCAAATAATAATTCTGTTTTTAATTTTTTGAGGAACCTCCATATTGTTTTCCATAGCTGATAGCTGTGCACCAATTTACATTTCCACCAACATTGTACACGTTTTCTTTTCTACATCCTTGCCAACACTTGTTGTCCTTTTTTTTTTCTTTTTGATAACAGCCATCCTAACAGGTGTGAGATGATACCTTATTGTGGTTTTAATTTGCATTTCTCTAACGATTAGTAACACTGAGCACTTTTTCATATACTGTTGGCTATTGTATGTCTTAGAAATTACACCAAAAGCACAGGGAAAGAAAGCAAAAGTAGACAAGCAAGAGTAGGTCAAACTAAAAAGCTTTTGCTCAGGAAAAGAAAATAAATAATAAAATAAAAAAACAAGTTATGAAATGGGAGAAAACACTTACAGACTATATATCTGATTAAAGGTTAATATCCAAAATATGTAAAGAACTCCTGCAACTTAGTAGCAAAGCAAACAAACAAACAAAAAACCCAAATAACTTAATTGAAAAACTGGCAAAGGATTGAGAAAACATTTCTCCAAAGAAGCTCTACTTCAGTAGTATTGAATGAAGTCTCCCTTGCCTGCTTAACTTTATCTGGTGCAGTTTTTGTTTTGACATCTTCCAACAGGTCTCCCTGCTTCTATCTGCTGTGTCTCATTGCACTCTAATCTTAATTCAGCAGCCAGAATAATATCATGTACTCCTATAATCAAAACTATCTAATGGCTCCCAATTTCAAAGAGAAAACCAAAGTCCTTATAAAAGTTACAAGGCACTACTCAAAATTGCCCTTAATTATTTTTCTGATGTCATGACCTACACCTCTCAAACTCATTCATTCCACTTCAACCACATGGGTGTCTTTACATTTCTAATACAAATGTGCTCCTATTGCTCAGAGCTGCCCCTCTACCTAAAGATCCACTTGACTAACTCTATTTTCTCCTTCAAATTTTGGTACAATTATCCCTTCCTCAATGAGGCTTATTCTGACCAGTTTATTTAATGTGTGTGGTAGGCTAAAGAATGACTTCCCCCCAAAGATTTCCGTATTCTAATCCCCAGAACTGGTGAATATGTTATCTTACATTTCAAAAGGGACTTTGTGCAGATGTGATTAAGTTATGGGTCTGGAGATGGAGAAACTATCCTGAATCATTCAGGTGGGCCCAAAATAATTTCAATTATTCTCATAAGAGGGAGGTGGGAGGGTCAGACTGAGAGATGTGACCATGGGGACCGATGTAGGAGTGATGCCACCATGAGCCAAAGAATGCAGGCAGTCCCTAGAATCTGGAAAAGGAAGCAAATTCTCTGTTTGAGCCTCCAGAAGGAACATAGCCCTGCCTGCACCTTGATTTTACACCAGTGAAAAAGATTTGGACTTCTGGCTTACAAAGTATAAGATAGCAAGTTTGTGTTGTTTTAAGCCACTAAGTTTGTGGTAGTTTATTACAGAAGTGATAGGAAATTAATACAGTGTCTAACCTGCAGCCCCAACACTCTGACTTTATTTTTCTCTACTTTTTATTTTTTCCATAGTAGTTGTCATGTTTAGCACACTGCATCATTTTCCTATATTTCTTTCTTCTCTTCTTCCACAAGAATATGAGCATTGTGTTTACCGATCGTTTTTTGTTTTATTCACTTATAAATGTTTGTTGAATTCATTAAAAGAAGAAAAAATCAATCACAGATATGAAAGGACCAACATAGTGAATTGCCTTGGATCCATATTGCATAATTTTGCTGTTGGCAGACTGAAGTTGTCCAAGGGCTGAGTAAAAATGATGAAGAATACTTTACAAAGGCCTTACTTGGTTTGGTTCCTGTGGTAGAGATGATTTGTTTGCAGTGACTGTTCCTTAAGTTCCCCTGCTTCATTTTTCTTCCTCTACTGCAGTTAGTTTTCATCAGTGGACTGCAGATTGCAGTGACATGTGTCACTTCTGGGAGGGGAAATTTAACAGCCAGCATGCTCCCTTTGCCTCTTTTTCCCCCACTGTTATGATCATGAGACCAATTGTTCCAAATGGCAGAGCTAAAGATGGAAGAGGGCTGCCTAAACCACACAAAGCTTTGCAATAGAGAATAGTAAACCTTAATTATGTTAAGTGACAAAGATTCTGATGGCTTTCTAATTATAGTAGTTAACCTTAATTAGAGAAGCTAAATCCAGAATAAAGTGGTATTACAAGGTTTTTGGTGTCTGCAAGTTGGAAGTTGAAACTATCTTTTGTATACCTCTTTTAGCTATTATATATTTGTGTCTATTTATTTCTCAGTACCAGAAAATGTGTTCCTGAAGACATATTCTTCATTGCACAGTTCAGAGAAAATCTTGTATCCTCATTGTTGAACATTCAAAATAATAGTGCGGTTATTCTATTACTGTACTTGATAGCTATGGCTAAGCAACTAATCCCAGTGGGAAATTTCTAGAAGTATTAGAAAATTTGAACTACATAGTGCACCTCCGTGGCCACTTCCACTGCCATAGAATTTTAGTAAGATTTTTATATAGCTTCAAAAATTAAAAAAACCCATTGAATTAACTTTTTTAATTGAAAGATTGATAAACCATCTCATGGCAGATATATTTGTTATCAACTTCAGTATATACATTTATCATCTTTTTGTATGATTCAATATTCTAATGCAGTAGTTAGCAAACTTTCTCTATAAAGGGCCAAATAGTAAATATTTCACCTTTAGAAGCCATGTAGCTACTCTTACAACTACTCAGCTCTGCCATTAGGACATGCAAGCAGCAATAGGCAATATATAAATGAATGTGCATGTCTGTGTTCCACTAAAACTTTATTTACAAAAACAAATGCTGGCTGTAGTTTGTCAACTCTTACTCAATGGGAGTACAGAATACTCTTTGTTTCAGTGTTTTAGTCTTGGTAATAATTTTCAATCAAGAGCTCAGAATCTTCCAGGAGGTGGATGATGAGTGCGTTGGGGTTCCTCAGAGGAACAGAATGAGTAAGATTACACACACACACACACACTCAGTTGATTCTTGTTATTCACTGTAGTTATGTTCTATAAAGTTTCTATGAACATTGAATCAGTGAATAATGAACAATTGCTCCTAGGGAAAATACAGTGTAGTTTCCTGAAAGCCTCTGGTCACAACATTTTTGTCAACCAGTCAATATACATTCTTGTTTTATGTGTGTTTCTCTTCAAAGGCACCTTATTTAATACCTATGCTGATTCATTAACATTGAACTCACAGCCAGCAGCACTGTAACTCATGCCCAAATGAACCTAATCTAATGCATGTATTTTTTCTGTAAGGTACATCACAAGCTTCTTTAGACAACACTGCCACTGTACTTGGAGGCCATTTTAAATAGCAAAATCACCAATGAAATGCACAAAAATGTAAAGAAAATGGTGGCAACTAAATAAATTGTCAAAGAATGCTTGTTTGCAGTGTGAGAGATGGACAAAGAAGGCAGAGCATCACCTTGTTCTATTTTAGTTGGGTACATGAGACTCAAACTTTTTGCCATTCTACACGTTTGAGAATGACCACAAACGTGTTGCAAATACTGAATTTGAGCTTACAAATAAATTTTAGTAAGTAGGCAAATTCACAAACATAGAACCTGTAAGTAATGAGAATCTACTCTACACATGTGTACACATACACATACTGTTTATTTCAAGGAATTGACTTATGCAATTGCGGGAATTGAAGAGTCTGAACTTTATAGGGCAAGCTTTATGGCTGGAAACACCAGCAAGAGCTAGGGCTGCAGTCCTGAGGCAGAATTTTTTCTTCCTCAGAGAAACCTTAGTTTTGCTTTTAATGCATTTCAACTGATTGGAAGAGGCCCACCCAGATTGTTACAGATTATCTCCTTTACTTAAAGCTAACTGATTATAGATGTTAAATACATCTACAAATTACTTTCACAGCAATACCTTGATTAGTGTTTGAATAACTGGAACTAGGGCCTAGCCAAGTTAACACTTAAAACTAACCATCACAGTGAGTATACTTTGGAAGGCCACAGAATACTTAAAGGTGAAATAATGGTATTGTAGTTATATATTTTTCAAAAACATAATTTACCTTTTAAGGATGTATAATAAAGTATTTATAGATGAAAAAATAATTCTTATGAACTCAACAAAATATCAAATGTGATTATCTGGATTCAGTTACCTTCTCAGTGGTTATTATACTTTTCTACTTTTGCAAATTTCTACATTTCTTTCGTGCTTATAATTACATGATCAATTCATGGTACTTTTTTATATAGAATATATATTAGTTTTCTATTGCTACATAATAAATTACCACAAATTTAACAGCTTAAATAACAGTTTCTATGGGTAAGGAGTTAGAGTTAAGAGTCTGGGTACATTTTATCTTTTCATGGTTTGAACAGACTAATCTCAATGTGTTGGCTAGGGCTTCAGTCCCATCTGAGGCTTGAGGTTTTCTTCCAAGCTCACTGGTTGTTGGCAGAATTCAATTCCCTGCAACTGCAGGACTAAAGTGTCTCTTTGTCCTTAAGTTGCTCTGGATTCCTAAAGGCCACTTTCAGGTCCTAACTATATGGCTTTGTCATATAACATGGAGCTTACTTCTTTAAAGCTAGCAGGAGAAACTCTCTTTAGTGTGCTAAGGTGGAGTCATGTTTATATAACATAACCTTATCAAGGGAGCAGCTGTCCTACCACATTCACAGGACCTGTCCAAACTTAACAGAAGGGAATTATAAAGGGTATGTACACCGGAGGGCAATGATATGGGGGGACATCTTAGGATTCTGCCTCCCATATTAGTTGTGTAATCACAGCTAAAAAGAACATGCATGGCAAAAAGCTGGAAGAAATAAATAAAATGTGTTAAATGTTATCCCTGAGAATAGGTATTATGAGGCAAGGTATATTCTTTCGTAATGACTGTGTAGTTTTACATTTCTTCTGTAATAAACACTACCTAATTTTCTGTATTCATTAAATTTTAATTATTTTTTATAGAAGTAATACCAGTTCATGAAGAGAAAAAATCGAACAATAAAGGGTTTAAAGTTGAAAGTATAATTAAATTCTACCCCTTCCTCTGCACTTCTCTCTAGACACCGTTTAGAGGATAAATAACTCTTTAAAATTTGGAGGTATCCTTCTGTAAGCATTCTTCAATTTTTCCTTTATACTAAACAACATATATTAGACATCAAGTATATGAATATACCTACTGAGGTCTTAATTTTGATAATTATACTTTTTAGTTCTAGAAATTCCAATTTTTTTCTCAGAATTTTAATTTCTTGGTAAATATTTTCATCTCATTATACATTTAAAAAATTATATTTCATGAATTGACTATGTTTGGCAACAAAGTCTATGTTTGATAACTTCAATTTATGCATTACACATCGTCTGTTTTTATTTTTATTTTAATTTTTTTGCTTTAGATATTTGATCTTGTCTCCTGGCATGCCTGGTTATTTTGAACTGAATGCCATGGATTTTTTTTTTTTTTTTTTTTTTTTTTTTTTTTTTTTTTTTTTTTTTGAGACGGAGTCTCGCTCTGTCGCCCAGGCCGGACTGCGGACTGCAGTGGCACAATCTCGGCTCACTGCAAGCTCCGCCTCCCGGGCTCACGCCATTCTCCTGCCTCAGCCCCCCCAGTAGCTGGGACTACAGGCGCCCGCCACCGCGCCCGGCTAATTTTTTGTATTTTTAGTAGAGACGGGGTTTCACCTTGTCAGCCAGGATGGTCTCGATCTCCTGACCTCATGATCCACCCGCCTCGGCCTCCCAAAGTGCTGGGATTACAGGCGTAAGCCACCGCGCCCGGCCGTATTTTTTTTTTTAATGAAGAACTGGAGAGGCTCTTCATGATCTTGCTTTACTCCAGGAAAGATTTATTTTGGCAGTTAGCATTAGGGCAAAGCAATAGACCGCAAACAGAGATTAGAGGGTTTGGCCTGACACTGAGTTTTAACCTTTGTAAGGCTTCTAACTTTGGTTTCTAAAGTGTAGCCCATCAGGGGTTACAATAGAAAGCTTGACAAACTGCGTATTCTTCTCTTTGGTGAGCCCTAAACTATAATTTTGTCTCTCCAGTATCATCAGACCTACAAAACTTCTGCTTGATTCTTAGCTCCTTGGCTGCCACTTTCTGCTTTGCCTCCCATCTGCTTGTTCTGCACGTGCTACGAGTTAAAAAAATGCCTCTGAGGAAAAGTGATTTGGAAAGTTAGGCTTGTTTCTCTCTGTTTGTTTTTCTCTGGGACAATGGCCTCTCATATTCTGGATGCCTTGGTATCACGGACCTCCAGTTTTTGTCTCCTTAACTAAGTCATTGCTTTTGCTTGGTCTTTCAGGCCCAAGTCACTTAGACATTGTC
This sequence comes from Homo sapiens, assembly GCF_000001405.40. NCBI lineage: Eukaryota > Metazoa > Chordata > Mammalia > Primates > Hominidae > Homo > Homo sapiens. The sequence continues at coordinate 58,380,023 of NC_000006.12, read as the reverse complement.
AAATGGAGGGATGTCAGGTCTACCTTAAGGGGGACCCTCAATTCTTTGTTACTCCCCAGACAGCTGTCTTATGTTTCACTTTCCTTCCAGATTTTCATCTTGTTTTCCATGAGAGATGTGTTATAAACCAGTCATTTATTTTCAGAAGCATTCTATACCTCTATTTTTATCTCCTAATGTAAACATTATTACTTTTGTTTTAAACGGTCAATGCATAAATTAATCCACATGCTTTCTTTACTCTCCACTTATTTATTTAATTATTTATTGATTGAAGTGCACTGTTTCACATTGTTTAAATTCTTTCAATGAGAGTCTCTTGGTACGAGATTTCACATTTGGTCTTATCTAAAAATGTCATTTAAAAATATAGCTATTTAATAAAAATGTGTCAGTTGCATAATTCTTTGCTAACCATTATTTTGTCTTAACAATTTGAAAGTATTATACCACATGTCTTGGCTTTCAGTTTTGCTATGGAGAAATTTCCCCTCAATCTAATCATTGCTCATTTTATCATTTTTTTCCCTCTGTGTGCTGTTAGAAGCTACTTTTTACTTGATCAAAGATGATATAATGTGTCTAAATGTTTATTTTTTATTTGTAAAAAATGTATCAGAAAACTTAAGCATACATAAAATAAAAGGGAAGACTATAATGAATCCATCATTACCCCTCATCTTTGCCCTAGCTTAATTACTAGCCTTTTCCCATTTCCATTGAATCTTTATTTGTTTTCATACAATTTGACATTTTTTTCTCTTATCTGTCCTGGACAAATCCCAGTTGTTATCTCTTTTAATAGATTATTCACTTCTTTAGTCTCTCCTGAGATAACCACTAGATGATTAAATCTTATTATATTTTTTCATGTCATAAACTTTCAGTTTCATTACCTTGTCTTTCTCCATTACAATCTGATTAATGATTTTAGCTTTGGCTTCTAGTTCAAATTCTTTTTTCAACTTTGTTTAATCTACAGTTTGACCACTGAGATTTTACTTTTAATTATATTTCTAGTCTAGTAGTTCTATTTTTTTATTTTTAAAACAGGTCAGTTAATTGTTGACAGATTTTTGACACTTGCTTACCACATACTTCTTAGGACGATAGACTCTGAAGGATTTGAATTCTAGCACTACAACTTGCACCTGTGTAAATTTAGGGAACTTTCTTAATTTCTCTAAGTTTTCATTTCCTTGTTCATAAAGTTAGTACCATCTACTTTATAGAGTTGTTGAGGATTAGATGAGTAAATATATAAGTGAGGCATGTAGAACAGTACCTGATACAAATAAACATTATAAAAGTATTTATTAAAAACAATATTTTATTTCTTGATTTATTTCTTTAAATCTTTTAAAAAGTTATTTCTGCATACTTATTTTATCATTTCAATAGCTGGTATATTTATATTTATGAGTCTATTGATTTCATTTCCGCTGACTTTCATTGACATCATCTTGCTTTCTCATATATTTTGGAAACTTCATTTTTGTACTTCTTCCTGACCAATTTTCATTTCCAAGTATACTGAAAGCCTGACTTGAAGGTGCATTCCTGCATCTCTTTGGGATCTACTGTGGTTCCCAGGGTGCTGAAGTCCCTGCATAACTTTAAGTTAATGTTCTGGTTTGGGAACCCAGAGCCAATTTGAGGGCAGACCTGTCGTTCTGAATTCTCTCTGGATACTCTTTTCCTAATATCTGAAGCTGAAACAGACTTGTACTTCCCCTTTGCTGGTGGGAAATTTTAATTGTAGCTGATCTTTCACTGAAAGTGCAGTTTTTGAGGGTCCTGGCTTTGTGAAGGAGTCTCAGAGTCCATCCTTCCAAGAGGCATGGACATTAGTGCCCAGGGTGTAGGTTTCTTGTATTCATAAACATCCAGGGCAGTTATGGCTCTAGAGCCAGTTTACCATTCTGGCTTCAGCTTTTTTGAGCCACTGGGGTGTTACCTTATTTTCATGTAAACTTAGTTACAAAATTTAGAGTGAAATCTGTCACAATTCCTTTTGGCATCTATAAACTTTTTATTAACTCTTTTAGAATGTCTATGCTACTAAATTATTGAAAGTTATATAGTCAAATCAGTATTTTCTTTGCCTTGTGTGTGCAGGCATGTTTGTCTGTGTGTGTTTGTGTAGATATGCATGTATTTGCATTTTCTTTTATTGTATTTGGAATGTTTATAGCCTCTTCTTGTTTCTTAATAATTTGGTTAAACTTTAGCATTACCAACTGATTCCCTCCTATGACATATAATAAAATTATAAGTTTGTACTTCTTTATCTTTTGCCTATATTCTTCTACTTCTGAATTTTTGTTGTTATTTATCCAGTGGGTTTTCAATTTAGGATTACAACATTTTTATTATATTTAGCTACTGTAAATCCAATATTAATCCTTCGTATTCTTGTGTTCAAACATATTCAGAGTTCATCTTCAACCCTTTTACAATATAGTGCTCCAGTTTCTGAATTCTTTATTTGATCATCTTGAATTAATTTGATTTTTTCATTGAGTAAATTTAAAAAATGACTTCAGTACTATAATTCCAGAAATTTTGTTTATTTGTAATTGTTTCTATTGCCTTTATAAATGAATGACAAGTTGGGTGTTGAAAATAGGGATCACTCTTGCTTTATCCAGAACTATGTAAATACTACCATTCTACTCTCTAGTTCTATGAGATCAACTTTTTAAGATTCCACATATGAGTGAGATCATTTGGTAGTTATATTTTTGTGATTGGCTTATTTCACTTCACGTAATGTCCTCCAGGTTTATTCATGTTGTTGCAAATGGCAGGGTTTCCTTCCTATTTATGGCTGAATAGTACTCCATTGTGTATGCGTGCCACTTTTCTTTATACATTCATCCATTGATTGGCATGCAGGTTTATTCCATATCTTAACTATTGTGAATATACTGCAGATATCTCTTTCACATACTGATTTTATTTCTTTTGGAAATACACGCGGTAGTAGAATTGCTGGATCACCTGGCGGTTCTATTTTTTTATTTTTTCAGGTTTGGTAGTTCTATCTTTAATTGTTTTCTATAATAGCTATACTAATATACATTTCCACCAGCAATGTGAAGGGGTTCCCTTTACTCCGCATCCTCACTATTGCTTGTTATCTTTTTTCTTTCTGATAATCACCATTCTAACAAGTATAAGGCAATATCTAATAGAGGTTTTAGTTTGCATTTCTCTGATGATGAGGGATGTTGATCATTTTTCCATATTCCATTTGGCCATTCATATGTCTTTTTTTGAGAAATATCCATTTAGCTTCTTTGCCAATTTTTAAATTGCAGCATTTGTTTATTTGCTATTGAGTTGTTTCAGTTCCTTAAATATTTTGGATATTAACTTCTTGTCAGATGTATAGTGCTATGGTTGGATGTTTGTCTTCTCCAAATCTCATGTTGAAATTTGATTCCCAGTGTTAGAAGTGGGGTCTAATGGGAAGCGTTTCAATTGTGGGACAGATCTCTTATAAATGTCTTGGTTCTGTCCTTGTGGTAATGAGCAAGTTATTGCTCATTTGGTTCTTGTGAGAGCTGGTTGCTTAAAAGAACATAGCACCTCCCCTTCTCTCTCTTGCATCCTCTCTCACATGTGATCTCTGCACATGCTGGCTTCCCTTCAACTTCCAACATGAGTGGAAGCAGCCTGTATCCCTGACCAGAAGCAGATGCTGGCACCATGCTTCTTGCACGACTTGTATAACTATGAACCAAATAAACCTAGTTTCTTTATAAATTTGGCAGACTCATTGGTTCCTTTATAGCAACACAAATAGACTAAGACAGAAAAATTGGTACCAAGGAGCGAGGTGTTGCCATAAAGATACTTGAAATGTGGAAAAATGGCTTTGTAACTGGATAGTGGGCAGAGGTTGGGAGAGTTTGGAGATCTCAGAAGGCAATAAGATGAGGAAATGTGAAACTTTATAGAGATTGCTTAAGTGGTTGTGATCAAAATGCTGACAGAAATATAGACAGTAAAGGCCATGCTGATGATGTCTCTGGTGGAAATGAGAAACATATTGGTAATTGGAGAAAAGGGACCCTTGTTACACCTTAGCAAATAACTTAGCTGCATTATATGCATGACCTAGGGTTTTGTGGAAGGATTAGGAGTGATGACTTAGGGCACCTGGAAGAAGAAAGTTCTAAGAAGCAAAGTATGGAAGAAGTAATGTGGCTACTTTTAACAGCTTACTATCAGATATAGGAACAAAGGAATGACCTAAAGTTGAAATTTATCATTGAAAGAGAAACAGAGTATAAAAGTTTAGAAATTTTGTAGCCTGGCCATGTGGTAGAAAAGGAAAGAGTGTTTACAGGAGAGAAAGTCGAGTGTGCTAGGGAGCAAACATTTACTAGAGAGATTGGCATAGATAAAAGGGAGCCAGATGTTAATAGTCAAGACAAGGGGAAATGGGTCCTGAACGCATTTCAGAAACCTTCAAGGCCTGGGGTACTGCTGCCCTGCACTACCTCAGGATGCTGCTTCCTATCTTCTAGCCACTTCACTTCCACCTCCAGCCATGGCTCAAAGAGACACAGGTACTGCATGGGTCATCACTCTGGAGGGTGCAAGCCATGAGCATTTGTGGCATCCATGTGGTGTTAAGTCTGCAGATGCACAGAATGCAAGAATAACGGAGGCTTGGCAGCTTCTACCAAGATTTCAGAGGATGTATTGGAAAGCCTGGGTGTGCAGGCCTGCCACAGGGGTGGAGCCACTGCAGAGGGTATTCACTAGGGCAGTGCATATTGGAGCCATAGCAACAGGGCCCTTACTTTTGAGACCCAAGAATTATAGAGCCACCAGCAGTGTACCTGCTCAGTCTGGAAAAGTCACAGGCATTCAACTACAATATATGCAAGCAGCCAAATGGGCTGCACCTAGCAAAGCCATGTTGGGGAGCAGGGCTGCCTGAAGCCTTGGGAGCCAACCCCTTGCACCAGTGTGCCCAGGGTGTGGAACATGGAGTCAAAGACTATCTTGGAGCTTTAACATTGAATGTCTGCCCTGCTGGCTTTCAGACTTGCATGAGGTCTGTTACCCCTATCTTTTAGCCCATTTCTCCCTTTTGAAATTGGAGTGTTTACCTAATGTCTGTTCCATTATTGTATTTTGGAAGTAAATAACTTGACTTTGACTTTACAGGCTTGTAACTGTAAGGAACTTGCCTTGAGTCTCAAATGAGACTTTTTATGTTAGACTTTTGAGTTGATGCTGGAATAGGTTAAAACTTTGGGGGACTATTGGGATGGAATGAATGGAATGATAGTATTTTGTATGTGAGGACATGAGATTTCAGGGGCCAGGTATAGAATGAAATGGTTTAGATATTTGTCCTCTCTAATCTCATGTTAAAATTTGATCCCCAATATTGGAGGTGAGGCCAATGGGAAGTGTTTTGTTCATGGGAGTGGATACCTCATGAATGTCTTGGTGTTATCTTCATGGCAATGAGTGAATTCTCACTTGATTAGTTCCTGTGAGAGCTGATTGTTTAAAAGAGTCTGACACTTCCCTCCTCTCTCTCTTGCTTGTTTTCTCTCACATGTGATGTCAGCACACACTGGCACCCCCTTTACCTTCCACCATGAGTGGAAGTAGCCTGAGTGCCTCACTTGAAGCAAATTTTGACACCATGCTTCTTGCACAACCTGCAGAAACATGAGCCAAATAAACTTAAAAATATATAAGTTAGCCAGGTTCAGCTATTTCTTTATAGCAATGAAAATAGGCTGAAACACATAGTTTGGATATATTTTCTCCCATTATGTAGGTTGTCTCTTCACTCTGTTGATTGTTACTTTTGTGTGCAGAAATTTTTTAGTTTGATGTTCTACTTGTACATTTTTGCTTCTTGTGGCTATGCTTTTGATATCATATCCTAAAAATCTTGGTCTGGACCTAGGTCATGGAAATTTTTCCCTTGCTTTCTTCTAACAGTCTCATAGTTTCAGTTCTTATATTTAAGTCTCTAATTGATTTTGAGTTGATTTTGTATGTGGTATGATTTAAAGGTCTATTTTTATTCCTTTGCATGTGGCTATCTGGTTTTCTCAACACATTTTCATGAAAAGACTGTCCTTTCCCCATAACATGTTCTTGGCATCTTTGTCAAAAATCAGCTGGCTGTAAATGTGTGGATTAACTTCTGGGCTCTCTATTCCTTTTCATTTGTCTATGTTTTTGTTTATATTCCAGTACCATGCTCTTTTGGTTACTTTAGCTTTGTATTACACAGATGACCATTGTACAACACAAATTTAAACTGCACAGGTCCACTTACACTCAGATTTTCTTCCACCTTTGCCACCCATGAGAGAGAAAGACCAACCCTCTTCATCTTCCTCCTCCTCCTCAGCCTACTCAACATAAAGACAATGAAGATGAAGAACTTTATGATGAACCCTTCCACTTAATGAATAGCAAATATATTTTCTCTTATGATTTTCTTAACATTTTCTCTAGTTTGCTTTACTGTAAGAATACAATATATTATACATATAATATAGATAATAAGTATTAGTTGACAGTTTTTATTGTTGATGTGGCTTCCAGTCAATGGTAGGTTATTAGTAGTTAAGTTTTGGGGGAGTCAAATTTTATACATGGATTTTTGACCGTATGGGCAGTTGTGCACTTAACCCCTGTGTTGTTCAAGGGTCAAATGTATTTCAAAATAAGGTAGCGTGATGCCTCTGATTTTGCTCTTTTTGCCCAAGATTGTTTTGGCTATTTAGGGGTCTATTGTGGTTTCATACAAATTTTAGTATTTTTTTATATTCCTATGAAGAATAACATTGATATTTTAGTAGGGATTGCATTGTATTTGTAGATTGCTTTGGGTAGTATGAACATTTTAAGAATATTAATTCTTCTAATACATACACATGGGATATCTTTCCATTTATTGGTTTTTTTCTTTAGTTTCATTCCTCAGTGTTTTAAACTTTTCATGTAGTGATCTTGTACCTCCTTGGTTAAATTTATTCCTAAGCATATTATGTTTTGTCGTTATTTTCAATGGGATTTTTCAAAATTTCTTTTTCAGATTGTTCAATGTTAGCGTATAGAAATGCTACTGATTTTTGTATGTTGATTTTATATCCTGCAGCTTCACTGAATTCATTTATTAGTTCTAACAGTTTTTTTTCCCCCCTTTGGTGGAGTGTTCAGGTTTTTGTTTTTTTTAAAATCTTATAAGATCATGTCATGTAAACAGGGACAATTAAACCTCTTTGTTTCCAATTTGGATGCCTTTTCTTTCTTTTTTTCTCTTGCCTAATTGATCTGTCTCGGACTTCTAATACTATGTTGAATAGAAGTATTCAGAGTGGGCAGCCTTGTATTATTCCCGATCTTTGAGCAAAAGCTTTCAACTTTTCCTTGTTTGGTATGATGTTAACTGTAGGTTTGTTATGTATAGCCTTTAATGTTCCTGGTAAATTCCTTCTATACCTAATTTCTTAAGAGTTTTTATTATTTAAAATGTTTAATTTTGTCAGATGCTTTTTTTTGCATCTATTGAAATGATTATATGATTTTTGTTCTTATTCTGTTCATGTGATGTATCACTGATATTGTTTGGCTGTGTCCCAACCCAAATGTCATCTAAAATTGTAGCTCCCATAATTCCCACATGTTGTGGGAGGGATCTGGTGGGAGATAATTGAATAATGGGAGTGGTTTTCCTCATACTGTTCTCATGGTAGTGAATAAGTCTCATGAGATCTGAGGATCTTATAAGGGGCTTCCCCTTTCACTTGGCTCTCATTTTCTCTCACCCGGCACCATGTAAGACATGCCTTTTGCCTTTTGCCCTAATCATGAGGCCGCCACTGCCACGTGGAACTGTGAGTCCACTAAACCCCTTTTTCTTTATAAGTTACCCAGTCACAGGTATGTCTTTATCAGCAGTGTGAAAATGGACTAATACAATCACATTTATTGATTTGCATATATTAAACCAGTCTTGTATCCCTGGGATAAATTCCACTTGATCATGAAGAATGATCTTTTTAATATGCTGTTGAATTTGGTTTGCTAGCGTTTTATTGAGGATTTTTGCATCTTTGTTCTTCAGGGATTTGGCCTATCATTTTCTTTTATCCTTTAGAGACAGAGTCTTTCTTGGTCACAAAGGCTGGAGTGCAGTGGAGTGATCGTGGCTCAGTAGTGCCTTGACCTTCTGGGCCCAAGTGATCTCTCCCTCCCCAGCCTCCCAAGTAGCTGGGACTGCAGGTGCATACCACCACCACACCCAGCTAATTTTTGTGTGTTTTGCAGAGAAGAGGTTTTGCCATGTTGCCCAAGCTGGTCTCCTGGGTTCAAGCGATCTGCTTGCCTCCCAAAGTGCTGGGATTACAGGTGAGAACCACTGCACCCAGCCTTGGCCTATAATTTTCTTTTCTTGTAATGTCCTTTCTGTCTTTGGCACGAGGGAAATGCTACCATTGTAAAATGAAATTGGAAGTATTTTTCCGGTTTTTTTTTTTTGGAAGAGTTTGAGAAGAATTGATATTGCTTCCTCTTTAAAAGTTTGGTAGATTTCAACCATAAAGCTATTTAGTCTTGGGCTTTCCCTTTTGGGAGACTTTATTACTGTTTCACTCTTATTACTTGTAATTGGTCTTTCAGGTTTTTATACCTTCTTTGTTCAATCTTTGTAGATTGTATATGCCCAAGAATTATCCATTACCTAAGTTATCCAATGTATTGGCATATTAAATGTTCATAATAGTTTCTTATGATCATTTGTATTTCCATTCTGTCAGTTGTAACATTTCCTTTCTGATTGTATTTATTCGACTCTTCTCTTGTTTTTCTTATTCTAGCTAAAGATTTGTCAACTCTTTTTATCTTCTCAAAAAACCAGCTCTTACTTCTGTTGATTTTTTTGTATTTTTCTAATCTTTATTATTTTCTTTTCATCCTTTATTATTTTCTTTATTGTTTTATTATTTTTCTTCCTTTTACTAACTTTGAGCTTAGTTTGCTCTTGTTTTTCTACTGCCTTGAGGTGCAAAGTTAGGTTGTTTATTTGAGAACTTTCCTTCTTCTGTAGGGGTTTATTGCTATAAACTAGTAGTTTATAGTTTATGTATAGCAAGTTTATAGTTTATAGCAATAGTTCTAGTTTATAGACATAAACTTTATCAGTTTTCTCTATCACTTTCTCTGTCACTATTCTCTTTACAGACATAAACTAGAATTGCTTTTGCTGTATCCCATAAGTTTTGGTATGTTGTGTTTCTACATTTGTTTTTCTGAAAAAAAATTAAAAATTTTCCTTTTAATTTCTTAAATGTCCCCTGTTTCTTTAACAGCCTGTTGCCTAATTTCCTTGCACTCGCGAATTTTATGAAGTTTTTTTTCTGTTATTGTTTCTCGTTTTATACCATTGTGGTCAGAAAAGATACTTGATACAGTTCTTAAACTTGCTAAGACTTGTTTTGTGGCCTAACATATAATCTTTCCTTGAAAATGTTAGATGCACAGTTGAGAAGAATGTATATTCTGCTACTATTGGATGTGGTGTTCTGTTTAGGTCTGTTAGGTCTATATGATCATATGGTTGGGAGTGTAGTCTAAGTTTCAGGTTTCCTTACTGATTATCCATCGAGATCATCTGTCCATTGCTGAAAATTGGATTTTTAAAGTCCCCTATTATGGTTGTGTTGCAGTCTATCTTTCTTCTTTCTTTTTTTTCTTTCTTTTTCTTTTTTTTTTTTTTGAGATAGAGTTTCACTCTGTCGCCCAGGCTGGAGTGCAGTGGCGCAACCTCGGCTCACTGCAGCCTCTGCCTCCCGGGTTTAAGCAGTTCTCTGCCTCAGCCTCCTGAGTAGCTGGGATTACAGGCGTCTGCCACCATGCCTGGCTAATTTTTGGTATTTTTGGGAGAGAAAGTGTTTTACCATGTTAGCCAGGATGATCTCCATCTCCTGACCTTGTGATACACCCGCCTCAGTCTCCCAAAGTGCTGGGATTACAGGCATGAGCCACCAAGTCCGGCTGTTGCAGTCTATCTTTCTTTTCAAATCTATTAATATTTGCTCTATATGATTAACTGCTTTTGATGCTGGGTGCATATATATTTACACTTGTTATATCCTCTTGCTGATTTGATCCCTTTATCATTTTATAAAGTCTTCCTTGTGTCTTCTTACAGTTTTTAACTTAAAGTCTATTTTGTCTGATATAAGTATAGCTACTACTGTTAAATTTTGATTTCTGTTTGCATGGTATATCTTTTTATATCACTTTACTGTCAGTTTACATGTATTTTTAAAGGTGAAGTGAGTCTCTCCTAGGCAGCGTATTATTGGTTTTGCTTTTTTTTTTTAATCCATATAGTCATTTTGTTTTTTGTTTGAAGATTTTGATCTATTTAAGTTCGAGTTAATGATTGATATATAAGGACTTATTACTGCTATTTTGTGAATTGCTTTCTAATTGCTTTGTAGATCCTTTTTTCCTTCCTTTCTCTCTTTTTGTCTTCCTTTGTGGTTATGTGACTTTCTCCAGTTATATGTTTTGATTCCTTCCTCTTTATTTTTTGTGCGTCTACTCTAGGATTTTGCTTTGTGGTTATCATGAGGCTTATAAAATAATCTTATAGCAAATTATTTTAAGCTTTTAATAATTTGGTAATTAAAAATAACACTTTTACTCTACTCCCCTTACCTTTTGAATTTCTAATGTCATAATTTACAACTTTTTATACTGCATACCCCTTACCAAATTATTGTTGCTCTTATTATTTTAACAGTTTTATCCTTTAACCTTCATACTAAAGATATAAATGATTTACTTACCACTAGTATAGTATTATTCTAAATTTAACTGTGTACATACTTTTAACAGTGAGTTTTATACTTCCAGATATTTTTGCATTACTGATTAGCATACTTTTCTTTCAGTTTAAAGAACTCCCTTTAGCATTTCTTGTAAGTCAGATCTGATAGGGATGAACTCTCTCAGCCTTTGTTTGTCTGGAGAAGCATTTATCTCTCCTTATTTTCTGAAGGACAGTTTTAGGTGGTACAGTATTCTTGGCTAGCAGTTTTCTCTATCACTTCAAATATATCATCATACTCTCCCCTAGCCTATAAGGTTTCTGTTGAGAAATTTGCTGCTAGCCACATTGGAACTTCTTTGTAAGTTATTTGCTTCTTTTCTCTTGCTATTTTCAGGATCCTCTCTTTGTTTTGATTTTTGACCCTTTGATTATAACATGGGGAGGTAGTCTTGTTTGGATTGAATCTGATTAAAGCCCTTTGACCTTTCTATACGTGAATATTGAAATCTTTCAATAAACTTTAGAAATTTTTTGCTATTATTTCTCTAAAAATCTTTCTATTATTTCATCTTTCTCTTCTCCTTTAACTCCTGTGGCTCAAAAATTTACTCCTTGAATGCTGTTCCGTAAATCCTATAAGCTTTTAATTCTTTTTTCTTTTTTCCCTCAGAGTGTATATTTTCAAATAACCTCATTTTGAGTTCACAGATTCTTCTACTTAATCAAAGCTGGTATTGGTGCTTTCCATCTCATTTATCAGTTCTTTCTTTTATTGTATAGTTCCATCTCCAAAATGTCCATTTGATTGTCTGTTTTAATTATTTCAATCTGCTTTTAAATTTCTCATTCTGGTTTATTGTTTCCTCATTTCGTTAAATTGTTTTTCTATATTCTTGAAGTTCATTGAGTTTCCTTAAACCGGTTTTTTGAATTATTTGTCAGGCAGTTTATATAGCTCCATTTCTTTAGAGTCAGTCATTGGCAATTTTGTCTTTTTAGTGATGCTATATTTCTCTGATTGTTCTTCATTTTTGTGGCTATGCATCAAAGTTTGCATATTTGAAGAAGTAGATACTTATTACAGTATTTGAAGACTGACTTTGTCTGAGAAAGCCCCTCAACAGTCAACAGGCAAGCCTTGTGATGTGGTTCCAAAGCCCACGGCCACTGGAGCTTGTATGGTACTGGGGCATACTAGAAGACTGGGTTGTCGGTGGTTGACACAGCATTGAGGCAAGCTGTAAGTCTGAGGCTACTGAGTGTAAACTGAAGACTGAGTCTGAAGCCTAAGTCCTGGAGCTGCTGGGTTCCCCTTGGCACCAGGGCAAGTCAGGAGTTTCAGTCCATGGGTACTGGCCTGAAGTCTGGAGTTCTGGGGGCCTGCCTGGTGCTGGGTTTTACAATGGTAGGCCTAGTTTTGGGGTCCAAATCTTATGCTCACTCTTTCCCTCAAATGGATGGTATCTTCCTCCTCACTGTGCTATCTGTGGTTGGAGGTGCAGTGACATGGGTATGAAAAATGGTCCTTTCTACACTCTTTAATACATATTTTTTTCTTATTGTGCTATGACTGGGTACTGTGATTTCTCCCCTGGTTTCTTTTGCTCTTGTAAAAGTATTCTTGTACGTAGATATTTGTTCAAGTTGATATTTCTGAAAGGGGATGATTGTTGGAGAGTCCTATTCTGCTATCTTGCTCCAGCCCTTCTTCTGAGATTTCTTCTTTAGAAATACCAATTATGTGTCTTTTTCTGTTGCCCATATTTATCATATTCTCTCTACTTTCTGTTGTATCATTGTTCTTTACTATTTAACTTTGTGTAATTTTCTGTAGTCTTATGACTTACTCTATTTTTAGCAGCTTTGAATCTATATTCCAATATAGATTATTTAATATAATTCTATATTAAATCTACATGCCTTTCATTTCTCTGTGGATTTACTGTCACCACCTATTTCATTCATGAGTTCTGCTAGGTAGCTTTGTATTTCTTTTGATTGTTTCTTCATCTATTTTAAAATTTCTTGTGTCCATTTGTTCTATTTCAAGCATTGTAAATGATTTTTCTCAAGCTTTCTTTTGAGTTCTACTTTTGATGTGAAATTTTCAATTTTATTTTGTTTGCTTTATTTTTCTCATTATCATGGTGTTAATGTTGCTATTGTAGGACTTGAGCACAGGTGCAATGATGAATCCTTTAAACTTGGCATGGGCTTAGATTGTCACCCTGTGGAATAAAACAGAATCCACATAGACTTGTTCTCTGATGATCTCTTAGCCGATTTTTATCTTAACATTCTGAGATTCTTTAGAAAAAAATTGCTAATAGGGCCTTTCACTACAGACTAACATACTTTTAGAGAAAACTATACCTTATTTAAGATTTTTAGCAGCCTTCATGATTATCTCTAGATTTGGTGCAAATTTTACTATTATATATTCTTTTAGTTTGTGATTTGAACTTATAGATGTTTCTTGGTCTTATAGAAATAGAGGTTTTACCTCTTTTTCATTTTTTAATGATCTGCAATTCAGGTAGATGAATTAAATAAAATTGCATATTTTGCTCTCTTTACTTTTATAATGAAAGCACCAAGGCAATTATTTTTACACTCCCCTCTACTTATCAAACCATATTCATTAGTTTTCTGTTACCCCATATAAATTGCCAGAAACATAGTAGCTTAAAACAACAGACATTCATTATCTTACCATTCTGTAAGTGAGAAGCATTAATGACTTTAATTGAGTTTTCTGGTTGAGTCTTTCAAGACTGATGGGGAGAATCAATTTTCAAGGTTATTCAGGCTGTTAGCAGAGGTCAATTTCTCTTGGTGGTAGGGCTGAAGCCTTTTTTTTTTTTTTTTTTTTTTTTTTTTGCTGGCTGTCAGCTGAGAGATTCCCTCACAGCTCTTTAAGGCCTTCTACATCCCTCATTACTTTAGCCCTTCCATCTCCAAATCAGCAATCATGTGTGGAGTCATCTCACACTTTAAATCTCTCTGGCTCCTCTTCTGTCGTGTCTCTTCTGCCACCAGCTAAGAACTCGGTTTTCAATGACTTATGCAATTACATTGGAGCCACCCAGATAGCCCAGAATAATTTATTTAAAAGTCCTTAAACTTAACTACTTCTGTGAAAGTCTCTTTTGCCATTTAACATAACATATTCACAGGTTTCAGAGCTTGAGGCACCAACATCAGTAGGGGGCCATTATACATCTCACTATAGACATTAAAGAGGGTGATCATATTTCCTAACGCATTCCAATCCTTAGCCCACATGCTTTCTAGATTAAAGTTTTTACTCTTCTGGAATAATATACATCATAATTAGATATGTCTCTTTGCCTGTTAGAACCTATATATTTCATTTTCTTGCTTAAATTAATTAAAATACAGTTATAGCTTTCTGTACTCAGAATTTAAACTCCCATGGTTCAAGAGACGGGCTCTAATTACTACTCTTTAATCCCACCCTCTTTTGCTCCACCCCCCTCATTATTATCTCTGTCCAACAAAATTGCTCACTCTGGTTTTTCAATTACACTTGACTCTGCCTCAAGTCCTTTAGACTTTTTCTTTCTTCTTCATCAGACATTCTTGTCATGATCTGTGCCTGACTCTGTTTTGTCATTTAGGTTCAAATAAAATGCCATCTTCTCAAAAATGCCTTCCCTGACCATTTTTGAGATGTCTGCTCATCACTCTCCTTGGCAATTATCATCCATTTAAGTATTTTTGTGGCATTTATCCTTATGTCCCTTCCTACACAGATGATAGAGAATGATTTAAAGATTGTACTTCTGAGTCATATCTGGCCTTACTAGTAAGTGGAAATATAAAAGTGATCTGGTAGATTTTTTTTTATTATACTTTAAATTTTAGGCTACATGTGCACAACGTGCAGGTTTGTTACACATGTATGCATGTGCCATGTTGCTGTGCTGCACCCATTAACTAGTCATTTACATTAGGTATATCCCCTAATGCTATCCCCCCTGCCCCCACCCCATAACAGGCCCCAGGGTGTGATGTTCCACTTCCTGTGTCCAAGTGTTCTCATTGTTCAATTCCCACCTATGAGTGAGAACATGCGGTGTTTGGTTTTTTGGCCTTGCGATAGTTTGCTGAGAATGGTGGTTTCCAGCTTCATCCATGTCCCTACAAAGGACATGAACTCATCCTTTTTTGTGGCTGCATAGTATTCCATGGTGTATATGTGCCACATTTTCTTAATCCAGCCTATCATTATTGGACATTTGGCTTGGTTCCAAGTCTTTGCTATTGTGAGTAGTGCCACAAGAAACATACATGTGCATGTGTCTTTATAGCAGCATGATTTATACTCCTTTGGGTACATACCCAGTAATGGGATGGCTGGGTCAAATGGTATTTCCAGTTCTAGATCCCTGAGGAATTGTCACACCGACTTCCACAATGGTTGAACTAGTTTACAGTCCTACCAACAGTATAAAAGCGTTCCTATTTCTCCACATCCTCTCCAGCACCTGTTGTTTCCTGACTTTTTAATGATCTGGTAGATTTTTAGAAACCTGTCACTTAGTGGCTTGAGAAAGGAATCGTTTCTTAAATAATTTTATCTGTAATGTTAGAGTCATACTCATTGAGCTACGGAGTAAAAATGTTAGTGAAAAGTCATGCAGTCTAGGTTCTAATACCAGTTAGTGATGGGAAAGTCATTGCATCTTTCCCTCAGCTTTCCATTTCTTCTCATATAAAACAAGGGAGATAGACAATTTAATCTCTTTTTATCTTTTACTGGAAAGGTCAGTGGTTTTGAGTTCAGAAGTCAGTTTGATATTAAGAAGTTCCAAAATTCCTGGATTCTTTAAACCAGCAGTTTTTAAAAGTGTGGTCAGCATGTCTCTGCAGGTTCCCAAGACCCTTTTAGAGGATTTTTGAGGTTTAAAGTGCTTTTTAAAACTATTAAGATTTGGTCAGGCATGGCGGCTCATGCCTGCAATCCCAGCACCTTGGAAGGCCAAGGCAGGAGGATCACCTGAGGTCAGGAGTTCGAGACCAGTCTGACCAACATGGAGAAACACCATCTGTACTAAAAATACAAAATTACCCGGGTGTGGTGGTGCATTCCTGTAATCTCAGCTACTTGGGAGGCTGAGGCAGGAGAATCAGTTGAACCTGGGAGGCAGAGGTTGCAGAGAGCCGAGATTACACCATTACACTCCAGCCTGGGCAACAAGAGTGAAACTCCATCTCAAAAAAAAAAAATTAAGATTTATTTTTCCTTTTCACTATGTTGACATTTACACTGATGATGCAAAGGTAAAAACTACTGGGACCTTAGCACAAATCAAGGCAGTGGCACCAAACTGTAAACATAATTATTGCATTCATCAGGACACTGAAAAAAAATGTATTCATATAAAAAATCTGTTTTACTTAAGAATGTTTTTAGTAAAGCAGTAAAAAATATTAAATTTTTAAAATCTTGACCTCCGAGTACACATATTTTTAATATTCTGTGTGAAAAAATGGGAAGCTAGTATAAAACACTTTTGCTGCATACTGAAGTATCAAATTATGGTGGTTGTCTAAAGGAAAATAACTATGTGATTGAGTTGCAAGTGGAATCAAACACTGTTTTATAAAATACAATTTATTTTACATAAAATGATATCAGATAAACTAGGGTTATTCAGACATGGGTATTTGGCAGACATATTTCAAACTTTGAAGAAGGCAAACCTGCCAATTCAGAAAATACTGCTGACAGTATTGTTGCCAAAAATAAAATGAGCTTTCAAGTGAAAATTTGAGTTTTTAAAATTTGTTTCAACCTCCCAAACACTTAAAGACTTTTTAATGAGAGAATGTTATATTAATGAATGTTTTTAAATATTGAATAATGAAATATGTCAACATATGAAAGATCTCAGAGATAACTTGGTGAACCAATATTTTCTAAATGAAAAATTCATGATATTACAATTCATGCATAAAAGATATACTCCAAATATAAAATAGAGCAATTAACTTAATATAACAGCATAAAAAGTTCACTGATATGATTTCAGATTCCAAATTGCAATAACATTTAAAATGGTACTACTTGTTGAATTTGAGTGTAGTATCAAAGAAAAACATCCACATTTATCTCAAAAGATTTTTAAATTCTCCTTTCCTTTTTTTTCAATTTTTTGGTGTACACAGTAGGTGTATATATTTATGGAGTATGTGAGATGTTTTGATATAGGTATGTAATGTGAAATAAGCACAACATGAAGACTGGGGCATCCATACCCTCAAGCACTTATCCATTGAATTGCAAACATTCCAATTACACTGTAAGTCATTTTAAAATGTACATTCAATTTATTATTGTCTTTCCAACTGTGTAACTGTGTGAGCTTGGATTTTCTTTACCTACCTCAACCAAAATAATGTATTCTAACAAATCAAATGTAGAAGCAGATATGAGAAAGCAACTGTCTTCTATTTAGCTAGATATTAAAGAAATTTCAAAAATGTAAAACAGGGCCACTTTTTTCACTAAAATTACTTGTATATTGGAAAATGATGTTAAATTTCATAAAATTTGTTACTTATTTAAACATGTAATGAATTTGTTATAATTTTAAATGAAGTAATAAATATTTTAAATTTTAACTAATCTTTATTTTAAATATTTATTTTAAAAATATTTAAATTAAATATTAACATTTATCAGAACAATTTTCTATTAATTAATATTATATTTTCAGTTTTGTTTTTAGTATGCTTTAGTACAAATATGCATGAACAAATTATGCAATAAAAATATTTAAATTAAATATTTTAATTTCTAATATAGTAAGCTGCAATAGATACAATCCATATAAACAAAAGCTCTTTGCAGTCCTTAATTTGTAGGAGAGTAAAGGGGTCTTAAGACCAAAAAGTTTGAGAACTGTTGGTCTGAACAGAGCCAAAAATGTTTGTTCAGTAGGGTTAACTACTTTTTAAAAATTGTGTCCTTTGATGCACAAACATTTTTAATTTTGATGTAGTCCAGCTTATCAATTTTTTTCTTTTGTTGCCTGTGCTTTTGGTGTCATATTCAAGAAACCATTGCCAAATCCAGTATCACGAAGTGTTCTTCTGTTTTCTTTTAAGAATTTTATAGTTTCAACTCTTACATCTATGTCTTTCATCCAAGTTGAGTTCATTTTTGCATGTATTAGGTGGTCAGGGTCTGATTCCATTCTTTTATACGTGGATATCCAATGTTTCCAGTACCATTTATTGAAAAGATTATTCCTTCTCCATTAAATGGTCCTGACACCTTTATTAAAAATCATGTGATGGCTGGGTATGGGGGCCTGTAATCCAAGCACTTAGGGAGGCCGAGGCAGGCAGACTCCTTTGAGGTCAGGAGTTCGAGGCCAGCCTTGCCAACACTGTGAAACCCCGTCTCTACTGAAAATAGAAAAATAAGCTGGATGTGGTGGCAGGAACCTGTAATTCCAGCTACTTGGGAGGCTGAGGCAGGATAATCGCCTGAACTTAGGAGTCGGATGTTGCAGTGAGCTGAGATTGGGCCACTGCACTCCAGCTTAGAAGGCAGTGAGATTCTGTCTCAAAAATAAAAAAAAAATAAAAAATCATTTGACCATCTATGTGAGAGTTTATTTCTGGGCTCTCGATTCTATTCCATTGGTCTGTATGCCATTTCCTATGCCAGTATCATACTATTTTAATTAATGTAGCTTCACAATGAGTTTTGAAATCAGAAAGTATGCGTTCTCTAGCTTCGTTCTTCTTTTTCAAGATTGTATTGATTATTCTGGATGCTTTGAGATTCCATATAGATTTTAGTATAGATTTTTCTATTTCTGCCCAAAAATGTTAGTTGAGATTTTGATAGAATTTGCATTGAATCTGTAGATCACTTTGGGTAGTATTGACATCTTAGCAATATTAAGTCTTCTAATTAATGAATATGAGGTGTCTTTTTATTTATTTTCATCTTTAATTTCTTTCAACAATATTTTGTAGTTTTCAGTGTACAAGTATTTTGCATCATTGGCTAAATTTATGGATAATTTGAACAATTTCATTTTCAGATGTATTCAATTAAATAATTTGTCCATGGATATTTGTACCAAAACATACAAAAACAAAAGTGAAAATATGTTAGTTAATAAGAAATTTTTCTGATATATGTAATAAAAGGAAACATCATATTAGTTAACAAGAAATTGTTCTGATTTATGAAGTAGAAGGAAGTTGAAAGCATTATTTCCAAATTATGCCATATAAATTTAACCAAATATGTGTTTAACATATCACCACAAACTTCTGTCACAGTCTTGCACTTTGCTTTACATTTGTTCAAATAGAACCCCATGGATAAGATGCTTTTGGGTAAGAATGCCAAGAGATGACACGAAATGGAAGTTGGCATAACTATGGTTAACCTGAGCATGTTGGAAACTGAGGAAAGGCTGAATGTTATATGCAGCCTGTGAATCAGAGTGAATGGAAGAACCAGGGTGACCAACACCTGGCAAAATAGGCTGGAAATTGTGGGCATAATGGTCACCAACAATTTCCAAGTAACGAATAGCTGATTGATGGATAGTATCAACAAAACCAACAACTCACGTTTCTCTCTCTGGAGCACAGCCATGCTTATACTGGATTTTGTGGCTAAAACAGGACTCATTTATTTGCAAATAATGACCTGGGCTACCAATCTATATCAGATGCAGTTCAAAGTAATGCTTGCATACTTTGTGAGAGAAATTGTAGATATCAACCATAGTATTGGCTGAAATTTCATAATAGCAGTGGTTGTTTTCTCTGTGACTTTCATAGACTATAAGAATAAAAAATAAAGCCAGATTTTTAGGGAAATGTTAGAATTTGCAAAAAAGATACCTTTGAAGCAAGACCCATAAAGATTGGCAGTTGTGGTAAATGCATTTTGACGAATAGCCATCTTTGCATTGACATCATACTGTAAGAGTTGGTGACATGAGGAATGTCCAGGAGACACAGATAACAAATTACAGTGCTTTAATAACTTAGTAGCTTGACAATAATAGGTGGTAGTGTATCTTAAAATAAATGCTTCTGCATTGGGAGAGGTGAAATGAAATTTTTCTTAAAAATAAAACTAGTAAATAAAACAAAATTTGAATTTGACCCACAGGGTTTGATCACAATTGAGAAATTTGACTCGCCACAATTAACTTTGATCTGCTAGGAGAAATTATTCAGTTGATTCAAGTTTATTCTTAAGTATTTTATTCTTTTGATGCTTCAGTAGGGTTGACTGTTGCTTGTAAGCAACACTTATTGAACACAAGCAGTGCTCTGGTTTGAAATAGAACATCATATGGATCACATCTTCAATTTATATTAAGGAAGGGGACAATGCATTGTAATACACACCATAAAGGAAGTTATCAGAGCAAGTTATTGGAGAACATAGAGCAATCATTTGTACCCTAACTTGAGATACGTATATAATCTTGGAAGTTACATCTCAGTGGAACCTTGAAAGATTCTCTAGTTTGAATGTTTGTGCCTCTAAAACTCATGTTGAAACTTGATACCTAATATAACAGTATTAAGAGGTACAGCCTTTAAGAGGTGATTGGGTCATGAGTACTCTGCCCTCATGAATGGGTTAACCTATTCATGGATTAATGGATTGATGGGTTAGCATGAGAGTGAATTTGTTATAAAAGCCAGTTTGGCTCTCTCTTATGTGCCCCTTTGCCCTGTGATGCCTTCCACCGTGTTTTGGTGCAGCACAAGGCCCTCACTAGAAGCTGACCAGGTGTGGCCATCCAATCTTGAACTTCCCAGCCTCCAGAACCATGAGCTAAGTAAACCTCTTTTCTTTATAAATTTCCCAGTCTCAAGTATTCAGTTATAGCACAGAAAACAGACTAAAATAAAGGAAAAGTAGGCTTGAAAAAGAATAAACGAGGGTGGGCAGGGAAGAATGTCAAAAGTCAAGGGAGGAGCCCCTGCATAACGAATTGGAGGTATGAAACAGCATGATATGTACAGAGAACTGCAAACAGCTTTTGTTATCTGAGTACAGAGTGTGCCTAAAAGAGGTTAGGGGGAGGCAGCTAGAAAAGCAGACATGATCCAGTCTTGATGGTTTTAGCTCAAACTTCTACTCCTGTTAAAACTCAAGTGTTTGCCAAGTCCAGGAATCCCTCACTGACACTTACCCTTTTCTCTAGGTTGTGTTAGGTCCTTACCACAATACTCCCATTACTACTTCCTACAAGGGCTCTTAGTTAATACACTTAAGAGCTGTATTATAATCTGTTTATATGTTTAACGTAGTGCCTAGAACATACAATTGTTTGTTTAACTTCTCTGAATTGGGTACACAGTTTTGAACAGATAAATTAAACTAATGTTTAAAAAGATAATTTTTGTTGCCA
This sequence comes from Homo sapiens, assembly GCF_000001405.40. Lineage (NCBI taxonomy): Eukaryota > Metazoa > Chordata > Mammalia > Primates > Hominidae > Homo > Homo sapiens. Next base: position 58,358,750 of record NC_000006.12, on the reverse strand, counting down.
TTTGCCTGGTAGTCAGGGCTAACTTAGATTGGAGACAGGAAGGGCAAGTGGAAAGGTTTCATGCAGAAAGGAAGTGATTAGCACCTGAGTCAGCACAGTGACTCTGGAAGTAAAAATGGCTCAGAATGTGCTGCCTTTCACCTGTGGTGAAAATATGTATTCCTAGTAAAGCGTGGCAGTAGAGTTGACACTGAATGATGATGTATGTAAGCTGAGCTCTGAAGAAAGACCAGTGCACACAAAGATTTTGGGTGGAGCATGAAACAGTTGAGTTTATTTTCTGTTAGGAAAAATGCAATCATAAGTGAGGTATGGAAAATAAAGTAAAAATGGCTGTTTAAATTGTTAAGAGAGGTTTGAGAAGAATTTGAAGTGCCCAGCAACAAAAGTGGCCTCTCATGAAAGGCCCCATGCTTAACTCAAGGCAGCACATGTTTCTTAGACATGAAGCTGAACTAACGATCTGTCTTTTTGACCTCTCCTTAAAAGCACTCAGGTTCTGCTGCCAAGGTCGAGTGCTCCTTTCCTAGGTATATCCATCTGCACCTACCGTGTAATGTGAAGATTTTTATTTTTTCTTTTCAGTAACAAGGCAGAATCATTTTAGAAAATAGGTTTTCTCAATAATTTCAAAGTGTAGTATTAATCTTTAGTAGACTAGTACAAGATAAAGTCACTGCTACTCCACTTTTTTTAAAAAAAGAAAGAGAAATGTGCAAAATGATTCAAGGTGACAGCAACCACCTTCAACATTTTGCACGCCAGCAATGCAAAATTTTTTTATACAGTGACCTTGAATCACAACAGTGAAAAGAATCAGGTATAACATATTAGGGGTACTGTAAGACTGCCATGAAAAAGAAAAAATAAGGAATCCTTATAATGTAAAATTCTTATAATCCACCATTTTAAAAATCAGATATTTTATGAGAGCATATTGTTTTTTCTTTTAGGGAGCTTCCAATAATGAGAAAATGTCCCCATTTCAACTAGAATTACTGGAGTAATCTTAGTTACTGCATAGAATATAGTAAAAGTAAAGTGATATGTAAATTAAATACATGGGTATATATTTTTGCTTTGTAATCATCAACTTTTTTCTCTGTTGTCTTTTGAAAACCATGTTATTTATTTTTCAGAGACCTAAGTTGAAGTGAGAAGCAGTATGTCTGTACTAAATTAATGACCAAGCAGAATTTAAACTTTTCAGAAATTTTAATTTGAGACATTCCTTTGCTTTATTTGAATTTTTAAACTAAAATGGGAACTTTGGTATATATGACTAAAGTAATTAAATGTCATTTAATCTTGTTATAACATATTAACAACTCAGATATTCAGCATTTGGCCTGAAAACAGGAAGGAAGCAATTTTAAAACAGCTAAAATTGATGATAAATAATACTAAAGCCTGGATACTTTACTGCTAGGAAAGCCTTATAAGTACTGCCTTTAATTTTAGTTTTATATTGCATAGCAGTCCAATAAGATTCATCATCTCATTTTTTAAATCCCAGGAGATCAAGAATATCACAGTTGAATAGTGAAGCGTCATTGTTACAAGCAGACACACAGTAAAGTAAGGAGCTAATATGGCAGCAAGGCAAGAGATATTTCTCCAAAACGAACACACACACCCACAAAGAACAAAAGCAAATTGTTTGGCCCTTTAATATATGGCAAAACATTACTAATCTTAGTGTTCCCTGTATATACAGGTGCTTACAGCACAGGCCCTTTATTGATGTTTAGCATTACATCCTGAATCATCTAGAAAAGATTAAGTAATGTACAGTAATAAATGCATTTTTAGAAAATATAATAAAAAATATTTTAACTCTTGTCAGAAAAGACCAAACAGTTTTGTCTTTGAAGAATTTACCTATGCAGACTTATTTCTTAATGACTTGGAGTAACTATGATTTTTCAGTGGTTTGAGTTAACTGGTAAGCCAATGTTTGCAATGACCGGTGTATTCCTTTGTGTGACAACTGTATTAGAAAATTAAAATATTATGATTCCTTATTGATCATTTTATATTTGTACTGGGGAAAATAGCTAAATAGGACCTCCTAATTTCTAGGCAAAAGTCAGTTCATAAATTGACTTGTATGTCAATATCACGTAGTTCATAAGAATATTGCTAGACTTTCATATGCCACACAATTAGTTCATGGTGGAAATAAAACTCTGCCATTAGTTCCTGATTACCAGTTTGACATTATATTATCATTTCTGAGTCTATTCAGTATGTTTATTAAAGAAGAAAGTGATTCTATTTACATTTTTAAAATGTTACTTTTGTAAAAAACATGTTTTGAGAAGCTGTTGAATGGAATAAAGATATTAGGCAAGACAAATTACTGCTCCCTCTAGCAGTTTAAAATATAGTTAGAAACTAAGACTGAAATAAGGAGGAATGAAGAAAAGAACTATTGAGTACCTCATGGATGTCAGGCTTTGTGTTCAATATAATTAAAGAATTTGATTCTCAAGAATTCCCGTGTTACAGATGAATAACATGAAACTCAGTCTATGTTTGAACAACTGGTAATTAGCAAAATTGGAATCCTAACTATGGCCTGTCTGGCTTTAAAATCCTGCTCTTTCCACTCTCCTCCATGGCACCCAGGAACATGCATGGTGGAAAATGCATGATACAAAAATAAGACCTCAAGAACAGCCAAAGGAGGAGATCAGTGGCATGGGGTGGATAAGAAAAAGTGTCATTAGAAAAGAGAAGTTTTTATAGGTCTCACACACATACACACACACAAGTCTTGATAAGAGGAATGGGAGGGGCAATTTATTCACATTTGGGTAACCAGGTACCATAAAATAACTATTCTGATTCTTACATGAAAGGTTAATATCCTCAGTTTTAAGAAGGTGGCAGTAATATCAGGAAAACATTTTCATTTTTACAGAGTACCTATTCACCATACATTCCAGGATTCTTCAAAATTATGTAAATATAAAAATTTCCCTGAAAAATAGTAAACAAATTTAGAAGTTTTCAAAATGATAAAAATTGCATAACTTATAAAAATGCAATTACATATGAATATATCTCTCTGCATATTGATATTAAGTGTTAAAGTTAATACTAGTAGTTGACATTTACTTTTTCTTTGCCAGCCACTGACTTGAGAAAATTGCATGTATCACCTCAATTAATCCTCAGAATAACAATATAAAATACTCTTGTCATCTCCACTTAACAGACCTGTAAACTGTGATATAGAATACCTGAGTAACTTGTCCAAGGTAACACATTGGTGCTGTATACCTTTATGTCCTTCATATCCTTCTGTATCCCTATTCATTTTTCTATGTGTCCTGGGAGCAGGCTGGCTTCATGAGCATGTGACCTACACAGTTGCACAGGGTTCCACACTCAGTGGGATCCTACACTTGATTTATTGTTTTGCTATTACCATCTTGAAATTCCTAAAAATTGTTTTTAAACAAAGGAGCCCTGCATTTTCATTCTTCACCGAACCACAAAAATTGCTTAACAAGTCTTGTCAAGGTAGCTAACCCATTTGCTTACCATCAGTGAGCCTCCTTCTCCCTGGTTTTAGGTTGATTTAGCCGAAGAGAGCCACTGGCAAGAAATAAAAGGGTGGGAAGACAGTAAGGGTGGAGGATTAATTGCTCCACAAAAGGCACAGCCCATGTTGAATCCTTCTCATAATGCTGCCTTTTCCGGGTTTTGGTAACTGCTTTCTACCTTCCTCTTCTTCAAGATGTCTCCCCATTATTACCACCCCATTACTTGACTGGCATTGTGGGACTCCTTTAATCTTGTCCATGTCTTTCTACGTAGTTCCTTTATCAAATTCTCTTCAAAGTATCCAGTTTGAATGAGCCATCTGTTTTCTGCAGGGACCCTGACTGACAAACACAATTACCCATGCATCTTCTGATTTTGTGGCACAGTAGAAATCAGCTCAGGACAGTGGGGTAGGAGCTGGCTGAGGGAAAACAAGGAACACTTAGTTTCACATGAAGGCACCAAAGGAAACTAGCTCTAGGACCTTGCTGCTAATGTCTTCTCCACAAAGCTTGAATCAGCTTACATGCCTACCATCTGTATACTTGCATACTTGTTTCATTGAATCTTTACTTTTACTAGATTTTATAATGCCCCACCCCCATCTCTGATTCTTAAAGGAGAATGTGTCCAGAATTGGTTTGGAGTGATGCCTCACTGTGAGAGAGAAGAGAGGGGAGGAGAGTGGGTTGTGGTAGATATCTTTGTTAACTATATTCTACATATTACTTTAAATTCCTAAGCCTATTAGCTGAGTTTCTGACAAATACCTACATAATTACTTTCTGAAGCAAGCTGTGGAGGTTTAGAATAAAGATCTTAGTTCTGTGAATTCTCTGACATTAAAAATGAATATGAGAGAAAGTGCTTGTCAAGGAAAAAAGTGAGGTGTTAACATTTACTCTACATTTCACTTACAATTTGTATGTTTAAAGGTTCTGTTTTTTTTATATTAAGTTGTTTAAATCTCCCAATTATTTTTATTCATCACTGGAAAATAAAAAAAGATATTCCTTAAAGTTCAATTTTATTATGTTTCAAATACCTATTACAGAATTTTTCGTTAAAGACAGAGAAGCTAGACTTCTAGAAATACTTCCATTGGGTAATAATAGCATCTATAAGATAGGGATCCAAATTTCAGAAATGGACATTTTGTGTTCTTACTCTCAGAGTGGTAATAATACATTGGCTCATTGGTGTTGATTTAAAGTGTATATGAGAGCTAGGGTTTTCAATCAGGAGGTGATGTATTATAGAATGAGAGTAACTGAAGATTTTTAGCCCAAAGGAAAATGAGAAATAATCACATGTAGAGCCTCAAACACTGAACTTTCATTTTATTTTATAAAAGAAAGAAAACACTATCCTGCTTTAAATATCTATCAATAGCAACATGAAATAGACTAAGAAAAGAAATAAATCTCTGTTGAAAGGGTTAAGATACTTATAAATCATAATGGAAGATAAATTTATTTTTCTTTTCTATCTATCCTCACTTCCTTTATGATTTCACTCAGGCTATGGTTTTAAATACCTCTATATGCTGAAACTCACACATTTCCATCTCTTTTCAGAACTCCTGACCTGTATACATAGTCCAACTTAATATCTTCCCTTGGATGTTAAATTTAAGCCCTAGAGCTCAGTTCCTGATCTATGCTCCAGAACTGGCCTCCATACATCCTTATCTATCCGAGTTAATGGTGCTGCAGTTGATCAGGCCAAATCCAGGAGACATCCTTATTATTTTTTTTCTCAGATCTTATATCTAATATTTTAGGAATTCCTATTAATATATACCTCAAAATCCAAATATCTTTTGCCACCTCTACAGCAACTCCCCTGGTTTAAGCCACCAGCACCTGTCTCCTTGACTGTAGCAATGGTCTCTTACCTATTTTCATAACTGTTCTCCCTGCATTGCCTTGCTTTTCCTCTGTTGATTCTCAACACAACAGAAAGAGGAATCACTAGAAATATAAGTCAGATTATGCCACTTTTCTGCTCAAAACCCTGAAATGACTTCCCACTGCATAGAGAGTAAAAGCCAAAGTTTATGAGGCCTTGTGTTATCTGAGTCTCTACTTTGACCATGTCCTACTACCTCTGCCCCTTATGACTGATCAAATACACTGGATCATGCCCTTTTCCTACTCCCCTCCCTTCCATTCCCAATCCTCTTTACCTTGCTCCATTTTTTCTTTATTCCAAAGCACCTACCACTTTTTAATACACAGTGTAATTTACTTATTTATTGTGTTTATTATTTATTGCCTGCCCTTCACTGCTAGAATGTAAGCCTCATGAGAGCAGGGAACTTTCTGTGTCTTGTTTGCTGCTTTAGCCCCTGTGCCTAAAATAGTGCCTGCCCTGTAGTAGCCAGTCAATACTTGTTAAGTGATTGAAAGGTTTGCTTATGTACTCCCCTTTTTTAAAACTGTCTATTTGAAGGGCTCTCTCGAGAGGTGATTTCACACCCAATCTATTTACAGATTGATAAAACAAGTTTTATATAGGTACTAGGTCTTTTGAGCTGAGGGAGTGTGAAGATTTGCGGGTATGTACTAGATAGATTGTTGAGTCAGTGATTCAGGGATAAACTGAAAATATCAGGGTTCTTGGCAAGATATCAGTTAACGAAATCTAAGAATAGGTTTGTCTTTAGAGGGAATTTTATTGATAAAATGACTTTCCATGTTACCAACATACATTAAAACAAGTAACAAAAATAACTCTTTCAAGTAAACTGAAAAAGATTTTTGGAGCCATGTAAATGGCTGTTGATAATTTGGAAATTTAGTGTTATATCACATATATTTAAGCAAGTTTACAGGTACTATACATTTGATTAATCCATTAATTTCTAATTTCTATCTTAAGATCATTTCTATAATCAGGTATTTATTCAATTTCCCTACATAATACTTAGAAATGATCTCTTTTTTTTTCATTTCAGAGATTTAAAAAATTTACAAGAAGATAGGTTAAATAGTTAATCCAGGCTGTCATTCAATTAATTAGTAATAAGACTGGAATTAAAACACACCTATCTTGATCTTCTTACCAGATCTGTGTCTAGAGTGATCGTATCTCTGAATACTAACTTTATTTCTTTTTGGAAAATGCTTACACAGCCAGATTAAGTGGAAGAAGTGTGACAGCATTTTTCAGCTTTAATAAACTGAATCTGAATGTTCCTATCCTGATCCTGATCAACTAGAGACAGCAGAAGCAAGTGCCTATCTTCTCTCTTGACCTCACTGGGGGAAGCTTTTCCTTATTTCAGAATCTTAGAAGAAATATTCATGTGGGTTGACTGTAGCAGAAATGTGAATAACAATGTAACTCATCTGGGAAAAGTGCAGATCTATAAATCTCTACATTTCTCTGGACTTACTCACTTGGGTGATTTCATTTGAAGGTCACCAAAGAGTTCAAAAATACAGTTGGCAGCATAAAGTGATAAGATTGTCCTTTTAGTCTCAAAACTCTTTGCAACTTATTTTGTTGAATCTTGGTGCTAGATGCCAACATCAAGGCAGGGCGCATGGAATTTTCTTCACAAAGATGTGATTGCACCAAAAGCACTATAATCAATATGTAATCACCGTTACTTTCCACAATATAAATAACTGATTGACAAAACAGTGGGTCAAATCACAGTCAATTTTATTGCCATAGGAGGCTCTTTTCTCGACTTACAATATAAATTATTGCTGTATACCCTTTCATTAAATCTAGTTTTGTATTTCACCATTATAGAAAATTCTATGCTTGAATTCCCTATAAAGTCATATTAGGTTATTAACTACAGGGGCTTTGAGCTTGACGTTTGGGTACTTTAATTGTCACTGTAATTGATTTTACCTTTGACTTGGTGTAGTGATTGCCTTGTAATTTGTTGATGATTAATGACCATCCTCTGGTTATCGCTGCTCAGCTGGCCAGAAATAGAGCAATTGGTTTGTCTTGGCTCTTACTTTTCAAAAAAGACTTTAAAAATCACTGAGGGGGCCTATGTAAAAAGGTTTTAAACCCTCTGTGGTTTAACTGTATTGTGGGAAAAATCAAGGCACAAAATTAAGTGTATGTTTGGTTAATTTTATCTTTACGTCCTTAAGATACATTCAAAACTTTCTACTTTTAGCATTTTGATGAATGAATAAATTTTAGAAAATAGAGGATTTTGAAGATTAGGAGAAGTTAGGGTATTTGAATTTCTATGAAAATTTTCCGAGTAAAAGTTCCCCAAAAAGAGTTATCGTTGTTACTAATGGAATTGTTAGGATCTAATAATATAAATTGTTGATCAAAACACCAGGATAAAAGGGAAAATGACAATAGGTTATAGGGATCTGACAGTAAGAATTCTTCAGAAGTGATGAATAACTCAGGATTTTAAATATAAAAACGTGAGTTGATACTATGAAAAGCATTTTGCCAAATCCGAAGAGACAAAGAATTATGTAGACATGACTTTTGTCTATCTCTTCTCAATGTGTACAATCACCAAGAAATTATAATCTAGGAAAAAAATTAAGTGGCATAAAAGAAGTAAAAATGTATAGCATATACATAAAGATTCAAGGAAAACTTAAATTGTCCACAGCATCTTTCTTTTTTAAAAAAGAAAATGCACATGGACTGTAATACATAAATATTTTGAAGCTCTTGGGAAAAGTTTTAGATACTTCATTCACAAGACTAAATGAATACAATCCTTAGCTGTGGTTATATCACTGGTAATAGGGAGAGAAAATAATCACCGAGAAATACATTCAATCTAATTTTAAAATTGGTCTAATTTAGTTCTATTCTGAACATAATAATAAACTATTGACATTTAAAGTATCTCAAGCTAATGTATATATTCACATATAATTGATTTTAGAACATCAGTTCTTAACAGCAACATGTCTTTGACATGAATATTACATTTGTTTTATTATGCTGAATGTAGTTACAACCTTGCAAATAGTTTTTAAAAATTAAATTAATAAGAAAGTAAATTGTAAGTTCAGCATACAGATCCATTTCTTGAATTCACAAAATAAGCTAGCAATTTCTGGGTATTTTTCTAATTAGAAAAAGAAAATTTGTTCTAAGCAAATGGGAGGGCTGTTCCCTTAACTAAGAATTCTGCCCTTGATTTTAAATATTTTCAGGACTTCTACACATGATTCTACACATTCCTAATGGGCTGTGTTTCTAGAAAAAAATTTTAATTAAGTTGTTTAAAATACTAAGTGTATTTTCCAATAAATAAAATATTTTATATTATGATTGCATTTTCAGGACAAACAAACAAAATCTTTTAAACTCCAAATTCCTAATGGTCTATCTAAATAGTATAAGACTTTAATCATTGAATAATGATAAATGATATTTCAAAAGGAAGAATGTGTTTGGAGTTCTCCCCTCAGATAGCAGAAGCACACACACCTTCCCCACTCTACACCTGCCAAGAGATCCAAGCTACCATGGGTAACTTCTGTGATCTGCAGGAAGGTGACTGCAGGGAAATAAATGGAGGGAATTAGATTCTATGAAGGCTCTCGTCTCAGAAATCCTCCTTGCTTTCTACTTCTGCCATTATCTATTTCTCCAGTGAATAATTTAATCTTCTTTACCTTAACCAGACTACCAAAAACAGTTGCATGGCTTCTCCTCTACCATTGCATCTGCTAAGCAAGCACAGGGTTCTTCAATAGTTTTTTTGTGGACTCCAGAGATTGTGTAACAGCAGTTCTGTAAGTCTTCAGAGGAAAGAGAATTTATCTCTTATTATCTGAATGCTTTTGTGCAGTTTACGTAAAACATTTGGCTTTGGTTCTACGTTAAAACAGTGATCATGATGTACATCTTGTGGTTCTTTGAGAAGAAAGTAGTGGATATAAAGCAAAACCTGGAATTTAAACTATTCTAGGTCTAGCTAATAGTATAGGCATGAGGTTGATCATTTTGCTATATTTTGCACTATGTTTTACTCAAAACTTGTAGCAAAAGGCAAAGTTGTGCAGGTGATTGTTCTTTATGTAGATGAAGAACTGAAGTATTGAATACATTTCAAAGGTTGCCCATCAAGGGCTTTTAAATAAGAAATATAACTGGGTATGAGATCAGATACTAAGAGAACTGAATCTCTTTGATAATGCTGGGTGGTGAAATGGTGGGATGATTTGGAATCCTGATTATGAGCCCCAATACCCTTCTTTCTTTCTGTCACTTGCAGTCTCTTGTCATCACAGACCACATCTAGAATCATGGTCAATCCCTGGATAATTTCAGAATGAGGAATTGTGACTCACTGATTTATTCAACCACTATTTATTCCTTAATCACCAACTGCCAGGCATCTATTGCAAAAATATATCTCCCCATGCCCCCCGAAAAAAATAGTCTATTTCTTCATAAAGCTTACACTCCAATGGGCTTACAGATACAGATCAAACAATCTACAAGCACATGTGAAATAACAACTGTTACCTATGCTGTGAGATAAAGGCCCACACAATGCATTGACTGATTATCAGGGAATTTGAACTAGTCATGGAAGTCAGGAAAGACTTCCTGCAGAAAGTGATGATTAGTTTTATAGCCAAAGAAGTTAGCTCTTAAATAAAAAGGGAGGAAAAGTGCATTCTAAGCAGGAGGAAAAGCTGCTAAAAATTCAAACCAAAGAAACAAATAAAAAATTTGGGCCGGGTGCAGTGGCTCACGCCTGTAATCCCAGCACTTTGGGAGGCCAAGGCAGGCAGATCATGAGGTCAGGAGATCGAGACCTTCCTGGCTAACACCGTGAAACCCCGTCTCTACTAAAAATACAAAAAAAAAAAAAAAAAAAAAAATTAGCAGGGTGCGGTGGCGGGCGCCTATAGTCCCAGCTACTTGGGAGGCTGAGGCAGGAGAATGGCGTGAACCCGGGAGGCAGAGCTTGCAGTGAGCCGAGATCATGCCACTGCACTCCAGCCTGGGCTACAGAGCAAGACTCCATCTCAAAAAAAAAAAAAAATTGTTCATGCAAACATGAACCATGTTAAGAATTTTATCTAAAGAGCAATAGGAAGCTTGGCAAGAGTTGGGGAGGACACATGGGGAAATCAAGGTAACATGATCTGATACCCCTCCAGTTTGAAAAGCCCATTCTGACGAACATATAAGATTATGGATTGGAAGGGACTTTAGAGGCTGCAGCAGACCCATCAGGGGCCATTGAGGCAGCCCAGGTAAGAAATGATACCATAAACAAGGTTGTAGTTGATGTACATGTAGAGAAATGGATGAATAGAGAATATTTAATGGTAAAATAAGTAAGAATTGGTGACATATTAGAAGAAAGTGGCAGGGATTTACCCTCAATACTGGAAATTGGGGAAAAAAAACTTAGTCCAGTATAGCAGAAAGAGAAAAAGTGTTCTCATAATTAACAGTAGTTGGCAGTGGTAGGTGGTGAGGAGGGGTGGCAGGCTTCCAGACAGCTCTTCATTTGATCTAAGTATAGAATTACTGTAATTTATGTTGGCTGCAAACTTATTTTTATAAAATGCTGAATCATTTCTTACTTTCTTCTTTATTTCTTCTCCTTTTAACCCTTCACTTAAAGAAAATATAAGAAATGACTTTTTTCCCGTTTGGAGGTAATTAGTAGAAAGAATCGAGTATGTTTCTTATGTTTTTGTTAATGATCTTCAATAAGTCTGAATGGTTCATGTTCACAATTATCTCTGAAAACATTGCTATCTATGCTGTACACTTTCTAAAAGTATGATTATTTATACAATATACTTGATATACAATATATTTATACAATATACTTGATATATTTAGTCAGTGTTTAGCTTTGAACATTGTTTGTTGACGCAGTTTTCTGTGATTAGTTGAACAACAAAGCGTGGATGGTTAAGGTAGGCTAAGGGCTACTAAAAAAACCCCTCCAAATCCCAGTTACTTAACAATGGATAAAAGGTATATGTATTAGTTAATTCTTTGCTCCAGTTCCCAATAAGTTTCTTATTTCCATCTGAGACCTCCTCATCCTGGACTTCACTGTCCATATCACTATCAGCATTTTGTTCACAACAATTAAACAGCCTCTAGGAAGTTTCAAACTTTCCCTCATCTTCCTGTCTTCTTCTGAGCCCTCCAGACTCTTCCAACCTCTGCCCATTACCTAGTTTCAAAGTTGTTTCCACATTTTTAGATATTTTTGTAGCAATATCCTACTCTTGGTACCAATTTCCTGTATTAATCTGTTCTCTGATTGCTATAAAGAACTACCAAAAACTGATTATTTTACTAAGAAGGGAGGTTTAATTGACTCGATTTTGCAGGTTGTACAGGAAGGGTGACTGGGGAAGGCTCAGAAAACTTACAATCATGGCAGAAGGCAAAGAGGAAGCAGGTACATCTTACATGGCCTGAGCAGGAGGAAGAAAGAAAAGGAGGAGGTGCAACACATTTTTAAACAACCAGATCTTGTGAGAACTCACTCACTATCATGAGCGCAGCAAGGGGAAAATCTGCCCCCATGATCCAATCACCTCCCACCAGGCCCCTCCTCCAACACTGGGGATTACAATTCAACATGAGATTTGGGCAGGGACACATATTCAAACCATATCAATAGATGTCGTCTTGTTTCACAGTCTAATACAAATAAGTCAGGGCGAAGGGGATCTGTTTCACTCATTCATGGAGCTAGACTACTTCCATCCAGTAGCCATTTTATCTATTTTTTAAAGCTTGGGAGTCCTCATCTGATTCTTCCACCTCTATCAGGCAGGCAATGGAAGACACAGAATACAGAGGATTGCATAGGAGGTTTTAAGAGTACTTTCCTTTGGCCAGAGTTTAGTCACAAATCTAATCTAACTGCAGGAGAAGCTGGAAATATAATCTAGCTGTTTGTCCAGGAGGAAAAAGAAATGACTTTTGGTAATACAGTTGCCTCTTGAATAACACAGGGGTTAGGGGGACTGACCTCCCGGGCAGTCAAAAATTCACATAAAACTTTTGACTCCCCGAAAACTTAACTACTAATAGCCTACTGTAGATTGGAAGCCTTACCCATAATATAAACTGTCAATTAACACATATTTTGTCAGTTGTATGTAATAAATACTGTTTTTCTATAATAAAGTAAGCTGGAGAAAAGAAAATGTTACAGAGAAAATCATAAGAAAGAAAAAATGTATCTACTAGTCATTAAGTGGAAGTGGATCATCATAAAGGTCTTCATCTTTGTTACCTTCATGTGGAGTACACTGAGGAGGAGAAAGAGGAGGGGTTGGCCTTGCTGTCTCAGGAGTGGCAGAGGCAGGAGAGGTGGAGGAGGTGGAATAGAAAGCATGAAAGTCAGGAACACTCGGTGTAAGTTTATGGAAATACATGGTAATTTCTGTCTGACTTAAGCTTTTTCATTTATCTAAAAATGTTTCTATACAATATAGTTCCTCCTTCCACCATTTGCTTCAGTTTTGATGCCCATATCATGGAAGAGTCCATGTTATAAAATAAATCAAAAGTAGTCTTAAATAATAAGAATCCTTCTGCCAGATTGCCCAAGTCATCTTCTGTTAATTCATCTGATGTGGTGCCTATTAGCTCTTGAATTTCTCCAAAATGCTTATCTAGAAATCGTTCACCTAACCACTTTTTGTTTTCTTCTATATCCACAATCTCTGTCATGATCTCCTCGATTGGCTGTTTCAAAAATCCTATGAAGTCATGCACAACATCTGGACACAGTATTCTCCAGTAAAAATTTGTTGTTTCAGGATTGATAACTTTCACAATCGTGAAATCACTTTCACATCATTGTTTCACTAACAATGATGGTGCACTTTCAATGGCATAATTCTTCCAGATTTTCATGATGTTCCCTCTATTGAGGTTCTCTTTTTATAGTGGTGATAATCCTTTTCATAGGGAGCCATAGGTAATGAGCCTTAAAGGTTCTATGACTCCCTGATCTAGAGGCTGAATTAGAGACACTGTGTTTGCAGGCAAGTAGACCACTTTGATGCCTTCGGTGTTGAACTCATGGCACTCTGGGTAGCCAGGAGGCATTGTCTAATATCAAAAGACCTTTAAAAGGTAATTACTGGCAATGGACTTTTTGACTTAAGGGACAAAGCATCAGTGGAGCCAATCCAGAAGAATGCCGCGTGTTGTCCAGGTCTTCTTGTTGTACAATTAAAAGACTGGCAGCTAGTGTTTATCTTTTCCCTTCAATATGTGAGGGCTAGCAGCTTTACAGATAAGGGCAGGACTGATCATAAGCCTGACTGCATTTGCAAAACAGTAGAGTTAGCCTTAAATCATGCCTTAAATACTGGTACTTGCTTCTCTTTCTTACTAATAAATGCCCTATAGGGCACTTTTATCTGCATTAAAAAATCTATTCAGGCAGGTATCCTTTCTCCTCAATGATTTTCTTACCAGTTTTCTGAGAACTTGTCTGCTGCCTTTTGGTCAGCAGAAGCTGCTTCTCATGTTAACATTTTTTAAGCCAACTTCTCCCCCAAATTATCAAACCATCAAAATATTAACATCTAAGCTGAGATATACTCAGTGTAAAATACATACAAATTTGGAAGACTTAGAACAAAATATGAAATATCTCAGTAATTTTTATTTTGATATGTTATATTTATATTACATTTGCTATATTAGGTTGAATATACTATTAAAATTTATTCACTTATTTTTTATTTTTCTTAAAGTGAATACTGGAACACTTTCAATTATATATGTGGCTTGGCTTGCATTATATTTCCATTGGACTTCAGTATTAGGAACCAACCTTATAAAAAAAAAAAGAGCTTGAAGGGTAAGTGTCAATAATAAAAATTTCAAGTAAAACTTCACAGAGTAGATTTTTTTTAAGCAAATAAACATTTTAGATTCCACAAATCATGCCTAGTTTTATCCGAATTGACCAGTGATTGCAGCAGTACAACCACTTATAACAGAGATTCAACATGAGTCTCCTCGAACCTCGGTTAAATGTAAGCCATATCAAAAATCAAATCAAAATCTAAATGTGGTATCACTAGACATGCAGAATGGCTAAAGTTTTTTATAAGTCAGAAAATAATAACTTCTGGAGAGGATGTGGGAAAACTTGATTTCTCATACACTGATATGTAAATTGATATAACCCCTTTAGCTCGTGGAATCTACCAAAGTGAAACACTGCGTATCCAGAAACTCCACTGTCAGATAGACACCTAACACAAATACCTATCTATGTTCACCCAAAAATATGTACTAGAATGTTCAGAACAGCATTGATTGTAATATCCCAAAACTAAAACTGCCTTCATGGCCATCAACTGTAAAAGGCGTAGTGTGGTATATTCACACAGTAGAATTCTATACAGCAATTTGATATATCTCAAAAACAATATTGAAATTAAAAAGCTATATACAAAAAAGAATATGCTGTATGATTTTGTTTATATAAAAATACAAAACTGACTAAATTGTGCTGTTAAAGGGCATGATAGAGGTTACCTGCATAGGAGGAAAAGCAGAAAAAAACACAAGGGGGCACAAGAAAGGCTTCTGTGGTTCTGATTCTATTCCGTTTTTTGATGAGTGTGTTTGTTCTGTGAAAACGTATCAAGTGATATACTTAGGATAATATGTACCTTTCTCCATGTGCATTATACTTCAATTAAAAGTCTTAATAACGTAAGCCATAACATACATTATTGAGTGTCCCCAAAAAGATTAGAGATGTAACCCCAAAATAGTTTCATTTAACTCAAAAAAAAGATGTATAACAAATAAAATATTAGTAAATTGGATCTAGCACTGTCCAATAATACATTATTATTGTTTATTATAGGTACTCAATGATAGTTCAATTAAAAAAATTTATTACATTAATAAAGTTTATGTAATCTTTATGTTTGTTTGTCTTGTTTTATCCTTATCACATAACTTTTCTTCTTTCCCAGGTAGTAACATAGGTTAATGAGATGTGTAGTGTCCAGTAATTTTCTCCATAACTTATACATCCATTTTATACACATATAGAGAGAGTGAACATGAATATATTTTTGTCATTTCTTTACTTTGTAAAAATGAGATTATATTATATTTGTTTCTCCTCTTCTCACATTTTTTTTTTTACTTATCAAATCCTCATGGAAACCTCTCTAGGCAATTTTGGCAACTATTATTCTAGTATTTGTATTATATTGCATGTGGAAAAAGAAAATTTACATAAAAGTTTATTTAACTTTTACTCAGTTGAGAATTTAATTTTATTTTTTTTTTGCCACTAGGACAATATTCAAATGGGAATAGTAACAGCTCCAGTCTACAGCTCCCAGTGTGAGCGATGCAGAAGATCGGTGATTTCTGCATTTCAAACTGAGGTACGGGGTTCATCTCACTGGGGCTTGTCAGACAGTGGGGGCAGGACAGTGGGTGCAGCGCACTGAGTGTGAGCTGAAGCAAGGTGAGGTATCGCCTCACCTGGGAAGCACAAGCGGTCAGGGAATTCCCTTTCCTAGCCAAGGGAAGCAGTGACAGATGGCACCTGGAAAATTGGGTCACTCCCACCCTAATACTGCACTTTTCCAATGGTCTTGGCAAACGGCACACCAGGAGATTATATCCTGCGCCTGGCTCAGAGGGTCCCACACCCATGGAGCCTCACTCATTGCTAGAGCAGCAGTCTGAGATCAAACTGCAAGGCGGCAGCGAGGCTGGGGGAGGGGCGCTGGCCATTGCTGAGGCTTGAGTAGGTAAACAGTAGGTAAACAAATTGGCCAGGAAGCTCTAACTGGGTGGAGCCCACCACAGCTCAAGGAGGCCTGCCTGCCTCTGTAGACTCCACCTCTGGGGGCAGGGCATAGCTGAACAGAAGGCAGCAGAAACCTCTGCAGACTTAAATGTCCCTGTCTGACAGCTTTGAAGTGAGTAGTTGTTCTCCCAGCGCCGAGTTTGAGATCTGAGAATGGACAGACTGCCCCCTCAAGTGGATCCCTGACCCCCGAGTAGCCTAAGTGGGAGGCACCCTCTGGTAGGGGCAGACTGACACTACACATGGCTGGGCACCCCTCTGAGACAAAGCTTCCAGAGGAATGATCAGGCAGCAACATTTGCTGTTCACCAATATCCACTGTTCTGCAGCCTCTGCTGCTGATACCCAGGCAAACAGGGTGTGGAGTGGACCTCCAGCAAACTCCAACAGACCTGCAGCTGAGGGTCCTGACAGTTAGAAGGAAAACTAACAAACAGAAAGGGCATCCACACCAAAACCCCATCTGTACATCACCATCATCAAAGACCAAAGGTAGATAAAACCACAAAAATGGGGAAAAACAGAGCAGAAAAGCAGAAAATTCTAAAAATCAGAGCACCTCTCCCCCTCCAATGGAACGTGGCTCCTCAGCAGCAATGGAACAAAGCTAGATGGAGAATGACTTTGACGAGTTGAGAGAAGAAGGCTTCAGACGATCAAACTTCTCCGAGCTAAAGGAGGAAGTTCAAACCCATTGCAAAGAAGCTAAAAACCTTGAAAAAAGATTAGACGAATGGCTAATTAGAATAACCAGTGTAGAGAAGTCCTTAAATGACCTGATGGAGCTGAAAAACATGGCACAAGAACTACGCGATGAATACACAAGCTTCAGTAGCCAATTCAATCAACTGGAAGAAAGGGTATCAGTGATTGAAGATCAAATGAATGAAATGAAGTGAGAAGAGAAGTTTAGAGAAAAAAGAGTAAAAAGAAGCAAACAAAGACTCCAGGAAATATGGGACTATGTGAAAATACCAAATCTACATCTGATTGGTGTACCTGAAAGTGATGGGGAGAATGGAACCAAGTTGGAAAATATTGTGCAGGATATTATCCAGGAGAACTTCCCCAATCTAACAAGGCAGGCCAACATTCAAATTCAGGAAATACAGAGAACACCAGAAAGATACTCCTCGAGAAGAGCAACTCCAAGACACATAATTGTCAGATTCACCAAAGTTGAAATGAAGGAAAAAATGTTAAGGGCAGCCAGAAATGTCGGATTACCCACAAAGGGAAGCCCATCAGACTAACAGCGGATCTCTCAGCAGAAACTCTACAAGCCAGAAGAGAGTGGGGGCCAATATTCAACATTCTTAAAGAAAAGAATTTTCAACCCAGAATTTCATATCCAGCCAAACTAAGCTTCATAAGTGAAGGAGAAATAAAATCCTTTACAGACAAGCAAATGCTGAGAGATTTTGTCGCCACCAGGCCTGCCCTACAAGAGCTCCTGAAGGAATATATAAAGTATATACTAGGTGTGTCAGATGTCTAGACTAAAGTGGTGTCATTGCATAAAAATTTAAAATTATAATAGATGTTTCCAAAAGGACAGATGTAATGTACATTCTTACCATAAATTAAATGTATATTTTCCTGCACCATCAGTAACAGTAATAGGTAATATAATTATATAAGAAATTCACTGGGATAAATTAGAAGAGAGTGGCCAATTCTGCACAATGTGAGGAGAATATCAGAATTTTATAGAGAAGGAAGGCTTAAGGTGAGTCTGAAATGATAATTTTATATATTTATATTTCTCAACATATAAAATGATGTAACATTTTGTACATAATAAGTAGCTGCTTTTATACAGTATAGAATATGGCAAGTAAGAATTTTTATTTTTAGGAAAAATAAATTGCCATCCTATAACTAGATCTATAGAACTCATTCTTTCTTAATCATTAATTTTTAGGGCAAAATTTCAATTATAAGAACATGGGATTTTTTTTCCCAAAAGGATTTTTTTGAGGTTTTTATTCTAATGTTAATTCATGTTTATTACAAAAAGTTGTCATGCAATATAGAATTCTATAAAGTAGAAACTAGTGTCTACATTATTGTAACTATGATGCCATTGATTTGCTATCAATATGGCTCATCCCCTTTCCTCATAATTCTTGTTTTTCTAGAATTTCCTGGTTCCTCTAGAAGAACTTCAGAATTAAATTCATTAAGTTTATAAAAAGTTCAAATGAAATTTTAGATTAAATTAATTACACTTAATTTGTAGATTATATAGAATTGACAGCTTCATAATACTGAGTCTTTCTTTCTGGGAACATGATGTATCTTTTCATTTATTCATCATTATTGAGCTTTTAAAACTTATTTGAGCCTCTTTGGGAGGATGGGATAGGGAGCAGTAGATGATTCAGCTCAAGCAGAACAGATTCTCTTTCAGGCTTTGAATCTTTCTTTGTAGTTCATTCCATACAGAGATAAGCTCATAAAACGATAGGAAGTTTCTCAATACTATAAGAGCAGAGGGAGCACTTACCATTTAAAAACATCTTTAAGCCATGAAAAACATTTGTTAAATTTAGTTGTTGACATTTTTAGGTTGATTTTACCTAGGCTATGAAATCTAACTCTGAAAGCTTCCTTGGATATGCTTAAGAAAATGTTGAAAAATGCATGGTTAAATTATTTGATTGCTTATACTTTTAACAAAAGGTATTTGTTGGTTAGGCTCCTTAACTAATGTTCTAGTTTTAAAACATCACTTCAACATTTATTTTGTTTAATATTACTATTTGGCTTATCCAGGAGTAACCCAATGTTCTTTTTATAAAATTTTATTTAAAAGGTAATGTTAAAAATTAGATGTTTCTTAATATTCTTCCTAATAAAATTTGTCACAAAGATTTTACTTTATTTTAGACAGATTATTTAATATTAAGCTACTTTATGTCTAATCTAAGAATTTTGCTTTTGCTTTTGTTTTATTTAGAAACTTGTAGAATTGTATACTGTCAAGGTCCCCAGAGTGTTATATGGTTCAAATTTATGCCTGAATGTCATTTTGTTCTTATAAAAAAATCTTTGCCTTATCGATCCCATTTTAAAAGCTTTCTATGTGCTGAGATTGTGTTATATCTTTTAGTGCTGTCCAAATGTTGAATCATCCTTTCACTCCAGGACTATATTAATTTCTAGATGAATTTTCTTTTCTGTCTATACATTATTTTTCATTTTCAAAAAAGATCAATTGGTTGCAATGTCCAGCAAAAGTCATCGTCTTAATTCTCACATGAGCCAAATTGTTTTTCCCTACTCGGGGCCCTGAAACTTTATTTCTAATTCTTGTGAGTATTAGAAATACCTTACAAAGTATGTGATCTGCATAGGTCCATTAACAACTGCTAAGTAAAATTAATTTTGCTTTAAGATTTTTTACTTCACTTATAGTTTTATCTTTTCAGGACCAATTTTCTTTAACTCTTTTCATTTTAATCATATACCTGATTTTTTTAAAAAAACATTTAAATAATTTTTGCTACTTGTCATCCTTAAAGCTTATTGGCTTGAACTTGTTGGCTAAAGTTGGATATGATATACTTATGCATATAATTCTTCCTGAATATTGGGGAAGATTTGTTTGTAAGTCTAGTGTCCTTTTCCTATCTAATATCCAATATTCCATTAAGAAATGATGATGTTTATATAGTAAACAATTAACTTTAACCAAATAGAGATCTGGCTTCCACTCTTGGCTACTGGGAGGTGACCTCTATCTCCCTGGAATGTATTCCTTGACAGAAGGCTTTTTCTTTTTCTTTTTCTTTTTTTTCTCTAGGGACTTTTGCCATTGGAAAGTGTAACAATGGGATTTGTAATGGGGTTGCTGTAATATGCGATGAGTTCCCACCTCCTGAAAAACTGGTGACTAAAGGTATTAAATTGAACTGTTAGGAGAGGCTGGTGACTAAAGGTCAGCCACTTGGGCAGTGTGTGATCAATCCTCAATAAAAACTCTAGGCTTCAAGGGTGCACTTCCTTGGTTGGCAATGATCACTCTTGTCACACACTATATCCATCATTCAAGATGCCACAGAAGATGACCTGAAACTCCACATTTGGCCCTCTCTGAGATTCTGGCATCCAGGCATCTCTTCCAATTTGGCTGATTCTAATTTGTATCTTTTCACTATAATAAAACTTTAATCATGAGTAGAGTGCTTTCGTGAGTTCTTTGAGATTTTCTAGTAAATTATCCAACCTGACAGTGGTCATGGAAACTCTGAAACTTATAGCCAGCTTGTCTGAAGTGAGGGTGGCCTGGGAGCCCTCAAGCTTGTGGCTGGTGTCTGAAGTGAGAGTGGGCTTCTGGAGACTGTGTCTTCAAACCTGCATAGTTTCTCCAACTCAGAATAAAGTCCTTATGTTAACTAATGCAATATGTAAGTAAAAGGTGTGCTTCATGTATACCTAGATACAACCACATGAAAAAGATCCACTTTGTTTAAGAAACCTCATTGAGTAACTACTATTTGTCAAGCACTGAGAAAGGGAAGTATTTTAACAATTTCTTTTCCTGCAAGTAATATTATTTTTAACTCATGTATTATGTCATCTTAAAAACATATGCTTACCATAGAGATCATTAAAATATGATACTATCTTAGGATAAATAAAGTCTGAAAAGAAAAACTATTTGTGAGCAATTTGAATAACTTGACCTTGGGATACCAGTTAAATTTTAAACCTGTTCAGTCTAAAGGGCTATAGCCTAAAATTCTCTTCTGTTGTCATTAGATGCATAGTGTGATAGTAACAGAATACTCATTCTTGTTTTATAGAGATATCTTGAGGAAAGATGAAAAAGATCAATTAAACCACAAAATTTGGCAATTTAAAACAGTCTGCTTTGAAGGGAGATAAAATGCTTCTCTATTTGAAGTTTTTAAAGGTTTCATTGTGTTTAGAAGTTGCTAGGGATTAAAAACTTCTCGAAAAAGGGTTGAATGATCGCCAAGATTGCTGATAAATAACCCTCTACTGAGTCTGAAGGAAGTGGTGATTGTGAGACCAGATGACTGGCCTCTTAGAATGCCTTAATCAATAATCTGGGAGAGATTGTAAAAAGCATTCAAATGAAATTTCAAAGATGCTAAATGAAGGTTTTTCAAACACCACAACATTGGTCAAATTATGTAGCTGGGAATTAGGAACCTGGGATGTAATTATTTCTTTTTTTTATTTTTATTTATTATTATACTTTAAGTTTTAGGGTACATGTGCACAATGTGCAGGTTAGTTACATTTGTATACATGTGCCATGCTGTTGCGCTGCACCCACTAACTGGTCATCTAGCATTAGGTATATCTCCCAATGCTATCCCTCCCCCGCCCGCAAACCCCACAACATTCCCCAAAGTGTGATGTTCCCCTTCCTGTGTCCACGTGTTCTCATTGTTCAATTCCCACCTATGAGTGAGAATATGCGCCATCCCATTACTGGGATGTAATTATTTCTAAGGATTCAAGTGGTAACATTCAGGAAGAGGTAATGACAGTCGTGAGGACAATTTTTGATTCCCATAAGAATATTTGTCTGATCTTGCCTTCCTAATTCACTATGTAGCTTATACATGCTTATTGAGTGTTTGGCTATATTCTGATAATTTTCACAATTGTCAATGAGCCATCTATGTCATTCGGAATCTACTGTCATGGTTAATTCCTTATATTTAAAAGTGACAAAAAGGACATGACAATTTTGGTTTTGAGAACAATGTCATTGAGCAAATTAGTGATCCAAATAGAGCTGTTTTACACTTCCACCATGAACTTTTTTAGGGAGTTATTTTTATAGTAGAAAACATGCATGTTTTGCTACACAGTTTGCATAGAATTAGTATCTGTTCTTACAGCTAAGAGAAATTCTAAGTGTTATAATTTTTTTCTTAATACTTCTCTTTGATTTTAAAACCTTTGAAATACCTTAAGACTTACCATCATTTTCCAAGAATTGTGTTGAGAATAATTCAAAATCATATGATAAATTACTGCTTTTATACCTTCTGTTCAGTGGCAGGAGTGGAAGTGCAGTTGAAAGAGTTAATGTAGCTTCAATTGGTGTCTATTTACTACTACAGAGTGGCAAGCCCAAGGAGAATATGGCTAAGTGCATGCTTGTGGAGTCAGCTAGTAGCAGCAGGATTTCAGAAAATGACTTAATGCTTTGGTCATGTGCTTCAGTTCATATGTAACGAACCTGCACTTTGTGCGCGTGTACCCTAAAACTTAAAGTATAATAATAATAAAATTTAAAAAAAAAGAGTGAAGACAATATTCAGTGTCTTACACCTTCTGAGTGTTTGACATTATGTTATCCTTCCAACTGTGAAATGAATTCTGGGCTGTCCTCAAATCCCAGTAAGTAACTAAAACTGCTCTAATGTAAAGAAGTAGGTACCAGAGCAGTAATTACTACACACACTTAAAAATGTACCAAGCCCATTTACCCTGTGTTTTTAAAGTGATACATAGGTTGGCTATACTGACACTAATTAGACTCATGGGTGATGCCACAGGATGGCATAGACAAGGACACAATTATTGCAATCACGGCTTATTCCAAGTCAGGCTTTATAATACCATAAAGACTGGGGGCAGTGGGTGTGGTAGTCAGACCCCAATTTTAGACAGAGATTTCAGGAATTTATGGCCAGAATTCAATCTGGCTAGAGAACTTTGAAGTAGCTTTGTGGGTACCAACATGTTTAATCGTCAGAAGATGTTGTCTGAGAGGTGAACCATTACTCCTAAAACAGCATCTTCCTCTGAAGATGGGGCTAAGGCAATTCCAAATACGGTGAGTTCCCAAGAGAATAATGGTGATGGTGCCCAGTCTGACATGTACTGAGAATTCAAGATATATTAGACATTATTCTTAATGTTTTCCATGTATAAACACATTTAGCAATCCAAACTCATTTAGTCTTTGAAGTAGGTTCTGTTATTATTTCTACTTTATGGGTAAGGAGAATGAGGCACAAAGTAGTAAGTTATCTGCGGTCACAAAACGGGTCTACTGGGATTCAAACTCATGCAGTGTGATAATAGTTTCTTCACTCTCAATCACAATTTTATGATAATTTAGGAATTTTGACATATTTGGTCCCTTATAACTTAAAGTATATTTGGGAAACCTCAAACTTTGCTTTAGTAAGCAAATTTAACATAGAAAAATAATTTTGGGCTGTCATTTTAAGAGGAATAAAACTTTGTGATATGCAGTACTTCAATACATCTCGGGAATGTCATCAGGTTAAAATATCTGTATCTATATCTATATCTATATCTATATCTATATATCTATAGATGATTTTTTTGGAGACTGAGTCTCTCTCTGTCACCCAGGCTGGAGTGCCGTGGCGCAGTCTCGGCTCACTGCAACTTCCACCTCCCGGGTTGAAGTGATTCTCCTGCCTCAGCCAAAAAATATATTTTATCAGATCATTGTTATCAGATATATAGGTGTCTTTGTAGACATCTGGCATGTAGTCCTGATTCCCTGCAAGCATGTATTTTAAAAAGGTGCTTGAAACTCCAGAAATAATGTGTTTTGTAGGTATATTTTTCTGAATTGAATACTTATTGTTTTAAAAGTTCTCAAAGAGTATTGTGACCCACAAATATTAAAAATCCAATCTATATATCTTTAGATAATTCTTCTCTCCTTCCTTCTCAATGCCACAGTTGTCTCCTTGAACTCATCTATTTTCATCTTCACTTCTTCCCCTTTTTTACCCCTAGCCTATCACCATGTAGGACCAGGTTCTCTACCATTCTCTCCTTTGCCCACAGCCATAAGAGCTGATAGTAAAGCCAATTTGGTCATCTTTGAAATGAACTCACCATTCTTTTGGCTTACAAAAGGGTCCAAACTTCAACCACAGAGTGGTCTGAAGGAGTTTGGTGGTTTCAAGTTCACCTTCCCCCAATTGCTGTTCACTCTTTTGAGTCACCTTAGTATATTATGGTTGCCCTGTCTTCCAGAGCCTGAAACTCAGAAATGTCACCCCTTGTCAGAGATTACATAGCAAAACCTGGTTACAGTCTCATGACTTTCTATCTATAGGAATGTGTAATTTCTCCCACATATGCTGTTCTTTCAGGAACATTCCCCCTCTGCTCCTCTTTCAAGGCAGATACAAAAGCAAAAATGTACTGGGTAGGGAAAATCCAAATTAGAGGACATGCTCTTCTGGTTTCTTAAATTCTTACTTGAGACAATAACTGGGTATGCTCATCCAGTTCCTGTAGGTCAGAAAGCTTAATTTGCAATTGATGTTTAATTCATTCATTTGTTTGTTTGTTTGTTTGTTTTTTCATTCGATGGCCTGACATTGGACTATGTGCTAATGACATAACAGTAAATAAGGCAGACTATACTTTTGTCTCATACAGGTTTAATTCAAAGCCAAACTTCCTTTAGGCTTTCTGAACATAAATCTTTAAATCTTGGGTATTTAATGAATTCTGTGTCCCTAAAGTGAGCAAAATATTTTAGTTCTCATCTGAATAGGGCCATTCATATCTTTGTCACTTTCTTGCTAAGTATAGCCACTGAAAAATTACTTAATATTTTGGTTTCTTATTAACTGATGCGCATGTATAATAGAGATAATAGTAATGCAGTATGATTTTAGTGACTAGAAAGCGTCCTAAAAACATACAGTACCGAGAGAGCTCCAGGTAGTGAGGGGACCATTTGAAATCTCATTTCCATCTGGCTGCTTATGCAAACATTTAACTTGCATTTTGCCCTCTTTATGTATATTTCCTTTGTGGTTGCAGGCATCCCTGATGCCATTATCTGCTGTTTGACTTGAAAATTGAACTTGTCTCTTTGAAATATGTTACACAGTTTAAAAAGTGTAAGCAAACTCTGACATTAAAATCAACTTAAGCAGAGACAAATGAATATAGATGGGGGTACTTCACTGCTTTTCCCCTGGCTCCCTCCCCTGACTACCCTTTGGCTGGGATGTGTGCAGTTTGACAGAGCCATAATTCAGTATATGTTCAAAGGCTACAGATTCAGCAGTGAGCACTTAAATGGTACTGTAAGTGATATCTTAACAGCTTCTCTTAGGCTTAAAAGTGAATTCTTGTACAGACTAATATATTGTACAATTTTTTAAAAAGATGAATGGAGAAAATACCCTGACTTTAAGAGTGCTCCTCCCATAATAGCTGAAATTTGTGATTCACCAGCAGGCCCACATAATAGTTTGTGCAGTAGTGGTACTACAGTTTAAGGAAACTTCTTGATTCTAAGCCATAATTAACTAGAATTTTTGTTTAATTATTATAAAAAATAGGATTTCAGTAAGAAAATCATTTTGTTAGCATTTCTTACACTGGTGTGTTTCTGGGCATTACTGCTCTTGTAATTTTTTTCAGTACATTGAGTACAGCTGTAGGTACTGACTGCTGCAAAGACAGGGCCTGGGACAAATGCTTGTTATGATTGGCTGAGGAGGGCAAGGGTCCTAGGATGGATGACTGGCTTTCTTTAGTCAAGCTAGGAAACCACCATTTGACAGAGTACCATGGTTCTTGTCTATTGCTATAATCTTAATTGCTTTGGGGAGACCTGAGATGAGACCATAAAGAATATGTAAATATGAACCTCTGAGAATAAGGCAGGACCATTTCTCAGACTTCTCAAGGACACACTGGAAGACCTGTTCATGTAGGTCATTGTTCTTTGATTGACGTGGGGGTTGGAATCAGTTTTAGTTAGGTGAATATGCGTAGGAGAAGCTAATAAAAGACTATATACTTTTGTTTGCCTTAAACTTCATCTATCTCTTCAAGTATTTTTTTGTCTCTAAGAAACTAATCTTCTAAGGGAAAGTGAGGCAACAGCTGTATTTTGAAATCATGTTAGTGTACACTTGCAGCCTCAAGATTCCAAGAAGGCCTATGGAATTTTGTTCTGAGCATATCAGAACTATGTGTTTGCATAAAGGAGCAAACCAGTCCTGAGGCTCCTGTGCATTTATGACATGTGTACAGCAAATGCAGAAGCAGTAAAAGAGGAGACAGAGTGTGGGTGCACAGGAGGAGGCTAGACCAGATGAACAGCACCTACTCTCTCACCTTCTGGGGTAGAAATGGACACAAAGTAAGTGACTAAGAGGAGTGGGTGGATAAGCACATAAAGTTAGGATTCTCTGAGCTCCCTGAATGATATGAACAAGAAAGACTAAATCAGGATTAGGGAAAATCCAGAACACATAAAGGAAATCAGGCCTCTGAAATATTAACAAAACAATGGATTTTTTTAAAGCAGTTTAATTCAATGATTTCAAATTGCATCCTGCCAATTAGGTGCTAATTGGAAGAGTTTAAATTGTGGGAATTTCTACAAAAGGAAAATATGTTTTTCCTTCACATTTCTCGACTCCCTGTAGGACTCACAGGAAACAAGTTTTTGTTGTACGGAGGTTAGAGGGGCTTAGCAGCCCAGAAGTGCTAAACAGGTTGTTTTACATAGTCAACAGCATTTACTGAGCATTAATTATACAGGAAACATCATATCCTTCACTACATTTTGTCTGAAAAACTGAATATGAAAGATTCTGAGAAGAGACGTAGGTTCAAGTTTAGTAACATCAGGGCCTGCATTAAGAAGCAACCTCACTGATCCTGTGGTTCAGCTTCAAGGTTCTAAAGATTGTGCGAGAATGAGACTTCTTTACCTTTTTTGTTACTTGAGTTTCTTTTTCTTGAAGATAAGCGATAAATTATATCCGACTGAAGCAGGCGCATCTTAGCATTGGTTTCTTCTCTCCAACAAAGGCTTATTCTCCACAGGAGGTTTTCTTTAATATGAATAAATTATATCAAATTCAGATCATGCTTATAATCAGATATTGGGATTCAGAGCAGCACTTGTTCCGCAAACAATATCTTTTCTCTCAGGAATACATGTGACTTTTTCTAAAAACTTTAGTTGGTCAGTTCAAATTTCCCCTCTCTCCCTCTCCTGCCAGTCCTCCCTCTTATCTTTCCCCTCCCCTCTTTGCTTCCTGCTTACTCCTGTGCTGTGCATTAGAACATATTTTCTCTTGGTAGAAGGCGTTTATCGCTTCTTATGGGTATCTAACATCACCAGGCGAGTGGATAAGAGCAGTTACAACAAAAATGATAATGAAGAGTTTTCTAGCATGAAGGAAAATAATAGAGCCAGCTCCCTGCAATTTACTTGAGTCATGTACAACTCTGGCTGTTTGATGTTCAAGAGCCACACTAGACCTGCCTTTAATCTTTACATGTGTAGGTTTAGCTGCAATTCTTAGCAGAGCATTAGTTCAAAGGGGAGAAATGCAATCACCACCACCACCAACAACAAACCGAAAACATGCTTAGCGGGGCTTAGAAGCCCCAAAGTGCTAAACAGATTGTTTTACATAAGAGATACAGGCTGGGAGCAGCCTGTTAGAGATCCAATATAAAAACTGTAGCAGAGGTGGAAACATGTTTCTGTGCAGCAAATTTGTGGTCTGAAATATTATGGAATAAAACATTATAGAACATTGCAGTCACCTTCAGGAATTAACATGGTAAACCTGATGTGGATGTGATGTGATGAGCACTGACTCCATGCATGTCTTCAGGTTTCAGTAATTCTGAATTCTAAATGTAAACATGGCCAGGCATTCTGGAAGTATATGTGCTCTGTGTCTGTTTACATAATGGTGTAAGTGTTTCTTCTTTATACAATTAGTGATTTTGAAATTGAGATTTGTCTTTACATGAAAATAGTACGTATTCTCAGCTTCCCTATATCCCTTCTCTATTCCAAATGGGACAACTCAGCAAGTTGGAAGAATTGGTTAATTGCAGCAGCTGTTGCATTAATAGCTTTTGGGTTAATTTGTTTGGAAACAATTTATGGGGAGATGAGTTATTGTTCTCCATAATGAATTTTCAAATATTCAAATGACATTGTCAGAACAGCTGCATTAGCTAGTCTTTAGGAATTATGAAATAATTTATTTTCAGGTACCTTATTCCAGAATGGTTTCTCTCTATAATGGTTTAGGTGATGAGGTTTACCACTCAATAAAAAATTAATGCCTTTGGGGAATTGCCTGTTATTCCCCAATATGCCAATTCTTCCCAAAATATATAAGTTTAACTATATTGCTGTAGTAGAAGTAATATGAATGCAAAATTAGGTCAGTGTTTTGGGTAGATCCAAAGGTTTTCTTTTTGTTTGTTTTTTTTCAACTGGAGGCTAGTTTTCAGTAATTTTTTTGACTGTTAAGTAACCACCTTGCAGGTTTAAGAATAACTAGCTGTGTGTGGCTATTGACTTAGCCCTGGACACAATAAGTTATGCCCAGTTATGCCTGTGTACCTGAGGAAGTGTCTGTCTTTTCCAGAGTTAGCCAATAAAGGGATGAGGCGTACATCTCTCAAACTTATAGATGGAAGGGAAAAAGGCTGCTTTATTTGCAAAACTGCTATTCACACAATTATAAATTTGAAAATTTTGCCTGGATAACTTAATTGAAAAAAATTCCCTTTTTCCTTTTTTCCCTTCAGTTATGTAGCTTTTCAGCTTAATTCAGGTTTATTTTGGTGGCCATGTTCAGAACTTCTCTTAGATATATCAAGAGAGGTAGTTCTAGTTCACATAGAAGGCCAGACTTCATATCAGAGGACTGGACTTGAGGACAAACTATGTCAATTATCAGCCCTGGAACGTATGGCAAATCACTTCATCTGTCTCTAAGCCTTAGTTTACTTATGGACCAAGGGAAAACGAGAGATTGTTTTCCACCACATCATTGTAAAAGTTAAAAGCACAATACAAATAAAAATCATTTTTGTTGTATCCTTTGGGGTTTGCTAGCTCACATAGATTATTTAAAATAAAATTTGCTACAACCATATAAATAATGTTTCATACTGATTGATCTCATTCCAGCTTAGGATTTAATCCATGGGGTATGAATTTCAGATTAAGGCTTTTATAACTCATTGCTATTAAATAAATGTAAGAGAAAGGGAAACTGTAAGGAAATCTAAATATATTCATTTATCACCTCATTCACTCATTGAACATTTATTATGTTTCTGCAATGTGCATGCTACTTAAAGTATAGGGGAATTTAAATTATTGCCTTTATGCAAGGACTGGCATAAAAGTAAGTAATTGTGATATGATTGGTGTTATAACATAGTTTATAGCAGTGTAGGGTCTTAAAAGGAAAAGATTAGAATGCTGCCTGGGCATGGAAGGGAGGCAGTGAGGATGGGGGTAGTGCAAAATAGGGTTGTGTAAGGGTTCTTCTTCTGTAGTAGCCCATGGGCTTGTGGGGATGCAGATATATACTTAATTTTAACAAGAAAGATGCTTCGGTAAAGATATGTACAGAAAGACAAAGATATGTACATATGTACAAATATGTACTTCGAGAGCACAGAAGAATGAATGATTGTCTCCAGAAGGTGAAAACGGCTTCACCTTGGGAGGAAAGATAATTTCAACAACCCTCTATGGAGGACCCACTCACTCCTAGGGTAGTGCCAAACACTTCACTTATACTAGCTCACTTCATTATCACAGGGAGAATGGCCTGCTAGTTAACTGTACCCATTCTGAAACCCTATAAACCTGGATTTTCCTCCCAGTTTCTCAGAAGTAACTAATTGTATTACTTAAGATACTTAGTCTTTAAGTCTTTTCAGCCACAAAGAAGGGATAAATATCCTGCTTCTCTGAAAAGTTGGCATGGGCATTAGTCAGAGTATATATAAAGTAATTAATCTAGTGCCTAGAACATACTAAACACTGACTATATAGTGCATTCTATGGTTGTTCTTGTTGGAGCAATAGCAGCAGTAATAGGGGTAACTGCAGTAGGAGTGGCGGGAGTACAAGTATATGAGATCGGTGTCTGCATTAGTCCATTCTTGTACTGCTATAAAGAAATACCAGAGACTGGGTAATTTATAAAGAAAAGTGGTTTAATTGGCTCATGGTTCCACAGACTGTACAGGAAGCATGATGCTGGCCATCTGCTTGGCTTCTGGGGAGGCCTCAGGAAACTTATAATCATGGTGCTCCATCTCAAAAAAAAAAAAAAATCATGGTGGAAGGTAAAGGGGGAGCCAGTACTTCACATAGCCAAAGCAGGAGAAGGATAGAGAGAGGGGAGGTGCTACATACTTTTAAACCACTGGATCTCGGGAGAACTCACTCACTATCATGAAAGCAGCACCAATGGGGAAATCCGCTCCCATGATCCAATCACCTCCCACCAGGCCCCACCTCCAGCATTGGGGATTACATTTCTACGTGAGATTTGGGTGAGGACACAGATTCAAACCATATCAGTATTATTGGCCCCTTTTAAATTATAGGGACGTCAACTCTCAGATGTCCCTATATTTTAAAAAGGGCCAATAATACTGATATGGTTTGGAAACTCCTCAGTTAAGGAGTTTCCTCAATGCTAGTGGGTGACAGAGTCATGATTAGAACTCAGGGTTATCTCATTTCAAAGCTCAAGCTTTTAAATACTAAAAGAAGTTACTATAAAGATGGTTCCTAAAGCAGCAGGAATATGTCTAAAGAAATCAAGATGAGTACTTCATTTTTGAAGTACTTTTTGAAGGCTCAGGGTGCCATGTCATGCCAATTGGAGAAAGAACATATATATTTTAAAGACATTCATCCAGATGATTTCAAATCAAATCCAAAAAAGGAATTTGAAAATCAACAGTGTGATGAACACAAGGAAACTTTGTGTTAATTGAATAAGTTCTTTCAATTTCTTCCTGCTCTGGAACATGAAGAATAATTTCTAGTTATCTACGCAGAACTCATCTTAATCAAAAGTAAAAAGCAGTTTGTTTGTATGTATGTATGCATGTGTGTGTTTTTCAATAACTCTATTTCTTTGGAAGGTGTTTTCAGAATCCACAGTGTTACAGTTTTGCCCCTCCTCCCTTAAATCCAGAGTTCATTGTTTTGGGCATGATACCTCTCAAGCTGTTCTGGAATAAATGTGCCATATTGATGAAGGTGTCAATTCCTACCCTAGGCTTAACAAAACTCTGTTAGTGACAGGCCCCTCTATCTGTAGGCTTTCCTGTTTCAACACCTTGGAACCTGATCTTGGGGAGCAACTGTAGCTCTCCAAAGTGGGGTAGGCAGGGATAGAGTTTTTGTGGGTGAGCCTGGGCTTTGTGCCAGTAGACTTATGTTCAAATCCTAGGCTAGTGACTCCCCCTTTCATAAACTCAGTTTCCTTATCTAGAAAATATTATCTACCTTATTGGGTTGACATAGTAGTCAGCAATAAGCGGTGACTGTCTATTAACGTCACATATGTGATCTAGCTTATTGGATTGATATAGTAGCCAGCAATAAGTGGTAGCTATCATTACATATGTGATACTCAAGAATATTGCTCCCCTCTTCTATGCCAGAAAGGCTGAGGGATCCTGGAGTTTGAAGCCAAAACTTGCTATTTTGGAGGTACTTCTAAAAATCTAGCTTGCTGAATTTTTGACTTCCTACTCCTTTTCCAAAGAGGACAGCAGCCTGTCAATTATCCCATCACCTAGAAACCTTGGCATTTATGAAAAATACGGGTCTGGGACCCACGTAGGCAGAGTTGACCTGCCCTCACTTAAAGGATCCTGTGAACTCTTTGCATCTGCTTTCCACTTCTCTCCCCTCACTTGTACCTGACATACCCAATTAATGCCATATTCTATGTGGCTCTGGGTATTTCTCCTCTGATCACATTGCACAAGTTATGCCCCTGCTCTTTTTTCTTTGACTCATTATTACTGGCAGGTGCCCAGACACTACAGTTGGGACTTTGTGCTGGATGTGTCCGTGTTGCTGATGTTCGCTCCATATTTTGCTTGTTTCCTCACTACCGTAAAGTCTCTATCTATGTCATAAGGCCAATGACATGCTGTTGGGTATACTAAACCTTTCCTGAGAGCCAATATGAGCCAATGTAATCAGTGTTGTCAATGCATATTTTGGGGTGGAAAGTATCTATGTCACCGTAAAACACTTCAAAAATCCACAGAAAAATGATAAGGCATATGCAAAAAACTGGAAAATGGAACTTAGGATGGTGACTCGACTTTAAAATATATCTGCAAGAAGGTAAACCCAAAACAAATGCATTCTAATGGTTAACTTTATCTCAATATTTCAAGCTGTTTTGAAGAAAACACCAATACTGTTAAGAATACCTCAGTATCAACCTTGGGCTGATCTAGCTGATACAGTATTATCCTTAGTTTCTAAAGAAAACATTGATTGCTTTGGGTGAGGAGGAAATCATCCCTACTTAATTTTATTGTGTAGAGTTCGTATGTGTGAATAGCATATATGAACACACACACACAATCACTCATGTATAAATGTTGAGTCCCATACAAGAAAATATTGCCCTAGCTTGGAAATACAAGATAAATATGACATAATACATTTCTCTCAAGAATTTTACACATAATTTAGTCTGAGAGATATTTTATTCTACACAGTGTAGGAAGTGATATACCACAAAAAAGTGAGAAATAAAATGCCATAGGATTTCACAGAGGGGTAGAGTTCAGATCACGTCCATATGAGAATATCATGCCTAAAACTTAAGAGCCTAACAACAATCACCATTAATTTGCTCAAAATTCTGCAATTTCAGTAAGGCTAAATAGGGGTAGCTTGTCTCTGCTTCAAGTCGTGCTTACTAGGATTGTTTGACTAAAACTGGAGGATCCAAGATTTCTTTACTCACATGTCTGGCATCTTACCTGGGTTGGCTGGGTCTTTCTCTGTTGCCCTTCATGGTCTCTCATCCTCCAGAGTCTCTCTCTCTAGGAGGAAGATCAGACTTCTTTACATGGTTGCTGGTTTCAAAGAAGGTGAAAGTAGAAGCAGCGGGCTCAGTAAAATCTAGACCTATACCTGGCAAAGTGTCACGCCTGCCACATTCTATTGGCTAAAGCAAATCACAAGAGTGGTTTATATTCAAAAGGAGGGAAAATAGCATGTGTATACGGTTGTGGGAAGAATTATTGGTGGCTATCTTTGGAAATAATCTACCACATTGGCCTTATAAAATTTGTAAAATTGAGGCACATGGAAATGTGAAGAAAGAATATTCTAGGTGGAAGAAATTAACTAAGCAAAGGTTGGAAGGAGGAAAGTATACGAAAAAAAAATTGCTGAATATTTTTGGAGCCCAGACTCTGAAGGGTGATTGAAATTAGACTCTGGAGACTGGTCTATAGCTGAGGAGTCTCTCAATGTTCCTCATGAAAATTCATGCACAGCCTCCTCATGCCCATTTCTGGTATCCATTGGCTTTAGATCTGCCTACATATGTTCACTACAGAACTGGAAGTGTGCTAAAGAAGAAAATAAACAGATCAGAGGCAGAAGCATATTCTCTCATAAGCAAAAGAAGCATGAAGCCAGTATCATCCTCCAAATCACTAGAAAAACTGATGATTCATAGGTCATTAAAGGAGAGGAGTGGCTTGGCCTATGGAGGAGCCATTTTGCAACATTGGTCTTATAGGCTCACTGTACCCAATAAATAGCCTCTATAGGGGTAAAGTTTGTAATTAAGTGTGTCATGGAGTAGGACACTACTGCATTAAACAAAATATAAGGAGTTTAAGAGAAATTTAGAATAATTTTACAGATATCTAGAAATTTTATGTCAATAAGCTAACCTCTGTTTGAGAATAATAATTCACTAACATTTTCATTCCTGCTGTTTTAACAAAGAAAATATTGGAGTCATAGACTCTATAGACTTGCTGAGATATTTTTGAGAGTTCATCTTTATTTGACAAATTTTCAACTTCATTACTTTGTGTTGTGATTTGCAATAAAATTGGGCAAAATCATCCTCCTATAAATAATAACAAAAGTAAAACAACCAAATTGGAAAATGGATGAAGGAAATGAATGGACAAGTCACAGAAGAGAAAAGTTATGTGGCAAATAGAATGATGAATCAACATTCATTCATCGATAGTACAAGGAACTAAGAATTAAAATAATAATATCCTACTTTTTAAATATTGTGTTAATTAAAAAATTAAAGTAATGAAAACAGCTATACCTGGTAAATGTGTCAAGAAAAAGTCACTGCTATGTATGAATATGCATTACTATTCATATTTTAGAATATACTTTGATGGTATCTGTTAAATTCAAAGCATGCCTACCCTTTGGCCCAGCAATTTCACACCTATTCTAAGGAATATCAGCACCAGTTTATCAGATTAGGATGAGAATATTTATTACAACATGGTTTGTGGTGGCTAAATATAATAATGATTTTAATGGCCACTAAAGAATGGTTGATAAAGTTGTGTTATATTCATGCTATGGAATATTATCACAGATTATAAAAAAAAGAGTCAACAATACATTAATTGACTTGAAGGGGTTTTCATAATACACTACAAGAAAAGCAAGTTGCAGAGAAAAGCCCATGGCATGGTTCCTTCTCTTTTAAAATGACTCCAAATATTTCACCTTTATGTGTATGGGTGTTTTACATGAATCTTTGAGCATGGAGGATATTTTGAAAGGTTGGAAGGGGCTGATGTGGGAAATAAAGGGGAATAGAAGAGGTAAAAATACAGCAAGGCATAATAAATGTTAAAAAATATAGTCTATAGTATTCTATTATATAACTGTAAATATTTTTAAGTAAAATATCTATAGGTTTACAAAGTGACAAAACAAAGGGTAATATTTGTTATGAAATCCCATTGTATTAGTGGTGCTACCTAAAAATAATTAAAAATAATTAGACTAATGTAAATTTCTGATGAAGTAGAAAATATTCAATATCTCAACTAAAGTGATGAAATACATGTTTTATTATTAACCAACTTTTTATTAATGGGAAAATAATTCACTTACGCTGTCAAAAACTCAACTAGAATAAATGGCATGCTGGAAAAAAGAACCTCATTCCCAGAACTTTAAGCCCTACTCAAAGGTGATCAACAAGAGTTTCTCCTGAATCCTTCAAAAAGATAATCTATGTGTGGCCAAGAAGATAGGTAGATAGATATCCAAATATATATACATACATACACATATACCCCATTGTATGCATATGAGAGCATACACAATAGGTTCCTATGTCTATTGCTTTTTTCATTTAATAATATATTATGGAGATTGCATAATATCAGCACATTGAGCCACAACTGCCTTCCCAAACAGAGGTAAATCACTACTTGTGAAAATTTTTTTAATGATCAAGCAAACTTTTCATTATGAATTTCACAAGGATCAAACATATGTTTGTAGAGACAACTGGAGTGTAAAGAGATGACCATGGCCAAGCAAAGATGATAAGTAAACAGTGTTTAGCTATCAAGGCCAGCTATACTCAAGAGTCCACAGACGTTTACTGTTGATAAAAAGTTTTTATGGTACTACCACCAGAGATAGTGTTTGAGAAGTCGCAATGCCCGCTATCATTATAAACAGCAAGGGAAAAGCCTCAGAGAGGGCAGGCCCATTCCACGATTTCCCTGGTTCATCTTCTCATGCAGCTCCTCCTCTCTGAGCTACTCATTCTACTACTTTCCATTCTTTAACTTGCACAAGTGAGTAAATTATGAGGGGACAGTGCAGAGAAGAGATACTTTATGGGCATAGATGAGGCTTTCAAGTATTTGATTTTTTTTAGAAACACTGGCTTTCCTTTTAAAACATTTTACATATCCTTTCTCTCTCTTTTTTTTTTTTGCAGGAAGTCGTCTTTTTTTAAAATTACACATCAGGTTCTGGGATACATGTACAGAATGTGCAGGTTTGTTACATAGGTATACATGTGCCATGATGGTTTGCTGCACCCATCAAACCGTCATCTACATTAGGTATTTCCCCTAATGCTATCCCTCCCCTAGCCACCAACCCCCCAAAAGAAGTCCCCGTGTGTGATGTTCCCCTTGCTCTGTCCATGTGTTATCGTTGTTCAGCTTCCACTTATGAGTGAGAACATGTGGTGTTTTGTTTTCTATTCCTGTCTTAGTTTGCTGAAAAATGATGGTTTCCAGCTTCATCCATATCCCGGCAAAGGACATGAACTCACCCT
The DNA here is from genome assembly GCF_000001405.40 of Homo sapiens. NCBI lineage: Eukaryota > Metazoa > Chordata > Mammalia > Primates > Hominidae > Homo > Homo sapiens. The sequence continues at coordinate 58,322,225 of NC_000006.12, read as the reverse complement.
TTTTTATGGCTGCACCGTCTTCCATGGTATTTATGTGCCACACTTTCTTTATCCAGTCTATTATTGATTGGCATTTGGGTTGGTTCCAAGCCTTTGCTATTGCGATTAGTGCTGCAATAAATATGTGTGTTCATGTGTCTTTATAGTAGAATGATTTATAATCCTTTGGGCACATATCCAGTAATGGGATTGCTGGGTCAAATGGTATTTCTGGTTCTAGATCCTTGAGGAATCGCCACATTGTCTTCCACAATAGTTGAACTAATTTACATTCCCACCAACAGTGTAAAAATGTTTCTATTTCTCCACATTCTCCAGCATCTGCTGTTGTTTCCTGACTTTTTAATAATTGCCATTCTAAGTGGCATGAGATGGTATCTCATTGTGGTTTTGATGTGCATTTCTCTAATGACCAGTGATGATGAGCTTTCTTTCATATGTTTATTGGCTACATAAATATCTTCTTTTGAGAAGTGTCTGTTCATATCCTTTGCCCACTTTTTGATGGGGTTGTTTGTTTTTATTGTAAATTTGTTTAAGTTCCTTGTAGATTCTGGATATTAGCCCTTTGTCCGACGGATAGATTGCAAAATTGTTCTCCCATTCTGTATTTTGCCTGTTCACTCTGATGATAGTTTCTTTTGCTGTGCAGAAGCTCTTTAGTTTAACCAGATCCTATTTGTTAATTTTAGGTTGTGTTGCCATGGCTTTTGGTGTTTTAGATATGAAGTCTTTGCCCATGCCTATGTCCTGAATGGTATTGCCTAGGTTTTCTTCCAGGGTTTTTATGGTTTTAGGTCTTACGTTTAAGTCTTTAATCCATCCTGAGATAATTTTTGTATAAGGTGTAACGAAGGGGTCCAGTTTCAGTTTTCTGCATATTGCTAGCCAGTTTTCCTATTATTTATTAAACAGGGAATCCTTTCCCTGTTGCTTGTTTGTGTCAGGTTCGTCAAAGATCAGATGGTTGTAGATGTGTAGTGTTATTTCTGAGGCCTCTGTTCTTTTCCATTGGTCTATATATCTGTTTTGATACCAGTACCATGTTGTTTTGGTTACTGTAGGCTTGTAGTATAGTTTGAAGTCAGGTAGCATGATGCTTCTAGCTTTGTTCCTTTTGCTTAGAATTTTCTTGGCCATGCAGGCTCTTTTTTGGTGCCAAATGAAATTTAAAATAGTTTTTTCTAATTCTGTGAAGAAAGTCAGTGGTAGATTGATGGGGATAGCATTGAATCTATAAATTACTTTGGGAAGTATGGACATTTTCACAATATTGATTCTTCCTATCCGTGAGCATGGAATATTTTTCCATTTGTTTGTGTCCTCTCTTATTTACTTGAGCAGTGGTTTTTAGTTCTCCTTGAAGAGGTCCTTCACATCCCTTGTAAATTGTATTCCTAGGTATTTTATTCTCTTTGCAGTAATTGTGAATGGGAGCTCACTCAGGATTTGGCTATCTATTATTAGTGTATACGACTGCTTGTGATTTTTGCACATTGATTTTGTATCCTCAGACTTTGCTGAAGTTGCTTGTCAGCTTAAGGAGATTTTGAGCTGAGATGATGGGGTTTTCTAAATATACAGTCATGTTATCTGAAAACAGAGACAAATTGGCCTCTTCTCTTCCTATTTAAATCCCTTTTATTTCTTTTGCTTGCCTGATTGCCCTGGCCAGAACTTCCAATACTATGTTGAATAGGAGTGGTGAGAGAGGGCATCCTTGTCTTTTGCTGGCTTTCAAAGGAAATGCTTCCAGCTTTTGCCCATTCAATATGATATTGGCTGAGGGTTTGTCATAAATAGCTCTTATTATTTTGAGGTACTTTCCATTGATACCTAGTTTATTGAGAGTTTTTGGCATGAAGGGGTGTTGAATTTTGTCAAAGGTCTTTTCTACGTCTATTGAGATAATCATGTGTTTTTTGTCATTGGTTCTGTTTCTGTGGTGGATTATGTTTATTGATTGGTGTAGGTTGAACCAGCCTTGCATCCCAGGGATAAAGCCGACTTGATCATTGTGGATAAGCTTTTTGATGTGCTACTGGATTCGGTTTGCCAGTATTTTATTGAGGATTTTTGCATCAATGTTCATCAGGGATAATGGCCTGAAATTTTCTTTTTTTGTTGTGTTTCTGCCAGGTTTTGGTGTCAGGATGATGCTGGCCTCATAAAATGAGTTAGGGGGGATTCCCTCTTTTTCTATTGTTTGGAATAGTTTCAGAAAGAGCGGTACCAGCTCCTCTTTGTACCTCTGGAAGAATTTGGCTGTGAATCCATCTGGTCCTGGGCTTTTTTTGGTTGGTAGGCTATTAATTACTGCCTCAATTTCAGAACTTGTTATTGGTCATTCAGGGATTTGACTTCTTCCAGGTTTAGTATTTGGAGTGTGTATGTGTCCAGGAATTTATCCATTTCTTCTAGATTTTCTAGTTTATTTGCACAAAGGTGTTTATAGTATTCTCTCATGGTAGTTTGTATTTCTGTGGGATCAGTGGTGATATCCCCTTTATCATTTTTTATTGTTTCTATTTGATTCTTCATTCTTTTCTCCTTTATTAGTCTGGCTAGCAGTCTATCAATTTTGTTAATCTTTTCAAAAAACCAGCCCCTGGATTTATTGATTTTTGAAGGGTTTTTCATGTCTCCATCTCCTTGAGTTCTGCTCTGAGCTTAGTTATTTCTTGTCTCCTGCTAGATTTTGAATTTGTTTGCTGTTGCTTCTCTAGTTCTTTTAACTGTAATGTTCGGGTGTCGATTTTAGGTCTTTCTGACTTTCTCCTGTGGGCATTTAGTGCTATAAATTTTCCATCTAAACACTGCTTTATCTGTGTTCCAGAGATTCTGCTGTGTTGTGTCTTTGTTCTCATTGGTTTCAAAGAATTTATTTATTTCTGCCTTAATTTCATTATTTTCCCAGTAGTCATTCAGGAGCAGGTTGTTCAATTTTCATGTAATTGGGCAGTTTTGAGTGAGTTTCTTATCCTGAGTTCTACTTTGATTGCACTGTGTTCTGACAGACTGTTTGTTGATTTCTGTTCTTTTGCATTTGCTGAGGAGTGTTTTACTTCCAATTATGTGGTTAGTGTTAGAATAAGTGTGATGTGCTGAGAAGAATGTATATTCTGTTGATTTTCGGTGGAGAGTTCTGTAGATGTCTATTAGGTCTGCTTGGTCTAGAGCTGAGTTCAACTCCTGAATATGCTTGTTAATTTTCTGTCTCATTGATCTGTCTAATATTGACAGCAGGCTATTAAAGTCTCCCACTATTATTGTGTGGGAGTCTAAGTCTCTGTGTAGGTCTCCAAGAACTTGCTTTATGAATATGGGTGTTCCTTATTGGGTGCATATATATTTAGGATAGTTAGCTCTTCTTGTTGCATTGATCTCTTTACCATTTTGTAATGCCCTTCTTTGTCTCTTTTGAACTTGTTGGTTTAAGTGTGTTTTATCAGAGACTAGGACTGCAACCCCTTCTTTTTTTTTTCCTTTCCATTTGCTTGGTAAATATTTCTCCATCTCTTTATTTTGAGCCTATGTGTGTCTTTGCACGTGAGATGGGTGTCCTGAATACAGCACACTGATGGGTCATGACTCTTTATACAATTTTCTACTTTATGTTTTTTAATTGGGACATTTAGCCCATTTACACTTAAGTTTAATATTGTTATATGTGAATTTGATCCTGTGATTATGATGCTAGCTGGTTACTTTGCCCATTAGTTGATGCAGTTTCTTCATAGTGTTGATGGTCTTTACAATTTGGTATGTTTTTGCAGTGGCTGGTACCAGTTTTTCCTTTCCACATTTCCTTTCTTCAGGAAGGACTGGTGGTAATAACATCTCTCAGCATTTGCTTGTCCGTAAAGGATTTTATTTCTCCTTTGCTTATGAAGCTCAGTTTGGCTGGATATGAAATTCTGGGTTGAAAATCCTTTTCTTTAAGAATGTTGAATATTGGCCCCCAGTCTCTTCTGTCTTGTCGGGTTTCTGCAGGGAGATCTGCTGTTAGTCTGATGGGCTTCCCTTTGTGGGTTACCTGACCTTTCTCTCTGGCTGCCCTTAACATTGTTTCCTTCATTTCATCCTTGGTGAATCTGACAATTACGTGTCTTGGGGTTGCTTTTATCGAGGAGCATCTTTGTGGTGTTCTCTGTATTTCCTGAATTTGAATGTTGGCCTGTCTTCTAGGTTGGGGATGTTCTCCTGGATAATATCCTGAAGTGTTTTCCAACTTGGTTCTATTTTCCCCATCACCTTCAAGTACACCAATCAAACATAGGTTTGGTCTTTCACATAGTCCCATATTTCTTGGAGGCTTCATTCGTTCCTTTTTATTCTTTTTTCTCTAATCTTGTCTTCATGCTTTATTTTATTAAGTTGATCTTCAATCTCTGATATCCTTTCTTCTGCTTGATCGATTCGGCTATTGATACCTGTGTATGCTTCGCAAAATTCTCGTGCTGTGTTTTTCAGCTCAAGAAGGTCATTTATGTTCTCTCTAAACTGGTTATTCTAGTTAGCAATTCTTCGAACCTTTTTTCAAGATTCTTAGCTTCTTTGAATTTGGTTAGAACATGCTCTTTTAGCTCAGAGGAGTTTGTTATTATCCACCTTCTGAAGCCTACTTCTGTCAATTCATCAAACTCATTTTCCGACCAGTTTTGTTCCCTTGCTGGTGAGGAGTTGTGATCCTTTGGGGAAAAAGAGGCCTTCTGGTTTTTGGAATTTTCAGCCTTTTTGCACCAGTTTTTCCTCATCTTCATGGATTTATCTACCTTTGGTCTTTGATGTTGGTGATCTTCGGATGGAGTTTTTGTGTGGACATCCTTTTTGTTGATGTTGATGCTATTCCTTTTTGTTAGTTTTACTTCTAACAGTCAGGCTGGCCCTGTTTGCCTGAGTATCACCAGCAGAGTCTGCAGAACATCAAAGATTACTGCCTGTTCCTTCCTCTGGAAGCTTCATCGCAGAAGGGCACCCACCAGATACCCGCCGGAGCTCTCCTATATGACTTGTCTTTTAAACCCCTGCTGGGAGGTGTCTCCCCATCAGTAGGTATGCAGGGTCAGAGACCCACTTGAGGAAGCAGTCTGTCCCTTAGCAGAGTTAGAGCACTGTGCTGGGAGATCCACTGCACTCTTCAGAGCTGGTAGGCAGGAACATTTAAGTCTTCCAAAGCTGTGCCCACAGCCACTCCTTCTCCCAGTTGCTCTGTCCCAGGGAGGTGAGAGGTTGATGTATAAGTTTCTGACTGGGTCTGTTGCCTTTCTTTCAGAAAGGCTCTGCCCAGAGAGGAGAAATCTAGAGAGGCAGTCTGGCTACAGCGACTTTGCCAAGCTGTGGTGGGCTTTGCCCAGTTCAAACTTCCTGGTAGCTTTGTTTACACTGTGAGGGGAAAACCGCCTACTCAAGCCTCAGTAATGGCGGATGCCCCTCTCACCCCCAAGCTTGAGCATCCCAGGCCAACTTCAGACTACTGGGCTGGCAGCAAGAATTTCAAGCCAGTGGATCTTAGCTTGCTGAGCTCCATGGGGGTGGGATCTGCTGAGCTAGACTACTTGGCTCCCTGACTTCAGCCCCCCTTTTAGGGGAGTGAACAGCTCTGTCTAGCTGGAGTTCCAGGTGCCCCAGGGGTATGAAAAAAAAATACCTGCAGCTAGCTCAGTGTCTTCCCAAGCAGCTGCCCAGTTTTATGCTTGAAACCCAGGGCCCTGGTGGTGTAGGCAACCAAGGGAATCTCTTGGTGTGTGGGTTGTGAAGACCATGGGAAAAGCAAACTATCTGGGCTAGCATTCACCATTTCTCACAGCACAGCCCCTCACGGCTTCCCTTGGCTAGGGGAGGGAGTTCCCCCACCCCTTGCACTTCCTGGGTGAAGCAATGCCCCAACCAACTTTGTCTTGCCCTCCGTGGGCTGCACCTACTGTCTAACCAGTCCTAATGAGATGAGCTGGATACCTCAGTTGGAATTGCTGAAATCACCCCCTTCTTCATTGATCTCACTGGGAGCTGCAGACCAGAGCTGTTCCTATTCAGCCATCTTGCCACCCACCCCTCTGTCACCTGTATTTTTTTCTTTTTTCTTTTTTTTTTGGGGGGTGGTGCGGTGGATGGAGTCTTGCTCTGTCACCCAGGCTGGAGTGCAGTGGCAAGATCTTGGCTCACTGCAACCTCCACCTCCCAGGTTCAAGAGATTCTCCTGCCTCAGCCTCCGGAGTAGCTGGAATTACAGGCACACACCACCACACCTGGCTATTTTTAGTATTTTTAGTAGAGATGAAGTTTCACTATGTTGGTCAGGCTGGTCTCAAACTCTCGACCTCAGGTGATCCGCCCACCTTGGCCTCCAAAATTGTTGGGATTACAGGCGTGAGCCACCATGCCCAACCAAACCATGAATTATTGTAAGCACTTCTACTGGAGCAAGAATGCCACAGCAGAGAGAAAAGTAACTTAGCATTATTGAGAACCTCATTCTATGCCAGGTAGAAAATGAAGCACTTTTTTGCTTGCATAATCTCATTTAATCCTTATTGCAATCTTTATTATACAAAATTCTGAGAGAGTGACCCCAGTGTCATAAAATAATGAGTGATGAATGTAGCTCAACTCCTTAATAAAAAGCAGTTATTCTGTGTATGGTATCATACATTTTTTTAGGAAGACAAAAATAGAATATTTTGCTATTCTAGAAGAGCCAAAAGTACAGAAATGGAAAGAAGATACTGAAAAATGAAATAAAAAAAAGTGTGTCCATATATGTTTATCTTTCTTAGCACTATAATTTGCCTAGCAAACTTGATCCCCTCCATGCCTGGGGTTCCAATTCTGTTCCTGCATTAGATTACGGTAGCACCTCTAAGTTTTTGGCTGCAATGTAAACTATTACTAGTCATCTAATTAATACAATATATGTATGACAATAGATACAATCAAAGTATAAGAAATTTTTTTTTTTACCATTCTCTTTTTTTAATTACTATTATACTTTAAGTTCTAGGGTACATGTGCACAATGTGCAGGGTTGTTACATATGTATACATGTGCCATGTTGGTGTGCTGCACCCATTAACTCATCATTTACATTAGGTATATCTCCTAATGCTATCCCTCCCCCAGCCCCCTGAGCCCATAACAGGCCCCCGTGTGACGTTCCCCACCCTGTGTCCAAGTGTTCTCATTGTTCATTTCCCACCTATGAGCAAGAACATGCAGTGTTTGGTTTTCTGTCCTTGTGATAGTTTGCGCAGAATGATGGTTTCCAGCTTCATCCATGTCCCTGCAAAGGACAAGAACTCATCCTTTTTTGTGGCTGCATAGTATCCCATGGTGTATATGGGCCACATTTTATTTTTATTGATTTATTTATTTATTTATTATTATTATACTTTAAGTTTTAGGGTACATGTGCACAATGTGCAGGTTAGTTACATATGTATACATGTGACATGCTGGTGCGTTGCACCCACTAACTCATCATCTAGCATTAGGTATATCTCCCAATGCTATCCCTCCTCACTCCCCCCACCCCACAACAGTCCCCAGAGTGTGATGTTCCCCTTCCTGTGTCCATGTGTTCTCATCGTTCAATTCCCACCTATGAGTGAGAATATGTGGTGTTTGGTTTTTTGTTCTTGCGATAGTTTACTGAGAGTGATGATTTCCAGTTTCCTCCATGTCCCTACAGAGGACATGAACTCATCATTTTTTATGGCTGCATAGTATTCCATGGTGTATATGTGCCACAGTTTCTTAATCCAGTCTGTCATTGTTGGACATTTGGGTTGGTTCCAAGTCTTTGCTATTGTGAATAATGCTGCAATAAACGTATGTGTGCATGTGTCTTTATAGCAGCATGATTTATAGCCCTTTGGGTATATACCCAGGAATGGGATGGCTGGGTCAAATGGTATTTCTAGTTCTAGATCCCTGAGGAATCGCCACACTGACTTCCACAATGGTTGAACTAGTTTACAGTCCTACCAACAGTGTAAAAGTGTTCCTATTTCTCCACATCCTCTCCAGCACCTGTTGTTTCCTCACTTTTTAATGATTGCCATTCTAACTGGTGTGAGATGGTGTCTCATTGTGGTTTTGATTTGCATTTCTCTGATGGCCAGTGATGGTGAGCACTCTTTCATGTGCTTTTTGGCTGCATAAATGTCTTCTTTTGAGAAGTGTCTGTTCATGTCCTTCGCCCACTTTTTGATGGGGTTGTTTGTTTTTTTCTTGTAAATTTGTTTGAGTTCATTGTAGATTCTGGATATTAGCCCTTTGTCAGATGAGTAGGTTGCAAAAATTTTCTCCCATTTTTGTAGGCTGCCTGTTCACTCCGATGGTACTTTCTTTTGTTGTGCAGAAGCTCTTTAGTTTAATTAGATCCCATTTGTCAATTTTGGCTTTTGTTGCCATTGCTCTTGGTGCTTTAGACATGAGGTCCTCGCCCATGCCTATGTCCTGAATGGTAATGCCTAGGTTTTCTTCTAGGGTTTTTATGGTTTTAGGTCTAATGTTTAAGTCTTTAATCCATCTTGAATTAATTTTTGTATAAGGTGTAAGGAAGGGATCCAGTTTCAGCTTTCTCCATATGGCTAGCCAGTTTTCCCAGCACCATTTATGAAATAGGGAATCCTTTCCCCATTGCTTGTTTTTCTCAGGTTTGTCAAAGATCAGATAGTTGTAGATATGCGGCGTTATTTCTGAGGACTCTTTTCTGTTCCATTGTTCTATATCTCTGTTTTGGTAACAGTACCATGCTGTTTTGTTTACTGTAGCCTGGTAGTATAGTTTGAAGTCAGGTAGTGTGATGCCTCCAGCTTTGTTCTTTTGGCTTAGGATTGACTTGGCAATGTGGGCTCTTTTTTGGTTCCACATGAACTTTAAAGTAGTTTCTTCCAATTCTGTGAAGAAAGTCATTGGTAGCTTGATGGGGATGGCATTGAATCTGTAAATAGACATGTACAGACATCTACAGAACTCTCCACCCCAAATCAACAGAATATACATTCTTCTCAGCACCACACCACACCTATTCCAAAATTGACCACATACTTGGAAGTAAAGCTCTCTTCAGCAAATGTAAAAGAACAGAAATTATAACAAACTATCTCTCAGACCACAGTGCAATCAAACTAGAACTCAGGATTAAGAATCTCACTCAAAACCGCTCAAGTACATGGAAACTGAACAACCTGCTCCTGAATGACTACTGGGTACATAACGAAATGAAGGCAGAAATAAAGATATTCTTTGAAACCAACGAGAACAAAGACACAACATACCAGAATCTCTGGGACACATTCAAAGCAGTGTGTAGAGGGAAATTTATAGCCTAAATGCCCAGAAGAGAAAGCAGGAAAGATCTAAAATTGACACCCTAACATCACAATTAAAAGAACTAGAAATGCAAGAGCAAACACATTCAAAAGCTAGCAGAAGGCAAGAAATAACTAAGATCAGAGCAGAACTGAAGGAAATAGAGACACAAAAAAACCTTCAAAAAATTAATGAATCCAGGAGCTGGTTTTTTGAAAGGATCAACAAAATTGATAGACCGCTAGCAAGACTAATAAAGAAAAAAAGAGAGAAGAATCAAATAGACACAATAAAAAATGATAAAGGGGATATCACCACCGATCCCAGAGAAATACAAACTACCATCAGAGAATACTACAAACAACTCTACGCAAATAAACTAGAAAATCTAGAAGAAATGGATAAATTCCTCAACACATACACTCTCCCAAGACTAAACCAGGAAGATGTTGAATCTCTGAATAGACCAATAACAGGAGCTGAAATTGTGGCAATAATCAATGGCTTACCAATCAAAAAGAGTCCAGGACCAGATGGATTCACAGCCGAATTCTACCAGAGGTACAAGGAGGAACTGGTACCATTCCTTCTGAAACTATTCCAGTCAATAGAAAAAGAGGGAATCCTCCCTAACTCATTTTATGAGGCCAGCATCATCCTGATACCAAAGCCGGACAGAGACACAACCGAAAAAGAGAATTTTAGACCAATATCCTTGATGAACATTGATGCAAAAATCCTCAATAAAATACTGGCAAACCGAATCCAGCAGCACATCAAAAAGCTTATCCACCATGATCAAGTGGGCTTCATCCCTGGGATGCAAGGCTGGTTCAATATATGCAAATCAATAAATGTAATCCAGCATATAAACAGAACCAAAGACAAAAACCTCATGATTATCTCAATAGATGCGGAAAAGGCCTTTGACAAAATTCAACAACCCTTCATGCTAAAAACTCTCGATAAATTAGGTATTGTTGGGATGTATCTCAAAATCATAAGAGCTATTTATGACAAACCCACAGCCAGTATCATACTGAATGTGCAAAAACTGGAAGCATTCCCTTTGAAAACTGGCACAAGACGGGGATGCCCTCTCTCACCACTCCTATTCAACATAGTGTTGGAAGTTCTGGCCAGGACAATCAGGCAGGAGAAAGAAATAAAGGGTATTCAATTAGGAAAAGAGGAAGTCAAATTGTCCCTGTTTGCAGATGACTTGATTGTATATCTAGAAAACCCCATCATCTCAGCCCAAAATCTCCTTAAGCTGATAAGCGACTTAAGCAGCAAAGTCTCAGGATACAAAATCAATGTGCAAAAATCACAAGCATTCATATACACCAGGAATAGACAAACAGAGAGCCAAATCATGAATGAACTCCTATTCACAATTGCTTCAAAGAGAATAAAATAACTAGGAACCCAACTTACAAGGGATGTGAAGGACCTCTTCAAGGAGAACTACAAACCACTGCTCAATGAAATAAAAGAGGATACAAACAAATGGAAGAACATTCCATGCTCATGGGTAGGAAGAATCAATATCGTGAAAAAGGCCATACTGCCCAAGGTAAGAACATATTTTTAACTTCTGAACTTTTATTATTGTGTCATAAAGGTATAAAATTTTCAGGAGATAAGGTTGCAGAAATAATGACAAAAGTTCTTCAACAGTCAGCAGTGTAGAAGCCCTTTTGAACATCAGATGGTCTCACTATGTGTTTTATCTCAGATTTCTACTGTGTGTAGTTATTGTTTCATATTTTTCTCTCATCCGTAGCCAACTAATTAAAACTATTTTTAAATGATATCATTTCAACTACAAAAAATATTAAGAGTCCTGAAATTTGGCACTAACTGTCACAGGTATAATCTGGCCATTAACTATGACTATAAGAAATAGTTTAATTAATTTAATCTTTATAAAGACTACCCTTAACATTCCCAATAGATGCATTCCAAATTATTTGCAAGTATTTTGGCACTTTGGCGTTTGGACAGGATAATTCTTTGTTGGGAGGAAATATCTGGCTAGACATACTAGGTGCAAGTAGAATTCCCTCCAGTGTAACAACCAAAAATTTCTTTATGCATTGCCAAATGCAAAGGTGCAATCAGTTGAGAACCATTGCCCTATAAGTTTAAAAATAATTCTTTATAATAATGTGTAATTATTTAAATTAAATGCCTTTTGTATGTCCTATAGTATGTAGACAATATCCAGCCCATCTTAAAATTTCTAAGAGTTTGTATTCAGCCAGTTTTACAAGAAAATCATCTAAATTCATCTGGAAGACATACTAGATGTAACTCACTTTTCCCCTTAAAATCATTTCTATGACTATTTCCCATTTACTGTATGCTATTATAATTATACACTGAAAATAAAATTATTTATCTGAAAAATCATGAAGAATAAGTTATTAGAAGCATCCAAAGTATTTTAAATGATGCCATTATGTATCCCTTAGCAGACATAGGATGTACCTGAACTATGCCTCACTGCTCAGTTATGTCATCGGACGTGCAGGGTTTTTCTGTTTCTTTGCTTGCCATGGTGAGTGTGTTGGCTTTTATCCTCATGACTTGTCAAAAGATGGCTGCTGCACCTGATTCACATTCAAGGAAGGCAAACAGAAGAGGTAAGGGACTATGCCAGGCACATCTGTCTCCTTTTACAAGGTAATTAAGTACCTTCTCAGAAACATCATCAGAAAATTTCTGTGTAAATCTTATTTGCCTAACTTGGATCCTTTGGCTGCCCTTGCTGCAAGGGATATTGGGAAATTAAGCAAGAGTGAGAAACAAGATTATTATTCCTGCCTAAGACTAATAATGGTCCATTACCTGAAGTGAACACATCACTGCTTTATTTCCAAATTCAACTTCCATTATCCAGGAAGAAAGAAAAAATGACATTTGTAGCAATTAGCTACACGTGATAAGAATAATAACTACACCACCACCACCAATAATAATAATGAGCAGATATTATCAAACATTTATTAAATGCTTATGGTGTAACAACCATGCTTCTAACAAAAGTTCAAGTTAGGCACTATTATTAACTTTATTTTACAAAGAAGGAAGGTAGAGACCTTAGTAGTTAAGTAACTTGTCCAAGATTATACAATTGGTCAGTTCGAAATTCTTCGAATGTCTGTTGAGCAAAGGTTATTTTATAAAGTACTGTCTTTGGCACTTCATCATAAATAAATTTTTCAATTGTTATTTAGCTGGTAATAAACTGTTAAGTAACATTTATGTAAGTGGGTACATGTTTTACTCTTTGCATAAGTAAAAATAAATGTATGTGTCAGGAAAAGAGATGTAAAGAATGTAAATATACAACAAATAAACAATATCCAATTACAATGTAAAGGCACATACATACTTATTAACATTATTTGGAAATAATTTTGGAGTTTTTTAATTAAATGGATTAAAGTAGGAAAAACTGTATTAGTTCTTAAAGATTAGCATCATGGGTTGTTTTACACAGCTGGAAAACTGCTGTATTATACTTTATGCATATAATTAGTGATTAAATGTGAGACAAGTAATAGACACCATTTGTGTCATTGGAGCAATCCAAAATATTATGAATAAAATTCTTGTGAATTTTAGGGAAAGAAACATAAATGCAAGGCAAAGAAAGAACTATCTTTGGCAGCAGAGAACACTGAATTGGAGTAAAAGATCTTTTGGAAATAAAGATATTTTGCCAAAATGAGGAGGGCTAGCTCTGAGTTTACTCTTATTTTGATAAATGTGGGCTTCCATTGTTCCAGTTGTTACTATAGTAGAGTTAATTAATACAAAATCAATTTTGCCAATGGGAATTATAACAAGATTAAAAGATTTGAATGTGACATCTTATACTCAGATGGAAAGAAAAATAAAACAAAGCAACCCACAAAATTTGAACATGTGGGATCAGAATGGGAGATCAAGCTGAGACCAATAGGAAGGCAATTCTTATGAAAGCCAAAAAGAAATTGCCTATAAGGTCTGTATTAGCCAAATGAGTGACGAAGTATGAAAAAAGCTGATGACATTCAGGGTTGACTGCATAATTTGTGGGACTCAGTGCCAAATGAAAATGTGACACCATTTGTTCAAAATGCAGAAAAATATTTACATAAGGGATACTAAAAATCTAAAAATGTTTTTCCTTTCTTCTGTGGCCTCTTCCATGACTTGTCATGAGGTGTGTGTGTATGTTTAAATTTGCTCTTTGAAGTTGCTTTAAGTAAAAAAAAATAAAAATTTTATTCATTAGCATGAACTTTGCCACCCACATTTATATTGTGTAATGCCAGTTTTAAATGCAAATGTAAGACTGTTAACCATTTAAGTAGAATCACCGGAATTGCACAATTTGTATTTTATACTTTGTACATGCATATATATTTTGCTGTTAACAGGCAGTTGAAAACACTGCATAAAACTAACTCAGTTATTTTTATTTCAGTTCTTGATATGCACACATTCTAACAATACTGTCTACCTCAGGCTTACTGTTGAGTACAGAAGGAAAGAAAAAGTAACTATGAGTAGCTCTTTCTCTTTTCTTCTATATCGTTTTCTTCTATATCATTTTTATTGTAGCTGGTTGGCAAATACTTTAAAGTAATGAGTAAGAAAGAATATGGCAGAGTTTCATGGTGGTTTATTTTCTTAGAATGTCATTGCCTTCTTTGTGCATTTGAATCAAGTTCTGGTTCAAATGGAAATGTAGCCTCTCAGGATTGCCTGTGCTCCTGCTTACTCAGTCATGATGTAACAGGCATTCATTGACTTGCTTTGTGTCTCCCTGAACTGCTCCACACTCTGAGTCCACAATATTTCTGTGCTCACATGGGCATAATGAATACTCTATGGGAATGAAGAAGCAAGGAATGGCAGGAACACATTTTCCATATATGTGTCTCCCCTGCCTGCACACATACTCCATTATCCCACCAGACTTCACTTGCAAAACAAAAGTTCAAACATAAAATTATTAAGAATTTGAAGACATTCTCAGCAGAGCAATAAATCAAGTGTGGGGCTTTTCCGAGCACAGGACTCAGTGCAACCACCAGATCTTATGACAACGAAGCCACCTTTGATGACATTTTAGCCTAAGGAACTTTTAAAAATAGTATTCAGATCAAAAAACAAAATAGAAAGAGAAGCCAAACCTCTTTGGATTGTAATCAGTTTATTTTAAAAATTTTAATAACTTTTGAATGTTAACAGTCAACTATTCTCAACTGGAGATCTTAACGACAGGCTATTTTTTTTTTCTTTGAAGTGACTTTACAAATTTCTGCTCTAGTCCAACACATGCAGATGTATATTTAAGTTATTAAAAGAATTATTATTTCCAAAAAAGGTTGTGAGTAGGGGCAGAGTGGGGTTCAGTGTTGTGCCTTATATCACCTTCCAATTTTAGGAGTTCCTATTTCTTCGTTTCTACTTTTCAATATTCTACTTATCACTGTGTTTTTTAAAGCTTTAAAAATGTCATTTACCATCATAATTTTTTAAATGGATATGGAATCAGTGTCCAAAGCACATGAAACAGCCAGGATTAGAATTCAAAAACGCATGATTCTCCTTTGTGCCTCTTGCCACAGAAACATGCTGTTTAAATCTGCAACTCTACTGATAGTGATAAACCATTCTGAAACACTTATGAAGAGCAGCAGTTATGTTGCCTCTGAATAGCGTATGAGTCAATTGATTGGCTTCCATTGAACTAATTTAGTAATTTAAAAATTATCTTCCTGTTGTTTGCTTTTATTGTAGCAGTATTAATCCATAGAATATCTATATAATCAATTTTTCCCCTACTTTCACCACTTCTTCCCTGGGGAGGCACTAGAGAGAATGGCTAACATTTTTTTAGGATCATTACCCACAGGGTTTCAACGTATATAAAAAGTTTTTCCTGCTTTTGAAAGTAGCATTAAGATGGAAGTCATGGGGAGAAAAAATAGTGCCTCTGTGTTTTATATTTAGGAATGGTTGTGAACATTTTACCCTGCAAAGAAAACACTAATAAAAAAGTCACCAATGGAGACCATCCTGGCCAACATGGTGAAACCCCATCTCTACTAAAAATACAAAAATTAGCTGGGCCTGGTGGCACACACCTATAGTCCCAGCTACTCGGGAGGCTGAGGCAGGAGAATTGCTTGAACCTGGGAGGCAGAGGTTGCAGTTAGCCGAGATGGCACCACTGCACTCCAGACTGGGCAACAGAGTGAGACTCCATCTTAAAAAAAAAAAAGTCACCTATGGAAATTGGAACACTTAATATCTGTCATTTAGAATGTAAGTAGTGTATAAATGTGAAAGAGATAAAAAGCTACTTGTTTTCTACATTGGTATCTAAATATATCTAAAATAATTTTACTATACATTTAACTAAAGACAACTGTTACACATATCTCATGAAAATATATGGTGTAATTAGCACATAAAAATTGACTTTTATTTCTCATGGAAATTTAGATTCAATGGAAGAATATGAGATAGGCTACATAATAAAAGGGATGAGTAGGTCCAGAAATTGAAAAGAATAGGAACCACTGTCAGGATAAGTTAATTCCAAACATTTTCAATCTTTGGGTCCCATGCCACACTTTTCTTGGAATAGATGGAATATCTTCCCTATTTTTCCTCCCCACTCTTCTCCTTAGGGAAAGAATCCTTAGGTCAGGCAGCTAAGCCAACTCTATCAGTCAGGCTTCCTAAAGGAAACCAACAAAGAGCAATAAGTGTATATAGAGCAATCGTTTTTTATACACATACATACGTTTCACATATATACATATACACACATATATATACACATACATGCCTATACATATATACACACATATATCTCAAATATACTGATTTATTTAAAGAAACTGGCTCATGTAATTGTGGGCACTGAGCTGGTAAATTCAAAATCTGTAGGACAGATCAGCAGGCTGAAAACACAGGTATGAATTGTTCTTGCTGTCTTGAGTTTGTAGGGCAGGCTGGCAGGCTGGAAACATGAGCAGGATATCCACCTTAAAATCTTGATACATAATTTTTTCTTTTTCAGGAAAGTTCAGTTTTTGCTCTTAAGGACTTCAACTGGTTGGATGAGGCCCAAAGAAAATATCGAGATTAATCTGCTTTACTTAAAGTCAACTGACTGTATATGTTAACCACATCTACAAAATAGCTTCACAGCAACACCTAGATTAAATTACTGGGTACTAATGCCTTATGTTGACACATAAAATTAAACATCACACCAACTTCAGCGAAAGGAGCTTATGGTTTATGATAATGATATACTAGCCCTGGAATTAGGACAGCATAGCTGCAGGAAGCAAGACAGGACTAAAGAGCCTCATTATACCTAGGTCCTTTCCAAATTCAACATGATCTCAATGATACGGTGAATAGCAATTGCTTTGTACATTGGCTGGAACTTTGTAATTGCCCAAAATTATGAATTAGTATTTAACTATTTTAAATCCTGGGAAGCCTTTGAAATATCCAGGCAATAATAAGCAGTTGGATGTAGGGCTCTAGAGCTGCTACCAAGACATTAATTAAATCAGTTAGAGCAGCTTCCTCTATGATTTGGACTGGAAAATATGAAACATGGAAAGGATAATTTTGTTATAATGAGGGAATAATGGAGCAGACATACATATAGAAGCAACGATAATGTTATCTGGGTTGGGGATTTAGAGAGGGGTGTATCAGAAAAAGATAGAATTGAGGAGCTATTAGTAGGAATTCATAATCCTAACCTCTCCATTCCCCCCACCTCTTCTATGCATTAGATTAAGAAATGTGGCATAATCTTCCTCAGTCTGTCTCTCTATCCCCTCTACCCCTGCCAGAATAATAATTCTACAACAAAAGGGTACCCATGTCATCCCCCAGTTTAAAACTCACCATGACTATCCATAATTCTTTTCCAAATTTCATAACGTGTGATGTCTATAGCTGTCAGATCCTTGCCTACTTCTGTGATTTAATTTCTAGTCATTTCCCTCACCTTTTGCATTCTCTTCTTAATACATATTGAACACACTTCCATTCCTGCAAATTTGCCTGATCTCTTTTGCCTCTGAACCTTTCAACACCCTTGTATTTATTTCCAATGCCCGACTAAAGTTAAACTGCTGAAAAGTAGCAACCACCCATACTCTTTTTTGTTATCTGTTTGCCCAGTACAGCACAAGGTACATACAGGTGCATAATTGTACCCACTCTCCCCTTCAGATTCCAAATTCTTTAAGCATAGAAAGCATACCTATTTCATCTTTATGCCTCTCACAGCATCATTTGCGAAGTACTTTACACTTTGTTTCCTCAATAAATTGTTGCTGAATTCAGTGGAAGCACTGATAGAACTATAAACCCTATAATCATTTGAAATAGGGAAATTATATTCCAAGTGTTACAAAATGGGCATAAATGAACCGTATGTGTTAATTATATACAGGGACTGAATATGCTATAAAGTGCACATATGGTAGCAAGAACACAACCCTACTGTATTACTAAATGTGAGTCATGTAAAACTAATATGCTTGAAATAAATGTTAATTAAACATTCAACTAACAATTTTCTTCCCTTTTGAAACTTAGAATGCTTTGAAGGGGATTATTTGGTCTCTTAAAAGCACTTTCCTGGCAAATTTAAATAGGTACTTTTTTCTCTCCA
The DNA here is from genome assembly GCF_000001405.40 of Homo sapiens. Classification (NCBI taxonomy): domain Eukaryota; kingdom Metazoa; phylum Chordata; class Mammalia; order Primates; family Hominidae; genus Homo; species Homo sapiens. Next base: position 58,304,191 of record NC_000006.12, on the reverse strand, counting down.
TTTAATTTCTTTCTTTTATCTCTTTTTTTGCATAGAAATTATGCACATCCCCCATATACTTTTGTTTTGCCCTTAGTTTTTTAATTTTAATTTTAAAAATGTTTTAAATTGATACATAATGATTGTACATATTTATGGGGAACATATGATACTGTGATATATATAATGTAGAATGATTGGAGCAGGGTAACGAGCATATCCATCATCTCAACTATTTATCATTTGTTTGTGTTGAAGATGTTCAATATTCTCCTCTAGCTACTGAAACTATAAAACATATTATTATTAACATTTAATTTATTTAAAGTGTACAGAGATTAGCAAAATGATTCTAATGACCTCAATTTTTGGCCCTTTAACTTCACGAAGAGGCTTTGCATGATATTTTGAGAAGCCCCCACATAAAAATACGCCATTTCCAGTGCTTTCTTTCAGAAGGCTTTGGGTCTTCTGCCTTTCAACCAGGATTCTGGGTGTATTCTATATCCTTTAACATGAGTACACACACACACATGCACATATGCACGTTCATACACGCAATTCCAAAGTGCCCATGATGCAGATCACAGTTATTCCAGTGCTTTTGTTTGGGAATAGTTTCAGGTCCACTTTCTTAGTAATTTCAGGGGCATATCTTGGGTATCTGGAGCTATCTGAATTACGTAACAGCTCCTCATCATTCCATAAAGACTTTGTATAGAACAAGTCTGTAGATGTGGAAAGCTCAGAAATCATGCCTGTTTTGTTCATTGTTATTTCTCATTCTGAGGACTAAATTTAGTGCATGGCTGGTACTTAATATACTTTTGTTCGCTGGAAAATGGGTGCATGAATTTATAAGGTTAAGCATATACATATTCCCTAGTAATATTAGTAGCTGCTAAAGATACTTTGAACAATAGTGGATATGGTATTCACACACACAGTATGTGCACTAATCCTGCGGTAACTAGGGATCATTCATAGGAAGGAAGTGGTATCCAAATAACATTCACTGGCAGTAGAATCCCAGTACACACATGGTACCTGACTTTAGCTGGAGTAGAAATGAATAGGAAAGAAAGGCCATATAATGACAGATGCTTTATTATATCAATTTTAAGATACATCTTTCCCCATAGTTTAGCCCATCAAGAATAACAATTCATATTAAAATTAATAATATTTATTGAAATCAATGAGGAGATCTGAAGGAATGAAAATTTACTCCTTATTGACTGAGTACAGCAAGGAAGAATGCCTTTGCAAAAATTCTTCAAATACCTTTTACAAGGAAGTAGTTTTATAGCGTATTGAGGGGAACACAGCCCTTCTGATAACAAGCAACAAAAATGCTTAAAATGGCAAGCAAAGTTTCAAGCACTCTAACTTGTGTGTTTTCTTCAAACAGGATGTTTGCCATGAGTGACTTTTTTTTTAAGAGTCCTGTAGTTTTTTTAAAGAAAGACGCCAGTGGTTATTTCTCAATAACTTAGCTTTAACTCAAGGACCAATAAAACTTTCCAGCTGGGGTGAATAAGGCCTGGGGAAAATGTTAAAAGAAGAAGGGATTAAAGATATTTCTGGAAAATACAGTTTCCACATCCTCCTGTCATTGTCAACCAGGTGGCAGTTATGACATAGACGTCACTTATTGCACATAAGCAAATTTGGTCATAGTTGTTCATGTTGCCATTTTAAATGAATTATGCTTGTACTACAGGCATTATGCTTAATTGCCTTTAAAAATGTCTTCAAAAATTATATTATGATTCTGTACTAAAATGAAAAATTATTGTATGTACAGAAAGAAACAGAAACCATGCAGTGGGACATGTATTTGATAGTCCAGAAACAAATATCTATCCTAAGAGCAATGAAAGAAATTTTAAAATTTTCTTGGAAATCAAAAATAAAGTGATTTGTTGGAGTTAAGAAAGAAAGACTCCATAGGGAGAAAAAGATGTGTTATCTTTTGCTTCTATTGACTATTACATGCCAAGCAAGAAAGTGCCAGCAGCAAATTTTGCAGAACAGGTGTCAACAGCTTGTGAGAAAATCCCAGAGACTATAGTGGAGCACTTTTAAAAGAAATTCTGGCTTCATCACTAATGCTCTTTATGGCACAGAGGACCATTTTTAGTGATAAAACACAGATAAGTATTGAAACCCCTGGATTTGAAAGGATGCAGAAAAGTTGCAGTCTAAATGTGGAATTGTTTAAGAATATATTAAGAAATTTATTTCACCAATTTAAAAATATACACAAATTTGATGATGGTAAATCATCTACAATAAAAAGTCTTTAAAAGGCTATTCCAATAATCGTAAGATACATTTCTAAGAAAAAGTATTGTGACACAGTTTTACAGGCAGCATTTTTTTTCTTTCTTTGTGAGTCATAACAATGTCTTACATTAATCTTGGATTCTGTTTTATATTAATGCTAGCTGGATCCTGAAGTATCTGGAAAGTTCTTTCTGGCATGGGGAAATAAGTGTGCTTCTATACTGTAGAATCTCACCTTCGTGGTAAGGAGAAGAAAGATGGAGGAATTAGAAAAGACTAAAAGACATTTAAAAGAAATGTTCCATGCAATCTAAAACAAGAAGATCGCTGTCATTAATGTGGTTAAATAAAGAGTACAAGTTGATCCCCAAAGTACTTTCAGGCTAGAAGTTTAGTCTTGGAATAGCCTATTTTACGAAGTCCATGCTCTTCAGTAGCTTTGGGGGAGACACATGAGGCAAAGAGGGGAGAAGCAAGTATATACTTAGGCAGCTAGATGGTCTAAATCAGCCCCATGTCTTTCTGTGTGACAGAAGTTGCAGCCATGTTAACATTCTTTTCACATTCTAATAACATCTGTTGTTGTGTTGTCCTAGCACTCAGCCAGGGGCAGTCCTGGGTATACCTGACAGCATAATCTGATGCTGCTGCTGGTACGTAGCTATGTGAGCCATTCATTTTAAAGTGATAGAATATGTCTATTACAGTGGTTTTACACCCCTTTCAGTACCTACGGCAGCAGTGCACGGTGCTATAAAATTAACTTAGACTGACTTTCAGACTCTACAGTTTTCATTTCCTTCTGAGTTGCCACACCCTCTGGGAATCAGACTAGCTCTAAATGACTTAGGCAATGAGGCTTCCATTTCTTCCTGTGGGAAACTAATGTACAGTCTAACAGACTATTAAGAAATTGTTTCTGATATTCAGCCTACCTTTTCTTTCCCTTAATTGCATTCCATTACTACATTCTAAACAATTTTTCTTTCTCCTTAACATCCTACAGATTCTTGTCTAAGGCCATTTCAATTTGGCCAGGCTTTGTAAAATGAATAATTTTTGTTCTTTGCTTCTACTGGAAGTCAAACTTTTCTTGTTTTTAGTTTACTTACTTGATATTCTCAAAATTCCTTTGCTGCTGGCTGTTATTAAAATAGTCAAAAGACTACCATTTACAAAGATGATCTGTCCAGAAAAGCATAGAAAATAGTATTACCTTATTTTGAATGTAAAAATTGAATTAATCTCATACTGGCTGTGTATTACCATCCCAATTTATTTTTAATCAGACAGCCCTATCTAGATCATCTTTTCTACCTATATAGGCTTTTAAAATTGATATTCTTTAAGTATTATTCCCCTTAATTATACACACACACACACCACGCATTTGAGATGAGAGTCTCATCGCTCTGTCTCCCAGGCTTGAGTGCAGTGGCCAGAACTTGGCTTACTGCAACTTCTGCCTCCCAGGCTCAAGAGGTCTTCTCACTTCAGCCTCTTGAGTAGCTGGAACCACAGGCACACACTATCATGCCTGGCTAAGTTTTGTATATTTTGTAGAGATGGGGTTTCACCATGTTGCCTAGGCTGGTCTTCAACTCCTGGGCTCAAGCTATGCACCTACCTTCACCTCCCAAAGTGCTGGGATTATAGGCATGAGCCACCATGCCTGGCTTCTGCATGCCTTTTAGTAGATCTGAATTTATCAATAAACATTAACCAAATAGGCAGCTTAGTTCAATTTTATGAAATAAACAGCTTGCAAAGATCAAAAATACACCTTAAAATGTATTATCACTATCTCAAAACTGCTTATGGCTAGATGTTTTTTTCCTTTTTTGCAATAAAGATATCAAATATTTACATAACATTTTTTAATGTCTAAAATCATTTTCACATCTATTACCTTAGTAAATCCTGATTTTAACTCTATGATTGATTTCTATCTTTGCTTTGATCCCCAAGCATCAATGAGTGGCCATGTTGGGATTATTTCTCTTCCCCACCCTCTCTTCCCCTGCTACCCTCTCACCCACCTAAACACACACTCCTGACAACAAAGTGTTCTTTTCATTATACCGTGTTAATGATACTTTAAATATCATTTACAGAAGTCTAAATTTTGGGCCCTATGGATACTGAAATATAGTAAAGTATTCCTAGACTTCATTCATATTCTAATGTTGAAATAGGAAAAAAAAACTAATAAAAGAGACTCATCCACTGCAGGAAAAAGACAAAACAAAACAAGAAAGGAAAAGTTTGTTTATGTGTTGTTGAAAGAACCATAGTTTCTTCAGAATCTTATTAAGAAGAGAGGAGACACTTGAAATATATGCCACCTAGTAATAATATTGTAAGGTGCCAAAGATTAATGTATGTTGATAACTGAAGGGCAATAATCTGACATAAGTCTAAGAAAACTGCCATATAATGAGTACTTTTCTCTCCAATATATAACTTAACTTGGAATATTGACTGCAGCCTTCACAGAGCAAGGATTCCTACCACCCTTTCCCTAGCCTGTCTGATTAACCTCCTTGCACAGCAGTGGGAAAGAATACAAGAGGCAAGACCTCATGTGCCATGTTCCCCAGAATGGTCTGAGAGCATTAAAGCAGCATCTTGCAGCCTGATGAAGTATCGGGATCCTTTACAAAAGAACTATTATTCCACATTCATTTATTCTACTCTTCTTGGAGGATAGTACAGTAGGTGGGGAAACATCCTCATAAATGATTTAGTTAGTTCTGAAAAAGCAATTGTGTCTCTCCCCTCTTTCTGTTTCTATAGATGCTATTATGATAAAGCTTGATGGTAATTGCCTCATTCCAGTTTAGAGATCTATGAAGACGTTGTAAAAAACAAAAGTTATCCTATTACACTTTGTGATGTTTGGCATTTTAAGTCATATAGCTGTACATTGCAAATTCTGATCTTGAGTATGAGAATTGATAAATAAAATGTTAAGTGTATAATGGAGGCACTTAACTTACACAAACCCAACTGTTTGAATCAGAGAGAAGAGAGAATCAAAAAAGAAAAAGAATAGCATTGCTGACCCATCTTCTGGCCACAGAGTGATCAGGATAAGGCTTTCTTTGAGTTTTATCTTCCTGCCCTAATGTCTCTCATAGCTTGAGCATCTCTCTGTGCCAGGCATTATAGTGAAGTTTCATACCTCCTGACCCTATCTGTCCTATCAACTATGGCTCCATTTGCAGGAAAATTCCTCAAGAGTGACTTAGATGCATCATTTTCAATTCCTTTCCTCACATTCTGTTTTATAATATTTTTCTTTGAAGTAATGTCAGGCCTACTTACAGAAAAGATTAAGAATATTGTGAAGAGATCTTGTATACCTTTCATCCAAATTCCATAATTGTCTCCTTATTATAATTTACTTTGTTATTTCTCTTTCTTTCTCTCAAATATGTACATTTTATGCATTTTCCTAATGATTTGAGATGGCCCTTAACACCTAAATATTTCAACAAATATTTCCTAAAACAAAGATCAGTCTTTTACATAACCACAGTCCAGTTAGCAAAATCAGAAAATCAATATTGATATAATACTATTACACAGTTGACTGACACTTTTTCTATTTTGCTGCTGTTTCAAAAGTGTCATTTAGAGTACTATTACAACAACAACTAATAATAATTCCGGTCACGAATGCAACTGTAGTGAGATTATTTTGTACAATTTCATTTTCTAATTGTTTGTTGCTAGTAGATAGAAAAACAGTTGTTTTTTGTATATTGATTTTATATACTATAACCAATGTAAACTCCTTCATTAGTTCTAATAGTTTTCTGGTAGATTCCATCATTTTTTATATAAATGACCATTTAATCTTTGACTAAAAATGGCTTTACTTATTTGTTTTCCAAACTGGATGCTTTTTGTTTCTTTTTCTTGCCTTACTACACTGGCCAGAACCTTCAGTACAATGTTGAATAGAAGTGGTGGGAGTGGATATCCTTGTTTTGTTCTAGTTCTTAGGGGAAAAGCATTCAGTCTTTCACGTAAGTATGATACTAGCTGTAGCTTTTCTGTAGATGCCCTTTGTAAGGATGTGGAACTTCCTTTTGTTGTGGGCGTTAACTTATTTGAAAAAAAAGTAATTATGATGTAATTAGGTTAAATATCTTGAAACGACAGCATTATGGATTACCCAGGTGGGCCCTAAATTCAATGACAAGTGTCTATATGAGACAGAAAAGGAGAAGATGCAGACACACAGAGGAGAAGGTGCTGTGAAGATGGAGGCAGATATTCGAGTGATTTGACCACAAGCCAAAAAAGCCAAGGAATGCCAAGGGTCACCCAAATGTGGAAGAGGCAGAGAAGAATTTTCCTAAGAACCTCTGGGGAGTGTGGATCTGCTGACACCTTGATTTTGTATTTTTGACCTTCAGACTTGTGAAATAATAAATTTCTATTGTTCTCTGCCACCCAATTTGTGGTGATTTGTTATAGCAGCCATAGGAAAATAATATTCCTTCTATATACCTACCTTGCTGAGAGTTTTTAACAGGAATAGATATTGAATCTATCATTTATTTTTCCTAACTTTGTTAATGTGATGAATTGCACTGATTGATTTTCAAATCAACCAACATTTTTATTCCTGGAATAAAGTCCATTCGGTCCTGTACTATTGAATTCAATTTGAAAAAAATTTGTTCAGCATGTTTACCCTATGTTTATAAGGGATATTGGTCAGTAATTGTCTTATGTAGTGTTTGATTTTGGAACCAAGGTAATGCTGGCTCCATAGAATGAGTCTGAAGTATTCCCTCTTTTAAAATATGTAAAATAGTGTATATGGATTTGATATTATTTCTTCCCTAAATGTTTGGTAGAATCCACTAGGGAAGGCATCTGAACCTTGCATTTTCTCTGTAGGAAGGTTTTTAGTAAAAATGAACATTTAAAAATAGATACAGGGTTATTCATAATAGGTATTTCTTCTTAAATGAGCTTTGGTGGGTTTTTTTTCTCTTCAAAGAATTTGCCCCTTTCATCTGAATTTTTGCATTTATTATCATAAAGTTTTCCATAATACCTTTTTGTTATACCTTTAATGAAGGTATTTAGTAAAAATGAACATTTTAAAATAGATATAGGGTTATTCATATTAGGTATTTCTTCCTAAATATATAGAATCTGTGGTAATATAATTTCTCTCATTCCTGCAATTGGCAATTTGTAACTTCTTTTTTTCTTAATAAGTCTAGTTAATGGGTGCAGCACACCAGCATGGCACATGTATACATATGTAACTAACCTGCATATTGTGCACATGTACCCTAAAACTTAAAGTATAATAATAATAATAATAATAAGTCTGGCTAAAAGTTTATCCTTTCTTAATATTATCAAATAACCAGCTATTGGTTCCATTTATTGTCTATGTTTTTCTCTTTTCTATTTCATTAATTTCCAGACTCTAATCTTTATCATTTCCCTTCTTCACATTTCAGAGATATTTCTGCATATTTCTTTCTTATTTTCCAATTTTTTTAGGTAGAAGCTGAGGTCTTTGTCTTGAAGCTTTTCTTCCTTTCCAGTACAAGTATTTAGTACTATAAATGTTCCCCAAATACTTTTTTGGCAACATGGCACAAATTTTGATAGGCAGTATTTTCATTTGAACTGAATAGTCCAAAACACTTTCTAAATTTTCTTTGATTTCTTTGACCCATGGATTATGTAGAATGCATTATGTCATTTCCAAATATTTGGGGTAATTTCCTAGAGAACTTCCTGTTATGTATTTCTAATTTAGTTGCTTCGAAAATTTATTATGTATGACTTAAATTATTTAAATGTATTGACACTTGTTAAATGGTGCAAAATATGGTCTATCTTGGCAAGTGTTCTATGTGCACTTGAAAAGAATGTTTATTCTGCTTTTATTGGTTTGAGTATTTTATAAATGTTAAGCAGGTTAATAGTGTAGTTCAAATCTTCTATATCCTTACTAATTTATGACTACAGGTTCTATCAATTTTTAGAGGGTTTGGTTTGGAAATCACTGACTAATATTGTGTTTTTAAATTACCCTTTGCAATTCTGTCTGTTCTTTCTTCTCTTTTGAAGCTCTGTTATTAGATGCATAAGCATTGACAATTTATGTCCATAATAAGCTGATCTCAAGTTTGATCAGTTACTACAATTCTTCTTTTATAAAATCAATTATTTTAACTTTCCATTTTGTAAATTTGCAAACATACACCAAATCAGAGAGAAAATGAATATTATGTACCCATCTCTCAGTTTCCATAACTATTAATGTTTGTCATATTTGTTTCCATACTGGATGCACTCTCTCCTTTTTTGCTTAAATATTTTATTGCAAATCCCAGCTACCAAGATACTGAGATAAGCTTTAGAGTAAAAAATACATTCTTATATTACTGCAATTCTGTTGTCACACAGAATTCTCTAACAGAAATTGCATAACATGACGTAAATGCAAATTCATATTCAAATTCTCTCAATTGTTAAAAAATGTGTGTGTGAGTATAAACTGAAACATCATGGATTTTAGTTTGTTTGTTGTTTTGGCTTGTGAGGATCAGATCCAAATAAAGTCTTCTCAATATATTTGGTTCTATGTCTTTTAAGTATAGTGGTCATATAATCTGTAGCCCTACCCTAAATGCCTCTGAGCTAAAAGGGAGAATAAATAACAATTACATTGTGGTAACAAGAGTAAACCATGACTGTCCCAGCCAACTGGTAAATATGCTCACCTACATTTGTCTTTTTAAAATTACTTGTGATCTACTCTCACCTTTTCTTAATGCCATTGGAGAAGCAGTTCAGTTTTTCCTACAAAATATCTTCATTCTGGATTTGACTGATTGTTTCCTGTCGATATCATTTAACTTGTGCCTCTGTCCCCTATATTTTCAATAGACTGCAAATTAGATCTGAAGATTTGATCAGATTCAAGTTCTTTGTGTGTACACGGGTGTGCGTGCAAGAGAAAGAGAAGAATACTTCAAGGGTCATTCTGTGTTTTTCCTGTTGCATCATTATGTAAAAAGCACATGATGTCTAAGAACCTCACTCTTAGTGATAACAAAGTTGATCAATGGTGACAACATGATCTCTTCACTGAAAAGTTCCCCATCAACTTTCACTAGTAGCCTTATTATCTATTAATGATCATAGTCTGAATCATTTATTTTATTAGTAATTATATTAGCTTGTTTTCACACTGCTATGAAGATACTACCTGAAACTGTGTAATTTATAAACACTGACTCACAGTTCTACATGGCTGGGGAGGCCTCAGGAAACTTACAATCATGGCAGAAGGTGAAGGGAAAGTAGGCATCCTCTTCACAGGGCAGCAGGAGAGAGAGAGCAAAGGGGGAACTGCCGAACACTCTTAAAACCATCAGCTCTTGTGATAATTCACTCACTGTCATGAGAACAGCATGGGGGAAACTGCCCCCAGTTTCCAATCACCTCCCACCAGGTCCCTCCCTTGAACGTGGGGATTACAATTGACATTTGGGTGGGGACACTGAGCCAAACCATACTAGTAATCACAAAATTGTTATTTTTTATAATTTCATTATTCCTTTTGTGGCAGTTAGCTGGAGAGCTTAGGCATTGAAAAATGTATCTACTAAGTGTATTTAATTATCCTGAAATACAGGTTACATTGTAAGGGTAGGATAAATGCTATTTCTTTTTGTTAATGATCTATTTTCAGGATAATAAGTGGGTGCTCTGGCAACTTTCCATGAGTTACAATGTCTTTTATCTCTGTTTTTTTTATTATCATTATTTGTGACTTTAAAATATATTCAACATATTTAAAATAGCTTGCAGCCATTATTCATTTTGATGTATACCTCTAGCCATCCCTTTTGTTTTTAAAATTTAATAATCTTTTATTTATGTTTCTTGCTACAGCAATAAAATTGAATATTGCTTTGTTAGCCAAACTAACATTCTCTTTTTAAGAAGTGAGTTAATCAATTTGTATTTATTGAAATTACCAATGTATTGCTCTATCTTCTATATTTATAACTTTCTCTTGAAACATTTTTACCTTATTTTGTTGTTGTTATTGTTCTCATTGTTGTTTATTAAATGTGCATTCCTCTATTCTGTACCTTAATTCCTGTACTACACTTTTTCTTGTGTGCAACTATTTTTTCTTGTGTTTCTTCTATTTTAAAGTTCATTTCTAAAATGTCTTTCTTTTACATTTATCTAGTTCATTACTAATTCCTTTCCATTCTCTTTACAGATTCTATTATTGTTTAGTTACCTCTCTTCAGAGCTGTTCTATTACTGATTTATGCTTTTCTCACAAAGCTTTGACCATTTAAAAATTTTTCTAGACTATCTAAAAATCTGAAAGTATTGGTTTTGTCTTCTTCATCACTATGGTTATTGGGTGTGTTTTCATTATTTGTTGGGACACTATTTGGTTTATTTATATATTGTCTTACAACTTATTTATGTGGAATTGGATTATAAATTTTTTTTCTGTGTTTAAATAAAGTTGAGTTTCTTTTAACTATTCAGAGAATGTTTCTACATGAAGAGCAGAGAAAAGCCAAAGTTGCTTTTACAAATTCATGGCTCAAGAGCTCCTTCCTCTGTTGTTACCATGATCTATTCAGAAATATAGTTTCTTTTTGGTTTTTGAGGCTAAGCTTGATTCAGAAAGTTGTCCTGCCTCTACCTCTGAAACATTCAGAGCTTTGTGGCCTTCTGCAGTGGTGCTCTTATCTTCAAAAATTATATTTTGTGGTTATGGTATATTCAGAGGTCTTTCTCTGCTAGTCCCTTCCCCAGCAGTTTGCTCAATTTAGATTCTGTTCTTAATAGTCTTTTCTTCAGTTTCTTCTCTATCCTTCTAAAACCAAGATTTTATTGAATGCTTTGAGATTTTTAAGGCTTAGGCTGCTTCCCACTCCATGTGATTCTTATAGCTTTGCCCTCTCATCTGCAGTTTAGAGTCTGTGAATAATTTTATGTTTCTCTGGTTCTTTTTTATTTTCCTAGCCTCCTGTGTTGAGTGTTTGCTACATCCTTCTGTATTCTTACGTATGTGGCAATTCTGGTCATCAAGCTTTGTTGAACACATCATGCATGAGCTTTGTTTTTATTAACTGATATGGTTTGGCTCTGTAACCCCACCCAAATCTCAGATCGAATTGTTATCCTCAATGTTGGAAGAGGGGCCTGTTTGGAGGTGATTGGATATGGGGGTGAACTTCCCCCTTGCTGTTCTCATGATAGTGATTGAGTTTTCATGAGATCTGATCATTTAAAAGTGTGTAGCACTTTCCCCACAGCTCTCTTCCTCCTGCTCTGGCTGTATGAAGACGTGTCTGCTTCCCCTCCACCTTCTGCCATGACTGTAAGTTTCCTAAGGCTTCCCAGCCATGCTTCCTGTACAGCCTGTGGAACTGTGAGTCAATTAAACCTCTTTTCTTCATAAATTACCCAGTCTCAGGTAGTTTTTTTATAGTAGTGTGAGAATGGACTAAAACACTAATCTAGTTGATTTGACTGGTTTTTGTAAGGGGATTGATGTGTTAAATGTCACTACCATCACATTCTTTTTGTCAGAGTCAACTTATGCGCTTTTTAATTTAAATGGTGTGGCTGGTCCATAGAAGAAAAAGTACGGCATCCCAGAATTTGATGATGAGTTCAGAAAAAAATTGCCTTCAGAAGCAAAAATTCACTAAAGTAAATACATAATATTGAAGATTAGTTGTTTAATCCAATCAGAGTAATTTGTTAATGGCTTTTGAGGTGTGTGTGTGGGGGTAGTTTTATCAGTATCAGTATTTGTTTTTCTATTCATTAAATACACTTCCTCTTCAGACAACCATAGACCATACTTCTGAAGTAGACAGCTCTGTTTTGGCATGCTATCTGCAGTCATGAAACAAGATAAAGATCATTGGTCTGACCTTTGGCCTCATTAGACAATAAAATTGGACTGATTGACAAAACTCAATAAAGAATAGATTTAAGCACAGTGCTAATGAGGCCATGATCACAAATTTTACACAGGACCACTGATTTTATTTTATCTTATGGCCACAGGATGTTCCCCAACACTCAAAGTGTTTCCTCTTGGCCATAAAAAAAAGCCTGCATAATGAGCAGGAACAGACCACAGCAAATCCATCACATCTACTGGAAACATGCTCGGTTATTGGCCAAATTATTGGCCATCTTCATCTATAAGAAACAATGCAAATTCAAAGGATACTAGCAGATAAAGTGAAGTCAGCTCCAAAGCCATTCACTGTGAGAAAGAACCAAGTACAACTTGTCTGTGAGTCAGCCCAGGCACAATTCCTCTGTACCTTCTGACTCAAAGTGGCATGCATCAGTCAGCAGCATTGACTTCACTTGGGAGTTGGTTAGAAATGCAGAATCTAAATCCCTTTCCAGACCTACTGAAACAGAATCTGAATTTATCAAGATTCCCTGTTTGGTATGTTTGCATATTCAAGTTTCAGAAGCACTGGGTTAGACCCCAAAATTTGTAGCATCAACTCTTACATCTCTTATAACATCTCTAGGATTGTTGTATTGTTACTCATAAGAGTAAATAAATATCTTCCTGGAACAGCAGTCAACATTCTTCACTTAATGAGTATGATAGCATCTCATGAAATTGTAATAAAATTAAAAACAGGTGACTACTCTTTTCTTGAGATGGCATCTTGCTGTGTTGCCCAGGCTTACCTACAACTCCTATGTTCAAGGGATCCTCCTGCCTTAGCCTCCCAAGGAGTTGGGATTAAAAATGGATGACTAATTTTAAAATTCAGTATCCTGTTTCTATTAGCCCTGTTTTTCTCTTGCACTGTGTATACACGCTCCAATTTTTATCTGTGCATCTGCCTTCCTTTAGCTTTATATTGAAGTAAGAGAATTTTTAAATCTCAATTATGTTTTCTCCTAATACCACAAGACTTAAGAAAACAATTGTCAAAGGGCTTAGCTTAATCCATCACATAATTCCTTTAAGTATCTAGATAGACTGTGGAGCCATTGATAACTATATTTTACTTAATATACTTAGTTATCTAGTGTATCATCTGTGTGACCTCTATTGGAGAGGCTCCAATCACTTCCCTTTTTATTCATTTGTACTAGTTTTCTTATCAAAGATTATTTTAAGAAAGCAACACTGTATCTCAAATGTTTTATTTTCTAATCAAATAGGAGTATCTATTGTACTTTCAAGGACTATTTCTCAGGATACTTATTTTTTTTATTTCCCAGAATATTTGTGGGAAAAAAAAATCTCCTTATACAATGATACTAACACATTGTTTTCTTTGGATAGCAAGGACAAAATGTCTGAACATTGACCCTAATTTGTCATCAGATTAGGCTGTGATGCAAAGAAAGCAAAGCTCTGTTTTAATAGTCTTCTATGTGTTAGTTCATGTTCTATCATAACAAGCTCTCAAAATATTATTGATGTCTTCTCCCATATCACTGGTTAATAGGCATGTTTAGCTGATGACTCACCTCCACAACATAATATCTGTCAGTGCTGTCACTTAGCCTAGACCTCTGTCTAGAGCTCACCCCTCTTTTAGTGTTTTAATTTTTTTACATTTTTGCATGTAACAATCAGTTATATGTGTTTTTGTCTCCTGTTCTCTCCTGCCCTCCCTGCCCTGTGTTTTGTCTCCTGTTCTCTCACTATTTGTTTTTGTTTGTTCTGTTTTTGGATAAATATTCTTGTACCACAGGGACTTAAAGGTTTGGAGGAATCAGCTAAAACAGGGGTCCCCAACCCCTGGGAAACAAACCGGTACTGGTCCATGGCCTGTTAGGAACTGGGCCATACAGCAGGAGGTGAGTGGCAGGTGAGTGAGTGGAGCTTCATCTGTATTTACAGCCACTCGCCATCACTTGCTTCACCACCTGAGCTCAGCCTCCTGTTAGATCAGCGGTGACATTAGATTCTCATAGGAGCATGAACCCTATTGTAAACTGCACATGCGAGGGAACTAGGTTGCGCTCTCCTTATAAGAATCTAATGTCTCCCATTAACCCCAAATGGAACCATCTAGTTGCAGGAAAACAAGCTTGTGGCTCCCACTCTTTCTGCATTATGGTGAGTTTTATAATTATTTCATTATATATTACAATGTAATAACAATAGAAATAAAGTGCACAGTAAAGGTAATGTGCTTGAATCACCCCAAAAGCATGCCCCAACCCCAGTCTGTGGAAAAACTGTCTTTTACAAAACTAGTCCCTGGTGCCAAAAAGATTGGGGACCACTGAGCTAGATGAAAAGGTGGGGAAATGGCATTTCAGGAAAGGAGTTACCAATGATCTTATTGTCAATTCTTAGTTCTCATTTTACTAAATCTCTCAGCAGCATTTAATACATCTCATAATTTTCCTCTTCCTGAAACATCTTTTTCTCTTGAGTCTTATGGCATTCTGTCTTGGGACTCTTCCTTCCTCACTCATTGCTTCTCCTGGCACCGTAAGAAATCCCTCCTCACCTCCCTTACCTTGATATTTGGGGTGCCCTAACGACAGTCCTCTGGCTCATTCATTTCTCTATAAGCATTTACTCTCTAAGTGATCTCATCTAGCTGCATTCTTTGAACACCATTTACATGTAAAAGACTGTCAATATTGTATTTCAGGCCGCATTACTCTGACTCTAAGCTCATATATTTAAATGTCAATTTAACCTCTCCACTTTCATATCTGATAGCTATCTCAAAATTAACGTATCCAAAAGAAAACTTTTTTTGGCCCTAAACGCAAATATACCTGCTACTTTCCCAGTGTTCACTACCTCAGGAAATAGAATTCTAGGCTTCCAAAAATCTTGGAGACATCCTGACTCTTCTTGATCACAACCCACATCCAATCCATTAACAAGTCTTGTAGAACTACCCTTGAAATATATCAAGAAAGCTCATTGCTTCTCCCACTTAACAGCTACCACTCCTGCTGATGCTACCATCATTTCCCGCTGGGTTTATTGCAAAAGCTTTTTAAATGTTCACACTTCTTCTAGCTTGACTTCCTAAATTCTAGTCCCAACATGTCAGAGTTTTCCTTTTATAGCACAAGTCAGACCTTGTTGTTTCTTTTTCCTATCTCATACAGGGTAAATCCAAAGTTCTTATGGTAGTCTAAAAATCTTTCTGCAATAAGGTCTCTACTAACTCTGCAACTTCATACTTTATTACTATCTGCCTCCCTCAATCCGAACCAGCCCTGTGGCCTCCTTGCTCTTACTTGAACATGCCAGTCACTCTCTAGCTTCAGTACCTACCTTGCTATTTCTGCCTGAGTGCTGTCAGCTACCCCCTCACTATATTAAAATCTCTGTTCAAATAGAATCTTTTTAGAGAGGGTGACTTTGACCAACCCCTCCCCTTAAAATCCCTTTGCATCCTCTTACCCTGATTTGTTTTTCTTCTTAGCCTTCATAATTACAGACATATTATGTCTCTGTTGATTGTTCATCTTCCCAATAGAATGCAAGAGCAGAAGCTTTGTATTTCTTGTTTATTTCTGTATCTCTGGTGCCTAGAATTATAGGTATTCAATAAATGTATATACTGAAAGAAAAATTGAATAGGTAAATGTAGAAAGTAAAGTACATGCAAAAATTCTTTCTAAGGGACATGCATAGAGTATGAGGTATATGAATAGTGTACAAAGATTGTTATGACTAGTGGCATAAATCTGGTATGTGGTCCTGGAGCTTCTCCAAAATTTCAATGTAGTAATTGTGTATTTAAAATGTATAAATAATGACATTCAAATATGGATTAAAACAACTTTAGAAACCACTGATTATATAAACATTTGTTAAATTTCTACTTTGGGCCAAGCACTAATATTAAGCACTATCACTACAAACAGGGAACCTGACATCACTGGACAACAAATTTGGGGGAAGTGAAGGTCTAAAACTATATAAGATATTGTAAAGAGTCTATATATTTAGCTTCAGTATATAATTCTCTTCCTATGGTTAAATCTTACTCTGGCAATGAGAGATGAATAACCCCAGTGTGGTACACAGGTCAAAACTGGAGACAAGGCTGGAGTTTTTTACAAAGAGGCACTACCTCCAGTCTGGGAATAAAATCCCTGTAACATTTTTAGAATGAAAGACATTACTCTGAAGTTTAACAGCCCTTGCTAGCAGTATCATTTTTTTAACAATACGATAGACCCTATACCACTGTTGTCTTTTTGTATATCTGTGTCACATCCCACTTGAAGGCTGGTGTGAAGCATAGTAACTATATAACCTAGCATTCACCATATATTTGTTCCTTGATTGGATTAAGGACTTAGCAAAATAAGGCAATATGTTAGTAGAGCCATAAACAACATCCTGGATTAATAATCATGATCAGGCATAAAATGTCCTCCTATACTTTAGAGTTTCTCATAATCTTCTGTCTCCAATGGGAGTAAAAATCTTTATAGATTTCAAAAGCCAT
Source organism: Homo sapiens (assembly GCF_000001405.40). Lineage (NCBI taxonomy): Eukaryota > Metazoa > Chordata > Mammalia > Primates > Hominidae > Homo > Homo sapiens. Next base: position 58,287,401 of record NC_000006.12, on the reverse strand, counting down.
AAGAATACTGAACTATAATACTTAAAAAATTTTTAATGTAAGTGTTAAAATAAGCCAAGAACATGCATCTGTCAAAATGACAGGTTGGATATGGACTTCAAATAATACTGTGTTCTCAGTTATACTTTTTCTAAGATCATCCTCCCAATTTAGACTTTCAGTGAACCAAAGTCTGGGATGCAAAGTAGCTCATTCATATTTTGATTCAGGCAAAGAGAATATGAGCTTAATCTAAAACTTACCATATAGTTGTGTTATGAATTTATAAGAGCAGCTCCATAATTTATAGGTTGATGGGACATATTTCCAAAACAACCTGGTATGACTAATGAAACCGTGTGTCACAGTTCAGCAACTGAATAGGTAATGTAGCTACAGGGCTTGATTTCTAAATCACTGAACTCATCATACATAGATAGGAGAGACTACATCCCTCTGCGATAAAAATAAAGATGAATGAGCATGTGACATGAGCGGCAATGGCATTAAGATTGAATAGCATACACAAATACTCATTTACGTTTTTAAGTTTAGAAAAGGATACAAGAAACCATATATAAATTTTCATAATTGGCAGATATTATCCAGGACAGCTTCCTCAATTCAAATAAAAATGATGATGATGATGATGGTGATGATGATGATGGTGATGATGATAATGATGATGATGCCTGTCATTGATCATTTCCTGCATACCAGGCACCATTAAAAGCATTAACATAATTACACTATGATACTCAAAAATGAAGAGCAAGATGATACTAGCTTCTAGCTCCATTTAGAAATGAAGGAACTTCCCTGCTTTTCATCCAACTGATCTTCTGTTTCACAGTTCCTTCTCCACTCATACATACTCATGTTTGTATCCTTGGCCTTACTCCTGTTAGATCTATAACTTTTTTCTAACCTCAGAAAATTTTCTGAATCCTAGATCTAGTTCTTACTTTTTCCCTTATCTCCTGGCAAACTTTATTGCCTCCCAAGCCCTATTATGACAGTAAATATATTGTCCTTCTTTAAGATCTACCAGTAGCTTAATCTTGCAACAAAGAATTCTCAAGCTAATGCCAATTTGAAGAATGGTAATTTATTAGTTTAAAATGAGGAGATATATAAATTAAGAAGTCTTTCCCAGTTATGATGCATATCATAACACATAAAGTATAACATATATTCTCTGCTTTCAAAGCTATCCCTCTTCCTCAGGCCAGAATCTATGTAAACAATATGCAGATCTATCAAGCAAATACTGAAGGGCACAGAAGAGATAAATAAATCTTATACTTCATTTGTGGTCCTGTTTAGGTCATATGTAGAAAGATTAATGAATAAATAAGTTTAAAATCTGTCATTAGGTAAATCAAATAATTTAAACTTTTTTCAAAGAAGCCCTAGAATGCCTTCCATCAAGAATACCAATCTAGTACTATTTCAAGCTCCCTGCATTTGTGTTGGTCAACATCTCAGGATGCTAATGAGAGAACACACACACCATATTCTTTGAGCATATACTTTAGAATCCTTTGCTATAACTGGGCAGCTATAACTAGCTATTTAATAAATGAGACAAAAAGTATTATTTAATTTCTTTCAGGAACATTTTACAGTTTTCAGGGAACAAACATTTTCCCTTCTTAGTTTAACTATTTTTTTGTGATGTTATTGTAAATGGAATTTTTTTCTTAATTTTCTTTTCAGAAAGTTCATTGTTAGTATATAGAAGTGTAATTGACGTTTGAGTGTTGGTTTTATATTCTACAACTTTGCTAAATTTATTTATAGTCATAACAGTTTTTTGTAAAATCTTTAGGGTTTTCTACAGTTGTTCATGCTACCTGCAAACAGAGACAATTTCACTATTTCCTTTCCAATTTGGAGGCCTTTTATTTCTTTTTCTTGCATAAATTTTTCTGGCTAGAACTTTCAGTACTATGTAAAAGAGAAGAAGCAAGAGGAAGGCTTCCTTGCCTTATTCCTTATCTTAGAGGAAAAGCTTTTCATTTTTCATCACTGAATATGATGTGAGCTGCAGGTTTTAATATATGGTCTGTATTATGTTAAAGTAGTTTCCTTTTATTCTTGGTTTGTTAACAGTTTTCATATTGAAAACATGTCAAATTTTGTCAAGTGCTTTTTCTTCATCATGAGATGATCATGCTTATTTTTTCCTTCATTCTATTAATATGGTATATGATATTGATCAATTTTTATCTGTTGAAACATCCTTGCATTCTCAGAATAAATCCCACTTGGTTATGTGTATAAGACTTTTAACTAACTGTTGACTTTTGCTTGCTAGTATTTTGTTGAGAAGTTTTGAATCAATATTCATCAGGGATATTGATCTGTAGCTTTATTTTCTTGAAGTGATTTTGTCTTGTTTGGGTATCAGAATAATGAGGGCCTAATAAAATGAGTTTGGAAGTGTTCCTTTGTCTTTAATTTTTTGGAAGAGTTTGAGGAGGATTAGTGTTATTTCTTCCTTGAGTGTTTAATAGAATTCACCAGTTAAGCCTTCCAATCCCAGGTTTTTCTTTGTTGTGGGATTTTTTTGTTACTAGCTGATTTTATCTCCTTTCCAGATATGAGTCTAACTCAGATGTTTCTATTTCTTCATGATTCAGTCTGGTGGTTGCATGCTTCTAGGCATTTGTCCATTGTATCTAGGTTATCCAATTTGTTAACATACAATTGTTCATAGTAATCTCTTATATATTTTTATATCTCTTTCATTTCTGATTTTAGATGGGTCTTCCTTTTTTTCATCAATCGAGCTAAAGTTTCAACTGTTTTGTTTATCATTTAAAGACTCAACACTTGGTTTCATTATTGTTTTCTGTTCTTTGTTTATCTCTGCTTTCGTCTTCATCATTTTCTTTCTTCTGCTAGCTTTAGGTACAGTATTGTATGAGTCTGTTCTCATGCTGCTATAAAGAACTGCCCGAGACTGGGTAATTTATAAAAGAAAATGGCTTAGTTGACTTATAGTTCAGCATAGCTGGGGAAGCCTCAGGAAACTTACAATCGTGGCATATGGGGAAGCAAACACATCCTTCTTCACATTGCAGCAGAAAGGAGAAGTGCAGAGCAAAGTAGGGGGAGCCTCTTATAAAACCATCAGATCTCATGAGAACTCACTCACTATCATGAGAACAGCATGGAGGAACCACCCCCATGATCTAATCACCTCCCACAAGGTCCCTCCCCCAACACGTGGGGATTACAATTTGGATTACAATTCAAGATTGGATTTCAGGTGGGGACAAAGCCTAATCATATTATTCTACCCCTGGCCCCTTCCAAATTTTATGTCCTCACATTTCAAAACACAATTTTTTTTTTTTGGAAAGGGGGAGCCTTTCCAAAACTCCCCCCAAATCTTAACTCATTCTAGCATTAACTTGAAAGTCCATGTCCAAAGTCTCATCTGAGACAGGGGAAGTCCCTTCTGCCTGTGCGCCTCTAAAATCAAAAGTAACTTAGCTACTTCCTGTACACAATGGGGATACAGGCATTGGGTAAATATACCCATTCCAAATAGGAGATATTGGCCAAAACAATGGGGCTACAGGCTGTTAGGGACAAACCGCCCCAAAAAGCTTCTTAGTACTGCCGATACCCCACCCCAAACCTCTCTGTGCCCACCCCTCCCCTTCCTCCAAGCCTTTCAACATTTCTAAGCCCCCTTATCTATGTGCCATGGTGGAGCCAGCAGACTTCACTTATCAGACCTTGCTGTGACAAGCAGACCCCAATTACAAACCATCCAGGCCACACAGTGGGAGCTCGTGGAAGCATAAACAAACTTTATGCACACTCTCTGGTACCATAAATGTCACAAGGTAATATGTGGCAGGATTAACCAGAAAACAACCCCGAGATGTAGCCATACCAAAGGACTCCCTCGAACTCCCTGTCCCAATATAAACCCCTCATTCTGTAAGCTTGGGGCTGCTTTCCTTGACTGTTGAGGGGGCAGCCAGCAGGTTGAATAAAGGATTGCCTGAACTTGGGTCTCTCTCGTCCTTTCTCTTGGCTGACCTTACACAGGCCCCATGCAGGTCAGAAATCCAAGGCATCATTAAACCTTAAAGTTCCAAAAGGATCTCCTTTGACTCCATGTCTCACATCCAGGTCACACTGATACAAGAGGCGGGCTCCCATGGCCTTGGACAGCTACAGGCCTGTGGCTTTGCAGGGTACAGCCCCATTTACATCTGCTTTCACAGGCTGGCACTGAGTGTCTGTGGCTTTTCCAGGCACATGGTTCAAGCTGTTGGTGGATCTACCATTCTGGGGTCTGGAGGATGGTGGCCCTCTTCTCACAGCTCCACTAGACAGAGCTCCAGTGGGGACTCTGTGTTGGGGCTCCTCTGACCCTACATTTCCCTTCTGCACTGACCCAGCAGGGAGTTCCACCCCTACAGCAGACTTCTGCCTAGACATCAGACATTTCCATACATCCTCTGAAATCTAGGTGGAGGTTCCCAAACCGCCATTATTTTATTCTGCGCACCCACAGGACCAACACTACTGGAAGCGTCCAAGGCTTGGAGCTTGAACCTCTGAAGCAACAGCCTGAACTGTATGTTGGCCCCTTTTAGCCATGGCTGGAGCTGAAGCAGCTGGGATGCAGGGTACCATGTCCCGAGGCTGCATAGAGCAGGAGCCCCTGGTCCCAGCCTAAAAAACCATTTTTTTTCCTCCTAGGCCTCAGGGCCACAAAGGTCTCTGACATGCCCTGGAGACATTTTCTCCATTGTCTTGGTGATTAACATTGTGAGTTAACTTATGCAAATTTCTGCAACTGGCTTGAATTTCCCCCACAAAAATGGGTTTTTCTTTTCTATTGCATTGTCAGGCTCCAAATTTTCCAAACTTTTATGCTCTGTTTCCCTTTTAAGCATAAGTTTCAATTTCAGATCATCTGTCTCAAGTTCAAAGTTCCAGAGATCTCTAGGGCGGGGACAAAATGCTTCCAGTCTCTTTGCTAAAGAACAGCAAGTGTGACTTTTACTTCAGTTCCCAACAGGTTCTTCATCTCCATCTGAGACCACCTCAGCCTGGTCTTCCTTCTCCATATCACTGTCAACATTTTGGTCAAAGCCGTTCAACAAGTCCCTAGGAAGCTGCAAACTTTCCCACATCTGTCTGTCTTCTGAGCCTTCCAAGTCTCTGGGAAGTTCCAAACTTTTCCACGTTTTCGTCTCTTCTGAGCCCTCCAAACTGTTCAAAAATCTGTTAACCAGTTTTAAAGTTGCTTCCACATTTTCAATTATCTTTATAGCAGTGCCCCACTCTCTGCAGTACTAATTTACTGTATTAGCCCACCCTCATGCTGCTGTAAAGAACTGCCCAAGACTGAGAAATTTATAAAGGAAAGAAGTTTAATTGACTCACAGTTCAGCATGGCTGGGGAGGCCTCAGGAAACTTACAATCATGGCAGACGGGGAAGCACACATGCTCTTTTTCACATGGTGGCAGGTAAGAGAAGTGCAGAGTGAAGCTGTGGAAAAACCACCTATAAAGCCATCAGATCTCATGAGAACTCACTCACTATCACAAGAACAGCATAGAGGAAAAATTCCCATGATCTAATCACCTCCCATGAGGTCCCTCCCCCAACACATCAGGATTACAGTTTAGATTACAATTCAAGATGAGATTTTGGGTGGGGACACAGCCAAACCATGTCATGTTTTCTTTTTTAGTTCCTAAATGTGTCAAGTTAGGCTGTTGATTTGAGATATTTCTTCTTTTTTAATATAAGTATTTATACATATAAATTTCTCTTACTGCTTTTGCTGCATCCCATACATTTTGGTATATTGTGTTTTCATTTTCATTTGTTTTGAAATATTGTCTAACTTCCCATTCCTTCTTTGACCCATTGGTTTTTAAGAAATGTGTTTAATTTCCACACATTTATAGATTTTCCAGTTTTTCTTCTGTGAATGATTTATACTCATTCTATTTTGATCACAAAAGATACTTTTTAAAATTTTAATCTTTTGAAATTTATTAACAATTGTTTGGTCACCTAATATATGGCCTATCCTAGATAGTGTTCCTTGCACACTTGAGAAAAATGTGTAATCTGTTGTGTAAAACGTTCTGTATGTCTGTTAGATTAAATTAGTCTATACTATTGTTCAAATACTCTATTTCCTTATCAATCTTTTGTCTGATCATTCCATAGATTACTGAAAGTATGGAAGTCTCCTACTATTATCAGAGCTGTCTATTTCTCCTTTCAAATCCGTAAATATTTGTTTGCTTTATACTATTATGTATTTTCAAGGGTGTGGATGGAATTGTATTTATGCCTTTAAACACCATGAAGCAGGATCAGAAAATTCATACACATCTACGGTGACCATGCAGATATCTCACTCAGATGTCCCTTCAAGCAATCTGCTATAGGGAACATAGTTGACTGACAGCCCCGGCTGCTGTTCCTTTGGATCTACCATTGTACACAGTCAGAGAACACAGTTCTTTGGGCTATTCCCAGCCAATAACTGAGCATGGCCAGAGTCCTGGAGCTGAGCTATTCTTGTGCAATGTGGAACACCTTCAGTGGGCAACTTTTGCTTGGAAATTCCCTTTCTCTTGACTAAGGCTTTATCAGAAGCATGCTATGATCTCAAACCTTTCCTTCCCAATTCTCCTTCTTTCTGACTCTCCTTTCATAGATATCTGACCAACATCACACTCTGAAGGTTTTTTGTGCCCGCTTCTGCTCTCTCTAACTTTATCCTTTACAGGTGTTGCACTCAATAAATCTCCTGTGCTAGAATTCTGAGAGTCTTCTCAGAGGACTTGAACTGATGCAACACCTCCCTCACAAGTGGAAAAAAAATAGCAGCTTTTCTAGGACTCAGGTAATCTTCCTTAAAAGTCCTTCACTCTCATTTCCCACCACATTAGAAGAAAATTCAAGTGTCTTCCATTTTGAATATTCATTTTATTTAAAATTGAAGTCCCCACTGGGCATATTTAGATAATATCTTATAGAAGATTCTGCTTTTCTAGGTAAAAAAAAAAAAATCTCATACCATTTTTCTTCTCTCAAATGATATTGCCTGTATGTGTGAGGACTCTGTTTGTCTTTGTGGAGGTGATGATAATGGTAGCAGTAGTGGTAATTGTAGTGGTCTTTTCTTTTTCTTTACACTTTAAGTTTTAAGGTACATGTTCACAACGTGCAGGTTTGTTACATATGTATAAATGTGTCATGTTGGTGTGCTGCACCCATTAACCTGTCATTTAGCATTAGGTATATCTCCTAAAGCTATCTCTCCCTGCTTCCCTAAATCCCACAACAGACCCCAGTGTGTGATGTTCCCCTTCCTGCATCCATGTGTTCTCAATGTTCAATTCCCACCTATGAGTGAGAACATGCAGTGTTTGGTTTTTTGTCCTTGCAATAGTTTGCTGAGAATGATGGTTTCCAGCTTCATCCATGTCCCTACAAAGGACATAAACTCATCCTTTTTTATGGCTGCATAGTATTCCATGGTGTATATGTGCCACATTTTCTTAATCCAGTCTATCATTGTTGGACATTTGGCTTGGTTCCAAGTCTTTGCTATTGTGAATAGTGCCACAATAAACATATGTGTGAATGTGTCTTTATAGCAGCATGATTTATGATCCTTTGGGTATATACCCAGTAATGGGATGGCTGGGTCAAATGGTATTTCTAGTTCTAGATTCCTGAGGAATTGCCACACTGACTTCCACAATGGCTGAACTAGTTTACAGTCCCACCAACAGTGTAAAAGTGTTCCTATTTCTCCACATCCTCTCCAGCACCTGTTGTTTCCTGACTTTTTAATGATTGCCATTCTAACTGATGTGAGATGGTATCTCATTGTCGTTTTGATTTGCATTTCTCTGATGGCCAGTGATGATGAGCATTTTTTCATGTGTCTTTTGGCTGCATAAATGTCTTCTTTTTTTTAAAATTTTATTATTATACTTTAAGTTTTAGGGTACATATGCACAATGTGCAGGTTTGTTACATATGTATACATGTGCCATGTTGGTGTGCTGCACCCATTAACTCATCACTTAGCATTAGGTATATCTCCTAATGCTATCTCTCCCCCCTCCCCCCACCCCACAACAGTCCCCAGAGTGTGATGTTCCCCTTCCTGTGTCCATGTGTTCTCATTGTTCAGTTGCCACCTATGAGTGAGAACATGTAGTGTTTGGTTTTTTGTCCTTGCGATAGTTTGCTGAGAATGATGCTTTCCAGTTTCATCCGTGTCCCTACAAAGGACATGAACTCATCATTTTTTATGGCTGCATAGTATTCCATGGTGTATATGTGCCACATTTTCTTAATCCAGTCTATCATTGTTGGACATTTGGCTTGGTTCCAAGTCTTTGCTATTGTGAATAGTGCCACAATAAACATATGTGTGAATGTATTTTTACAGCAGCATGATTTATAATCCTTTGGGTATACACCCAGTAATGGGATGGCCAGGCCAAATGGTATTTCTACTTCTAGATCCCTGAGGAATCGCCACACTGACTTCCACAATGGTTGAACTAGTTTAGAGTCCCACCAACAGTGGAAAAGTGTTTCTATTTCTCTACATCCTCTCCAGCACCTGTTGTCTCCTGACTTTTTAATGATCACCATTCTAACTGGTGTGAGATGGTATCTCATTGTGGTTTTGATTTGCATTTCTCTGATGACCAGTGATGTTGAGCATTTTTTCATGTGTTTTTTGGCTGCATAAATGTCCTCTTTTAAGAAGTGCTTTGCCCACTTTTTGATGGGGTTGTTTGTTTTTGTCTTGTAAATTTGTTTGAGTTCACTGTAGATTCTGGATATTAGCCCTTTGTCAGATGAGTAGGTTGCAAAAATTTTCTCCCATTGTGTAGGTTGCCTGTTCACTCCGATGGTAGTTTCTTTTGCTGTGCAGAAGCTCTTTAGTTTAATTAGATCCCATTTGTCAATTTTGTCTTTTGTTGCCATTGCTTTTGGTGTTTTAGACATGAAGTCCTTGCCCATGCCTATGTTGTTAATGGTATTGCCTAGGTTTTCTTTTAGGGTTTTTATGGTTTTAGGTCTAACATGTAAGTCTTTAATCCATCCTGAATTAATTTTTGTGTAAGGTGTAAGGAAGGGATCCAGGTTCAGCTTTCTACATATGGCTAGCCAGTTTTCCCAGCACCATGTATTAAATAGGAAATCCTTTCCCCATTGCTTGCTTTTGTCAGGTTTGTCAAAGATCAGATGGTTGTAGATAAGTGGCATTATTTCTGCAGGCTCTGTTCTGTTCCATTGATCTATTTCTCTGTTTTGGTACCAGTACCATGCTGTTTTGTTTACTGTAGCCTTGTAGTATAGTCTGAAGTCAGGTGGCGTGATGCCTCCAGCTTTTTTCTTTTGGCTTAGGATTGACTTGTCAATGCGGGCTCTGTTTTGGTTCCATGTGAACTTCAAAGTATTTTTTTTTCCAATTCTGTGAAGAAAGTCATTGGTAGCTTGACGGGGATGGCATTGAATCTATAAATTACTTTGGGCAGTATGGCCATTTTCACAATATTGATTCTTCCTACCCATGAGCATGGAATGTTCTTCCACTTGTTTGTATCCTCTTTTATTTCATTGAGCAGTGGTTTGTAGTTCTCCTTGAAGAGGTCTTTCACATCCCTTGTGAGTTGGATTCCTAGGTATTTTATTCTCTTTGAAGCAATTGTGAATGGGAGTCCACTCATGATTTGGCTCTCTGTTTGTCTGTTATTGGTGTATAAGAATGCTTGTGATTTTTGCACATTGATTTTGTATCCTGAGACTTTGCTGAAGTTGCTTATCAGCTTAAGGAGATTTTGGGCTGAGACCATGGGGTTTTCTAGATATACAATCATGTCATCTGCAAACAGGGACAATTTGACTTCCTCTTTTCCTAATTGAATACCCTTTATTTCCTTCTCCTGCCTAATTGCCCTGGCCAGAACTTCCAACACTATGCTGAATAGGAGTGGTGAGAGAGGGCATCCCTGTCTTGTGCCAGTTTTCAAAGGGAATACTTCCAGTTTTTGTCCATTCAGTATGATATTGGCTGTGGGTTTGTCATAGATAGCTCTTATTATTTTGAGATATGTCCCATGAATACCTAATTTATTGAGAGTTTTTAGCTTGAAGTGTTGTTGAATTTTGTCAAAGGTCTTTTCTGCATCTATTGAGATAATCACGTGGTTTTTGTCTTTGGTTCTGTTTATATGCTGGATTACACTTATTGATTTCCATATGTTGAACCAGCCTTGCATCCCAGGAATGAAGCCCACTTGATCATGGTGGATAAGCTTTTTGATGTGCTGCTGGATTCGGTTTGCCAGTATTTTATTGAGGATTTTTGCAACAACGTTCATCAAGGATATTGGTCTAAAATTCTCTTTTTTGTTGTTGTGTCTCTGCCAGCCTTCGGTATCAGGATGATGCTGGCCTCATAAAATGAGTTAGGGAGGATTCCCTCTTTTTCTATTGATTGGAATAGTTTCAGAAGGCATGGTACCATTTCCTCCTTGTACCTCTGGTAGAATTCGGCTGTGAATCCATCTGGTCCTGGAATGTTTTTGGTTGGTAAGCTATTGATTATTGCCACAATTTCAGAGCCTGTTATTGGTCTATTCAGAGATTCAACTTCTTCCTGGTTTAGTCTTGGGAGGGTGTATGTGTCGAGGAATTTATCCATTTCTTCTAGATTTTCTAGTTTATTTGCATAGAGGAGTTTATAGTATTCTCTGATGGTAGTTTGTATTTCTGTGGGATTGGTGGTGATATCCCCTTTATCATTTTGTATTCCGTCTGTTTGATTCTTCTCTCTTTTCTTCTTTATTAGTCTTGCTAGCAGTCTATCAATTTTGTTGATCTTTTCAAATAACCAGCTCCTGGTGTCATTGATTTTTTGAAGGGTTTTTTGTGTCTCTATTTCCTTCAGTTCTGCTCTGATCTTAGTTATTTCTTGCCTTCTGCTTGCTTTTGAATGTGTTTGCTCTTACTTCTCTAGTCCTTTTAATTGTGATGTTAGGGTGTCTCTTTTAGATCTTTCCTGCTTTCTCTTGTGGCCATTTAGTGCTATAAATTTCCCTCTACACACTGCTTTGAATGTGTCCCAGAGATTCTGGTATGCTGTGTCTTTGTTCTTGTTGGTTTCAAAGAACATCTTTATTTCTGCCTTCATTTCGTTATGTACCCAGTAATCATTCAGGAGCAGGTTGTTCAATTTCCATGTAGTCGAGTAGTTTTGAGTGAGTTTCTTAATCCTGAGTTCTAGTTTGATTGCACTGTGGTCTGAGAGACAGTTTGTTATAATTTCTGTTCTTTTACATTTGCTGAGGAGTGCTTTACTTCCAACTGTGTGGTCAGTTTTGGAATAGGTTTGGTGTGGTGCTGAGAAGAATGTATAGTCTGTTGATTTGGGGTGGAGAGTTCTGTAGATGTCTATTATGTCTGCTTGACTTCACCTTGGTTTTTGTCATCTAGTTTTGACTCCCATTCAGTCTCGGCACAAGGTGTCTCCTCTATGCCACTGTATAAGTTTACTCTGCTCCAACATGTTCCCTCCTCTGACCAGTTTGCCTGTCAGCCTGCAGTTACTTCTGAGTCTGCTCAAAGAGAAGCTCAGGAAAGTTCCCCTTTAAGACCCGTATCTTTCCAACCTTTGTGAGATGCTGACTTTATTCGTTTTAGTTGTGGTCCAAATCGTTGGATTGCAAAGTGGCCTCTTCTTAGTGTCCCAAATAGGAAGCATGAGGACAAAAAGTATCTTCTATTGAGGAACAAAGCTTGGAGAAGCAAAGTTTTACACATTAACTCATTTTGCACTGCTAATCACTCTTTCTCCTCTGCTCACAATTTTCTCAGGGTCATAAAGAGAAGACTTTTCCTTCTTCTCCTCTTCTGTACCTATTTTATCTAAAACTGTAAGGTGTCAACTGCTACAACTGTCCCTTAAAATGGAGTTAAAGTAATTTATAGAATGCTTACTCAAGATAAGAATTTTGCATATAATGTATTGTTTTATTGATAAGTTATATTTTTTGAATGTGAGAAACTGAATATTACTTAATGGTAATATTTGAATTCTTTCTGTAATTTATCCTAATCTGTCCCCAACCATGGGATATCTCATGGAGCCTGGAATGAAGGTTATATATATAAAGCAAAAGAAGTAGGAAACTTTTCCCCAATCATTTGGCATAGGTTTCTATAAGCAAGCTAGCCAAGAGACAGCTTAGTAACAACTGAATGAGTGGTTAAGTGTGCATGTAGATGTGTGTGTCATGCCCTTTTTCTAGGGTGAGGCCCAAGCATCAAATTTAGTTTAAAAGCCCCGTAGTTAATTGTGTGTGTGGCCGAGATGGAGAGTCACCATTGTATGCGCGCATAAATAAATAGAATATTGATGCTTAAAAGGTAGTGCGTTGTATCTTATGAAAAGCAGTTCGTTTTTAAGGGTCTTCCAAGCTTATACTTAAAGTTCTTTTATCTATTAAGACAGTTCTTAATTTTATTCACATGGATAAGTGATAAACCAAATGCCTTTATTTAAACATTATCCAAATCTAGCATCAGATTGCATAACAGAGACAGCCTTATCCCATGTGGCTGAAAGGAGAGTGGCTTAGAAGCTTTCACAATTCCCAAACTTCATAAAGATTTGAAGGCACATGAATCATAATAGAACCTACATGCCTAGTAAAAATTCTCATTATTAAACATTATCAGTCTGAATTAAAAGTCTGAAATTATCCTGTTTCTTCATTATCCAATAGCAGTAGCCTCCTAATGAATGCAGACACTTTATTGGTTTTGACAAAATATATTTAATATTGCACTCAAAATATTCAACAGCATGAATGACATTTTTGTATTGCAAACATTCTTTTATAAAGACCACAGAAAATAAGAGGGAAATGGACATCCCATAGAAGCACTAAGGCCAAGGACTGAGACCTTGGACAAATCCCACTGTCAATCTATGTCCAGGCATGACTGGACAACATATGCAAGGCAGCAGCACTGGCACTGCCATTATTGACTTTCCCATCCCATCTCTGAGAGATAATCACCCTTTAAATCAAAACCTACAAGGTGTGAAAATTGCAGGAACTCACCATAATCTAAGAACTTGGTTCTTTTACGTCCCAAGGGCATAATACATTTCCCTTAAATGACCTTTACTATTCCATCTCACTTTAACCTGTTCTCAAAAGTAAAAAAAAACAAAAAACAAAAAAACAATTTTCAGATTAGAAGAGAAGAGGCTAAGAAGCATGTAATTCTGCTCACAATGGATTTTTACAGGCCTCACTGGAGTTAATTACTGAAAACTTGTAAAGGAAGTAATTAATTTCATGCAATTCAGCACCATCTGCAGATGCATTATTTTCATTCAAAAGTTATATAATTGATACAAACTTAAAATTGTTAGAAATTTTGAGAAAGCCATAATGTTTGCACCTTTGTTTACATTATCCAATTAGATGAAGAAATTATGTCTTATAGAAAACCCATTCAAAAATACCAACTGGATTACCTTTAAGATAGATGTTGAGGAAAAAACAAACCACAAATTCAAACTGCTAACCTTAACTTCAGAGGTTATTTAGTCTAACTTAGATTTCTAGGCTATAATCATGCACTCCTGCTGAAATAATACTGTACAGAGTCTTCAAAACTCTGTAGACTTACAAAGTTTTTATACAGATTGCAAAGTTTGTATTATTCCCATCCACATTTAACAATCCCCAGCTACTGCTCCCATAACGCTGGACTGCAGAGCACAAGCATCCTCCAGTTGCACATGCACTCCAGGATTTGCTCCCAAGAGCCCGATAGAAAAACTAATCAAAAGAGAGTATGAAGGGGAAGTAGAGGATATTACCCCTTTTTGTGGGCTCCCTACCTACTCCTCATTAGTTTTGCTGTCTCACCCTTTTGTGGGCCCGTCCTAATGTATTTTGGGCCTTAGGCATGTGAGTCAGTACTTTCAGCTTTCGTGATAGGTTTGAATAGCAGGTAAACCTTGCTAGAGCACAGCCCACTATGCCAAGATCTGTATTTATCAATCAGACTCTGTGGAACAACAGATTCTGTGATTTACAAACTCTGAGACTACTGAATGCAATTTAAGATCAAGAACAGTGTATTATTTCCTTAATGATTATGATTCATCAGTGAGAGATCCAGGAAAATAAAACATTTTGTGTTTTGGACATGGTCTCAAGATTATCCCATGGCAAAATCTTGGGGTGATGTGAGTCAAGCTGTGGCGTTCACCTAGATATGCTCCCTCTCATTCTTGGTGTAATGAGCACACATGCAATGCATTTGAAGAATTGGAGTAGATATTTCAGGCCCCAATCACAGCGAGTGTTTTCTTGTATTAAATTAGCAGTATTCACTTCTCCGATAGGGTTGAAAACATTTGCAGACAGAGATACACACTGTACAAAATATGTACCCTGAGAGTTCATCTTTATAACTATAAATGTAGGATTTGGTTTTTAAATTTTTTAAATGTGGTTTTTCTTTTACATGTGTATTTCTTATCCGCTAAGATGTACTGGCCTTCACTTGCTGTGAAATGAGTTGTCAGAGAAGCAACAATATATGACTGTTATCTCTTTTTTTTTAAATGTTGCCTTAAAACTCATCACAGAAAATTATTTAAGCCATGTCTTCCTGGCAAGGAGAGAAAGCCACTTAAAAAATTGAATATTTAGTTTCTGAAATAAAATCTTTGTAACAGAGATTATTTATAACATCCTCACTATTTATATGGCTACTGTCTTTGTGAACCTTTTCCAATAATTTTAATTAAATAAATCTCACTTCTAAAAGTATAAAAGTAATAGCAGAAAAATTCTGGGGCTTTGTCTGTAATTTAGTCCTACAGGCAAAATAAGTCATAGCAATTCTAATGTCATTTTTAGCAAAAGAAAGTCAAGCAGTTTCAGACATTTATTTAACTGACATTTATGGGTAGGAAGTTTCACCTAGAAATCTTAAGAATGTGAAAACATGATAAGTCATCCATTTCTCTTTCTTGTACAGGTAATTTGATCTTTGTCTCACACCTTCACACTTCAACACTGGAATGAAGTCTTTGTACTATCTAAACTGAATGATAAGACCGAAAGAAACAAAGTCAGAGGCTCAGGAGGCCAATTCACGGTGAGAGCTAGATAAAATCACCCAAGACTAAATGCTGTTATTGAACTAAGTTGGAGCAATTTAACACTGATTTTGACGTCAGAAGACTAAAGTTCATGCAATATTTTATCTGTTAAAGAAGAAGCTACAACCGGTGCTGAAAACAATTTGACTTTTTAAAATCAATGCTTTAGTGATCCATACTTTTTAAAATGTAAACTATGGCTACAATCATTGGTTACCAACTTCCATTAGTATGTTTTGACCCATAGCCTTATTTCAACACCTCAGGATAAGCTAGCAGGCCACATTTTAAAATAAAGATGTTCTCATGTGCATGTTTAAAATATTTTTGAGCTAGGAGAGAAGCTTAAAATGTAGTTTTTAAAAGATATTCTTGTGTTTGAGGAGATTATCTCCCTTTTTGTGCTGAAAGATTTAAAATTGGAGTTTTATAAATATAGAAGTAGACTTTCTGTGGAATTAGTAAACATCCATCTTTCTCACCCTCACAGCACAAAGATGAAAGTAAATGACTAAAACATATGTAAACCCTCAAGGGTGAGTGAATAGGAGAGGAGTCAACATGAAATGTCAGGAAATTTTGGAAGATGAAGAACTAAGAGAGAACTTCAGTGGAAGAGCACAGGGAGGTGAAAATCAAGTGCCTGAAGAAAGAGGCACACCAGTGACCATTCGGAACCTACAAAAGGCAAAGTTGATGGGAATGTTAGATACCACAGGGGAGAGTAAGATACAGAGGTAAAAGGAGCAGAAATAATCTCAAAGGTTTCCCAGTTCTCTGCCTGATCCACCTAAGCAGGTAGTCACTTCTTCCCTGTACAAAGGAGACCTGGCAGGTTCTTCTTGGATGAATTGAAAATAGGTGACAGCCTCAGATACTAAGCATAGCTGAGACAGGTGCAAGGCTCAGGCCTAAAAACGCAAGTTATCAATAGATAACTACACACTTAATGCTGAGACCCTACCACCTTCCCTAGCCAGACTGACCCTAAAACAGAAGAATGGAGAAGCACTTTCTGAAGAAACCAAAAAAATCCCAGAGAAAGAAACATAGATACTGACATTCGATAATTTCCAATAGGATAAAATTTGTCAAATTTCGCTAACATCACTTTCATGAAGGTCCTAGTACACAGCTTTTCCCATGCACACAATCTCCATCTGGCTTCTCGGTGCTCACTCACAGACACCCAAATATAACAAACATTTGAGGAAAAAGCCTGAATGAGACAGACACAAAAATTAACAAAAAATGCGGAAATGTGAGACAATTGAAACAATAGAGTGAACAGGAGAAATTTGTCAAAAATTGAAATGAACTTCCCAAAACATTAAATATTACATCTATGCAGCAAAAACGGGACGTTATTCAAAATGAAATATTTTTTTAAATAGATGAAATACCTTTAAAACTCAATAGAAGGATTAGAAGACAAAGGCTTAGACCATTTTGAGAAAATCTCACAAAAAAGCAGAATAAAAACAAAGAAATGGAAAACAAATCAGAAACAAAAGCCTGCAAGAATTAAGAGAATTTTTCAAGAGATTTAACAGTTGCCTAACAGGAGTTCCTGAAAGAAAATACATTATCAGAAATGTAGAAAACTGATCAAAAAATTATACAAGAAATTACCCTGTGCTAAAGGATCCATGTCTACAAATTGAAAGGACATTTTTAGCATCAGTAGAAAAAAAACGATATCACAGCCTATTCTGAAATGTCACAGCACTAGGGATAAAGAAAACTCTGACAGGAAATGGTATTTAGCCCAAATTTTTACAGACAAACCGTTAATCAAATGCAAAGATAAAATAAAAATACTTTTGGGAATGAAGTACCTCTAAACAGTTACCTCTCCTCACCTTTTCAGTGGAAGCTACTGGAGATCTAGAGATAAAACCAAGAAAGAGTTATAATGGAATCCAGGAAACCAGGGACTCAATATAAAAGCAAAGCAAAGGGAATTCCCAAGAACATGAAAAGCCAAGCAAAGGTGTAAAACAGGTATAGAGAGCAACTGGTCTAGACCAGTACAGAAGGAATCCGGGAGCATGGCCTAATGAACAACTCTGACTGATAATTGGTTAAACCCCATAGAAAACTGTATTAAAGACGCTAATGGAAAATGTACAAATAAAATTAAAATTGAGTACACAAAAAATAGGAATGCAAAAAAGAGGTAAATGCCCAGAAAAAAGTATGTAAAGAATAATATTTAATAAAAATAATATACTGTTTGGCTCAGCAGTTAACAATATTTACATAGTCCCAATCAACAGTGCAAAAATTCAATTAATCAAAAATCAAGATACTAGGGAAAGATGCAAAGGCATTATAATAATACAAAGAAACAAAATCTTCAAGTTGCACTCTGGAAGACAGCAAACAATGTATAGAATGGAGATATTAGAAATTAGAGCATTAGTATATGGCTTAGAAATGTGAATATTCAAAGTGGCCCCCACTAGGAAAACCCACCACTCCTGATCACCACCCCCACCGACAAAATGAGGAAATGGTTTTGGTTTTAAGCTTTTTTGTGTCATTTAGCTTTTGAAAACATATGCATGAATACTGTTAAAAAATAAGTAGCATTTAGAAATAAGGATAATTCCAACTGTACCTATTTTACTTTACTAAAAATATAACTCAATTTGTATGCTAGCAATATTAACAAAATTATCAATATTATTATAAAAAAGTAGACCATTTTTCAAGAGTGCTTGTGAAAACTTATGGAATATTTAAATATACTCACTAGCAAGGCAGGAAATCTAATGTTTTTGTTGAAAGTATATTGAAAGAAGTATAAACTGTATTTTCAGATTTACAATATACTGTTTAAAAGGGGGAACATTTTGCAATTATAAAGTTAAATATATAGGCCATTTAGAGAAGCCTGAATTCAGCTCCAAGGCTTCCAAAATAAGAAATAAATAATGTACCCAATAAATTATCAAAATATTTCCTCAACATTATTATGTTTACCAAAGAATAGAAACAAATACAAAGAAGTGAAAGAAGAAATATTCCCACTTAACAATTCTCACATTGTCACAGGGAGAAAATAAACATTGTTTTCTGATTTTGATAATTTTTCATCACAGTGGATTATCTCCCGGATGTGAAATTCATTATGCTCTTCTTGCAAAGTCACTTTCATAATTATTTTAAAATGGTCTAAATAGACTAAGGTAATGAAAGTAGACATATTCATGTATTCCATTCATTCTCATAAAGGGTGATCCTCAGAATACAAAAGAATATGATGGATAAATCCTTAAGCTTCAATATATCTACTTTTAGGCATATTACAAATAAATTAAGATAAAACAACCCACATTCCATCTCATTAAAACTTGGCAAATCTTTGGATCTGCTTAGAGACACTGAATGTATATAGAAGAATAACTATTATTATTTATGCTTATAAAATGTTTGTTTACATTGTTTTTCTGCCTTTCTATAACCGTCCTGTTGTCTTGGTGACACTGGTCTATTCCAAAAGGTTTTGCCCAACTCATGTAACTAATAAAGCAGAATTAAGACTCAAACCCAGGTCTTCTGACTATGATCTGATATTCTTCCTACTACTTTCTCTGAACGTTTGGATTTAGGAAGGACACCTGTTTCTAATTGAATAGAATTAATATTTTTAATGAATATCTCTCATATTTACTAGTTAATATTACCCACTGTAGGAAACCAAAATATTAAACCCTATAATATACTTCTATGATGTATTTCAAGATGGCATTTCAGTGAAGATAGAAATACAAGAATAATTGAAAAGCTGACTTTTGTGGAGATTTGCATCTGTAGAAGAAATAAAGTGAAGGGTGCAACAGATGCAAACAGGCTCTCTCTGAACCACACCACCCCTTGTCTGAATCTAGGAAAGATTTACTGAGAGTCTCATGCTTTTAAAGGTCTGACAAAACATTTAGCATCTATTCTCTCTGATGGATTCTACCTTCAAGGTTTTCATTGCATGGTAAGACCACCTTTGCTAGCCAAGTCTTTCTTTTCTCTCCCTTTCATAACCCATTTTGCCCCCATAATCTGTCACATTCCAAGTCCCTGTTCTTTCTATAATTTCAAGATGATATAAAAGCATCAACTATGTTACCTTTCCTTAAGTTTTTATACTTCATATAATTCCCGTGCAAACAAGTACATGTAATAAAATTCATATGCCTTTTTTCCCCTTTAATCTGTCTATTATCAGTTTGTTTTACAGACTCAAATTCTTCACTCTTCAGGGGGAAAATTTAAACTTCCCTACAGTTTTGATGCAGTGAATAGGTTAACAAATTTACTAGTTAATATTACCCACTGTAGGAAACTTTATTCTGGAGCCTACAGATGGGATCTTGGGACAACTGACACAAAGCCAACAAAGAAAATAAGAATTTTTTTTACCAAGTCAGTTCTCCCAGATCTCTGCTTAGGACCCCAGGTCAAATGAGGGTGGTAAGAGCCTTGTCTTTTTTCTTTCCCCAAATTGGATTAACAGGACAAAAATATACTTGAACTAGTTCACTTAGTAAATGAATGAATTGGCTGTATTTAAAGGAAAGCTTTTTAGAGCACTCTTGTCTTAAACAGCCAGCCATGTTAATGGTACCTAGGAAAAGACTTAAAAAATAAGTATGGCCTTAGAAACTCCCTTGACAGATTGTTTTTAAAAGAAAACAGCAATCAGCTTTAAAAGAAAGCAAAATTATTCATACACTCGAACTGCCTGCTTTGGATCCCCTGTGGGATTTGCAATGAAGGCCATATTGTCTTCTAGTCAAGGAATTAAAATTCCATGCATTCACCACCATGCACTGGTGTTCAGTTCCTGTAAAGGGAACTAGTCCCTTGGAAATAAAAGTCCTTTAACTCTGGAGAAGAAACATTTATAAAAATTGGTTTGATATTTGTGCAACTATTGACTTTTTAGGATACCCACTCATTGTTGATTCCTTTCCCTTCCATGGCCAACTCTTGATTTTCTGTCTTGCCAACTGCTTCTGGTAATGAGACACATCAGATTTTTGGCCTTTGCTTGCAGAACATCAGATAAGAAGCTGAGACCATAGAGAATATGGTCAGATAGAAATGTGGTTTGTCCAGTCTATCACTGTTGGACATTTGGGTTGGTTCCAAGTCTTTGCTATTGTGAATAGTGCTGCAATAAACATACGTGTGCATGTGTCTTTATAGCAGCATGATTTATAGTCCTTTGGGTATATACCCAGGAATGGGATGGCTGGGTCAACTGTTATTTCTAGTTCTAGATCCCTGAGGAATCGCCACACTGACTTCCACAATGGTTGAACTAGTTTACAGTCCCACCAACAGTGTAAAAGTGTTCCTATTTCTCCACATCCTCTCCAGCACCTGTTGTTTTCTGACTTTTTAATGATCACAATTCTAACTGGTGTGAGATGGTATCTCATTGTGGTTTTGATTTGCATTTCTCTGATAGCCAGTGATGGTGAGCATTTTTTCATGTGTTTTTTGGCTGCATAAATGTCTTCTTTTGAGAAGTGTCTGTTCATGTCCTTTGCCCACTTTTTGATGGGGTTGTTTGTTTTTTTCTCATAAATTTGTTTGAGTTCATTGTAGATTCTGGATATTAGCCCTTTGTCAGATGAGTAGGTTGCAAAAATTTTCTCCAATTTTGTAGGTTGCCTGTTCACTCTGATGGTAGTTTCTTTTGTGTGTTGTCAATTGTATCTTTAACCATGACCATTTTAAGTTTTGTTGACCATATTAAATAGCTTTATTTGAAAGCTATTTTTCTAAAAGCACTTTGCAAATTCTACAGTGTTGTGTCTTCAAGGAGATTCATGGAAAGGATAAACAACCCTGATAGATACTCTCAAATACAGACCTCTGCTTATAACTTTGAAATTATTCAACTTGACTAGGTAAAAATTTCAAAAACTCCAATGGAAAAAAATTGGATATATAAAATAGTTTTTATGAGTTTCATAAGCAGAACGGTAATTAATTACATGGTAGAAAATTGATAGAGGACTAAAATAATTTTTATGACTTTTTGTTTGAAATATTATTGCTTCTTTTTATGTTTTGTTTTCCAGAGTTAAGAAACCTTTATTATTTTAGGTTATTTATAGCTTATAGAAATTGAATAAAGTATACTTTTATAAGAAAAAATGGAAACATTTACCTTTCTTTCTATCTGAGTTCTCCAGAATTTGAAAATTATTTTTGAGTGTTCTTATTTTATGGCAATATAGTCATTTGTAGAAGTTCAATAAAAATCAGATTTTTTTTTGTATCAGGACACAATTAGAAATGATAGTTATTTTACTACAGCTTTGACTGGCATGTCATATTCAGATATGACCACACTGCTTTAAGAAATTGAGGTTGACTTTAAAGCCAATAGATTTGGAAAAGAACTGGTCTGGTACCTTGTTTACAGTTTCCTTACAGAGTTCCTGATCTTGTGGTAAGTAAAAAAATGTCACTTTCTAATAGGCTTAAGAACCTCAAAATATTTTGGAGTCCTTGAGAAGGGAATAACTCACCCAATTTGTAGAGATATTACAGACATTGTCTTTAGGTTAGCTCCTAAACCTTCAGAGGTTTTTAAAAATCTAATCTGAAACCTCTTATGAAAAAGTTCCCATTAAGCCAAGTTAAAAAGAGGCTACATGGCCACTTACTATTTTTGCTGTACTTTGAGCAAAAATCAGACCAAGTTTAAGACAAAAACATTTAACAAATAAATTTGTCTTATTATGATTTGTTTTTATTAGAAGCAGGGGACTAGAGAGAGAAAAATTATGTTACTACCAATATTGCAGGGGGTGTTTCTAATATTTGGGAGAGGAGAGGATGATATTACTCTTAATATCACAGGGCTTGTACATCCTCCTGTTATATTGTTTCTAATATCCAGGTTGGAA
Organism: Homo sapiens; assembly: GCF_000001405.40. Taxonomy (NCBI): domain Eukaryota; kingdom Metazoa; phylum Chordata; class Mammalia; order Primates; family Hominidae; genus Homo; species Homo sapiens. Next base: position 58,265,262 of record NC_000006.12, on the reverse strand, counting down.
GATAATGTTATTACTTGCAATATTGCACAGGGTGTACACAACCTCCGTGATATTGTTTCTAATATACAGGATGAGAGAGGATGATATTACTTAAAGTATCACAGGGAGTTTACACCCCCCCCCCCCGTGATATTGTTCCTAATATAAAGGATGGAAAAGGATTATATGACTTTCAATATCGCAGAAGGTTTACACCTTCCTAGTGATATTTTTCTTAATATCCAGGGGGTGAGGAGGATATTACTCCCATTATCGCAGGGTGTGTACATCCTTTTTTGGATATTGTTCATAATATATATTAAGGGAGAGGAGAGGATGACATTACTTCCAATACCCCAGGGATTGTACACTTCCCCTTTGATACTGTTCCTAATATCCTGGGGAAGAGAAGATGATATTAATCTCAATATTGCAGGGAGTATACTCTCACCCTCTGATATTGTTTTTATTTTAGTGGAAAGAAAATGATATTACTCCCAATGTCGCAGAAGGTGTAAATCCTCCTGCGATATTGTTCTTAATATTAAGGCAGAAAGAGGATGGTATTACTCCCAATATCGCAAGGGGTGTATACACCCCTTTGTGATATTGTTTCTAACATCCAGAGGGGGAGAAAATAATGTTACTCTCAATATCGCAGAAGGTGTACACCCACCCCGTGATATTAGTCCTAATATTCAGGGGGGAAGAGTATGATATTGCTTTCAATATTGCAGAAAGTGTAGACCACCCCCCTGTGGTATTGTTTCTAATATGCAGGAGGGAAGAGAGTGATATTACTCTCAATATCGCAGGTTGTGTACACCCCCACTGTAATATTATTCCAAATATTCAGAGGGGGAGAGGATGATATTAATCCCAATATTGCAGCAGGTGGACAACTTCCTTGTGATATTGTTCTTAATATCCAGGGGCAAAAAGGATGATATGACTCCCAATATTGCAAGGGGTGTACATCCCCCCTGTAATATTGTTCCTAATATCCAGACGGGGAGAGGATGATATTGCTCCCAATATCTCAGAAGGTTTACACACTCCCTGTGGTATTGTTCCTAATTACCAGTGAAAGAGAGTATAATATTACTTTCAATATCGCAGGGGGTGTACATTCCTCTGTGATATTCTTCTTAAAATTCAAGAGGGGAGAGGATAATGTTATTCCCAAACACGGAGACGCTGTACCCCTCTCCCTGTGACACTGTTTCTAATATACAAGGGAGGAGAAAATGATATCACTCTCAATATCACAGGGAGGGTACACTCCCCCTGTAATATTTTTCCTAATATTTAGGGGAAGAGAAGGTATCACAATATCACATGGGGTGTACACTACCCTGTGATATTGTTTTTAATATCCAGGTTGAGAGAGGATGATATTACCTGTAATATCACACGGGTTGTACAAACCCCTGTGATATTGTTCTCCATATATGGGGGGAGAGGATGATATTATTTCTAATATAGCAGGGAGTTTATGCCCTCCCCAGCGTGATATGTTACTAATATGAAGGGAAGAAAAGGATGATATTACTTTGAATATCGCAGAAGGTGTACACCCCCCGTGATATTTTTCCCAATATTCAGAAAAGGATAGGATGATATTACTTCCAATATCTCAGGGGGTGTATTCTCCCTCTGTGATATTGTTTTTATATACATATGAGGGGAGAAAATGATATGGCTCCCATTATCACAGGGGGTGTACACCCTCCCTGTGATATTGTTCCTAATATTTAGAAGGAGAGTGGATGATATTACTCCCAATATCCGTACCTACACCCCCCTGCTTTGAAATTGTTCCTAACATCCAGTGGAGACGAGGATGATGTTACTCTCAATATCGGAGGGAGTGTACACCCTCCCTGTGATATTATTCCCAATATTTAGAAGGAGAGTTGATGATATTTCTCCCAATATCACAAGGGTTGTACACACACGCTTTGAAATTGTTTCTAATATCCAGGGGAGGACAGGTTTATACTACTCTCAATTTAACAAGGAGTGTTCACCCTCCCTGTGATATTGTTCCTAATGTTTAGGGTGGGATAAAATGATATTACACCCAATATCGTAGGGTGCGTACACCCTTCTCAGTGATATTGTTCCTAATATCCGAGGGTGAAGAGGATGACATTACTTCCACTATCGCAGAGGGTGTACACCGCCCCCTCCCCGTGATACTGTTTCTAATATCCAGGCGGGGAAAAAATGGTTTTACTCCCAATATCGAAGGGGGTGTACATCCCCTTCTGTGATATTGTTCCTAATATCCAAATGGAAAGAGGATGATATTACTTTCAATATCACAAGGATTGTACACGCCCCTGTGGTATAACTTCTAATATCCAGGAAGAGAGAGGATGATATTACACCCAATATAGAAGGAGGTGTTCACCTCCCCTGTGGTATTGTTCCTAATATCCAGAGAGAAAGAGGATGATATCACTCTTAATATCACTGTCCCTGTGATATTGTTTCTAATATATATAAGGGGAACAAATGATATCACTCCCAATATTGCAGGGGGTGTACACCTCTTTTTGATATTGTTTCTAATATTCAGAGGGAAAGAGGATGATATTACTTCCAATGTCGCAGGGGTGTACACTTCCACTGCGATATTGTTCCTAATATCCATTAGACAAGAGGATGGTATTACTCCTAATATTGCAGAGGTGTACACTTTTTCTGTGATAATATTTTTAATATTCAGAGGCGTAGAGGATAATATAACTTTCAATATTGCAGGGGGTGTACAACATCCCCTGTGATACTGTTTATAATAACCAGGGGGGAAGAGGATGATATTGCTTTTAATATCGCAGGGAGTGTACACACACCCTGTAATATTGTGCCTGATATCCAGGGGGGAAGAGGACGACATTACTCCCATTATCACAGAAAGTGTACACACCCCTGTGATATTGTTCCTAATATCCAAGTGGAGAGAGGATTATATTACTCCCAATATCACAAGGGGTGTACACCCCCTTTTGATATTGTTTCTAATGTCAAGAGAGGAAAGGATTATATTACTCCCAATGTTGCAGGTAGTGTACACCATCCCTGTGATATGGCGTTAAATATCCAGGGCAGAGAAGATGACATTACTCCCAATATGGCAGGGGGTGTACAGGCTCCCTGTAACATTGTTCCTAACTTCCAGGGGAAGAGAGGATGCTATTACTCCCAATATCACAAATGGTGTAGAACCTTCTTGTGGTATTGTTCCTAATATCCAGGAGGGGACAGAATAATATTACTACAAATATCATAGTGGGTGTAAAACCCCTCTGTGATATTGTTCCCAATACCCAGGGAAAGAGATGATGATATTACTCTCAATATCACGGGGGGAGTGTACGCCCCCACTGTGATATTGTTCCTAATGTCTACAGAAAGAGAAGATGCTATTAATATCGTAGGTGGTGTACAACCACCCTTTGATGTTATTCCTAATATTCAGGAGAAAAGAGGATGATATTACTCCCGATATCGCAGGGGGTGTACACCCCACTTGTGACTTTTTTATATCCAAAGAGGGAGAAGATTATTATTGCTGTCAATATCACAGGGGGGTTATACGCCCCCTGAGATATTGTTTCTAATATCAAGGGGGGAGATTATACTACTCCCCAAATCGCAGGGGGTGTACACCCCTCCTGTGAGATTGTTCCTAACATCCAGCAGAAGAAAGGATGATAGTACTTCCAATATTTCATGGGTGTAAACCCCCCTGTGATATTATTTCTAATATCCAGGGGGCGAGAAAATAATACTACTTCCAGTATCGCAGGGGGTGTACACCCCCAACTTTGTGATATTATTTCTAATACCCAGGAGTGAATAGGAAGATATTACTCTCAATATCACAGAGGGTGTATACCCATTCTGTGATATTTTTCCTAATATGCAGGGAGGAAGAGGATATTACTCCCACTATTGCACGGGGTGTACAAACCCCCTCTAATATTGTTCCTAATATGCAGGAGAGAAAAAGATGACATTACTCCCAATATCGAAGGAAGTGTTCTTAATATCCAGCAAGGGAAAAAATGATATTACTCCCAATTGCGCAGAAGGTGTACAATTTTCGTGTAATATTGTTTTTAATATCCCAGGGGGAGAGGATATTACTTTCAATATCTCAGGGGGGTTACACACCCCCAGTGATATTGTTCTTAATATTTAGTGAAGAAGAGAATTATATTACTTTCAATATCGCAGGGGGTGTACCTGTGACATATTTCCTAATATTGGGGGGGGTTAGAAAATAATATTACTCCCAATATCACAGAGGCTGTACGAACCCCGTGTGATATTGTTTCTAATATCCAGAATGGTAGTAAATAATATTACTATCAATATCACAGGAGGTGTACACTCCTTTTGGGATATTGTTTCTAATAATCAGGAGGTAGGAGGGTGAAGTTACTCCCAATTTTGCAGGGCGTGTTCACTACCCTGTGATATTGTTTATAACACCCAGGTTGAAAGAGGATGATATTACTTAAAACATCGCATGGTGTATACACCATCTTCTGTGATATTGTTCCTATTATACAGTGGGGGAGAGGTTAATATTACTCCGAATGTCACAGGGACTTTACCTCCCACCCCTGTGATATTGTTCCTAATATGAAGGAAGGGACAGGATAATATTACTTTCAATATCTCAGGGGGTGCACACCAATTCTGTGATATTGTTCCTAATATCCAGGGAAAGAGAGGTTGATATTACTTCCAATATCCCAGGGGGTGTACACCCCCTCCTGTGATACTGTTTCTAATATCCAGGGAGAAAGAGGGTGACATTATTTTCAATATCCAAGAGGATGTACACCCCCTCTGTGATATTGTTTTTAATATCCAAAGGCTAAGAGACTGATATTACTCCCAAAACCGCAGGTAGTGAACACCTCCTTTGTGGTATTATTTCTAATATCCAGGAAGGGAAAGAAGGATATTACTCCAAATATCACAGGAAGTCTTCAACCCCCCTGTGATTTTGTTCCTAATATCCAGGGAAAGAGAGGATATTACTCCCAGTATCACAGGGTATGTACACAACCCCCGCCGTGATATTGTTCTTAATATCTAGGAAAAGAGATAATGATATTACTGTCAATATTGCAAGTGGTGTACAACAGCCCTGGGATGTTGTTTCTAAAATCCAGGAGGGAAGAGGATGATATTACTCCCAATATTGCAGGGGGTGTACACACTCCCTGTGAGATTGTTTCTAATATCCAGTGGAAGAGAAGATGATATTACTCCCAATACTGCAAGTGATGTAAACTCCTTTGTGATATTGTTCCTTATATCCAGGGGAGAGAGGATGATATTACTCTCAATATTGCAGAGAGTGTACCACCCCCATTGAGATACTATTTCTAATATCCAGGGGGTGAGAGGATGATATTACTCTCAATATCACAGGGGGTGTACACTCACTCTGTGATATTGTTTCTAAAATTCAGAGGGGGAGAAAATGATATTATTAAAAATATCACAAAGGGTGTACACCCCACCTATGAAATTGTTACTAATATTTAGGAGGGGAGAGGATGGTATTACTCCCAATATCGTAGGGGGTGTACACACACCCCCGTGATATTGTTCCTAATATCCAGAGAGGGGAGAGGGTGATAATACTCCCAATAATGCAGCAGGTGTACAACGTTCCTGTGATATTGCTTTTAATATCTGGGTGGGGAGAGGATGATATTACTCCCAATATCACAAAAGGTGTACACCCTCACTGTAATATTGCTCCTAATATCCAGGAAGGGAGAGGATGATATTACTCCCAGTATCACAGGGGATTTACATTCCCCTATGATATTGTTCTTAATTTCAGTGAAGAAGAGGATGATATTATTTCAATATGGCAGGGGGTGTACACAACTCTGTGTTGTTGTTCCTAATATTCAGGGGAAAATAAGATATTAGTTCCAATATCGCAGGAGCTCTACAACCCCCCCCACCCGGTAATACAGTTTCTAATAACTAGGTGAAGAGAAAATAATATTACTCTCAATGTCGCACAGGGTGTACTCTGCCCCTGTGATATTGTTTCTAATATCCAAGAGAAAAGAGGATGATATTACTCCCAATGTCACAGGGCATGTACACCCCCCTATCATATAGTTTTTAATATCCAAGATGAAAAAGGATATTATTTGCAATATCGCACAGGATGTACACACCTCCAGTGATACTGTTTCTAACATAAAGGGGGGAGAGGATGATATTACTCTCAATATCGCAGGGAGTTTACACCTCCTCCTGTGACTTTTTGTTAATATGAAGGGAGAAAAGGGATTATATTACTTTCAATATTGCAGGGGTTGTACACATTTCCAGTGTTATTTTTTCTAATATCCACGGGGAGAGAAAATGATATTATTCTTAATAATTCAGGGAGTGTACACTTGCTTTGTGACATTGTTCCTAATATAGGGGGAGAGAATAATATTACTCCCAATATCGAAAGAGTGTATGCCCTCCCTTCGACATTGCTTTTAATATTTAGGTGGAGAGAGAATGATATTAGTTTTAATATCCCAGAGGTTGTGCACCCCCACTTTGATATTTTTCCTAATATTTAGGGGAGGAGAGGACATCACTCTCAATATCGTAAGAGGGAAAAGTTCCCTGTGATATTGTTCTTTTTTTTTTTTTTTTTTTGATCATTCTTGGGTGTTTCTCGCAGAGGGGGATTTGGCAGGGTCACAGGACAATAGTGGAGGGAAAGTCAGCAGATAAACAAGTGAACAAAGGTCTCTGGTTTTCCTAGGCAGAGGACCCTGCGGCCTTCCGCAGTGTTTGTGTCCCTGGGTACTTGAGGTTAGGGAGTGGTGATGACTCTTAACGAGCATGCCGCCTTCAAGCATCTGTTTAACAAAGCATATCTTGCACCGCCCTTAATCCATTTAACCCTGAGTGGACACAGCACATGCCCCAGAGAGCACAGGGCTGGGGGCAAGGTCACAGATCAACAGCATCCCAAGGCAGAAGAACCCCTCCCAGTACAGAACAAAATGAAGTCTCCCATGTCTACTTCTTTCTACACAGACACAGCAACAATCTGATTTCTCTATCTTTTCCCCACCTTTCCCCCTTTTCTATTCCACAAAACCACCATCGTCATCATGGCCTGTTCTCAATGAGCTGTTGGGTGCACCTCCCAGATGGGGTGGTGGCCAGGCAGAGGGGCTCCTCACTTCCCAGAAGGGGCAGCCGGGCAGAGGCGCCCCCCACCTCCCAGATGAGGTGGCGGCCGGGCGGAGGTGCCCCCTACCTCCCTCCCAGATGGGGTGGCTGGCCGGGCGGGGGCTGACCCCCACCTCCCTCCCGGACGGGGTGGCTGCCGGGCGGAGACGCTCCTCACTTCCCAGATGGGGTGGCTGCCAGGCGGAGGGGCTCCTCACTTCTCAGACGGGGCGGCTGCTGGGTGGAGGGGCTCCTTACTTCTCAGACTGGGCGGCCAAGCAGAGACACTCCTCACCTCCCAGATGGGATCACGGCTGGGCAGAGGCGCTCCCCACATCTCAGACGATGGGCGGCTGGGCAGAGATGCTCCTCACTTCCTAGACGGGATGGCGGCCGGGAAGAGGCACTCCTCACTTCTCAGACTGGGCAGCCGGGCAGAGGGGCTCCTCACATCCCAGACGATGGGCAGCCAGGCAGAGATGCTCCTCACTTCCCAGACGGGGTGGCGGCTGGGCAGAGGCTGCAATCTCGGCACTTTGGGAGGCCAAGGCAGGCGGCTGGGAGGTGGAGGTTGTAGCTAGCCGAGATCATGCCACTGCACTACAGCCTGGGCAACATTGGACACTGAGTGAATGAGACTCCGTCTGCAATCCCGGCACCTTGGGAGGCCGAGGCTGGCGGATCACTCACGGTTAGGAGCTGGAGACCAGCCCGGCCAACACAGCGAAACCCCATCTCCACCAAAAAAATACGAAAACCAGTCAGGCATGGCAGCGCGCGCCTGCAATAGCAGGCACTCTGCAGGCTGAGGCAGGAGAATCAGGCAGGGAGGTTGCAGTGAGCCACGATGGCAGCAGTACAGTCCAGCTTCGGCTTGGCATCAGAGGGAGACCGTGGAAAGAGATGGAGAGGGAGACCGTGGGGAGAGGGAGAGGGAGAGGGAGAGGGAGAGGGAGAGCTGTTCTTATTATTTAAGTTGGGAAAAAATGATATTACACCCAATATCAAAGAGGGAGTACACCACCCCCGGTGATATTGTTTCTAATAATGAGGAGCACAGAGGATATTACTCCCACTATATTAGGGGATGTACACCCTCCTGCTGATATTGCTCCTAATATACAGGGGGAACAAGGATGATATTATTTGCAATATCATAGCAGGTATACAACTTCCCTGTGACATTATTTTTAATATTCATGGGTGGAGAAGATAATATTACTCCCCATATCGCAGGGGGTGTACACTCCTATGTAATATTGTTCCCTATATCCAGGGGGGAGAATATAATATTACCACCAATATCACTGGTGGTTTACAAACCCCGTGTGACATTATTATTAATTTCCAGTGAAGGAGAGGATGATATTACTTTCAATATCACAGGGGGTGCACACATCCCTGTGATATTGTTTCTAATATCCAGAGGGGGGAGGAAAATATTACTCCCAATATCGTAACGGCTGTACACCTTCCCTGTGATATTGTTTCTAATATCAGGGAGAGAGAAAATGATATTAATCTCAATAGCGCAGGGAGTGTACACTCCTCCTTTGAAATTGTTTCTAATATCCAGGAGAGGAGAGGATGATATTACTCCCAATATCGCAGGGCATGTACACAGCCCTGTGATGTTGTTTTTAATATCCAGGTTGGGAGAGGATGATATTACTTGCAATATCGCAAGGGGTGTACACACCCCCTGTGATATTCTTCCTAATATACACTGGGGGAGAAAATAATATTACTTCCAGTATCTCAGAGAGTTTACACCCTGCCCTGTGATATTGTTTCTAATATGAAGGGAGGAAGAGGATTATATTACTTTCAAAATTGTAGTTTTGTACACTTTCCTAGTGATATTTTTTCCTAAGATTAAAGTGGGGAGAGGATGATATTACTTCCAGGATTGCAGGGGGTGTACACTTCCTCTGTGATATTGTTTCTAATACACAGCGGGAGAAGAGGATGATACAACTCCCAACATTGCAGGGGTGTACACCGTCCCTGTGATACTGTTCCTATTAATTAGGGGGAGGGGAAGATGATATTAGTCCCAATATCCCAGGTGTTGTACACCCCCTCTTTGAAATTGTTCCTAGTATCCAGGAGAGGAGAGAGTAATATTACTCTCAATATCGCAGGGAGTGTACACCCCATCTGGGATATTGTTCCTAATTTCCAGGGAGGGAAAAAGATATTACTCCAAATAACGCAAAGGTGTACACTTTCGCTTTGATATTGTCTTAAATATCCAGAGGGGGAGAAGATAATATTACCATCAATATGGCAAGGGGTGTACACCCCCCGTAATATTGTTTATAATATGCAGGAGGAGAGGGTTATATTACTTTCAATATCGCAAAGGGTGTACAATCTTCTTGTGATATTGTTCCTAATATCCAAAGGATGAGAGAATGATGTTATTTCAAATATCACAGGAGATGTGTATTCACCCCGCCCCCCCCCGTTGTTGTTCCTAATATCCAGGGAAAGAGAGAATGATATTATTCCCAATATCGCAGGCATTGTACATGACCCCGCCCACGTGATATTGTTCCTAATATCTAGTGGAAGAGAGGATGATATTGCTCCTAATATTTCAGGGGTGTAGACCCACCACGTGATAGTGTTCCCAAAATCCAGGAGAGAAGAGGATGATAATACCCTCAATATCACAGAAGGTGTACATCCCTTCTGTGATATTGTTCCTAATATAGATTGAGGGAAAGGATGACATTACTGTCAATATCACAGAGGGTTTACATGCTCCCTGTGATATTGTTTCTAATATCAAGGTGGGGAGATTATATTACTCCCAATATCGCAGGCGGTATGCAGTGCCCCAGTGAGATTGTTTCTAATATCCCGTCGAAGAAAGTATGATGTTGCTTCCAATATTACAAGCGTGTAAACCCCCTTGTGATATTGTTTCTAACAACCAGGGTGCGAGAGGATTAAATTACACCCGATATTGCAGGGGGTATACACCCCTTCTTGTGACATTGTTTGTAATATCCAGGGGTGGATTGAATGATATTTATCCCAATATTGCAAAAGGTGTACACCCCCCCATAATATTGTTACTAATATCCAGGAGAGGAAAGGATGATATTACTCCCAAAATCGCGATATTGGGTGTAATATCATCCTGTCTCCCCATGGATATAAGAATCAATAACACAGGAGTTTGTACAACCCCTGCGATATTGGCTGTAACATCATCCTCTCACCCTCTGAATATTAGAAAAAATATCACAGAGGGGGTCTTCAACCCATGCGATATTGGGAGTAATGTCATTCTCTTTTCTTCTCAATATTAAAAACAATATCACAGGGTGGGTGTACACCCCTTGTGATGTTGGGAATAATATCATCCTCTCTTCCCCTATGATATTAGAAAAATATTACACAAAAGGTGTACAACTCCTGCTCTACTGGGAATAATATCACCGCCCTCCCCTGGGATATTAAAAACAATATCATGGGAGGGTGTACATTGTGAGTAATATCATCCTCTCCCTCCCTGGATGTTAGGAACAATATCACGGCGGGGTGTAAACCCGTTGCGATATTGACAGTAATATCGTCTCCCTCCCTAAATATTAGGAACAATATCAAAGGGGGTTGTACACACCCTGCAATATTGGGAGTAATATTATTCTTTCCTCCCCTAAATATTAAAAACAATATCACAAGGGGGGTATACACCCCCCTGCGACATTTGGAGTAATATCATCCTCTTCTCCCCAGTATATTAGGAACCATACCATAAGGGGTGTGTACACTCCCTGAAATATTCCAAGTAATATTTACCTTCCCACCACCAGGTATTAGGAACAATATCACAGAGGTGTGAACACCCCTTGTGATATTAAGATTAATATCATCCTCTCCCTCCCTGAATGTTAGAAACAATATCACAGGGAAATGTAAATCCCCTGTGATACTGGGAGTAATATTATCCTCTCCCCACATGTATATTAGGAACAATATAACAGGGGGGATGTACACCCCTTGCGATATTGGAAGTAATATCATGCTCTTTCCCTTTGGATATTAAAAACAATATCAGAGGGGGTTGTACATTCCCTGTGATATTGGGAGTAATATTATCCTCTCTTTCCTTGATTATAGAAACAATATCACAGAAAAGGATTACACCTCCTGTGATATTGAAAATAATATCATCCTCTTCCCCCTGGATATTAGAAACAAGATCACAGGGAGGGCATACATCTTCTGTGATATTGGGAGTAATATCAGTTGCTACCCTGCTGGATATTAGAAACAATATAACAGGGGGGTGGGGAGTTACAGCCCCTGCAATATTTGGAATAATATCATCCTTTCTCCCCATGGATATTAGGAAAAATATCAAGGGGGGTTGTACATCCAGTGCAATATTGAAAGTAATATCCTGGATATTAGGAACAATATCACAAAAGGTGTTTACATCTCCTGCAATATTGAAAGTAATATCGTTCTCTACCCCCCTGGGTATTAGAAGCAATATTACAGGGGGGGTGTATACCCCCTGCAAAACTGGGAGTAATGTCATCCTCTCCCCCTCCTCTGTATATTAAAAACAATATTACAGGGGAGATGTACATTAGATGTGATATTGGAGGTAATATCATCCCTCCTCCCGCCCCCGCATATTAGGAACAATATCACAGGGGTAGTTTACACATCCTGCGATATTGGGAGCAACATTATCCTCTATCCCCTGGATATTAGGAGCAATATTACAGGGCGGGTGTACATCCCCTCCGATATTGGGAGTAATATTATTTTATTCCATTCTGGATGTTACAAACAATATCACAGGGTAGATATACATCCCCTGTGATATTAAGAGTAATATCGTCCTCTTTACCCCAGATATTAGAAACAATATCACCGGGGCGTGTTCATCCCCTGCTATATTTGGAGTAATATTATCCTCTCTTCCTTTGGATATTAGAAACAATATCACAGGAGGAGTTTCCACCGCCTGCAATATTGTGAGTAATATCCTCTCACCCTTTGGATATTAAGAACAGTTTCACGGAGGAGGGTGTACATCTCCTACATCACTGGGAGTAATATTATCATCTCCCACCCTGGATATTAGAAACAATATCACAGGGAAGGCGGATAGCCCCTGGATATTAGGAACAATATCACAGGATGAGTGGACACTCCCTGCGTTATTTGTAGTAATTTTATCTTCTCTTCCCTGTATAATAGGAACAATATCACAGGATGGGTGTACACCCCCTTCGATATTGAGAGTAGTATCATCCTCTCCTTTGCCTGGATATTACGAGCAATATCATAGGGTGGGGTAGACCTTCTGTGATATTGGGAGTAATATAATCCTCTCCCCTCTGAATATTATGAACAATATAACAAGGGGGTGTACATCCCCTGCAATATTGGGAGTAATATCTTCCTCTTCCCTTCTGCATATTATGAACAATATCATAGAAAGGTGTACATCCCCTGAGATATTGGCAGTAATATCATCCTCTTTTCTTCTGGATGTTACAAACAATACCACAGGGGAGGGTAACCCCCTCCTATATTTGGAGTAATATCATCCTCTCTTTCTCTAGGTATTACAAACAGTATCCCGGGGGGTTTACATCTTCTGTGATATTGGGAGTAATACTATCCTCTCCCTCCTGGATATTATGAAAAATATCACAAAGAGGTGTACACTTCCTGCGATATAGGGAGTAATACCACCCTCTTTCCCTCTGGATATTATGAACAATATCACAGGGTGGTGTAAACATTCTGTGACATTGGAGTAATATCATTCTCTCCCCCTGGATATTATGAACAATATCAAATGGTGATGTACACCCCCTGAGATATGGAGACTTATATTATCCTCTCCCCCCTCGGATATTATGAACCACATCAAAAGGGGGGTGTACACTGCCTGTGATATTGGGAGTAATATCATCCTTTCCCCCTTTATATCACAAGGCAGGTGTGCACCCCCTGCGATATTGGGAGTAGTATTATCCTTTCCTACCCTGGATAGTAAAAACAATATCACAAAGGGTGGTATTGAGAGTAATAACATCCTGTCTCCCCCTTGATATTATGAACAATATCACAGAAAGGTTGTACACCCCCTGCAATATTGGGAATAATACTATTTCTCCTCCCCCTGGATATTAGAAACGATATTACAGAAAAGGTGTACACCCCCTGCGATATTGGGAGTAATATCATTGTCCCCTTTTCTAGATATTAGGAACAATATCACGGGGGTGTGTACATCTCCTTCAATATCAAGACTAATATCATTCTCTTTCTTCCTGGATATTAAGAACAATATCACAGGGTGGGTGTACACCTCCTTCAATATTGAGAGTAATATTATCCTCTTTTCTTCTGGATGTTAGGAACAATATCACAAGGGGGTGTACACCTTCTGTAATATTGGGAGTAATATCATCTTCTCCCCCATATTAGGAGCAATGTCATCGGGAAGGTGTACACCCCCTGTGATATTGGGAGTAATATTATCTTCTCACCCCCTAAACATTACGAACAATATCACAGGGAAGGTGTACATTTCCTGTGATATTGAGAGTAATATCATCCTCTCCCACCCTGGATATTAGGACCAATATCACAGGTGGGGTTACCCCCTGCAATATTAAGAGTAATATCATCGGCTCCGTCCTGGATATCAGAAACAATGTTAACAGGAAGAATGTACACCTTGTGCCGTATTGGCAGTAATATCATCCTCTCCTCTGGATATTTGAAGCAATATCAGAGAGGGTGTACACACAGCGTGTTTACCATATTGAGAGTAATATCATCCTCTTCCTCCCTGGATATTATGAACAATATCACAAAGTGTTTTTCACTTTCTGCTTTATTAGGAGTAATGTCTTCCTCTCCCTTTCTGGATATTATAAACAATATAACAGGTTGGTGCACACCATTTTCGATATTGGGAGTAATATCCTCTTTGCACTTGATATTACAAACAATATTAAAGAGGGTGTACACACCCTGCGATATAGGGAGTAATATCATCCTCACACCCCCAAATATTAAGAACAATACCCCAGGGTGGGATATTAGAAGTAATATCATCCTCTCTCCCCCTGGATATTACAAAAAATATCACGGTGGGTGTACAAACAGGGTGTTTAGAATATTGGGAGTAACATCATCCTCTCCCCTCCTGGATATTACGACCAATATTACAAGTGGGTGTACAACCCCTGTGATATTAGGTGTAATATCCTCTCCCCAACTCCCAGATATTACAAACAATATAAGAGTGGGGTGTAAACTTCTTGCAATGTTGGGAGTAATATCATGTTCTTTTTCTCTGGATATTATGAACAATATCACAGGGAGGTGTACTCCCCCTGTGATATTGAAAGTAATATCATCCTCTTCCTCCCCTGGACATTATGAACCATATCACAAGGGGGTACAAGCCCTCTGTGATATGGAGAATAATATTACCCTCTCCCTCTCTGGATATTACAAACCATATCACAGGAGGTTGTACTCCCTGGCGATATGAACAGTAATAACACACTCTCCCCCTCGGGGTATTACGAACGATATCACAAGGGGCTGTACGCCCCCCGCAATATGGACAGTAATATCACCATCTCCCGACCGGCATATTATGTACAATATCAAAAGAGGGTGTACTTCCATTGCGACATGGGCAGTAATTTCACCCTCTGCTTCCCCGAGGTATTACAAACCATACACAAAGGAGTATCACAGGGGGTGTACCTCCCCCCAACCCCACGCCATTTAGGAAGAAATATCACCCTCTCCCCCCCTGGAATATTACAAACCATATCACAGGGGTTTTATGCCCTCCACGATATGGGGAGTAATATTACCCTCTCTTCCCCAAGATATTACAAACTATGTCACAGGGGGGTGTACACCCGGCACAATATGGAAAGTAATATCACCCTTTCCCCCCCAAAAATATTGCGAACTATGTCACAGGAAAGTGTATGCTTTTCGCGATATGGGGAGTAATATCACCTTCTCCTTTCCTGGAAATTACGAACCATGTCACAGGGGGTGTATGCCCCATGATAGCTAGAGTAATATCACCCTCTCCCCTGTGGGATATTACAAACCATATCACTAGGTGGTGTACACCATGGGCGATATGGGGACTAATATCACCCTCTCCCTTCAAGATATTACGAACCACATCACAGGGGTGTGTATGCCCCCACGATAAGGAGAGTAATAGTCCCTTCTTCCCACTGGGATATTATGAACCGTATCACAGAGGGGTGTACGTCCCCCCCTCCCCCAATATTGGCAGCAATATCGACTTCTCCTTCCCAAGATATTATGAACCATATCAAGGGGTGGGGGAAGGTAAAAGCCTTTAGTGATATGGGGAGTAATATCAACCTCTCTCCCCTGGAATATTACAAACCATATCACGGGGGGTGTATGCCCCTAGTGATATGGAAAACAATATCACCCTCTCCCACCCGGGATATTACTAACCACATCACAGGGGGGGCGTAAACCCCTGCAACATGGGAAGTAATATCACCCTTTTGCCCTCTATTACAAACCATATCACAGGTGGGTGTATGCCCCTTGCGATACGGGGAGTAATATCACCCTAGTCCCCCCCAGGATATAATGAAACATATCACAAAGGGTTGTACAACCCCCGCGATACGGGGAGTAATAGGAGTAATATCACCCTCTGCCCCCAAGATATTAGGAGGCACATCACACCCTCCATGATATGGGGAGTAATATCGCCCTCTTTTTTCCTGGATATTACAAACCATATCACAGGGGAGTGTACACCACTCCCCACTCAATATGGGAAGCAATATCACCCTCTCCCTTCCTGGATATTATGAATCATATAAAAGCGGAGTGTACATCCCCCACAGTATGGGGAGTAATATCACCCTCTCCGCCCCTCCAGATATTACGGACCATATCATGAGGGGTGCACACCTCCCATGATATGAGGAGTAATATCACCCTCTATTTCCTGGGATATTACGAACCATATCACAGAGGAGTGTATACATCCTGCTATATGGGCAGTAATACAATCCTCTCCCCTTTGGAATATTATGAACCTTATCGAAAGGGGGTGTAGGGGGTTGTACGCCCACTGTGATATGAAAAGTATTATCACCCTCTCTCCCTCTGCATATTATGAACCATATCACAGGGGTGTGTAGGATCCCCGCTATATGGGGAGTAATATCACCCTATGCCCCCCAGAATTTACGAACCATATCACATGGAAGTGTACGTCCTCCACGATATGGTGAGTAATATCACCCACGCACCCCTGGAATATTTCTAACCATGTCACACGGGGCTGTACACCCCCCTCAATATGGAAAGTAATATCACACTTTTCCCCCGAAATATTATGAACCAGGTCACATAGGGGTGTACGCTCCTTGCAATATGGGGAGTAATATTACCCTCTGCTTTCCTGGAAATTATGAACCATGTCACAGTGGGGTGTAAGATTCCAGGATGCCAAGAGTAATATCACCATTTCTTTCCCGAGATATTATGAACCATATCACAGGGGGGTGTACACCTCCCACGGTATAAGGAGTAATATAACCCTCTCCCCACCAGGATATTATGAACCATATCACAGAGGTGTGTACGCCTCTGTGATTAGGAGAGTAATATTCCCCCCACCCCCCGAGATATTATGAACCATATAACAAGGGGGTGTATGCCCCCACGATATGGAAAGTAATATCAACTTCTTTCTCCCAAGATATTACTTGGGAGGTATACGCCCAAGTATGTATGCTTGTATGTATACTGTGTATGTATACACAGAGGGGTATATGCCTCTGTGATGTGGGGAGTAATATCATCCTCTCTCCCCTGGAATATGAAGAATCATATATGGGGGTTGTCCACCCCTCATGCTATGGAGAGCAATATTACCCTCTCCCACCCGGAATATTACAAACCATATCACAAGCGGGTGTACGTCCCTGCAATATGGAGAGTAATATCACCTTCTCCCCCCTGGGATATTACAAACCATATCACAGGAGGGTGTTTGCCCCTTGTGATATGGGAAGTAATATCACCCTCTCCTCCCTGGGATATTAGATATCATATCACAGAGGGGTGTATGCCCCCTGCTATATGGGGAGTAACAGCAGCCTCTCAAACTTGGGAGATTATGAACCGTATCACACTTTCACACTTTCTGTGATATACGGAGTAATATTACCCTCTCCCCCTCCCCTGGATATTACAAACCATATCACAGGGGGGTGTATGCACTCCACAATACAGAGAGTAATATCACCCTCTCCGCTTCCCCCCCCCCCCCCGCATATTACGAATCATATCACAGGGTCGTGTAGGGTTCCCACGACATGAGAAGTAATGTCTCCCTCTCCACTTCTGGATATTACAAACCATATCACAAGGATGTACACCCCCCGTGATATGGGATGTAATATCACCCACTTCTCCCTTCCTGGATATTATGAACCATATCACAGGGAAGTGTACACCCTCCAGGATATTGAAAGTAACATCACCCTCCTCTCCCACCCTGGGTATTACCAACTGTATCACAGATGTGTGTACACACCCGGGGTTTGGAGAGTAATATCACCCTCCTTTCCCTACCTGGGTATAATGAACCATATCACAGAAGGGTGTCCATGCCCCGTGATATGGGGAGTAACATCACCATTCTTTATCCCCATAGATATTATGAATTATATCACAGGGGGTCATATATCCCTCAAGATATAATGAGTAACATCAACCTTCTCTCCCCTCCTGGATATTACAAGTCATATCACAGGGGGTTGCACATTGTCCGCGATATTAGGAGTGATATCACCCTCCTCACCCACTCTGGATATTATAAACCAGATCACAGGAGGTGTACACACCCCACGATATAAGGAGTAATATCACCCTCCTCTCCCCCCACCCCCAAATATTAGAAACAATATCAGCGGGGATGTACACCTTCTGCGATATTAAGAATAATATCCTCTCCCCCCTTGAATATTTGGAACAATATAACAGGGGAGGTGTACACCCCCTGTGATAATGGGAGTAATATCATTCTCTTTCTCCCTGAATATTAGGAACAATATCACGGTGCTGGGGGTAGGGGGGCGGTTACACCTATAATCCCAGCACTTTGGGATGCTGAGGTGGGTGGATTGCTTGAGGTTAAGAGTTCAAGACCAGCCTGACCAACATCGTGAAACCCTGTCTCTACTAAAAATACCAAAATTAGCCGGGCATGACAGCAGGTGCCTATAATCCCAGTTAGTCTGGAGGCTGAGGAAGGAGAGTTGCTCAAACCTGGGAGGTGGAGGTTGCAGTGAGCAGAGATCCGCGCCATTGCACTCCAGCCTGGGCGACAGGGTGAGACTCCGTCTAAAAAACAAAAAATCGCAGGGGGTGTACACACCCTTCCATATTGGGAGTAATATCATGCTCTTTCCTTCTGAATATTAGGAACAATATCACAGGGGGAGTATACACCCCCTGCGATATTGGTAGTAATATCATAGTCTTCCCCCCTGGATATTAGGAACAATATCACAAAAGGAGTGTACACACTTTGCGATATTGGGAGTAATATCATACTCATTTTCATTGGATATTAAGAACAATATCACAGAGGGGGTGTCCACCCCCTGCAATATTGGGAGTAATATTATTCTCTTTCCCCTTTAAATATTAAAAACAATATCACAAGGGGGTTTTACACCCTGTGACATTGTTATTCTTCCCTTGATATTAGGAAGAATATAACAGGAGGGGTGTACAGCCCCGACGATATTGGGAGTCATGTCATTTTCTCCCTCATGGATATTTGGAACAATACCACAGGAGTAGTGTACACCCCCTGCGATATTGTGATTAATATCAACCTTTCCTTTTTGGATATTAAGAACAATATTACAGGGGTGGTGTACATTTCCTGTGATATTGGGAGTAATATCATCCTGTCCTTCTTTGGATATTTTGAACAATATCACGGGGAGGGGTACACCCCCTGCGATATTGGGAGTAATATCATTTTCTCCTACTTGAATATTATGAACAACCTCACACGGGGGTGTACACGGTGGGATATTGGGAGTAATATCATCCTTTTTCTTTCTGGACATTACAAACAATAACACTGGGAGGGGGTGTACAGCCCCTTCGATATTTGGAGTAATATTATCCTCTTTTTCCCTGGATATTATGAACAGTATCACAGTGGGATGCACACCCCATGCGATATTGCGAATAATATCGTCTTCTCCCACCCTGGCTATTACAAACAATATCACGGGGGTTGTACAGCCCCTGTGATATTGGGAGGAGTGATAACATCCTCTTTCCCAGTAAATATTACAAACAATATCACAGAGGGGTGTACACCCTCTGCGATATTAAGAGAAACATCCTCTACTCCCCTGGATATTATAAAAAACATCACAGTGGGGCTGTATACCCCCTGTGTTATTGGGTGTAATACCATCCTTTCCCCTCCCCTGAATATTAGGAACAATATCACTGGGGGGTGCACACCGCCTGCGATATTGGGAGTAATATCATCCTCTCCCCCTATAAATATTAGGAACAATATCACAGCAGGGGTGTGCACACCCTACGATATTGGGAGTAATATCATCCTGTCTCTCCCTGGATATTATTAACTATATTACAGTGGGAGTGTACACCCCCTGAGATTTTTGGAGTAATATTATCCCCCAATTCCCTGAATATTATAAAGCATATCACAGGAGGGGTGTACACCTTCTGTGATATTGAGAGTAATATAATCTTCTTGCCCTCTGGATATTAGAAACAATATTCCATGAGGGTGTTTATCATAGAGGGGTGTACACACAAGTTGTTTACGATATTGGGAGTAATATCATCTTCTCTCTTCCTGGATATAAAGACCACTATCACAGAGGGGTGTACAACCCCTGTGATATTGGCAGTAATAGCATCTTCTTTCCCCCTGGGTATTACAAACAATATCACAGGGGGATGTACACCCCCTGCGATACTCGGAGTAATATTATCCTCTCTGCTTCTAGATATTTTGAATTCTATCACAAAGGTTTGTACACCCCTACGATATTGGGAGTAATATTATCCTCTCCTCTTCAAGATATTATGAACAATATAACAGGAGGGTGTACACCGTCTATGATATTGGTAGAAATATTATCCTCTCTCCCCCCTGAATATTACAAACAATATCACAGGGGGGTGTGCCCACCCTACGATATTTAGAGTAATATAATCCTCTCCCCACCTGAATATTACGAACAATATCACAGGGGGTCTTACACCCCCTGCGATGTTGGGTATAATATCATCCTTTCCTCCTTGTATGTTAGGAACAATATTCCAGGGTGTATGTACAACCTCTGCGATATTGGGAGTAATATCCTCTTACCCCTTGAATATTAGAAACAATATCATAGGGGGGTGTAAACCCCCTGTGATATTGGGAAAAATATCCTCTACCCGCCCCCCTCTGGCTAGATTTTAGGAACAATATCACAGGAGGGTGAACATGCCCTGCCATATTGGAAGTAGTATCATCCTCTCCCCCTTTGGATATTACAAACAGTGTCACAGTGGGGTGGACACCCTCTGCGATATTGGGTATAATGTCATCGTTTCTTCCCAGGATATTACAAACAAGATTACAGGAAGGTGTACACACATGGTGTTTATGACATTGGGAGTAATATTATCCTCTCTCCCCTTAATATTACCAACAATATCACAGGGGGGTGTATAACCCCTGCGATATTGGGATTAATATCCTCTCCCCTGCGGGATATTATGGAGAATATTACAGAGGGGTGTACACCAACTGTGATACTCGGAGTAGTAACATTCTCTTCCCTTCTTGATATTACAAACTATATCACAGGTGTACACCCCCTGTGATATTGTGAGTAATATCATCCTCTCTTCCTCTGTATATTGCAAACAATATCACAGAGTGGTGTTGACCCCCTGTGATATTGGGAGTAATATTATCCTCTCCTTCCCTAAATATTATGAACAGTATCATAGGAGGTTGTACACTCCCTATGATATTGCAAGTAATATCATCCTCTCGACCCTGAATATTACGAACAATATCACAAAAAAAGTATACACTCCTTGCGATACTGGGAGTAATATCATCCTCTCCCTTCAAAGATATTAGGAACAATATCACAGGGGTGGTGTACACCCCCTGCGATATTAGGAGTTATGTCATCCTCTCTTCCCCAAAAATATTAGGAACAATATTACAGGAAAGTTGTACACCTGCTGCGATATTAAGAGTAATATCATCCTCTATTCCACTGGATATTAGGAACAATATGACGTGAGAGTGGACACCCCCTGTGATATTTGGAGTAATATCATCCTCCCTCCCCTGGATATTATGAGCAATATCAGTGGGGGGTTGTACACCCCCTGCATATTGGGAGTAATATCATTCTCTCCTTTTCTGGGTATTAGGAAACATATAATTGGGGAGGTGTACACTTGCTGCAATATTGGGAGTTAGGATATTGCGATATTAGGAACAATATCACAGCAGGGGTGTACATCCCTTTCGATATTGGGAGCAATATTATCCTCAGCCCCCTTTATATTAGGAACAATATCACAGTGGGGGTGTGCACCCACAGCGATATTGGGAGTAATATCATCCCCTCCCCCCGTGGATATTAGGGACAATAACACAGGGGAGGTTTATACCCCCTGCGATACTGAAACTAATATCCTCATCTTTCTTTTTAGATATTAGGAACAATATCCCAGGGGTGTTGTTCACCCCTGGGATATTGGAAGTAATATAATCCTTTCCCCCTGGATATTAAGAACAATATCACGAGGGAGTGTATACCCCATGCAATATTAAGAGTAATATCATTCTCTCTTCCCCTGGATATTATGAAAACATCACAGAGTGGGTGTATACCTTCTGGATAATGGAGGATAATATGTTCTTTCCTCATGGATATTAGGAAAAATGTAACAGAGTGGATGTACACTTCCTGCGATATTGGGAGTATATCATCCTTTTCTCTTAATATTATGAACAATATTACAGCGGGGGTGTACACCTGCGATACTGAATGTAATATCATCCTCTCCCTCCCTGAAAGTTAGGAACAGTATCAGAGGAAGTGTGTACAACCTCTGCAATATGGGGAGTAATATCATCCTCTTTTCCTCTGGATGTTAGGAACAATATCACAGGAGGGGTGTACACCACCTGAAATATTGGGAGTAATATCCTCACCCCCCCCACTAAATGTTAGGACCAATATCATGGAGGGGGGGTGTACACCCCCGCTATAATAGGAGTAATATCATGCTCTTTCCCCTTGGATATTAGGAACTATGTTACAGGAAAGGTGTACAACCCCTGCGACATTGAAGGTAATATCAACCTCTTTCCCCCTGAATATTATCAACAATATCACAGGGGTGTGTATACCCCCTGCGATATTGAGAGTAAGATTATTTTCTCCCCGACGGATATTAGGAACAACATCACAGGAGTGGTGTACACCTCCTGTGATATTGGGAGTAATATCACCCTCCCCACTGCCGTATATTAAAAACAGTATCACTGGGGAAGTGTAAACCCACAGCAATATTGAAACTAATATCATTTTCTCCCAAACTGAATACTAAGAACAATATTACAGGAGATGTGCACCCCCTGTCAAATTGAGAGTAATATCCTCCTCTCCCCTCCTGGATATTAGGAACTATATCACAGAAAAGGTGTACACCCCCTGAGATATTAGTAGTAACATCATCCTCTCTCCCTCTGGATATTAGGAACAATATCACAGGGGGTGGTGTACACCCCCTGGAATAGTAACAATAATATCATCGTATTTTTCCCTGGATATTAAGAAGAATATCACAAAGGAGGTTTACACTCTCTGCGATCTTGGAAGTAATATCATCTTCTCCCTTCCTGGATATTACAAACAATATCACAGGGGGCGTGTACACCCCTTGTGATATTAGGAGTAGTATCATCCTCTCCACCCCCTGGATATTAGGAACTATATCTCATGGGGGGTGTACTCATTCTGTGATATTGGACATAATAAGATCCTCTCCCTCCCTTGATATTAGGAACAATATCAAAGGGTGGGTGTACACACCCTGCAATATCGAGAGTAATATCTTCCTCTCCACCCTGGATATTGGAAACAATATCATATGTGGGGGTTGTATACCCCCTGTGATATGGATAGTAATATGATTCCCACCCCCCTTGATATTAGGAACAATATCAAAGGGCGAGTGTACACCCCCTTCTATGTTGAGAGTAATATCATCCTCTTCCTTCTTGGATATTAGGAACAACATTACAAAAAGGTGTACACCCCCTGCAATATTACGAGTAATATCATCCTCTTTCCCCCGGATATTAGGAACTATATCACAAAGGGGATGTACCCTTTCTGCGATATTGAAAGTAATATAATCGTCTCCCCTCCTGTATATTAGGTACAATATCACATGGGTGGTGTACAAGCCCTACTATAATAGGAGGAATATCATGCTCTTTCCCCCTGGATATTAAGAACAATATCACAGGGGAGGTGTACACCCCCTGTGATATTGGGAGTAACATTATTCTCTCTCCCCCTTGATATTAGGAACAATATTACAGGGGGTGTGTACTCACCCTGAGATATTGGGAGTAATGTCATCCTCTCCCCTTCTGGATATTAGGAACAACGTAACGGGGGTGTACACGCCGTGCATTATTAGGAGTGATATCATCCTCTCCCCCTCTGGATATTAGAAACAATATCACAAGGGCGTGTACATCCCCTGCTATAATGTGGTAATATCATCCTCTCCCTTCCTGGATATTAGAAACTATATCACAGATGAGGTGCACACCTCCTGCAATATTGAAAGTAACATCATCCTCTTACCCCCTGAATATTAGGAACAATATCACAGGGAAGGTGTACACCTTCTGCGATATTGGGAGTAATACCCTTTTCCCCCTACTTAGATGTTAGAAACAACATCACGGGGGGTGTACACCTCCTGCGATATTGGGAGTAATATCATCCTCTGTATATTAAAAACAGTGTCGACAAAAAGGTGTACACCTCCTGAGATACTGGGACTAATATCCTTTTCTCCAAACCTATATATTAAGAACAATATCACAGAGGGTGTGCACTCCCTGCGATATTGGGGGTAATATCATCCTTCTCCCTCTTGGATATCAGGAATGATATTACGGGGGGGTGTACATCCCCTGTGATATTGGGATTAATATTGTCCTCTCCCCTCCTGGATATTGGGAAAAACATCACGTGGGGTGGGGGGTGTATACACCCTGCAATATTGGAAGTAATATTATTTTCCCCCTCACTGGATATTAGAAAGATTATCATAGAAGCGGTGTAAACCATCTGCGATATTAGGAGTAATATCATCCTCTCCCCCCCCCATATATTAGGAACAATATCACAGGAAATGAGTGTACACTTTCAATATTGGGCATTATTATCATTCTTTATTTTCCTGGATATTAGAAACAATATCACAGGAGGGAGTGTACACCCCCTGCAATATTGGGAGTAATATTATCCTCTCCCATTCTGGATATTAGGAACCATATCTCTGGAAAGTTGTGCACTCCCTGCAATATTTGGAGTAATATCATCCTCTCCCTTCCTGGATATTAGGAACAATATCACAAGGGGTATGTACACTCTCAGAGACATTGAAAGTAATATCCTCTCCCCCACTTGATATTATGTGCAATATTACAGGGTGGGTGTACACTCCCAGTGATATTAATATCATCTTCTCCTCCCCTGGATATTACAAACAATATCGTGTGGGGGGGTGTACACCCCCTGTGATATTCAGAGTAATATTATCCTGTCTCCCCCTGGATATAAGAAACAATATCACAGGGGTTTGTACACTTCTCAGATATTGGACTTAATATCATCCTTTCCCACTCTGAATATTAGGAACAGTATCATAGAGGGTGAGTTCACCTCATGCGATATTGGGAGTAATGCCATTGTTTTTTCCCCTGGGTATTAAAAACAGTATCACAGGGTGGATGTACACCCCCTGTGATATTGGGAGTAATATTATCCTCTCTTGCCTCTTTATATTAGGAAAAATATCACACAAAATGTTTACAACTCCTGCAATATTGGGAGTAATATCACCCTCCTTGGAGAGTAGTAACAGGAAACCTAAAGTCTCTCTGTTTTTAGAAAATGAGTTCTCATTAGCAAATGACTCAAATATGTCAGAAAAATCTAAAAAGAATTCATCAGATTTGGCTATTAAAAGTCAATGATTGAGAAAAGGATTATGATGAAGAGGGAATGGAAGATAAACAGGCAACAGTGAAAGTAAGCTATGATCTCAAACTTGATTAGTCAGAAAAGGGGAGACATATGTAGATGGCTACTCAAAGTATATTCTTTTAAAAAAATTAGAGAATCTCAGATTTTAAAAGATTTTAGAAAATAAAAAAATTAACTGATCTGCTTATTTTTCATTTCCTAATTATGGATAGTATCCCTAGGCTTCCTGTCTTATGACAATGAGATCTGCACCTCTGCCTGTCCCTGCACTTTTTCCCCACTTCCTACCTCCCCACTTCTGTCACCTGTACTTTTACTTTATCAAGGATGATAATGTATACAATCTGTTCCGTAACTAAGTTATTTTATATTTTAACTTTATTGAAAAACAATGTTTGTATTATTGCAGCTTTAAAATTATAGGCTCTGCTGTGAACAATCATTCAAAATAATAAAACTGCAAACACTAAATATATTTGTGTTTTTCCTGTAGGATCTAATGCCTTTTTAAAGTAACTGTCTTTCTTTCCCCACACCCTTACATATCCCTATTTTCTTTGGAAACATCCTTTTATATCAACTCTTTTAGAAACTCCCTTCCTTCCTTCCCCACATAGAATTCCTTACTAGCATCCTTAGTCTCTAGGCTGCTCTCTAGGAAAAGACACACTATGCTCTTCCTAGAACTTCAGGTTCCTGCTTGTCTGAATTCTATCACCTTTTTTTTTTTTGAATGTCGTTTCTTCTTCTTTCTTGCTTATTTATTGAAATATAACTTCAATTCACTTCCTAAGTAAAGTTTATGGATCCCTCCGTATATGTAATGCTTTATTTGGCCATCACATTTTATTAATTCTTGGGTGCATATTTTTAATGGCTTTTTTCCTCTATAACTTTAAAAGCACTTTTACTGAGAAGTTAAATATACAAATGAACAATAACCAGACCACATATAAAAAAACAGCTTTGACTCACAATCTGCAACAAGCAGTTTAGGGAACAAATCCCTTATCTACAGTAACCAGACCAGGAAGCCAGGCTACCATCTGACATTTAGACATGTAGGAAGTCAAACCACTATCTCTAGCAAACAATCTAAGAAGACTAAATGGTTATTATCTGGTTTTGGATTGTTTGCTTGTTCCTGAAAAAAAAAATGGATCCCAAATGGTCAGTTGATTAATAACTGCAGGTTCCCTAATTTTTGTCCCTGCTTCCAACTTAGTACAAGCCAAAGAAAGCCAGATACAGTATACACTGCTTGTCAATCACATATGATGCCCTACTTCTAGTTAGCCTACCTACAGCTTCCTTATACCAACACCTTCCAATCAGCATACATGAAGCCTTCCCTTTTTTCCACTATAACACTTTCCCACATCTCTGCCTCTCTTTTCAATTTCTGCCAAAACCAAGTAATGGTGGCTAACTCCATTGCTATAGAAAGCCCTGAATAGACTGCCTTTGCTTTCTCATCTGGGTGGTCTTTATTTATTGACACATTATATATGGACTTCTAGAATTAATGCTATTTATAAGACTGATAACAGTGTGACTTTTTTCTAATATCAGTCTTATTGGCATATAATTCGTACACCACACAATTCACCCACTTAAAGTATACAATTCAATAATTTTTAGTATATTCACAGACCTGTGCAACCACTCCTACAAGGATTTTTTTTGTCTCCAAAAAAGAAACCCAGATGGTGCCTGGGGAAGGGTGAATGAAGGGACTGGAGGACTGCTCACTCTTGCCACAGACCTCTGGGATCCTAGCTGCAGGAGATCCCACATCCCCTAGGACATGGGAACTGGCAGGGGGATCTCCCCAGAGATTAGACAGAAATGGAGATGCAGCAAAAGCATGGAACCAGGGACATCTGAGTGCTGGTCAGCTTCAGTGGAACCTGGCCATAAGTGCCCACCCTGCAGGGCTACCTGTCTCCCTCTGAGAGGCTTTGGCTCCAGATAACTGCCAGGGAGAAAACAGGATCTGCTTCCACACAGGACTAGGGAACATCTACCTAAAAGCCCCCTGCATGCCAGCCCATCCTAGAGGCCCAACTTGGCCACCCCATAGGAGTGTGTACACAGTGAATCCTCTGCTGCCTAGTCTGGAAGCTTTCTTACACCTGAGTGTGTTCCAGCAGCCTGGGAGCCCTTTGGATCCTCCAGTGTACCTAGAGGAGGGTCCAGAGGAGGGAGCCATGACCAGGTTCTGACACACCAGGGCCACAGTTTGTGGCTTAGGAGTGCTGAGCCATGATCTGTGCTCAGCACCTGAATGAGAGATGAGCCAGCATTCTCAAGAAACTGAGAGAGGTGAGTCACACAGGTTCTCAGGCTAGTGTGGGACCTAGGTTTGCCTCCCTCCACAGGGTTGGTCTGGTAAGGGTGTGGTCTATCTCCCTGCTAGATCTCTCCTCAGGGAAGCCCCACAGCCCAAAAGATCTAACAACAACTACCAAAGCCACACGCTCAGTGTCAATGACTGGAGGTGGCTCCTCTAAGGTCCAGGAGAACAGACCCAGTGAGGGATTCAGCACTATCCTCCTCACACCACAGAACACACCTGCAAATGCAAAGTCATACATAGAAGCCATGTAGCTGTGTAAGAGCCTATCCAAGACCCATTGCTCTCAAGTCCCATGTACTGGATTGCAGCCCAAACTACAATAAGAAACATTTTACTAATTCTCCCCACTGCAAAGCCAAGGACAAGAATTCAACAATAAACAAAGACCTACTATAGAGTCTTAGCCCTCTGAAGACTTCCAGAAAGAAAGTCAATTGACTATACTCACTTTACACCACAGTTAAAAGAATAACAGATGGGAAAGAATTAGCACAAAAACTGACAATTCAGAAAACCAGAGTGTCCCCTTACCTCCAAAGAAACCCAATAGCTCCCCAGCAATGGTGCTTAACCAGTCTGAATTGTCTGAAATGACAGACTTGGAGTTCCTAACCTGGGTGGCAAGGAAGACCATTGAGATCCAGGAGAAAGCTGAAGCTTAATCCAAGGAAGCAAAGCAATTCAGTAAAATGATTGAAGACCTGAAAGACAAAAGAGCCATTTTAAGAGAGACCCAAAATGAAATTCTTGAGCTGAAAAAAATCACTGCAAGAATTTTATAATACAATTGGAAGTATTAACAGCAGAACAGACCAAGCTGAGGAAAGAATCCCAGAGCTGGAAGACTGCTCCTTCAAACCAATTCAGTCAGACAAAAATAAAGAAAAAGGAATTAAGAAAAATGAACAAAAGCTCCAAAAATATGGGATTATGTAAAGAGGCCAAATCTACAACTCACTGGCATTTCTGAGAGAAAAAGAAAGACAATAAGCAACTTGGAATTGGAATAGAAAATAAGCAATTTGAGAATATAGTCCCTGAAAATCTCCCTAATCTCACTAGAGAGGTTGACATGCCAATCCAAGAAAAACAGAGAACCCTAGCAAGATACTATATAAAACAACCATCCCCAAGGCATATAATCTTCAGATTCATCAAGGTCAGTGCAAAAGAAAAAAACCTTAAAGGCAGCTGGAAAGAAGAGGCAGGTAAGTTTCACAGGGAACCCCATCAGACTGGCACCAGATGGCTTGGTAGAAGCCTTACAAGTCAGAAGAGATTGGGGGCCTACTTTTAGCATTCTTAAAGAGAAGAAATTCCAACCAAGAATTTCATATCCTGCCAAACTAAGCTTTTTAAGTGAAGGAGAAATGAAATCCTTCTCAGACGAGCAAATGCTGCAGGAATACATTTTAACTAGACCAGCTTTAGAAGAGGTCCTTAAGGTAATGCTAAACATAGGTTCAAAGAATGACACCTGCTACCAAAAAAACACACTTAAGCACATAGGTCACAGGCACTATAAAGCAACTACACAATCAAGCCTGCATACACAACCAGGTAACAACACAATGACAGGATCAAAATCACACATATCAATACTAACCTTAAATGTAAGTGTGCTAAATGCCCCCACTTAAAAGAAAGAGGGTGGCAGTCTGGATAAAAAGAAAAGACCCAACCATATGTTGTCTTCAAGAGATCCATCTTACATGTAACACCAACAAGCTCAAAGTAAAAGGGTGGAGTAAGATATACCATACAAATGGAAAACCAAAAAGAGCAGGAGTCTCTATTCTTATCTCAGATAAAACAAACTTTAAATCAATGAAAACAAACAAGGACAAATGAAGGGCATTACATAATGATAATGGGTACAATCCAACAAGAAGCCTTAACTATCTTAAATATATACACAGCCAATATTGGAGGACTAACATTCATAAAACAAATTATTCTTGAACTACAAAAGACTTAGACAACCACACAATAATAATGGGTGAGTTCAACACCCCACTGACAGTGATAGACAGATCATCAAGGCAGAAAACAAAAAAACTCTGAACTTAAACTTAACATTTGGACCTAATAGACATATAGAGAAAACTCCACCCAACAACCACAGAATGTAAATTCTTCTCATCTGCACACAGAACATATTCTAAAATCGACCACATGTTAAGTCATAAAGCAAGCCTCAATAAATTGAAATCATACCAAGCACACTCTTCGACCACAACGCAATACAAATAGAAATCAATGCCAAGAAGATCTTTCAAAACTATGCAAACACATAAAAATCAAACAACTCAATACTGAATAATTCCTGGGTGAAAATTGAAATTAAGATAGAAATCAAAAAATTCTTTGAAATTAATGAAAATAAGGAAACAATTTACAAAAAGCTCTGCATGCAGTCCAAAGCAGTGTTAAGAGGAAAGTTTATAGCACTAAATTCCTTCATCAAGAAGTCAGAAAGACCATAAATTAGCAATCTAAATTGGTACTTAAAAGAACGAGAAGTCAGAAAGACCATAAATTAGCAATCTAAATTTGTACTTAAAAGAACTAGAAGTGAAAGAGCAAACCAACCCCCAAAAGTAGCAGAAGAAAATGTTAAAAAAACTACAATTAAATAACTTAATGAAATTGAGATGCAAAATTTATACAAAAGATTAATTAAACCAGAATAAAAACAAATAAAATTGATGGACTACTAGCTAAATTAATAAAGAAGAAGAAAGAGAAGACTCCAAGAAGCAAAATCAGAAACAACAAAGGCAATGTTACCACTGATCCCACAGAAATATGAAAGACCCTCAGAGGATACTATGTACAACTCTATGCACATAAATTAGAAAATCTAGAGGAAATGGATAAATTCCTGGAAGCATACAGTCTTCCAAGATTGAATCAAGAAGAGATTGAAACCCTGAATAGACAAATATCAACTTCTGAAATAGAATTAGTAATAACCAACCAACTAAAAAATGTCCTGGACCAGAAACATTTGCAGTGGAATTCTACCTGACATACAAAGAAGAACTGATACCAATCCTATTGAAATTATTCCAAAAAAGTTGAGGAGCACGGGCTCCTCCCTAACTCATTCTATGAAGCCAGCATCACCTTGATACCAAAATCTGGCATAGACACAACAAAAAAACAAAACTTCAGGCCAATATCCCTGATAAACATAGATGCAAAAATCCTCAACAGAATATTAGGAAACTGAACCCAGCACATCAGCAAGTTAATACTTGTGTGATGTATTATCACAATTAAGCAGGCTTTATTCCTGGGATTCAAGGCTTGTTCAACATACAAAAAACAATAAATCCAATCAACCTCATAAACAGAATCAAAAGCAAAAACCATATAATCATCTAATATATGCAGAATAGTCTTTCAATAAAACACAACATCCCTTTATAATAAAAACGCTCTGCAGACTAGGCATTGAAGGAGCCTACCTTAAAATAGTGAGAGTCAACTATGACAAATTCACAACCAACATCATACCAAATGGGCAAAAGCTTGAACCATTCCCCTAGAGAACTGGAACAAGACAAAGATACCCACTCCCACCACTTCTATTCAAGGTAGTACTCGAAGTCCCAGCCAGAGCAGTCAGGCAAGACAAAGAAATAAAAGGCATCTAAATAGAAAAAGAAGTCAAACTATTTCTTTCTGCAGATGATATAACTGTATACCTAGAAAATCGTAAATACTCTGCCAAAAGGCTCCTAGAACTGATAAATTATTTTAGTAAAGTTCCAAGATACAAAATCAATGTACAAAAATCATTAGCATTTCTATACACACCAACAACATTCAGGCTGAAAGTGAAATCAAGAACATAATTCAACTCAAAATAGCCACAAAGAATATTAAATATCTAGGAATACAGCTAACCAAGGAGGTCAAAAATCTCTCCAAGGAGAGCCATAAAACACTGCTGAAAGAAACTAGAGATGACACAAACAAATGGAAAAACATTCCACGCGCATGGATTGGAAGAATCATTGTTGCTAAAATGGGAACACTGCCCAAAGCAATTTACAGATTCAATGCTATTCCTATCAAACCACCAATGGCATTTATCACAGAATTAGAAAAAAATTATTCCCAATTTCATCTGGAAACAAAAAAGCCTGAATAGCCAAAATAATCTAAGCAAAAAAAAAAAAAAAAGAAAAAAAAAAAAGGCAGAGGCCTCACACTATCCAACTTCAAACTACACTATAAAGCCACAGTAATCAAAACATCTTGGTACTGATACAAAAACAGACACAGAGCAATGGAACAGAATTAAAAACTCAGAAATAAAGTTGTACAACTGCAACCATCTGCAACAAGGCTGACAAAAGCAACTGGGAAACGACTCTCTATTCAGTAAATAATGCTGGGACAACTGGCTAGCCATACACAGAAGACTGAAACTAGACGCCTACTTTCACCTATTCCGAATGGATTAACTGAAATTAACTGAAAATGGATCAAAGACTTGAATATAAAATCTCAAACTCGTGGAGCCACGATGGCCGAATAGGAACAGCTCCAGTTTACATCTCCCAGCCTGAGCGACGCAGAAGATGGGTGATTTCTGCATTTCAATCCGAGGTACCAGGTTCATCTCACTAGGGAGTGCCAGACAGTGGGTGCAAGACAGTGGGTACAGCGCACTGTGTACGAGCCAAAGCAGGGCGAGGCATTGCCTCACTCGGGAAGCACAAGGGGTCAGGGAGTTCCCTTTCCTAGTCAAAGAAAGGGGTGACAGATGGCACCTGGAAAATCAGGTCACTCCCACCCTAATACTGCGCTTTTCCAACAGGCTTAAAAAGTGGCACACCAGAAGATTACATCCTGCACCTGGGCACCTGGCTCGGAGGGTCCTACACCCACGGAGTCTCGCTGATTGCTAGCACAGCAGTCTGAGATCAAACTGCAAGGTGGCAGCGAGGCTGGGAGACAGGTGGCTGCCATTGCCCAGGCTTGATTAGGTAAACAAAGCAGCTGGGAAGCTCCAACTGGGTGGAGCCCACCACAGCTCAAGGAGGCCTGCCTGCCTCTGTAGGTTCCACCTCTGGGGGCAGGGCACAGACAAACAAAAAGACAGCAGTAACCTCTACAGACTTAAATGTGCCTGTCTGACAGCTTTGAAGAGAGTAGTGGTTCTCCCAGCACGCAGCTGGAGATCTGAGAATGGACAGACTGCCTCCTCAAGTGGGTCCTTGACCCCCAAGCAGCCTAACTGGGAGGCACCCCCCAGTAGGGGCAGACTGACACCTCACACGGGTACTCCTCTGAGACAAAACTTCCAGAGGAACAATCAGGCAGCAGCATTTGTGGTTCACCAAGATCCACTGTTCTACAGCCACCGCTGCTGATACCCAGGCAAACAGGGTCTGGAGTGGACTTCCAGCAAACTCCAACAGACCTGCAGCTGAGGGTCCTGTCTGTTAGAAGGAAAACTAACAAAAAGAAAGGACATCCACACCAAAAACCCTTCTGTACGTCACCATCATCTAAAACCAAAAGTAGATAAAACCACAAAGATGGGGAAAAAACAGAGCAGAAAAACTGGAAACTCTAAAAACCAGAGTGCCTCTCCTCCTCCAAAGGAATGCAGCTCCTCACCAGCAATGGAACAAAGCTGGATGGAAAATGACTTTGACGAGCTGAGAGAAGAAGGCTTCAGAAAATCAAACTACTCCAAGCTACAGGAGGAAATTCAAACCAATGGAAAAGAAGTTAAAAACTTTGAAAAAAAAATTGGACAAATGGATAACTAGAATAACCAACGCAGAGAAGTCCTTAAAGGAGCTGATGGAGCTGAAAGCCAAGGCTCGAGAACTACGTGAAGAATGCAGAAGACTCAGGAGCTGATGCGATCAACTGGAAGAAAGTGTATCAGTGATGGAAGAGCAAATGAATGAAATGAAGCACGAAGGGAAGTTTAGAGAAAAAAGAATACAAAGAAACAAACAAAGCCTCCAAGAAATATGGGACTATGTGAAGAGACCAAATCTACGTCTCATTGGTGTATCTGAAAATGATGAGGAGAATGGAACCAAGTTGGAAAACACTCTGCAGGATATTATCCAGGAGAACTTCCCCAATCTAGTGAGGCAGGCCAACATTCAGATTCAGGAAATAGAGAGAATGCCAGAAAGACACTCCTCGAGAAGAGCAACTCCAAGACACATAATTGTCAGATACACCAAAGTTCAAATGAAGGAAAAAATGTTAAGGGCAACCAGAGAGAAAGGTCGGGTTACCCACAAAGGGAAGCCCATCAGACTAACAGCAGATCTCTCAGCAGAAACTCTGCAAGCCAGTAGAGAGTGGGGGCCAATACTCAACATTCTTAAAGAAAAGAATTTTCACACCAGAATTTCATATCCAGCCAAACTAAGCTTCATAAGTGAAGGAGAAATAAAATACTTTACAGACAAGCAAATGCTGACAGATTTTGTCACCACCAGGCCTGTCCTAAAAGAGCTCCTGAAGGAAGCACTAAACATGGAAAGGAACAACCAGTACCAGCCACTGCAAAAACATGCCAAAGTGTAAAGACCATCAAGGTTAGGAAGAAACTGCATCAACTAACAAGCAAAATAACCAGCTAACATCATAATGACAGGACCAAATACACACATAACAATATTAACCTTAAATGTAAATGGGCTAAATGCTCCAATTAAAAGACACAGACTGGCAAATTGGATAAAGAGTCAAGACCCCTCAGTGTGCTGTATTCAGGAAACCCATCTCACGTGCAGAGACACACATAGGCTCAAAATAAAGGGATGGAGGAAGATCTCCCAAGCAAATGGAAAACAAAAAAAAGGCAGGGGTTGCAATCTTAGTCTCTGATAAAACAGACTTTAAACCAACAAAGATCAAAAGAGACAAAGAAGGCCATTATGTAATGGTAAAGGGATCAATTCAACAAAAAGAGCTAACTATCCTAAATATATATGCACCCAATACAGGAGCACCCAGATTCATAAAGCAAGTCCTTAGTGACCTACAAAGACACTTAGACTCCCACACAATAATAATAGGAGATTTTTAACACCCCACTGTCAACATTAGACAGATCAACGAGACAGAAAGTTAACAAGGATACCCAGGAATTGAACTCAGCTTTGCACCAAGCGGACCTAATAGACATCTACAGAACTCTCCACCCCAAAACAACAGAATATACATTTTTTTCAGCACCACACCACACCTATTCCAAAATTTACCACATAGTTGGAAGTAAAGCACTCCTCAGCAAATGTAAAAGAACAGAAATTATAACAAAGTGTCTCTCAGACCACAGTGCAATCAAACTAGAACTCAGGATTAAGAAACTCACTCAAAACCACTCAACTACATGGAAACTGAGCAACCTGCTCCTGAATGACTACTGCGTACATAACGAAATGAAGGCAGAAATAAAGATGTTCTTTGAAACCAATGAGAACAAAGACACAACATACCAGAATCTCTGGGACACATTACAAGCAATGAGTAGAGGGAAATTTATAGGACTAAATGCCCACAACAGAAAGCAGGAAAGATCCAAAATTGACACCCTAACTTCACAATTAAAAGAACTAGAAAAGCAAGAGCAAACACATTCAAAAGCTAGCAGAAGGCAAGAAATAACTAAGATCAGAGCAGAACTGAAGGAAATAGAGACACAAAAAACCCTTCGAAAAATTAATGAATCCAGGAGCTGGTTTTTTGAAAAGATCAACAAAATTGATAGACCACTAGCAAGACAAATAAAGAAGAAACGAGAGAAGAATCAAATAGACTCAATAAAAAACGATAAAGGGGATATCACCACCGATCCCACAGAAATACAAACTACCATCAGAGAATACTATAAACACCCTACACAAATAAACTAGAAAATCTAGAAGAAATGGATAAATTCCTCGACACATACACCCTCCCAAGACTAAACCAGGAAGAATTTGAATCTCTGAATAGACCAATAACAGGCTCTGAAATTGTGGCAATAATCAATAGCTTACCAACTAAAAAAAGTCCAGGACCAGATGGATTCACAGCCGAATTCTACCAGAGGTACAAGGAGGAGCTGGTACCATTCCTTCTGAAACTATTCCAGTCAATAGAAAAAGAGGGAATCCTCCCTCTCTCATTTTATGAGGCCAGCATCATCCTGATACCAAAGCTTGGCAGAGACACAACAAAAAAAGAGAATTTTAGACCAATATCTTTGATGAACATTGATGCAAAAATCCTCAATAAAATACTGGCAAACCGAATCCAGCAGCACATCAAAAAGCTTATCCACCGTGATCAAGTGGGCTTCATCCCTGGGATGCAAGGCTGGTTCAATATACACAAATCAATAAATGTAATCCAGCATATAAACAGAGCCAAAGACAAAAATCACATGATTATCTCAATAGACGCAGAAAAGGCCTTTGACAAAATTCAACAACCCTTCATGCTAAAAACTCCGAATAAATTAGGTATTGATGGGACATATCTCAAAATAATAAGAGCTACCTATGAAAAACCCACAGCCAATATCATACTGAATGGACAAAAACTGGAAGCATTCCCTTTGAAAACTGGCACAAGACAGGGATGTCCTCTCTCACCACTCCTATTCAACATAGTGTTGGAAGTTCTGGCCAGGGCAATTACGCAGGAGAAGGAAATAAAGGGTATTCAATTAGGAAAAGAGGAAGTCAAATTGTCCCTGTTTGCAGATGACATGATTGTATATCTAGAAAACCCCATCATCTGAGCCCAAAATCTCCTTAAGCTGATAAGCGTCTTCAGTAAAGTCTCAGGATACAAAATCAATGTACAAAAATCACAAGCATTCTTATACACCAATAACAGACAAACAGAGAGCCAAATCATCAGTGAACTCCCATTCACAATTGCTTCAAAGAGAATAAAATACCTAGGAATCCAATTTTCAAGGGATGTGAAGGACCTCTTCAAGGAGAACTACAAACCACTGCTCAATGAAATAAAAGAGGATACAAAGAAATGGAAGAACATTCCATGTTCATGGGTAGGAAGAATCAATATCATGAAAATGGCCATACTGCCCAAGATCATTTATAGATTCAATGCCATCCCCATCAAGCTACCAATGACTTTCTTCACAGAACTGGAAAAAACTACTTTAAAGTTCATATGGAACCAATAAAGAGCCCACATCGCCAAGTGAATCCTAAGCCAAAAGAACAAAGCCGGAGGCATCACGCTACCTGACTTCAAACTAACTACGCTACAGTAACCAAAACAGCATGGTACTGGTACCAAAACAGAGATATAGATCAATGGCACAGAACAGAGCCCTCAGAAATAATGCCGCATATCTACAACCATCTGATCTTTGACAAACCTGACAAAAACAAGCAATGGGGAAAGGATTCCCTATTTCATAAATGGTGCTGGGAAAACTGGCTAGCCATATGTAGAAAGCTGAACCTGGATCCCTTCCTTACACCTTATACAAAAATTAATTCAAGATGGATTAAAGACTTACATGTTAGACCTAAAACCATAAATACCCTAAAGAAAACCTAGGCAATACCACTCAGGACATAGGCATGGGCAAGGACTTCATGTCTAAAACACCAAAAGCAATGGCAACAAAAGCCAAAATTGACAAATGGGATCTAATTAAACTAAAGAGCTTCTGCACAGCAAAAGAAACTACCATCAGAGTGAATAGGCAACCTACAAAATGGGAGAAAATTTTCGCAACCTACTCATCTGACGAAGGGCTAATATCCAGAATCTACAATGAACTCAAACAAATTTACAAGAAAAAAACAAACAACCCCATCAAAAAGTGGGCGAAGGATATGAACAGACACTTCTCAAAAGAAGACATTTATGCAGCCAAAAAACACATGAAAAAATGCTCATCATCACTGGCCATCAGAGAAATGCAAATCAAAACCACAATGAGATACCATCTCACACCAGTTAGAATGTTGATCATTAAAAAGTTAGGAAACAACAGGTGCTGGAGAGGTTGTGGAGAAACCTCTCCACTTTTACACTGTTGGTGGGACTGTAAACTAGTTCAACCATTGTGGAAGTCAGTGTGGCGATTCCTCAGGGATCTAGAACTAGAAATACCATTTGACCCAGCCATCCCATTACTGGGTATATACCCAAAGGATTATAAATCATGCTGCTCTAAAGACACATGCACACGTATGTTTATTGCAGCACTATTCACAATAGCAAAGACTTGGAACCAAGCCAAATGTCCAACAATGATAGACTGGATTAAGAAAATGTAGCACATATACACCATGGAATACTATGCAGCCATAAAAAATGAAGAGTTCATGTCCTTTGTAGGGACATGGATGAAACTGGAAACCATCATTCTCAGCAAACTATCTCAAGGACAAAAAACCAAACACCACATGTTCTCACTCATAGGTGGGAATTGAACAATGAGAACACATGGACACAGGAAGGGTAACATCACACTCCGGGGACTGTTGTGGGGTGGGGGGAGGGGGGAAGGATAGCCTTAGGAGATATACCTAATGCTAAATGATGAGTTAATGGGTGCAGCACACAAACATGGCACATGTATACATATGTAGCAAACCTGAACATTGTGCATATGTACCCTAAAAAAATCTCAAACTCCTGGAAGACAACCTAGGTAATACTCTTCTCAGCATCAGCCATGGTAAAAAATGTTTGGCTAAGTCCGTAAAAACAATCACAACAAAAACAAAAATAAACAAGTGAGACCTAATTAAACTAAAGAGCTTCTGTGCGGTAAAAGAAACTCAACATAGCAAAAGACACCTTATAGAATGGGAGAAGATATTCACAAGCTATGCATCCAACAAAGGCCTAGTATATATAATCTATAGGGAACTTAAATCAACAAGCAAAATACAAATAGCACCATTAAAAAATGGGCAAAGGACATGAACAGACACTTGTCAAAGGAAAACACACAAGCAGCCAACAAACATGAGAAAGTGCTCAGCATCACTAATCATCAGAGTAATGCAAATCAAAACCACAATGTGATATCATCTCATACCAATCACAATGGCTACTATTAAAATCAATGACTAACAGATGCTTGTGAGGCTGCAGAGAAAACAGAATGTTTATATATTGTTTATGGGAATGTAAATTACTACAGTCTCTGTGGAAAGCAGTGTGGAGATTTTTCAAAGAACTTCAAACAGAGTTACCATTTCACCCAGCAACCCCATTACTGGGTATATACCCATAGGAAAACAAGTTATTCCACTAAGAAGACACATGCACTCCTATGTTGATTGCTGTGCTATTTCCAATGGCAGAGACATGGAATCAACCCAAGTGCCCATCAATGGTGTATTGGATAAAGAAAATGCAGT
This sequence comes from Homo sapiens, assembly GCF_000001405.40. Taxonomy (NCBI): domain Eukaryota; kingdom Metazoa; phylum Chordata; class Mammalia; order Primates; family Hominidae; genus Homo; species Homo sapiens. Next base: position 58,225,876 of record NC_000006.12, on the reverse strand, counting down.
ATATATACATCATGAAATACTATGTAGCCATAAATATAATAAAATCATGTCCTTTGCAGCAACATGAATGGAGCTGGAGGCCATAATCCTAAGTGAATTAACACAGGAATAAAAAACCAAATACCATATGTTCTCACTTAAAAGTGGGTGCTAAACATTGAACACACATGGTTATTGGGAATAGACATTGCAGACTACTGGGGGTGGGGGGTTGAAAAAAGCTACCTATTGGGCACTATGCTCACTACCTGGGTGATGGGGTCCATACTCCCAACCTCAACATCACCCAATATTCCCATGTAACACCCCTGCACATATACCTCCTGTATCTAAAATAAAAGTTGAAATCTAAAGAAGAAAATAAAAGAATCCCGCCCCCAGTAAGCAGTCACTTCCTATTTTCCCTCAAACCCCATATCCCTCAGCAATCACTAATCTGCATTCTATCTTTATAGATTTTCATTGTGATCATAGCTTAAAAATGGAATCTCAAATATGTAGGGTTCTTTGACTTAGCATAAGGATCTTAAGGTTCATCCATGTTGTAGCATGTATCGAGAGTTCATTCCTTTTTATGTCCTAATATTATTTCATTGTATGTACATACTACGTTTTGCTTACCCATCCATCAGTTGATGGACATTTGAGTTGTTTCTACTTTAAGGCTTTTATGAATAATACTTCCATAAACATTTATGCACAAGTTTTTGTATGGACATTTGTTTTGATTTCTCTTGGGTTATATACCTAGGAGTGGAATTGTTTGGCCATTCTATATTCCAAGCAGCAATGTAACAAGGTCTCAATATATCAAATCCTCTCCACCACTTACTATCTCTTTCATCATAGCCATCTTAGAGAGTGTGAAGTGATATCTCATTGAGGTTTTAATTTGCATTTCCCTGATGGCTATTGGCATTGAACATCTTTTCATATGTTTATTGGCTATTAGTCTCTCTTCTGGGGAGAAATGTCTATTCAGATCCTTTCTTCATTTTTAAGTTGGGCTTTTTGTCTTTTCATTATTGAGTTATAAGGTGATCTGCTTTTTACCTTTGTTGTTTTCTTTCTAAAAACTTTAGCATCTTCTCTTTATCATTTGTATTCTGAATTTTCATAACATGTTTCAGAAAATGCATTTTCTTCACTTTGCTGAGTACACAGTGGGCCTTTTCAACATAAACACTCATACTTCAGCTCAGGGTTACCTCTTTCATTATTTATTTGATAATTGCTTGCTCTGTTTTCTCTTTCAAGAACTTCCATTATTTATGTGGCAAACTTTGAATTAATCCTTGTCTTTATTCTCATTTTCCTTTTCTTGCTTTTTTTTCTCCTTTTATTCTAAGAGATTGTTTACTTTTTTCCCATTGGTTACATTTTTATGTGTTTTTTAAGAGCATACTTTTATGATTTAATAAATGAAAGATCTCTCTAACATCCCTCTAATGATACTAATTAGAGAAAATTTTAAAGTACTTTTCTGTTTACTAGATTAACTATTTCCTATCAGACTATTATTGTTAATCATTAATCTTGCCCTTTCTCTTAAACATTCCTCATTTGTCTGGCCATCCTTGATTCCTGGTTTGTATTTAGGGTTGAGACAGCAGAAAATCTAGCTGAGGCCTTCGTATTCATGGGCAATAGTTTATCAACTGGAAGCCTTAACCTTATGTTGAGACTGTAGTAGCAAGTCAACCACTATGACTGGCTGAAATGCTAAAGCCTTCCCACTAGGATAGCAATTCCCACATTAACTATCCTTGTTTTACCATATCATCCTTTTAATTAGTATACTTAAGAAGTCTCCTTACTTTTTTTATTGTAGTAATATACCAATAACATAAAATTTACCATTTAAAACATTTCTAATTTCAGTGGCCTTAAGTACATTCACATTGTTATGCAACCATCACCATTATCTATCTCCAGATTTTTTCATCATCCCATACTGAAACTCTGTACCTATTAAATAGTAACTTCCCATTCCTCCTCTCAGCCTCTGGTAACCACTGTTCTACTTTCTGTGCCCATTTTTAGTTAATTTACATATATATATATATTTTTGTTGTTGGTGTTTGGAGGCATTCTTTGGCTTCAAGTTGTGTTCAAACGAAAGGAAGATGTGGGAGAAGTGAACATTATGCAGCTACAGGCTTTCCATTATCCTCCACTCCCTTGTTTTCAAAAAGTTACACACACCTGTGTCTATTCTAACCTGGAATTTCCAAGTCCCATATGACCTCTTGGTATTTGAAAGGCAAGGTAAGGCTCTTCTGATATGTGCTCCTCTTTGGACATTTTCTAAGATGTGGTTTCCTGTATTTCTATTCCTTCATCCACTAATTACTTCCCATAAGATTTTATAAACGCTTTCATACCCCATTGACACCCTTCCTCCATTTCTTATTTCTATGTTTGTATTCCTATTAAAATGAGTTTTGGAACAAAGCAGTAGATATCAGCATATGCTCAATCTACTACATTGAACCATAAGCCCATGTTAAATTTTTAACCGCTAACAAATGTTACCAGTGTATTTAACCAGAGTTCTAACAATTTTGTATCTGAAATCAGTATCACAATTCAATGAAATATCTTAAGAATAAGAAAAAGTTCAGAACGGTATTGAGAATATATGAAACATTTTAATGTAATTTTTCATAAATAAATTTAAATCTCAAACTGCTACACATAGTTCTAAATTAATTATTTTTGTAACTAGAATATTTAAATTCTTCATTAATTCTTTACTATTAAAATCTCAGTAGAGTAGTATCTTGTAATTAAATGGGCATTTGCTGTGAATTTACCAAGGACAATGAAAGTCTAGATTACCCCTTGTTTATGATTATCATTGTATCTAGCATAGGAAAGAGATCATATAGAGTAGTGATTCAAGTACAGTCTGTGAAGTCCAGAAGATCTATTTTTAGTCAAGATTTTTAGATTTATTAATTCTACTTGGACAATTTTCTCAGCTTCTCAGTCATTCTTCATCTGTAAAATGGGGTATAAAATAATATGTATTCATCAAGCATCTGTGAAAAACAGAAGATGCAAATATAAGTCTGGACTCACCGTAGATGTTTAATAAATACTAACAAATATTATCCAAAGTTGGACTCCAGTGTCACTGCATATGTCAGGATCTCAGCTCTAACACCAGATCCCTGACTTTGGCTATGTTACTCAGTTTATCTTTGTCTTGTTATTTCATGGCTAAAATACTGCAGCCTACATAAAGGGTCATTTTGAAGATTAAATACAACAATATGGGAATAGAGTTTAAAGCAGTGTTCTTAATATCATCACCTGCATTATCATTCTATGATTGCTTGGTCTCTCTGAAGCTAATTATATCCAAATATAGTTTTGCAATTGTACCACCTTATTACACTGTCTCTTTCCTGGCTCCACTTTACTCCATTCCACTCCAAAATAATTACGAATATTTTTGTTTTTATATTTTGAATCAATACTGTATTCAGAATATTCCATATTTAAATCATCACCAGTGACACATTCATGGAATACTTGTCCTTATCTTTAAAAGCAAACAAAATCTACAGAGAATTGTTTCACTTTTAACTTCCAGTGTTTTTCTGCATTTCACTGAATTTTAAGCATGCCCTTCCTAAATTGCTGCCACATTTTTTCCTTCAGTATGAAGGAAAAGTGTTAAACTTCACTGCAATTGCTTTTAAGAGCTTTCTAGCATTTTATCTTAACAACATGATCTGGAAAAAAATCTTTATTCCCAATATAGGACTTTCTTTACAAGTAGAATCACAGTTCGCTTTAGTAGAAATTGAGTTATCTAGGTTAGGTTACATTGGCTCCCAGCCAAAATGGACAAACAACTCAAATTTTACCCTGACTGAGGACTTTTCCTCAAACTGCTTGCTTAAATGTCTACTTTGACTATAATATAAATACCAGCTATCATACAAGAAGATGATATTCTCACTTACTTTCCTTTTTAAATTATGATCCTCTTCCAGGGTTCTCCCTCCCACTATATCTCCAGATCCAGTTCACCTGTCACCTCTGGTGTTTTCTCTTCAAATTACTGAGTCCCACTTAGCTAAAGTCCTCTTGGCTCCCTCAGAACTTCTATTTCCACCATAGCCCTTACCACTTTACAAAGCAATTGTCAAAGACTAATCCCATCCACTGGGTTGAGCATAATGAGAGGAGATCAGTGTGGGGTTTCCCTCTATAGCTCCAATATTTTGTAATCAATAAATATATATTGAAAGGACTTTTAAGTAGTTCCACTGGGGAACATCATCTACTTTCTTCTGCTCAACATCTCCTTCTTTGGGAGAACCAAGCCCCTGCTCACACATACTCTTAGATTCCCATTAGGTGACACAAACCTTGGCTTCAAAGTTGGATATGTGACCCAGGAATGAAAAAATTAGAGAACTCCAAGTACTTCATTTTATTGGCCACTGCAAGTAAGTCAGGAATAGGTGTACAACTCAGGCTGGGCCAAGGAGTCCATCCTGGGAGTTTTTCTTTTTCTCTTTGACCGTTAGGTATAAGAACAATATGAACCTAATGCTGATGATGTTACAAAAATGCCAGGGGTTTGGTCTAGGTCCTGTTGCTCCCCATACAGAAAGCCAATCATTGAGCCAATAAGTATTGCCAGGGAAGAAGACTTTTTATTTTAGTGATGTCAACTCAAACAGATCTAGAGGTTTATATAGCAGGGAAGAAATTTAACTACATGATGGAAAACACAAATTAGGAAGGGGTAAGGAAGAGGAGTTGGTAAAGAGAAATTAGGGAGGGACCTGGCTGGATGAGGTGATCTAGTGACTTTCAGTCCCTTTCCTGAGGAAGATCTCAGGCAAGACAAATTTAAGTTTCAAGTTTTAAGACGAGAAGGGTCAATTTCTTTGTTTATTCAAAAAACCTGTAAATATCAGTTCTATGGAGAAATTGGGCTGGTTTCAGTGACAGGCATCTTTGTGACCACATAGGGAGCACTTACAGAACAAAGTTAATCCAGAAAAATCTCAGAGTTAAGTGACGGCGCAAGACAAACTTCTGATGACATTATTTGAGCCCCAGCTCTAGACATACCTGAAGTTCAATCCTATCCTTTCCAGTTATGAGGTTATTTCGTTTTCTTTAGATGGGTTGAGTATCATTTCTGTAACTGGCAATTTTTAAAAAGTCTTGGTAAACACAGTTACCCCTTCAAATAAGAACATGAATTTTTAAGACCATGGAATGAAACATTATTACTGACAACATAGAATACAGGCATATCTTTGAATTCAGTAGCATGCTGTTGTAAATAATAAGCTAACCCACTACCAACTATTTTTACACGAATAAACAAAACATAAATTTTTTTCCTTCTTTTGAAAATTATCTGATGTGATTCCCCTATTAGAACTACATGCTCATATGTAAAAATAAATATATTACGATTTTCTCTTTTTCTAAAGTTGACGAATGAAAGCAAGAAAAAAAACTACATCAAGAAAAATATTTTTAGAGAGTAATTATTGATTTTTGTCAAGAGTTTTATCCCCTGAAATTAAGAAGAAGTGGGTTTTTGGATACTTGATATCATGAAAATAAAACATGTTTATATACTGAAACCTCAAATCTTGAAGACCTACAGAAAATATTCTTGAACTTTAATATGCATAAGAATCACAATGGTATTTGTTAAATATTAAGATTCAAAAAGTACCATCCAAAAGATTCTAATTCATTATGCCTGAGTAGGGCCAAAAATCTAAATTTTAAAGCAGCACCCCAGGATAGTCTAATTAAATGGTGCGCTGACTGCACATGAGAAACTGCTCTCTGAGGTGAATGGGATCATAAAAAGTGATAAATCTTAGAGATGACACCTTCCTCACAAGATGAGAAATGAAAGTAGCTTTCACACACACACACAGACACACACATACATATAGTGTGTGTGTATGTGTGTATGTATATATATATATATATATATATATATATATATATATATGAGAAATTTGTCAGAATTTAGTGCATTATTTTCTTAGATTCCATAGGACAAAAGATTTTGAAGGCCTTTTTTGATCAGAAAATTTTACAAAGCTCCAAGTCTATTCCTTTCTCATTCAGGAACTAGTTCATTTCTTTATTTTTTACTAAATGGGACATGAGAAATTGCTTAGAAATATTATGGCTTCCTGAATCTTATATCTAAAGGCATCAAATTTGGTACATTCTAAGAAACATAAAATGTTAGATTTCAGAGAAATATTACAGGTCATTTAACCCAACCATTATCAGATGTTAGACTCTTTTCCGCACTATTCCCTAAATGTGGTCATTCAGTTTCTACTTGAACACTTTTAATGACCCAGAACTCATTAATTCATAAGAAAGCATTTTTTTCTCTTGTGGTAAAAGTTTATGTTTGTTTGTTGGTTAGTTGGTGATTGACTGATTTTTTTTTCCACTATCCTAAAATCTACCTCTTAATGTAGGATATTCATTAGTCTTAGGACTGCTTCTTTAGTTGAAACAAAAAAGCATAGTTTCCCATATAAAGGGTCTGTAATTATTTGAAAAGTTATCATGATACCTGTTAAATCCTCTGTTCTAGATTAAACAACCAGTTTATTCAGCTATTTCTTTTCTGACCCAGTTTCTAGAGACTTTCCCTACCTGGTAACTGTCTGTCCCTTCTTCTTGTTTAAGCTATCCCATAATTTAAATAATTTAAAGAAAGGGGTAAATACCTTATTCTGTTTCTCCATAACTAATCCACATAGATTTAATCTACTCTTAACCTCTTAACAAGGCCTTATAGCATATCATGCTCTCAGCATAGAATAAACTCCATTTAACTAAGAACAATAAACAAGGGAAGGTAGTAATCCTAGTTGTTCTTCCTCTAATCTTCAGGCTTAGGCCTGAGTGGGACCACAGGATTGGCTATACACTCATTTCAGGTGATGATGTGTGTGCTCTTGGTGACTCCCCTCCACCCAGAATTTGACTCCTCTTGGGCTCCAATTTCTAGGTCTTTAAGAGCAGAAGCAAAGGTGTCAAGTTGGGGGTTGACACTTTTATCACCCCATAGTTCAGGGCCATTCTTCTGGCTCTTCCCTGCCACTGCTGCCTCAGGTCCATTTTGCCTATTCCTTCTTCCTAAAGGCTCACCAAAATGATAATGCCAGAAGTGGGGGCCTACTTTCCACCAGCTTATTTATTCTTAAGACTTTCTCATTGGAAATGGATCACTAATTTTTATTAGATAAATTTGTATTTTGCCCAGCAAGATTTTCTTTAATACTAGCAAGAGAGCATATGATTCATAGTAACTACCTGAAACCAGGTAATTATTTTTGTTTTCTTATCTCAGCACTTGTCATGTAAAAACAAATTTGACATTTTCTTGTCCTTTACTAACCCCCTCAAAGGCACAAGAGTCATAGAGAAGCCCCTGACTCATTTTTATTAACAATTTATGCATTAGATTTGCTTTATAGGGTGCAAAGAACTTCCAAGAGCCGCAGAGTTAAGAGTCAATAAGTCAAAGTTGATGTCATATAATATGTTATAAGTATGGAGTTTGGCCTTTGCCCCTTTCTCAAATATTTATATGATATAAAGTGATAAGTGCTAAAAGAGAAATGCAGATAGAAATGCTAATATTGGGAATATAGAAAAATAAAAAAATGCTTTAAGATAAAGTAATTAAGTAAATGTTTGCAGTTACAGAGATGGAAAGGCAAGGCACTCAAGAAAACGGGGACCCTATGAGAGGAAAATGGTTGGGGGGGATCAGTGTGGAAGCTTTATTAATAATAAAGAATAGGAAGTATTAGAGCTAAAATAGTCAAAAAATGGTCCACGGACACTGATTTTTTTCAAATAACTCACTGGCAATGCAGTTAAAAGATATAATCAATTATCTCTATTTTTGTGATAAAATTAATGAAACGCATTCATAACAAATTAATTCTTCAATGGAAGGGGCATAAAAAGGAAAACTACTGCACTATTTTTAGGAACTGTATAACACTACCATTAATTTACTCTTACTGAAATAGTCTGATTTTGACTAGACAGATAAGATAAAGTATAATGCAGGAGAAATGAAAATCACCAAGTACATATTATACAACTCTAATAAAGTTTACAAACACAGGTTTATGGCTTAATTACTAATATTTCTCTAATCTTATGTAGAAAACTCTTGAGAATACTGCATGAATAATCATTATCACCACTTACTACACTGCTGAGTTAGCATCCAAAATCTATCTGCCCTTATATGTGTATGTGTACCTGAGCACATAAAATATATATGGATAGTACTATTTGACTAACTGGTAAAGCATGCTAACGCCTAGTGGAATAACTACTAACAAACTAGATTCTGGTTGTTTATTATTTACTGGTCTGAAAATAACATAATTTATTTTTTTCCTTACCACAAGCTCCATTGAGAATTTCTTACATTATAATGAATAAAAATCACAAACCTATTTTATCCTGATGCATTTTCATCTACTCTTTATATTGGCCATAAAATTTACCAACTTGAAATCTAGGACTCGTCTAAAATAAGCATGGGCAAATGTCATAAAAAGAGTTAACATTTATTGAGTGTTGACTATGTGCTAGATAGTGTTTGACATGGTTTAGATCTGTGTCCCCACCCAAGTCTCAGGACGAATTGTAATAACCAATGTTAGAGGTGGGCCTGGTAGGAGGAGACTGGATCATGGGGGTGGATTTCCTCCTTGGCATTCTAGTGATAGTGAGTAAGTTCTCATGATACCTGGTCATTTAAAAGTGACCTCCCCTCTCTCAATCCTGCTCCTGCCATATAAGACTCCTGCTGGGACTCTGCCTTCCACCTTGAGTAAAAGCTCCCTGAGGCCCCCCCAGAAGCAGATGCCACCATCTGCTTTCTGTATAGCCTGCAGAACCATGAGCCAATTAAACCTATTTTCCCTACAAATTTCCCAATCTCAGGTATTTCTTTATAGCAATGCAAGAACCGATTAATACACTGTTAAAGATAGTTAATGTTTTTACTCACTAGCCTTTTTACAGTACTTCAAGGTAAGCACCCTGACTGTATTAGTCAGAGTTCTCCAGAGAAACAGAACAAATGGTAAAAGAATGTATAGACAGATGAGAGGGGATTTATTAATAGAATTTGCTCATGTGATTATGGAGGCTGAGAAGTCCCACAACTGGCTGTCCATAAGCTGGAGACTCTGGAATGTGGGTAGCATGGCTCAGTCCAAGTCCGAAAGCCTGAGAACCAGGGGAGCCAATGGTGTAACTCTTGGGACTGGGCTGAAGCCCTGAAAGCCCAGGGAACTGCTGGTGTAAATCCTGGAATCTAAAGGCGGGAGAGCCTGGAGTTCTGATGTCCAAAGGTAAGAGATGAAGAGTGTTCCAGATCCAGGAGAGAGAGGGGGAAAAAAAGAAAAAGGAAAGAAAGAAAGAAAACACCAGTTTTCCCCCTGCTGTTTTTGTTCTATCTGGGCCCTCAGTCGATTTGATGGTTACCACTCACATTGAGGGTAGATCTTCCCCCACTCAGTCCACAGATTCACTGGAACATTCTCCTCTGGAAATACTTTCAGGGACATACCCAGAAATAATGCTTTGCCTGTTCTCTAGATATTCCTTAATCCAGTCAAACTGACACCTAAAATTAACCATCACACTTACTATCCCCATTTTTTTTTTTTTTGAGGAAATGGAGATATGGAGAGGTTAGGCAATTTGCCCAAGGTCATGTAGCTAGTAAGTGACAGAGAATTTGGCTACATAATTGAAGCAGCTACGCTATGATGCCACATATGTATATATACATACACATACACATATATATACATATACATAATACATACTATATATGTAGTATAAAATAATAAAATATGATAGGATTGGCAAACACTCTAATCACTGGTATAAAACTGTCAGCAGTACAGTCCAGAAGTAAAATCATAATAACAAGAGGAAGTATTTTTGAGAGGCATCACCATTGTATTCTTCATCACATAGGAGTTGCTAAAATAAATTCTTTTATCTTTTTATCACCATTACCAAGCACCAAACCTAGGCATATAGGTGGCACTAGGCAAGGATATATTGCATAAATGAGTGATAAAGAAATCAGATCCAGAGAATACCCACCTATACTTCAAACAAGGAATACCACTAATTTGCCTTTTTGGTGAAAAGAGGAAATGTAATACAGTGTAAAGAGCACAGGCTTTTGGAAGCAGACTTACAGTTGAAATCCTTATAGCAACACCACCTGTTAAATTTATGACCTTAGACAACCATCTTGGATTCTTTAAACCACGGTTTCTTTATCTTTAAAATTACAATAATTATAACTGACACAAATATGTTGTTTTGAGCATAAAATGTTTATAAAGTACCAAAGAGATTATTGGATAGAAAAGACTTTCAATCTACCCTCAGAAAGTTCAATAACTGAGTCTATGAAATAAACTGAAAACAGGCAGATTAATAGGAGAAAGGGTATAGAAATTTATTATGTGCATGGAGGTCATCACAGAAAAGTAAATACCCCAAAACTCAGTGATATTTAGAAGCTTATATGCCCTTTTCATAGTGGGGGAGAGGAGGAGGGATTTAAGTACCTTAAATGCCAGTAAATGGTTTGGGGAAAAATAAATGGGCCCTAAGAATAGATGATTGTTTATGACAAAGTTTATCAGGGTGTGGTGCTGACTTCTTGTCTATCTATCCTGTGATAAGGGTTCAACTTTCCTGGTTGACAAAATTCTTATGGATCCCAATGGATGACAAGTGAATTCTTTCTGGAGTATGTGGCTTTAGGTAGATAAGTGGAGTTCAGACAAAGGCTCTCCCTGTGTGTGCTATATTTTCAGTGCTTTGAGCTCGAAGTAATCCGTGTACCAAAGTGGCACATTTTGGGGTGCCATTTCCTAAACTCCTTCAAGATTCTGGCATATAGTAAACAATTTAACAAGTAGTAGTTTCTATTCTCCAAAGACACTCAGCTTTAATATCTAAATCACCTTCGCATTTTCCTTATTTAACTCTACCCCACCTACCCAATCAATATCATCATTTCTAGTCTGTTTTCTGCCACAGCTTTTCCATTGGTGCCTTTCTTATCCTTTTCACTGCTACCACTGAGCTACTCCCTGTTACTTCACACAAAGAGTATTTTAATTATTTGTTAGGTAGTCTGCCTGTATACACATTGTGTCTTGAAAGACTAACCTTCTAAAAGATTATTGGCTATGTCCAGAGCCAACTTCATGGGTATACAACCTATTCAGTCACATAAGCCTCCACACTAATAAGAGCCCATGCTTTGTTCAATGTTCTGCTGTTCCCTGCTTATAATTTTTAATTAATGAACAAGAGTCACCACTTTTATTTTGCACTGAGCTCTTCAAATGATGTAGACAGCACAGCCACGCCACTTCCTTGTTTGGAATATTTACAGCACATTTTCATTGTTTATTAAACTGATGATATTCATTCCAGACCAGCATTCAGGGTCTTACACATGGCTATAATAGGCTTCTCCTGACTTGTCAACTATGGCACAGTTCAGTAGATCTTTATTCTTTCATTTCCTCATCCATACAATAAATCTTTATTAAATGTTATCATGGCCTACAAAGATGCACATACTATACTTTTCCCTGCCTCTAAAACTTTATCTCATAAATATCTCCCCTACCTAATTGCTGCAGCCAACAGGATCAATATTCACCTCCTGTATGCCTCTCCCCAAATGTTCTGCCTTCTTGCATTTGATCCTCCATTCCTTCAATTAACTCTTTCCCACATTTATATGCATGGCTTAGCATGTTCTCAGATTTCAAGTTCGTAAATACTATGTTAGCAGAAAGACCATTCTTTTTTTTTATACTTTAAGTTTTAGGGTACATGTGCACAACGTGCAGGTTAGTTACATATGTATACATGTGCCATGTTGGTGTGCTGCACCCATTAACTCATCATTTAACATTAGGTATATCTCCTAATGCTATCCCTCTCCCCTTCCCCCACCCCACAACAGGCCCCAGTGTGTGATGTTCCCCTTCCTGCATCCATGTGTTCTCAATGTTCAATTCCCACCTATGAGTGAGAACATGCAGTGTTTGGTTTTTTGTCCTTGCAATAGTTTGCTGAGAATGATGGTTTCCAGCTTCATCCATGTCCCTACAAAGGACATAAACTCATCCTTTTTTATGGCTGCATAGTATTCCATGGTGTATATGTGCCACATTTTCTTAATCCAGTCTATCATTGTTGGACATTTGGCTTGGTTCCAAGTCTTTCCTATTGTGAATAGTGCCGCAATAAACATACGTGTGCATGTGTCTTTATAGCAGCATGATTTATAATCCTTTGGGTATATACCCAGTAATGGGATTGCTGGGTCAAATGGTATTTCTAGTTCTAGATCCCTGAGGAATCGCCACACTGACTTCCACAATGGTTGAACTAGTTTACAGTCCCACCAACAGTGTAAAAGTGTTCCTATTTCTCCACATCCTCTCTAGCACCTGTTGTTTCCTAACTTTTTAATGATCAACATTCTAACTGGTGTGAGATGGTATCTCATTGTGGTTTTGATTTGCATTTCTCTGATGGCCAGTGATGATGAGCATTTTTTCATGTGTCTTTTGGCTGCATAAATGTCTTCTTTTGAGAAGTGTCTGTTCATATCCTTCGCCCACTTTTTGATGGTGTTGTTTATTTTTTCCTTGTAAATTTGTTTGAGTTCATTGTAGATTCTGGATATTAACCCTTTGTCAGATGAGTAGATTGCAAAAATTTTCTCCCATTCTGTAGGTTGCCTGTTCATTCCAAAGGTACTTTCTTTTGCTGTGCAGAAGCTCTTTAGTTTAATTAGATCCCATTTGTCAATTTTGGCTTTTGTTGCCATTGCTTTTGGTGTTTTAGACATGAAGTCCTTGCCCATGCCTATGTCCTGAATAGGATTGCCTAGGTTTTCTTCTAGGGTTTTTATGGTTTTAGGTCTAACATGTAAGTCTTTAATCCATCTTGAATTAATTTTTGTATAAGGTGTAAGGAAGGGATCCAGTTTCAGCTTTTTACATATGGCTAGCCAGTTTTCCCAGCACCATTTATGAAATAGGGAATCCTTTCCCCATTGCTTGTTTTTGTCAGGTTTGTCAAAGATCAGATGGTTGTAGATATGCGGCATTATTTCTGAGGGCTCTGCTCTGTTCCATTGACCTATATCTCTGTTTTGGTACCAGTACCATGCTGTTTTGGTTACTGTAGCCTTGTAATATAGTTTGAAGTCAGGTAGCGTGATGCCTCTGGCTTTGTTCTTTTGGCTTGGGATTGACTTAGCAATGCGGGCTCTTTTTTGGTTCCATACAAACTTTAAAGTAGTTTTTTCCAATTCTGTGAAGAAGTCATTGGTAGCTTCATGGGGATGGCATTGAATCTACAAATGACCTTGGGCAGTATGGCCATTTTCATGATATTGATTCTTCCTACCCATGAGCATGGAATGTTCTTCCATTTGTTTGTATCCTCTTTTATTTCATTGAGCAGTGGTTTATAGTTCTCCTTGAAGAGGTCCTTCACATCCCTTGTGAGTTGGATTGCTAGGTATTTTATTCTCTTTGAAGCAATTGTGAATGGGAGTTCACTGATGATTTGGCTCTCTGTTTGTCTGTTATTGGTGTATAAGAATGCTCGTGATTTTTGCACATTGATTTCGTATCCTGAGACTTTGCTGAAGTTGCCTCTCAGCTTGAGGAGATTTTGGGCTGAGATGATGGGGTTTTCTAAATATACAATTATGTCATCTGCAAAAAGGGACAATTTGACTTCCTCTTTTCCTAATTGAATACCCTTTATTTCCTTCTCCTGCGTAATTGCCCTGGCCAGAACTTCCAACACTATGTTGAATAGGAGTGGTGAGAGAGGGCATCCCTGTCTTGTGCCAGTTTTCAAAGGGAATGCTTCCAGTTTTTGCCCATTCAGGATGATATTGGCTGTGGGTTTGTCATAGATAGCTCTTATTATTTTGAGATACGTCCCATCAATACCTAGTTTATTGAGAGTTTTTAGCATGAAGTGCTGTTGAATTTTGTCAAAGGCCTTTTCTGCATCTATCGAGATAATCATGTGGTTTTTGTCTTTGGTTTCCCTATGATGGATTACGTTTATTGATTTGCATATCTTGAACCAGCCTTGCATCCCAAGGATGAAGCCCACTTGATCATGGTGGATAAGCTTTTTGATGTGCTGCTGGATTCAGTTTGCCAGTGTTTTATTGAGGATTTTTGCATCGATGTTCATCAGGGATATTGGTCTAAAATTCTCTTTTTTTGTTGTGTCTCTGCCAGGCTTTGGTATCAGGATGATGCTGGCCTCATAAAATGAGGGAGGGAGGATTCCCTCTTTTTCTGTTGATTGAAATCGTTTCAGAAGGAATGGTACCAGCTCCTGTTTGTACCTCTGGTAGAATTCGGCTGTGAATCCATCTGGTCCTGGACTTTTTGTGGTTGGTAAGCTATTAATTATTGCCTCAATTTCAGAGCCTGTTATTGGAGAAAGACCATTCCTAACCCCTGTATATAAAGCTGGTGGTCCTTGTTATTCTATGTAACACACTGTTTATTTACTTCTTAATAATATAACAAAAATTATCACAAAAATAATAAAGGCAAGGTTCTAGGTGCTTTCCATACGTTAGCACAGGTACTCCACAGAACTCCATGAGATCAGCACTATTCCTTCATGGCACTAGCATAATGTGCACTCATTTTGTGTTTATTCCCTTATTTGGTCACTTTACATATGGTGAGCTCAATAAGAGCAGTGACTATGTCATCTTGGTTCACTGTTGCATCCCCCCATACCTTAGTAATAAATCAATAACTTCTTATTAAATAAATGATTGCCTACTCCGTACAGTGCCCTGATTTTTTATGTTGTGCATTTTCCAAGTGATAAACAAAACCTGGGTATTCTTCTCTTTCCTAACTATGTTTGTGGTTTACTAGTGCTTTTACTCATACTCTTCCCTCAGACATTCCCTTCTGTTAAATTCCTATACATCTAACAAAACTCATTTTGGATAGCATCTTCATAAATCTTCTTCCATTCCCTCTCCCGTCCCTCCCTGATCCTTGCTTATCTCTCTTCCTGAATTTTCTTGGCATATCATATGTCTCTTATGATGCCTATACATTGCTTTCCATTATAACTATTTTTGTACTTTTCTTTAAATCAATGACAAAGAGCAAACCTTGCTCATCTTTGTATTTAGCACAGCATGAACTATAATGTTCTACCCATATTAGATACTTGATACATATTTATTATTACATGTTTATTAATTATATTAAAATAATATAAATATTTCCACCAATGTCTACATTTTGAAGAGACCTGGGAAGTCATCTCCAAATCTCAAATAATCCTAAATCATCATCATGCAACAATGTATCTAACTATATTCTAATTATACTATAATCTACCTGAGAAGTAGAGATTTATGTGAATGTAATTAAGAAGTTTGCTTTTCTTTCTCTTTTCCATTTTGAAAAATCTGTACTGACATACCTTTTCTTTTTTTATTTTATTTTCTTCCCCCAAGATGGAATCTTCCTCTGTTGCCCAGACTGGGGTGTAGTGGTGTCATCTCAGCTCACTGCAACCTCCACCTCCTGGGTTCAAGCAATTCTCCTGCCTCAGCCTCCCGAGTAGCTGGGACTACAGGTGTGCGCCATTATGCCAGGCTAATTTTTGTACTTTTAGTAGAGACAGAGTTTCATCATGTTGGCCAGGCTGGTCTCGAACTCCTGACCTCGTGATTTGCCTGCCTCAGCCTCCCAAAGTGCTGGGATTACAAGCGTGAGCCACCGCACCCAGCTGACATACCTTTTCTCAAGGGTTTCCAGAAACAAATTTAGTTACTAATATAAGAATAGCATATGAACCAGCAAGGCAGAGTGAATGAGCATGGAATTTCAAACCAGATACATCCAGGTTTGTAAACATCACCCAACAGTACCTGAGAAAAGTTTGGCACATTACGTTATCTATCCATTCTCAAGTTTTCACATCTAGACATATGAAGAACATACCTCAGGGAGCTGTTGTAAGGGTTAAAGGCAAAAATATAAACCAATATATTTGTCATTAGATATTAAATTTTTTAAATTAAAATATTTTAAAATATTGAAATATTGAGGCCTGCCATTATATTTATTTCCTCTCTTCTTCCCAAAAATGATAGTAAATTATTTTTTGAGTTGGAAACCCCCAAGAGCAAATAGAATGGGAGTAGAGTCATCAGCAGATTTGAAATTTCAAGACAGAAAGTAAATAGAAAAGAATTGACAGAAGCTGAGGAGAGGAAATCATGGGATAAAATCTTCAAAACATGCATAGAAGAGAATAAGGTCAAGGGAAGAACGAGCTTACCCTATGGATCCTTGGAGAAGCTCTAGATTCAGAATGGAAAGGGATGATAGACTGCAATGGGGGGAATGAGCAACGGGCCAATCCCCTGCAAGTTGTGAAGAAAGATGTTGCTGACCTTTAAATCTCTTTAGTTGCCAAATCATCGATTCATTTCTCTCTTTGACTAAAGATATTTTGGGACACACAAGACTCTAACACTTCTTCTTTGGAAGTTACTTGAGAAAGCACCCAACAAAACTAGTAAGTGAAATACGAGAAGCCAACATAGGATTCTGGAAACAAGAGGCAAACCAGAATAGCAGTGAAGGAAAGAACCAAGATGACAGCTGGCAGTGACCAGTCTGGACAAGAGGAAAGCAGCAGACTCTGGGAGGAAGATCTGCCAAAAAGGGACCAAGGAGATCATATGGTAAGACTGACAACTTGGAACAACTTGGGGATATAAAAAAGGCACAAAATAATAGAAGAAAACTCAATTATGAAAAATCAAGCATTATAAAATAAAACTATGTTTGAAATATAAAACCACAGTGAATCCAAATTCTGAAAGGAAATCAATGAGTTTTAAGAAAAATGGAGTGGATTTTAAGCAAGACCCAGAATGAACAAGCAGCTGAGAGCATTAAGTTTTAGTGGGAAAAAAAACAAAAACAAAAACCTTAGTTCTTTCCCTAATAAGAAATCAGCAGGAAAACCAGCACAGGGTTCCAGGGCAGTAGAGACTGTAAAAGTAGACACAGTCTGAATATGGGGCAAATGCTAATGTGAAATGATTTGCAGAAGGAAAGAAAAACCCATTTGAACAATTGTCTTCGAGTGAAACAGAGTTATCAAACCCTAGAGAAAGACAACAAATCCTAGCACACAGCTTGGCTCTCCAATGAGGAATACTCCATGGTCATAATATATAAATGTCAATTACCAGCCATCAACTTGAAGAAAAATATAGAAACATTAAATGTGATTACAGGACAGACAGCAAATGTTTTCAAACTTGCTAATTTAAAAATAAAACTGGAGTGACAGAGGTACGAGGCAGAAGGAGGGAAGAAAAAGGAAATAAACAGGTAGGGGCCCTAATTTTCTCACTTGATGAACTAAGGAGTCAAGAAATACTGGCTGTAGGTAATGAAACAAGGTGTCAAGGTTATACAGGTTGACAACTGAGGAAACAAAATAGTATCATTAAGCAGGGGAGATAAACATGGGGGGATTAGAAAATGAGCCAAATCAGATGCGTTGTTACAGGAAATGGATAATGTCTGGAGTTGATAAGAACATAACTAAACTGTATGGGTACTGGAGGAAATCAGCTAGAACTATTGCCCCTGGGAACAGGCCTGGATAGGAATAGATGGGAATTGGTATATTCAGGAACATTTTTTTCATAATTAGCTCTTCTGTGGTATTTGAATTTTCATCCATGTGCTTGTATAACTTAGATAAAAGAATTAATATAAATTAATATAACTAATGAAGACACTGAAATCTGCTGTGTGGAGCCAAAGTTTCTTAGTAACAAAACTGAAATGATTTATAAAATAGTTTATATTGTTGAACATAACAACACACAAGCCAATTTGTAAGTATTTCCAATTTTCTTTAGAAATGTATTATTTAAATATTACTGTTTCTGCCCTGGGAGTTTATAATCTGAATAATATATAAAATGAAATTAATAGCCATAGTTCAGACAAGGAGGTTGTGTCTCAGGAGGTTCACGGTTTCTTGATTTTTTTTTTCTACTGTTCAATCTTGGCTTAACATCAGTCTTCAGTCTTTTTTTTTTTTTTTATGGGTTGTCACTGCAACAGACTCACAGAATAGCTATGTTTATAAAAGTACTAAAGGGAAGTTACCTGGTTACAAAAAGGAAAGGTAACTCTTCTAAACAAGTAATGTACAGAAAAGAATGCACAAAAGGGAGATTAAGAGACTCCAAAGGGAATTTTCTTTTAGGTGTCTGGCATAAGCAAAAGTAAAGATGATTTCTGTTATCAAACCGAACAGAGAACCATACCTAAGATTGTTTGAGAATTAAAAATTTAGTCTTACTGCTTTTCTTACCTCAGGTTTTATTTTCCTTTGTGGCTACAGCTACTGAAGCAAAGAGACTTTAGAAGCTTAAAATCTGTTTCTCCTTAGTTACTTCATACAGATTTTTTTTAAATAAAACATTGGACTTCTTCCCAAAAGCACTTTTTCATTTATTTCCGTAGTAAAGCATTCTTTATGTAAAGCCATTATAATTTATAATACTCTGATTTCTGTATATACATACACAATTTAAGCCCTGAGACAAATATATAGTAAACTGGCGCTATACACATATGTTCACGTGGATTTACCTCAGTAATTTATTTATTTCTCTCTTTCCACCTCAGTAATTTAAACAAAAGCATTTGGAGTTCCAATTTTCATGGCATGTAAATCAGCCCTTCATTTCTTGTCGTGCATATATTCCTACAACTAAAGTCAGAATCACAGTTGAATTTTAAAATCCATGATTTTTCTCACTAAGCGAACTTGTCCCATTTTATCAGAGATAATTTGGCCATCTCTCTGGATTTGAACTTCCTTCCTAGTCTTTCTTAACAGAAACCATTCTATATAAGGATCTAGCCATTCAATTGGTATTATCAGCAGGTAAGATTGAGCAGGCTGGAGCTCCCACACAAACCGTGAGTAACTCATCAAAATGTAACCAGATGGACTTGTCCTTAACTACTGCTCATAAAATCTGCAAACTCTCATGATGTTCAATAATCTTATGCTTTTTGTTAGACATTTTTTTTTTAGTGTAGAGCTTTTTTGTTGACTGTGTTTACAAGAAATACAATTGCACTGAATGATAAAATGGTATCAACTTTTAGAAAAATCCCCAAAGTACATGTATGAGAAATGAATGGGAATTGACACCTGTCATCATAAATAGAAAAGTGTACCGGCAGAGGCTGAGCAATTATTTTAGTAAAACGGTGCCAAACTCTTATTCTTATGTGGGAATCATCACTTTAACATTTTATAGATAGCATTTTATTGTAAATTGTATTTTCTATGTCAGCACAATTTGGGATTCTTAATTTTTATCTTAAGCAATTTTTCTTCATAGTATAGTATAGTGACTAGCAGGAAAATAATATCCATTTCATTTTGAAATTATCTATTCTTTTAATTAAGCATATCTACCTTAAATAGCATATCTTTGGCAAAGATATCTTTAGTTCAAGTCAGCTTAGCAAATGTTTATTCTGTAGTTACTGAAAATCAGAACTGTATTAAACATGGAAGTTACAAACATAAAAGCAAAGAAATGCAAGAAAGTTGTGAAATTTTTTTTCTCATACACTGATTGGTATTTAAGAGTGAAGACTTTCAGGAGAACAATTTGGGGGCTATGTCTTTGTGACCATAATACTGTTAGATCCAGCAATTCCACAAGTTTATCTTAAGATAAATGCACAAAGTATTCATTATATGGCACATTTATATTTCCCTTTTAAATTTAAATGCCAACATACTATTTTTTATTTCACTCCTCTCTTCTCTTTGGGGTCATATATGTAACATGGCTGTAAAACAGAAATTTACTGAGGCGCAGAGTAGGTGAGAGGGTTAAGAGAGCCCCTCAGAGGATTGCTGGGGAGAAATTCTGAAACTCTCTGTAAAGAGAAAAAAAAGGTCACAGGAGAAAGTAGAAAAATAACACTATCACAAGAAAACAGAAAAAGATCCTCCTTCTCCCCATAACAGATGAGCTGTAGGATTCACAGTATATAAGGATCACATGGCTCTATGGCTTCCATGTCTGCATTGCAGTGTGCAGGTTACTAAATTACATAAAATACAACAGCTCCAGAGATCACAGCATAAACATTAAAAAGAAATGCTGTAGTTTGCAGCAAATCCAAAAGACTCTCCCACAAATTCAAGCCTAGTAATCAAATTTTAAGAAAGGAGTTGGCATCTTTCTATATCTGCCAGAGAGCAATTTCTTTTCATATTAGGTATAATACTATGAAACTTATAAGAGCACCTATCCATGTATTTCAGATATTCACAGGAATGTTGGGTGGGGTTCAGAAGAGTAATGGAAGAACAGCAGCAGGAGGGGCAATAAGAGGATCAGGGGATAGAAATAAGCCAATCTGAGAAGCTGATTATGTTTGTGAAGACCCAGAAGATTATATACTAACTAAAAAAAGGTAGAGTTTACTATGTGTAAATTACACTTCAGTGAACACCAGTGCCAGCATATGCCTCCCTGAAGTTCAAAGACAGGCACATGCCACCCACCACAGCCACCACTTGAGCACAAGAACAGGTCCACCTGACATCACCATCTCCAGAAAAACTTCACCACAGCCTCCACTGACAACAGGACCCTCAGCCACTCAGGAAACCACAGACACCACTGATGCTGTTTATAGCTAAAGAAATCATATGGAGACTACATAACTGCATGTATCCAGAATCAAAGCCAAAGTACCCTGTCCAACTAACACCATCGACACATCCTCAGGAAAAAGTCCTCCCCTGTGAAAGCTAATTTTAAAAACTTGAAGAAGACACTGTTACACCAAATGCAAAATTATCAATGCAAGGGCATAAGCAGCATGAACAAGCAAGGAAATATGACACCTCCAAAGAAGCATAACAATTCTATAGCAACAGCTTCCAATAAAAAAGGAGTTGAAATAGCTTTTGTTGAAAGCTTCAGCAAAACAGTAGATTAAGCAAAAGAAAGAATTTTACAACTTGAAAACACTTCTTTTGAAATAATCCAGTCATACAAAAATAAAAGAAAAAAAATTTCCAAATAAGCAGTCTATATGACATATAGGACATCATAAATTACCAAATATTCAATGTTTTGGTGTCCCAGAAGTTAAAGATAAAACAAAAAGGGTAAAAAACCTATTTCACAAAATAATAGCAGATACAAGAAACTCAGAGAACTTCAAATGGATACAATTCAAAAAGGTCTTATCCATAGTATATTATAGTAAAACTCTCAAAAGACAGAGAGTTCTAAAAACAGCAAGAGAAAGTGTCTAGTCACTTACAAGGGAACCCCTATCAAACTAACAGTGGAGTTCCCAGCAGACACTTCATAAGCCTGAAGAAGGAAAAATAAATGCCAGCCAAGGATACAATATCCAGCAAAATTATCCTTCATAAGTGAAGGTGACATAACATGTTTCCTGGACAAACTGAAGCTGAAGGAATTCATCACCATTAGAACAGTCCAACAAATGTTTAAGGGAGCCCTACATACAAAAGCAAAAGGATGATATCTACCATCATGAAAACACATGAAAGTATAAAAATCATTGGTAGAGACAACACACAAATAAGGAAGAGAAGGATTCGAATGTTACTACTATAGAAAACCACCAAAAAACAGTGACAAACATGAGAGAGAAAAAAAGGAAGAAAGAATATACAAAACAACCAGAAATTAAATTACTAAAATGATAGAAATAAGCCCTCACATATCAATAATAATCTTGAATATGAGTGAATTAAACTTTTTATTTAAACGATATAGATTGGCTGAATGGATTTAAAAAATATAATCTAACTATGCTCCCTACAACAAGTACACCTTACTCATAAAGACACAGAGACTGAGATCAAGGGATGTAAAAAGATATTCCATGCAAATGAAAACAAAAAAAGACCAAAAGTAGCTATGAATATATTAGATAAAACAGTCTTTAGGTCATAAATTGTAAAAATAAACAAAGAAGGTAATTATTAATATGTAATGATAAAGGGGTTAATTCAGCAAGAGGATATGATAATTCTAAACATATATGCAAACACCACCAGAGCACCTAGATATGTAAAATAAATATTATTAGACCTAAAGGGAAAGACAGACTCCAACACATTCTTTGAAAGTTTGGTAAAATTAAGCAATGAAGCCATCCAGTCCTGGACTTTTCTTCGTTTGGAGACTTTTTGCTACTAATTCAATCTCATTAATTATTATTGTTCTGTTCAGGTTTTCTTTTTTTTTCCTGATTCAATCTTGTAGGGGATTTTAATGACCCACTCTCAGCATTAGATAGATCATCTAGATGAAAGACTGACAAAGAAACGTTGAATCTAAACTGCACATTAGGCCAAATGGACCTAAAAAACATTTAGAGAACATTTTACCCAACAATGACAGAATACACACTCTTATCATTGCCACATGAAACATATGTTATGTCACATAATAAGTCTCAACAAATTTTCAAAAACTGAAATCTTATCAAGTACCTCAAGTATCTCAAACCACAATGGAATCAAACTATAAGTCAATAAAAAAGAGGAACTTCAGAAACTACAAATACATGAAAACATGCTCCTAACCACTGGATTAGGGAGGAAATTTAAAAATTTATTAAAAATAAATGAAAATAAAAACACAACATTACAAAAGCTTATAAGATACAACAAAAGCAGTGCTAACAGGGAAGTCTGGAACAATACAATAAATGCCAACATCGAAACAGTAGATTTCAAAGAAACAATCTAGCAATGTACTTCAATGAACTATAAAAGCAAAAACAAAACAAACCCAAAATTCATACAAATAAATAAATAATAAAGATAAAAGCAGAACTAAACAAAGTAGAGATGGAAAAAAATACAAAGAATCAACAAAACAAAAATGTG
This sequence comes from Homo sapiens, assembly GCF_000001405.40. Classification (NCBI taxonomy): domain Eukaryota; kingdom Metazoa; phylum Chordata; class Mammalia; order Primates; family Hominidae; genus Homo; species Homo sapiens. The sequence continues at coordinate 58,202,728 of NC_000006.12, read as the reverse complement.
GTTTTTTGAAATGATAAACAAAATACATAAATTGCTAGCTAGACTAAAAAATGAGAAAATCCAAATAAACAAAATTAGAAATGAAAAAGGAGACTTACAACTGATAACCACAGAAATAAAAAAGATCATCAGAGACATTTATGAACAGCTATAAACTAACAAACTGGAAAACCTAGAGGAAATGAATAAATTCATAGAAACATAAACCTTTAGAGGAATTTTTAGGGCATCCTGTAATTTTTAGGGCATCCATCAACCTGATGTTGTTACAACTCCTCTATCCCTCTGTAGTTTATCATTTTAAAAAATCACTCTTATTTTCTATTTTTCCTTCTTTGAGCCATAGTTACAATTTCTTCTTCACTTTCTTTTTCTAATAAAAGTATTATTCTTTTCATTCATCCCTCCCCATTACCCTTGGCAACTTATCCTTTATAGTAGAATATTTCAATTCTTTGAGGAAAGTTCATTGTAGATACCAAAGAGTTAAGAATGAAATGCCATTTGCTGTATCAATTTGATCTGAAACACAAGGATAATGTTCCCAGCTGTGGCATCTGGGTCCTTGGAAATTTCATCAGACAGTGCCAGCCGTTATTGTAGAGTTCTGGGCTTGTCGTGAGGATTAAGCTGTTCCGCAGCTGCCACCTCGATGCAGTATAGTACAAGTTGAATTTCAATTTTCCTCTGAATAATACCTATTTTTCTCCCTATTTATATTTTGTTAAACTATCTAGGAGATTTGGTTTTCGATAGAGTCTGCATTCCAACACTTGCTTTCAGAGGGGTGAGAACATGCACCATATTTATACTTTTGATAGGATTTCAACATGAATATAATTTCCTTTGCAAAAAAGTAAAATGAAGTTTCTAGTGCTTTTGTTCTAAGCATTTTTGTTTATTTTGTTAAGCGCTTTATCAGCAGTATGAAAATGGACTAATACAGAAAATTGGTAACAAGAGAGTGAGCCATTGCTAAAAAGATACCCGAAAATGTGGAAGCAACTTTGGAACTGGGTAACAGGCAGAGGTTGAAACAGTTTGGCGGGCTCAGAAGAAGACAGGAAAATGTCTTTCAACCCAAGTGCAAGTATGATTTTTTAATAAAAATAGTCACATGAAATCTAAAATGAGTGCATTCCTTTGTTAAATAATTTTTTTAAATGCACAAGTTACTTAAGTAACTTTTCTAATCTGTTGTTACTGCCAGCACATAAAATAGAAAGTGTTTCTTAATAGAGTATTTGGTGAGTGCTCTCTTTATCTCTTTCATGAATTCATTTGCTGACTACAGTTGTTAAATTGCTAACTAACCATCAGCGTCAAAAGGATTGATCTAGTGTATTCATTCTCCACTTAATTCTAATGTTCTTTAAGCAGCCTCATTCCTTTTAAGAGCTCAAAATGAGACATACTATAGAATCATAGATTTTGAAACTGTGATGAAACTTAGAAATTATTTGGTGTTTCCATTTATTTTTACAGACAATCAAACTGAGAGCCAGTAAAATTAAATATTATGCCCAAAGTCATCACACAAATCATTAGTGGCAGCATCAAGCCCAGAATGCACTCCTTCTAAGTCCTAGCCTAGTACACTTCCTACAGTCCTACATTGTCTCACCCTAGTCTAAGTCCATAGTCCAAGATTCTTAGTTCTCTGCTGTCTGAAACCAACCTTTTACCTGGCCCACTCTCTCTTCCTATCTATTACTTTTTCAAGATGCTTATCTCACCAGACCTTTCTCTCCCTCTATTCTGTTTCTGCCTCTTAGTTTCCAGTTCTCCTAAGTGATTCCAAGAGAACTCTACAGACACAGTGGGCTACCTTTAACCTTCTGTGGAGAGTGATTTCCTGTCATTAAAAAGCTGAAACAACAACAAACCGATGTCTATCTACTAATGATGAAAAAACACACATATGGGAGCCAGAATATTCAGAAATCATGAGAAAACTCAGTTTATGACCCTGTGCATCTTGAGATGTAGGACCTCTTAAAACAAAGAAGGATGCTACCTATGTAGAATTTCTCATATCATTCTGCATCTCACCGTAGAAATATGAATAATTTCTCACTGTATTCAGCACTCTCCCACCCTAGAAATGTTGTATATAAAGAATTTCCCATGGTATTCTGCATTCTACTCAGTCTTTTCTTTAAATATCACCTTGAGTCTTCTCTTTTAAACAGATTATTATTATCCATTGCCTATTCAATGGGTTTGACCAGTTCTATACTTCACTCACTTTCCTACTCAGATGTATCACCTATAATTTCCATTTCTGCAGGCCTGTTAATTGAAATTTTTACCTTTGATTTGGAAGGTGATTAACTGTTTCATTAGGTAGCTGTTCTCAGAGAACAAGACAAAAATATTTCTCTGCAGATTAGGTGTTACTGAAGAAATAATTAGGTCAGAATCCATCGAAGTGTGGCACAGCCCCACAAACTGAACATGTGCATGCTGATAAATTCGTTGTGTCAAGAGATTTGAGATCGATAACATCCACACTCAGCTCCCTTAGGCATTTAGTTGTGAAGTACAGACTATGTACTTCCGTACAAGAGAAGAATATTTCTTGAGATGTTTATAAACAAGGTAGTTAGCAACCAAAAGGCAACCTGAAAAATAATCCTGCTGAAAATAGCAGAGTAATGTCTTTGCCAATAAGACTGGTAAAGGAGAGGGCAAATACTGATAAAAGTAAAAATCTCCAAAAGTAAGTGCACAAAAAAGGTTTCCTATTGACTCCACTTTAAAGTGCACATAGTGTAAATTAAAGAAATAAGAAAGAATATTTTGCATTTGGGTAAACAAGATTATGTTAATGGGTAAAAATAGTCAACATGTACTAAGGTTTAATCACATGGCATTGGATAAAAGTTAAACTTTGCATTATCCTTGTTTGCTTAAAGTTTGTAATCTAAACAATAGTGCCAAAAGCATAAATGTAAAAAAGTCAGCCTGATTTATGCAAGGAATATTTTATATTAGCTTTTTTTACCTTACTATTTGGGAATATTCTCAAGTTATACTTACAGTGCCATTGAATTTTCTCAGGGAGTGTATGAAGGAAAATAGAGGACAGGTAAGAACAAATTATGCACTGATAAGGATGCCAAAATAAAAAAGGACAGAAATTTAATGCATGATATGGCATCTTTCTTGTTAAGGCCTAACAAAATAAATCAAACACATCTAATGGTGCAAGTCTCAAGGCCAGTTCAAACCTCTCTCCCTCCTGACTCTCAATCATTAACCTAAAATTTAGCTTAATTTGAGCCCAGTATAGTACTCATAAGCCTCTCTAGGTGTAAACTAGAAGAAGCCCAGGTTGGCCCATTGACCATCTCAGACTCCCAGATATCTTTGAAACATGGGTTCCTTCTGGACCAGATCTCCTCTTCGTAATTTAAAACAGAAAGAGCTTAATTTTCTGGAGGCAGAAAGGATGGAGCAATTTTTACCTTACAACGAGGTTTCTCTATAGAATAAGTTTCTACAAAAGACCTGTTCATCCATTTATTAAAATGTCAAGAAAAAATTAATGACAATGGAATTCTGTAGCCTGAACATACATAAACATATAGTTCAATTGTCTGTTATTGAATACAATTTTACTAGGGGTTTTAAAAATTGTGGTGAACATCTCATTCCAATCAATAAATTTGGATCTATCAGGTGACACTAAAGTGCAATGATCAGACAGCTGTGTCTTCACCTGCCAGCATGCAGGCTGTGTTTCATAAAATTCTCTAAAACTTTATGTGAAAACAAATGAGAAAATGATGTAGGGAAGGCTGACCTAGAAATTGTTAAATAAATGCAAGGAACATTCTACTGAAACAAAAATGAGGGAAAAAAATGAAAAATATTTTATCTCAAGAAAGCCAAGATAAATCATTGTCATTGTTTTTTTCTCCTATGTAAAATAAGTATTACATAAAATACCATTTTTGTTTTGATACTTATTGTTGGAGACTAGCTGCTACTACACTGACCTTTTATAAATAATGTACAATCCATAGTTACATGTTTTTTTCTTTCTATCAAACTCAATCCTTTTCATACTAAACATCCATCCAATTTTATTTCATCTGACAGGCCTACTCACTGAATATGAAACACTCTCAGAATATGAAACACACGTAAGACTTGAGTAATGGACCGTCTAGACAACAACTAATAACAGATCCGCTGAGTAATAGAAATGCCCGTCAGGCCAAAGTAGAAATATACCATAACTTCTAGTGAGTCATTGGGAGTTACATACATTTTCTAGTTAGTGTTTTTCACAAGTCATAAGACTACAGAAATACTTGCCTGTGATATGAACTGCATAAAATGAATTGTTTTGATCTGACAGTCAAAGCCATTTGCTTAGGTTGAGCAACGCTATTTCATGTGCCAAGGCTACAGTTTGTCCAACCATTTTCAGAAGCACATTTAAACGCCCTAATGTCCCTATGGATTTTTCCCCTCCAGTGAATTAGATCCAAGTTAATGAGAACCATTAAATCTACTTTAGTTGAGTCTCTTAACTGAGTTTCTTCAAGTTTCTTTCTCAGATGCCTTTTGAGATTTTTTATTTGTTCCATCAGTCGCCCCGAATTAAAACCTTTGCTGCTCTATGAAATTCATGATAAAACAAAGATACCTGACAGTATTTGGAGGTTAAGTGAATATGATCTGCCACTGACCATGTACAGCATTGTATGAAACTGCAGTTTGATGCAATGTCTAAGCTGCTGTGTCATTCAAGTTTTAAGTGATGTTCAGGGAGAGGGAAGGATTGGCTCCACATATATCCCAATGTGCACTGGTCTTCTGTCTGTTAACTTACTAATGAACCATGATTTAGTAAAATAATGAAGAGTTTACAGAAAGCCCCAGGAAACCAATTTCCAATTTTGCAACCAGCAGGCTTTAACTTCACTGCAGCCTTTGCTAATTTTGTCTGGAGGTGGATTTGGATACTAAATGCCATCCCTGACTTGTGATTCAGAGAGACTTTTCTAATCGCCGTATATTTTGCCCAGTAATGCATGTCTCTTCATAAGACACATTTTATTTCTCCCTTTGGTTGTTACAAATAGGCTGAGTACCTAAAAATTGCTAAAATGGAAAATAAATTTTAACCACTTTGAAAATTAGAAGCATTGAAAAGCACCAATGTTATGTCTGACCTATATGAGGCAAGAAACAAAATGTAAGAGAATGGTCTCCAACTGATTTATGACAAAATTAAGCAAAACTGTGTAAAACAATTATATATCATTTGTTTCTATGGTTTAAGTGAGATTATTTTTAATGTAATTCAGTGTGCATAATTCACTCATTATAATTTTGAATTATAATAAGCTGCAGGATATTTTTTAAAATATCCTTTATATATACAACAAATTTAAACCTTTAAATTTGCACAAATTGGAGCTGCTAGCAGGCAGAAATGTGAAGCTGATAGTAACACTTTCATGTCACACAGGAGCCCCTAAAGTAAACTTCAGACACAATGGCATATGCTTGTGTGTCACTGACTAGTCAATTTGTTTAAGAAATATTTGTTTTTTACAAATACTGGTAAGTGTGAGTACATCCCTTTCTAATTCTAAGGAAATTGTCAATTTTTTACCTTTGGCTATTAAAGAAGCATCAAAGTATAATTTATTTCTATACAGACACCTTAAAATTGTGTTCTGCTTTAAGAATGAGTAGGGAAAACCCCTCTTAAATCTGCCTTTAATGATTCAAATAAGGAAATGTTCATAAAGAAAAAACAAGACACATTAATGCTGGTGTGGTAAAGACATAGGTCAATATTCATCAGTAATCACCAGGCAGGTGAATGAAGCACATTTCCTTCAGATGAGGCTAAAAATCTTTTAACTGGAAGTCATAGTAAGGAATAAAACTAATTTCTCCTTTTATTCTCACTTCCATTAACTCCCACCTTTCAAAGTATCTGTAAATGATCTCTCATCATCGAGAGCCCCCTCTGGTTAAATATGTCAAAGAAATGGGAGTCTGTCAATAGATTTTCAAGATGTGAGTTGTGCTACTCAATTAGGAAAAAATAAAAAGAAGGAACAAAGCTTTTTCCTTTTTTTTCCACTTTAAAGGTGAAGAAAGTAAACACATCATGCAGATGAAAATGGCTCTAGACGTTCTGGCTGTAACGTTGTTATCAATGAAATCCTTTCCCACTTGTTCCAGCTGAGTGAAGACTGCAGGCCTCTTGTGGATAAAAATCTAAATGCTTCAATGGCACTGAAAGACCCATGTGCCCATCAGCATTAGCAAAGCTGGACATTTCTTTTGCATTTTCTTTGTTTGGGTAAGAGGCCTATTTTAAATTATAATATACAAGAAGGTAAGTTATGTAAACCTCAAAGCCTATGTATTGTAAATAACCTTTCACAAATTTTAAATTCTTTTTAGCTTTCACAGTTCCATGCTTGTCAGAGTCCAGCTTAATAAATGCTGACACTCCTGGCTCAGTTTAATTAACAATGAGCAAGCTGTGTGAAAATGCAGAGCACTGAAGCAGGGCTATGTAGTGCTCCAAGCATGATACTGTCAATCAAGTACCCAAGTCCAGCCGGAGGCCCGCTTTCAAAGAAGCCCTGGGTGAGATATTCTGGCAAGCTCTCTGCTGGCATGGCATTTTCATTGAAAGTACTTTCCATTTCCTCAATACCAATAACTGCCTACACATTTCATAATAATCCTAATGTCTTAAATTTGGGAACCTCTCCAGAATTTACAAGTGCTTTTCATGAATTATCTCACAAGCCTAACACAAATATGCCTGCTTTTGACATAACAGAGTACTGAGGCTGCAGAAAGAAAATGGAATTAACCAAAACCATAAAGCTAACATGAAACAGAGCCTAGATTTCAACCCAGTTTTCCAACTCCAAACACATAGCTCTTTCAATTTTACAACAGCTGTCTAGAAAGTTCAAGCACAGGTACACATGACTGTGACCATCACATATGAAGGTGGTAAGCCACAGGGCACACCGTAACCCTGGTAGCTCTAGCCATGTTTTATCTTCTTGCACAAAACTTAAGTGGCATCAAAAAAGTTATAAATGTTTATTGAAAGCAATAAAAAATAAGCTACAGTTTATGAATATAGCAAATTGCCTTGATATCACATAATAGTCTTTCTCATATGATGCAATATGAAACTCCAAATAGATGTCAATAAAAGGATTCCTATTCTTAATTTTTTTAAACTTGCTCACCTATAATCAAAGATACAGCAAAGACACCTTAGTTTTTCTTAAAAGAGGCAGACTGGATGCTAACAATTAATATCACTTATTAAAAAACATTATTGAAATCCAAAAAATGAGAGAATGATATCTAAATGAAAAGCCACCCTAAAAGAGTGAAATAGGCTAAAAAGTGATGTTATTCAACAATATTGCTTGATGAGGACAAGCTTAATTCTCAACTCGAATATCATGTTTTTTTCCATCATTTAGCTCCATAAGACTGGATCTCCATCTTTTAACCTGTAACACATGGATAAGTAAAAAATAGATTCTGAACTAGATCAGTAATACAAATGGCAATGGAATTTGAGGAATTCTTTCATTTTTTTCTAGAAACAACAGGCACTTTGTGTGATTGGTGCTATTTTAGATTTCTTTGAATGTAGACAAGTAAACAGAGTTGAATTTAAGATGTAGTATTCAAAAATGCATTTAGCGATCATTTAATTAATATTTCTTATGCCAGACCAGAGGGCTAATGAAAATGTATAAAACAGATTATTCTCACCTGAAGATACAAAGTCCTACATGATTCCCAAAGCTAGGCAGGTTTGTGTACATGGCAAGATATGGAGTAAAAGAAATAAATGGAAACTATCAACAGGATAAACAGACAACCTACAGAATGGGAGAAAATGTTTGCAAACTATGCATCTGACAAAGGTCTAATATACAGTATCCACAAGCAACATAAACAAATTTACAAGAAAAAACAACCCCATTAAAAAGTGGGCAAAGGACATGAACAGACATTTTTCAAAAGAAGACATATAAGCAGCCAACAGTCATATGAAAAAAACTGAACATCACTGATCATTAGAGAAACGCAAATCAAAGCCACAATGAGATACCATCTCACACCAGTCAGAATGACTATTATTAAAAAGTCAAAAAATAACAGATGCTGATGAGGTTGTGGAGAAAACGGAATGCTTATACACTGTTGGTGGGAGTGTAAATTAGTTCAACCATACTGAAAAGTAGTGTGGTGATTACCCAAAGAACTAAAAACAGAACTACCATTCAACCTAGCAATACCATTACTGAGCATATACCCACAGGAATATCAATTATCATTCTACCAAAACGACACATGCATGCATATGTTCATTGCAGCACTGTTCACAATAGCAAAGACATGGAATCAACCTAAATGCCCATCAGTGATAGACTAGGTAAAGAAAATGTAGTGCATATATACCATGGAATATTATACAGCCATAAAAAAGAATGAGATCAGCCAGGTGTGGTGGCTCATGCCTATAATCCCAGCACTTTGGGAGGCTGAGGCAGGGGGGATCACCTGAGGTTGGGAGTTCGAGACCAGCCTGGCCAACATGAAGAAGCCCCATCTCTACTAAAAATACAAAATTAGCTGGACATGGTGGTGCATGCCTGCAATCCCAGCTACTCAGGAGGGTGAGGCAGGAGAATCACTTGAACCCAGGAGGGGGCGGTTCTGTGAGCTGAGATCACTCCACTGCACTCTAGCCTGGGCAACAAAAGTGAAACTCCGTCTCAAAAAAAAAAAAAAAAAAGATGAGATCATGTCCTTTTGCAGGGACATGGATGGAGCTGGAGGTCATTATCCTTAGCAAACTAACACAGAAACAGAAAACCAAATGCCACATGTTCTTACTTGTAAGTGAAAGCTAAATGATGAGAACACATGGACACACAGAAGGGAACAACAAACACTGGGACCTTTTGGAGGGTGGAGGGTGAGAGGACAGAGAGGACAGAAAAAATAATTAATGGGTACGAGGCTTAATATCTGGACGATAATCTGTACAACAAACCCCCACGACACAAGTTTATCTATGTAACAAACCTGCACTTGTACCCCTGAGCTCAAAATTTTTAAAAATGAGACAAAAATAAAAACATAAAAAGAAAGAAATGGTGAATGAAGATGTGGATCCCTTCCTTCCTGCTTTTCCTGCAACAGTAATCTAGAAGCTCAGTGCTTGTTTGAAGTAACAGCATCTTAAGTTACAGCGTGCCTCCACACATTTATGAGACAAACATGCCTAAGGCAAGCTATTAAAACCCATTCACTTCTACTTGAGTCAACTAAGGCACCAAAAATGCAAGTTCTTGCAAGAGGTCACATGATGATTCAGTCATGGAAACAGAACAGAATCATTGTTCTTTCTTAACTCAGAATGAAGATTTACTCCAAGATAATTATGCAAATACATGGTTATGAAAATCATTCAACAAATGCCCTCAAATATTCATACAAAACATATCTTTAATCTGTTGGTGAAATTAATAGAAATCATAATTAAAATGCATGCCATGTCAAGTGAAAGGTCAATGAGCTGAGGTAGAGTGTATTTCTAGGTAAATTCCAAATATTACAAGAAAATAAAGTTTGTAAATGCAGGTTGACACAATCATTTGATCCAATGAAATTAAACAGAGACAAAGATACACATATTCATGACTTTAGGTTTTCATTTTTTTCATACTAAAGTATTTTTATCTAATTTTATAGAGTATATTTTGTACACAAATCATCTCCTGCTAATTGAAAATGTATTTTGAAGGAAATGCATCAGTGAAACACTTTATTCATTTCCAGTAACAGATTCAATGACATTTGCAGAAATAGCTCTCCATTATCTACATTGCATTACTTGGTAAATTTAGCAGAAAGAAGGAGATGAAAAAATATGAAAGCACAAAATGTGAAAATAATGAAACTTTAATGTAGCACAAAAACTGTGACAGATGTAAAGCCACAAAGAGTCATTAAATTCTTCCCAGTCCATCTCTTTTTATCTCTCTCATCCCTTCCCTATCAATTATTTCTGATGTTGTTCCTTTTTCCTGCTAGACTTTGGAAGTAATAATAACTTATGAAACTTGCTTGCTATCTCTCCACCTAAACTGATCTCTGGCACTACAAGTATGACCCCCAAATCATACGGTAGGGAATTTCTCTTAGAGAAGAAAATTATAGTAATTCTGTCAGAGATATTTTAGTCATTACAATAGCTATGGTGTTTATTCTTATATTCTTCAAAAACAGGCTAATTTTTTTCTTGCTACAGCTCAGGTAACTGAATCATCCTAAATTTGTCATTGTTCTTATGCTCACAACATATTGCAATAGGAGCTATACTGGTATTTTTAGCATGGATCAATTGATATGAATAGAGCCGTAAGCTGTGCTCATTTGTCATCATCAACTATAGATAACCACCTAAACACACTTTAAAACATTATGCTGGAATCTCCTAATGCTGGAATCTCCTAATGCTATCAGCTATATTTAAAATAACAAGAAATATTCAGTCTCTAGGCCTCAATTTTGAATTGTGATAGCTGACAAAGGTGGTCATTTACTCATAACAATACTTATAGCTGTTAGCTTACACAGTATACAAAGAAGAATTATACCACAAGCCTCTATTTTTTTGAAGGTTCTCAATGCCACCATCCTACTTTATAATATCTCAAATATGACTTCTAGTCTGGCAGAACCACAAGAAAAGTAGAGGAAGGGGCAGTAAAGATGGGTGGTGGGAAGTTACATGCTACTAAATAATGGTAATGCCCAAGTGTTTTCCTCTGTAGTAGCCGTGGGCCTGGGAAAGAGCAGAGATGGGTAGAAGATGAATACCTAAAAGGAGCAAGGAATGTAGATAAGGAATGTCAGAGCTTCCTTTATTTATATCCTTTCTTTGAACAGATCACTAATTGAAAAATGTACTTCCTATAAGAGTCAAGCCTGAAAACACTCCAAGGTTTAGGATCACCAGAGGAGGCAGAATAAAAAAGTAGCCGACGAAATGTGTCTTGGAATTGATCTCAGTTCTAGCAAACACCTGCTGTGACTTTAGGGACATTACTTAAATTCTCTCTGAGACTGTGCAGTGGAGTCATGCCTTACACAAAGGGGTTAGATTCTAAAATCAGAGGTAAAAATTCCTAATTGTAAAAATTACCCTAAGAAATCCCCACGCAATTTTCTCTTTTTTTTTTTTTTAATTTTTTTAGTAGTTATTGATCATTCTTGGGTGTTTCTCGGAGAGGGGGATTTGGCAGGGTCATAGGACAACAGTGGAGGGAAGGTCAGCAGATAAACATGTGAACAAAGGTCTCTGGTTTTCCTAGGCAGAAGGCCCTGCCACCTTCCGCAATGTTTGTGTCCCTGGGAACTTGCGATTAGGGAGTGGTGATGACTCTTAACCAGTATGCTGCCTTCAAGCATCTGTTTAACGAAGCACATCTTGCACTGCCCTTAATCTATTTAACCCTTAGTGGACACAGCACATGTTTCAGAGAGCACGGGGTTGGGGGTAAGGTTATAGATTAACAGCATCCCAAGGCAGAAGAATTTTTCTTAGTACAGAACAAAATGGAGTCTCCTATGTACTTTCTACACAGACACAGTAACAATGTGATCTCTCTCTTTTCCCCACATTTCCCCCTTTTCTATTCGACAAAACCGCCATCATCATCATGGCCCGTTCTCAATGAGCTGTTGGGTACAACCCCTGGATGGGGCGGCTGGCCGGGCGGGGGCTGCCCCCCACCTCCTGGACGGGGCGGCTGCCGGGCGGAGACTCTCCTCACTTCCCAGACGGGGCGGCTGCTGGGCAGAGGGGCTCCTCACTTCCCAGATGGAGTGGCTGGCCGGTGGAGGGGATCCTCACTTCTCAGACAGGGCGGCCGGGCAGAGACGCTCCTCACCTCCCAGACGGGGTGGTGGTGGGGCAGAGACACTCCTCAGTTCCCAGACGGGGTCGCGGCCGTGCAAAGGCGCTCTTCACATCTCAGACGGGGCGGCAGGAAAGAGGTGCTCCCCACATCCCAGACGATGGGTGGCCAGGCAGAGACACTCCTCAGTTCCCAGACGGGGTTGCGGCCGCGCAGAGGCGCTCTTCACATCTCAGACGGGGCGGCGGGGCAGAGGTGCTCCCCACATCCCAGACAATGGGTGGCCAGGCAGAGACGCTCCTCACTTCCTAGACGGGGTGGCGGCCGGGCAGAGGCTGCAATCTCGGCACTTTGGGAGGCCAAGGCAGGCGGCTGGGAGGTGGAGGTTGTAGCGAGCCGAGGTCACACGACTGCACTCCAGCCTAGGCAACATTGAGCACTGAGTGAGCAAGACTCCGTCTGCAATCCCGGCACCTCGGGAGGCCTAGGCTGGAAGATTACTCGCGGTCAGGAGCTGGAGACCAGGCCGGCCAACACTGGCGAAACCCCATCTCCACCAAAAAATATGAAAACCAGTCAGGCGTGGCGGCGCGCGCCTGCAATCCCAGACACTCGGCAGGCTGAGGCAGGAGAATCAGGTAGGGAGGTTGCAGTGAGTTGAGATGGTGGCAGTACAGTCCAGCCTTGGCTCGGCATTAGAGGGAGACCGCGTGGAGAAGGAGGAGAGGGAGAGGGAGAGGGAAATTTTCTCTTTCATGCTTCATAAATTATTTCTTTATATTCCTCCTCAAAGATTGACAAAACATTCCTGGTATATAAAATATCATTTCACATTTTGTCAGTGGTCGGCAATTCCTAAAATTATTATTCACACTTGTTTTTTGTGCCTTTCACCAAAATGCCCTGTTTCAGATGCTTTTGAGGGATATATAAATTCCAACTTGCACAATTTCATACGGAAAAATCCTGTCACCCTTACCACTTTTTTCCCCCCATATAAGGCCATAGACTTGAATTTCTTTCTTAATAGAGGCACTTTGGTTGCAAATAGCAGAAACTCACACAAGATAGCTTAAGCTACAAATAAATTTGTTATAAGCATACAAGAAAAGCTCATAGAACTCATGAATACTTGGGTCTCCTGAGGGACTGGAATCAGCAGCTGCAAAGTGTCAGGAAACAAAATTACTCTCTTTTCTTTTTGGGGACTCATGAAATTCATGCTTGCTTTTTTTGTGTAATCTGTCTAGTCCTTCTCTCTTTGAAAATTAGGTATCCCTCTTTCTAAGATTTTGGAAGAGGGTTACCCAAAAATGAAAAGTCAGCCATTGAAATTGCAACAGATTACTGGCTCAAAAACTCAGTTTCTAAGTAATAGAGAAAAGGGTCTTACTGAATGAATCTCAGTCTAGCTCTGGCCCAAGCAACAATGGTCAGGGTTTAAAGGGTGGGGACCATGTGATACAGAAAAGGATGGTAGGTGAGGCAGACACTGCCAAATATCTATAATATGGTTCCTTTAAAATATAGTTAACAGCAGATACTTTCATATGGAGTAGGTAGGAATACCTGGAAGACCTTCTCTGGGATTAATTACCTAAGAAGAGGTAAAGCAGATGATCTCAAGAGAAACATTGTAAGGCATTGTAGAAATAAAGGGATTAGGATTTTAGTTTTGTGATTTCTAAATGATCATCCAAGGTGCTATAGCCTAAATGTCTGAGTCCCCATAAAAATTATATGTCAAAACATAATCACTAATGTGATAGTATTAGGAGGTGGGGCTTATAGAAAGTGATTAGATCATAAGGCTAGAGCCCTCATGAATGGGATTAGTGCCATAACAAGAGGCCCCAGAGAGCTGCCTTGCCTCTTCACCATGTGACAACACAGAATGAAGGTATCATCCATGAACAAAAAAGTGGGCCCTCTCAACACGCTGAATCTGCACCTTGATCTTGTACTTCCCAGGCTTCAAAACTGTGAGAAATAAATTTCTGTTGTTTATAAGCCACCTAGTTTATGGTATTCTATTATAGCAGCCAGAACAGACTAAACACAAAGGCAATTAAATTCTTGCATCTATATGTAACATATTAAAACATCAGAGACAAAAAAATATTTTCTAAATTACCTAAATCACTTCTTGAGAAACTTCCTTTGAGGTGCTGTTCAAATATAGCCTGGTTTTGTTTATGCTTACATAACTTGGTATACTTTTTTGCTAATGACAATATTGGTTTTAAAACTCAAAGCAGTCAATCAGAAATAATAGCCTGTTTCTGAAACAAAATATGCATCTTTAAAAACCCCAAATGTATAATAATACATTGTCTATCATGCCTACAGAAAAATATTCCATTTTTGATAAATAGTCATGAGAATGTAAGATTGTACTTTTGGGGGATTTATGACAAGTTTTTACCATGTGAATGGGCTGCTGAATGTCTAGAAATTACATTTTCATATAAATTGCATTTTTCAAAAAATATCACATGATTTATCCCATTTAAACAAATTGAGAAAACACTAGGATATTCAACATATGCATTAGGTTTATTCCCTCCAGTCACTAACTTTGTAGAATTTCCTTCCACAGTTAGTATTTTCCCAAGGATAAACTATTTTTGAATATAACAAAAAACATATAATATGCCATAACACTTTCATAGTCCATGGCTATGAAAAGTGAAGAGAACGTTCTAAATGTTTCAGTAGGTTGGACAATATTTTATTGATATTTATAACAATGTTTTACTGGTAAATTTTAAAATAATGTTTTTTATTGATATTTATAATAGTGCTTTACTGGTAAATTTTAAAATAATGTTTTCTCCTAAAATTGTATAATTACCTCTGAGAATGTTAGTTTCATAGAATATGCATTATGTTTATATAATTAGCGTAATTCTCAGTGGAAATTTTTTATTCTTTTATTTCTGCCTGTGATGACAACTGGACAAAGATTACAAAGATCTGGAAGACTTCCTAATAAAAGCAGTTGCTACAATTATTTAGGGTTTATTATGTGGCATTCACTATGCTAAGTTCTTTATATTTATGAAGCCATTTCCTCCTCCCAATAATTATATAAAGTAAATAGCACTATTATCCCCATTCTAAAGATGAGAAACTTGGAGAAGTTAAGTACATTGATCGTGGCTTATGGCTAACAATTGGTATAGCCAGGATCTGCTCCAACTATCTAGGACTAAAGCCTATGTATTTATGTACTACACAATAGGTTTATAGACCTAGAAATGGATTTTAGTAAGATAAATAATTGTCTTTGGGTTAACTGAACCCCAGAAATAATACTCTTGGTGTTATTTGCTAGGTGGCCCCCTTTTTTCAATAAAGTTAGAAGGATTTTACTGTGAAGCATGGAGTTTATACAGATAGATCTAAGGCAAAGTGGCTTTTTGATAAATGAGAATTAGTCATCAGATTATCCTTTCCCTTAAAGTTGTATTTTCAGCCTTCTTTTCTAGAACCTAGAATCTGCTTCTCCAAGTAAATAAACTTGTCAGGCTCTGGATCTGATCTCTGAAAATTAAAAAATAGGAAAAAATTAGTTCTGATAGAAGCCAATCAAGGCAAATCTTTGCTGCCTCCACTCTCCCCTTCATTAAGCAGGAGGACGCACTAACAATACTTCTGACTGAGACACCCACATGCCATGGAATCCAACTCAAACAGCAAACATAGAAAAACTTCAAAGCTTCTGTTTTAGCTTGCAATATGTTATATATTTTGTGGTAAATTTAAGATAATTTTCAGCAGAAATAGTAACTGTATATATTTGTGGCTATCAATTCAGTTCCTGGATGGGCAACAAGCACTTTCAACTTAAAATATATTTTTGTAATTCCTAGATTTTTTCCTAAAGCTTGACATTCTTAGAATATCTCTATTTTAATAAAATATTTGAGTCTTAATGAAGCAGTTAGAATGACCTCTTCTTAAGCTCAGACAAAATATTCATACCATATTGTCAACTGACCTAGTTATCATCTTCTTATCCTTCAAAGACTAATTTCCTGACAGTTTGGATTAAATTTCTATTGCATAATTACCAAGAACCTCAGGAATCTCTATACCCTTTGCCATCTTAATCAGACCTTTAATTTTGCTTAATCACTTACTGGTCCACAAGGATTTGAGATATGGGATGTCTGCCCTATATTCCTATAACTTTTGTAATTTCTTTCCTTATTACACCAATGAATGATTTGTTGTATTTAGAACATTTATGTCTCTGTATTTTTATGATGCTATAGAACTTTTGAGTTTCTCGATATATAATATGGGTATCAATGACAAACATCAGAGACACTGAAAACACAGAGGATAGCTGGTCTGAGTCTCCTGCACCAAGCCATAGCTGAAATTATTCATTCATGAATCTCTTGTTGTTCTTTAAACAAATACATATTCATCCAGGCACAATGCAGAAAACCAGAAAAACATGAAATCAAAGAATATAGAAGAGTAGAGTGAATTTTTTTTAATATTTATTTTTGCAGTAGTCTCCTAACTAGGTGTCCTACAGCCATTCTTGCTTTCCTACAAACTCGTCTCTACACAGAAGAGTGGCCTTTTTAAAACATAAATCTGATCATGGTGTCTCCCCCGTCAGGTACATGGGAAGATACTAATCAATGGGCAAAAAGTTTCAGTTAAGTAAGCTGAATAAGCTCTAGAGAAATCTGCTGTACAACACCATACCAATAGTCAACAACGTCTTATACACTTAAAAGTTTGTTAAGAGGGTAGATCTGATATTAAGTGTTATTACCACAATAAAATAAAATAAAAATACATTTAAAAATAAATAAAACTCTGAGAAATTAGAAAATAACAGTAACAATGAAAACAGGTTTATGGCTGTGGGCATACTGCGTACCAGCATGAGGCGCAAACATTGTAACTGGAGCTACCTGTGTATTCAAACACTTCATTGCAGAGTATTTTACTTTACTTTAGAGTAAAATAATGAACAATCCAATTAATCAAATGATTAATCAAAATAAAACAAATCTGATCACATGATACTTCTGCTGAAAGTATTCAATAGTTTCCTATGACTCTCTGGCAAGACTAAATTTTTAAAAGGCATATAAACTCTAATATAATCTGATTCTTACCTACCCTTCCAATCTTACTGTGCTACTTCTAATTATTCCAATCTCACAGTTCCTTTGATATGCCATGCCCTCTCTCACCACAGGATGTTTGCGCATATGCCCGTGGTATGGAATGCTCTCCACTCGCTCCATTTTGCTAATTTCCATTCATGTCTCAAATTCCCATACAGATATTGCCTCTTCAGGGAAACTCTCCCTGAATGCTTCTCTTCAACTAGGCTGAGTAACCAATTACAAGCACTAACGTTTTCTGGAATAGGTCTTTTATCACTCAAAATTGTAATGTGTAATGTTTTGTGACTACTTAATATCTGACCCTCCATACTAGCATGTAAGCTCCAAGAGGGCACAAAGCAAGTCTGTTTTTGTTTGTAATTTTCCCCCATCACCTAGCAAATGTCCTGGAAAATGAAATACTCTTGTTTGTTGAATGAATTAATAAATGTCTGTGGATTAGTCTTTTCTAAACCACAGGCTAGTAAAATCACTGTTTCTTGTATTCAACATTTAACAAGCCAATAACTAGAACACTATAGCCTCAACAATTCATTTTCATCATTCAACTAAGGAGAAATAAGACTTTTCAAGCTATTGACCATTGTGTTTGAGTTTCTTCACATTATTATTTTTTACTTTGCCATAATTGAGGATTAAAATTAAGAAAGAAACATAATATTTCAAGACACCTTGGAGAGGCAGGTAAGTTAAAGGGTGGGAAGCAGTCACTGCCCAAGAATATCTGCAGACAGACAATAAAGAAGCGAGCCACTAGTTTGTAGGAGAGCAATCCATGACTATAAGAACCAAATCATAAGGCCTCAGAACTGGATAATATGTAATGGAGAAGAGATGTGATACAGAACAGGTAGAATCAGGAAGAGAGCTGTAGTTTTACATGGGAACTCAGTAATTGCCTCTCTATATCAGATTCTGGGTCAGATTATCTGACAAAGGGATCCTGGGATCAATATACAAACTGAAGGATCAATTCTAGGTCAAAACAAAATCTTTTATAATGATGAAAGATATAAGTTCCTTAATGTGAGAAAAAACTCACAATTTTGGTGCAGTGTTTTTTATAGCTTCCAGAACATGCCAATATATATTTAATCTATGTATTGATGAGGAAAAAATATCCATTTTAACCTTCTCATCTCAAATAATATCCTCAGAACAGAATATAGTGACCTAGCAGACAAGCTCTAGATTTTGGAAAACATTCAAAGTTGTGGACAGACAACAAATGCCTTATCTAAAATTTATAAAAATTTAAATATACGATTCCAGACAACCTCAAATCTATACAAAGTCTGCAAGTTTCATTTTTAATTGTATTTTTTAACATTCTAGTTCATATGCCAAACTGCCCCCAAATTTGCCACCTTAGATTTTCTATGTTCTTAGTAAAGAATGTTGCTAATTCCTGAAAAGCACTGTTGTTAGTAATTTTGATCATGTTATTTATCCATTAAACATCCTGGTGACACTTGTGTAGTGGGCTGAATAATGGGTTCCCAAAAGATATCTGCATTCTAATTCCTAGCACCTATGAGCACTACTTTATATGACAAAAAATAAACAGGTCTTTACCAATGTGATCAAGTTAAGGATCTTGAGATAAGGAGATAATCTGAGATTATCTAGTGTGGGCCCTGAATACAATCACATGTATCCTCATAAGACTGAGGCAGAGGAAGATTTTATAACAGATAAAAGAGGAGATGGCAATGTGACTATGGAAGCACATACTGGAGTGATGGGACCATAAGACAAGAAATTCCGGTAGCTACCAGAAGCTGGAAGAGGTAAGATATAAACTCTCCTGAAGCTTCTAGAGGAAGCACAGCCTTGATTTGGCCTTGTGACTCTGATTTCTGACTTTTGCCTCCAGAACTGTGATAGAATAAATTACCCCAAATCTGTGATCGTTTGTTTTAATAGTCACAGAAAACTAATACAACTTGTTAAAATTGTGATTCTTACTCATAAGGTAAGAATCAACCCAGTTGCACTTAGGCCACCATTTTGTCAACTACAAAGGAAAAGTGCCATCCCTTTTAGCCAGTTGAGCCAGC
This sequence comes from Homo sapiens, assembly GCF_000001405.40. Taxonomy (NCBI): domain Eukaryota; kingdom Metazoa; phylum Chordata; class Mammalia; order Primates; family Hominidae; genus Homo; species Homo sapiens. The sequence continues at coordinate 58,183,549 of NC_000006.12, read as the reverse complement.
TTCCTCAGAAAATGAAGCCAGGATACTCAAGAAATCTTTGTACTTTTTTTTATATTTTAGTAATAAATATAATTAGACAATGACAGTCCTAAGACCCCCAGTGAATGCCTAAAACTGCTGATAGTACTGAACTCAATATACATACTGTGTTTTTTCTATACACACACGGTAGCATGCACTTTTATAGTTTGAGGTGCAGCAGCAAAACTAGCACGAATTTCTTTTCCATTTTCCACAATTTCGTGGATGAAAGATTTACTTTTGCCATAGATCTTAGTGATTTCAGCATATATTCTTTCTCCTTATTAACTCAAAACTTCCACCTTTTCACTTAAAGAAAGCTCTTTACGGCTTCTCTTTGCCATAGCTGAATTGCCAGCATCACTACTCTTGTGTGTTGGTACCATTATTCAGTAAAATACGGGTTACCACAATAAATAGCCACAATAAATAAAACAAGGGTCAAGTCACCACAGGCACTGTGATACAATGACAGTCAATCTGATAACCAAAGCAGCTGGTAAGTGTCTAAGGGACCAGGAGCATATATGGCATGGATACACTGGAAAAAAGAATAATTCATGTCTCAGGTAGGAAGGACTGATACAGCACAAGATTTAGTCACACACTCAGAATAATGCATAATTCAAAATTTCTGAATTTCTAGAATTTTCCATTTAATATTTTCAGAATGCAGCTTACTGTGGGTGACTGAAACAGCAGAAAGAAAAACCATGCATAAGAGGGGGCTACTGTAATCATAATTATTTGATGGCTAAAACTACAGGTGCAACCCCTTAAGAAAGTATTGATACACTCTAATTTGAAGCAAACTATTCTTCAAATTGTCTAATAGTTCGTTGTAACACAACATGCTCATCAGAGCACTAAAAGCCACAACTGCCAATACTATAAACTGATTTTAAGTCTTTCCACAAACATTTCATGAACCAACATTAGGATTAAATAAACTAATTAAAGATAAGTCTCCTGACTTCACTTCAAAGTAGCAGAATTGAGAGGGATGGTCCTGTGAGGCACCAGCTTACTGAGAAAAACGGCAGCTGAAGATAGGCATAATGAAAGGCCTAGCCCTCTTCACAGACTGATGCTGCTGGTGCTGCATTATATCCATCATGTACCTATGATGACTTCAGATTCAACCCTATCCCTGTCCTCAGGACAGGAAAAATGATCCAGAGAGTCTTGAGCATCACATTCACTGAAAGGTGGACCCATCAGTGGAAATAAAACCTGCACTGAAAGGCATTTTCCCCGGGCCTACTGTTGAACAAAGGGGAATCAACAAATTGGTATCACCTCTTTATTTGCTGATTTTATTACACAAGACAAATAGGGATGTCTTCTTTAAATTGCCTGACATAAAGTTGCTCGATTTGATTGAAATATAATGATGTCCTAAGAAAGATTATGATAAATTGGTCCAGAAACCCATCTGTAATGCCAAAATATCTCACCACCTGAGGCATTTTAGTTGTCTCCAGGACTGGCTCCAACATCACATCTCCTTCTCTTCATTATTTTTACTTTGACATACTACTGCTCAAAGTGATAGTTACCATGCATCATATTTTCTAAATTTGCATGATAGCTAACACATGCCTCAACTCAATAGATAAGCAGTGACTATTAAGGTAATTCACAAGTGCTATACATACTTTTCACCACTAGGAGGAAGTTGAAAAAAAGGCTTGGAAAGGTAGGGATGATGTGTGTCTGCGAGTGCAGAGAATCCAACATCTGACACAGTTCTTCCTAATACATATCATTTCAGATAAAACACAGTATAATTGACAGAAAAAATCACTTCTTCTTGGTCTCTTCTGCTTCCCCTTTGAACTCTTGGATCTAGTTATTATGATAGATGACTCCTATCAAGTTTCATCTTTTGCTCCTTCACGTTAAAGTGATAGCCAGGCTATAGCAACAGTGAAAATTACAACTTGAATTACTTACAAGGTATCAGAAGGGAAAAAAAAATTCTTCAAAGCAGCTGAAAACTCTTCTTCAAAGTTTATTAGCACTAAGGCAAGGACATTTTACTGATTACCTGTTCATCCAAATATTCCACTTGTTTAGAAAGGCAATAATAAAACCATTCTTGAACTTGAGAAATATTTCCAAGGAGAAACATCATAACTGACTGTTATTCTTTCTTATCAAGAATGTAAAATATATGAGAGTTTATTTACAGGGTTATTACTAGTATCTGTACATGACAGTCTACATTCAGGTTTAGTGACTTAATAAGGAATTATTTTAAGTTTAACTGCTACAGGTCTAACAGCTGTGGATCTGCTAAATCTTCTTGGAAATTCTAGCAGAAGAAAATCTTAACTCATATACCCATGTGGTAAAGAAAAGAAGGTCTTCTTCTATTAAAAAAAAAAAAAAGGTAATCCTTTTTGATTGAGTGAACTGTTTCAGATAAGACACACATGGTATAGAGAAGAAAGAAAGAGATACCCACTCCACCAATCAGATTAGTAGAAAAATAGAATCTGGTGACCCAGGATGTGAGAGATGTCAGTTCATCTATCGTTTCTTAGCACTTGTAAACATGGTATGCCTGACAATTATGGTGATGAAAATTATATTTACCATTTATTCAGCGTTTAAAATGTGTCAGGGACTAGTGAATCAAAAGCATCAAAGGGAAGCACATGCCTTGACTAGAATCTGCTAATAATGGGTGTCTGGGGTGCTGATGATCAGAGACTGAGGAAGGGTAGAGCTTCCTACTGGCTGAGGAGGTCTAGCTGTGGAAAAGAGAAGGAAAACTGAAACTTGCATCTTCATTAGACTCAATATTAGGGACAAATAACAAAAGAAAACTAGAAAAACACACTAAAGTGATGATAAAGAATTAAATTGCCTGGGAGAAGTTTCAGCTAAGGGAAAATCTATTTTCAGCCGTTCTGTCTCTATGTCAAAGATTACTTGCATAAAAAGCATCTGTACAGAACTATGGAAAGTAGGTATTAAGGAATACATGACAATGGAACAATCAGACAACTACTTCAGCTCAGATGCTTAGGGCTTGAATAACAGTGAAAAGATCCCAGTAAACTGAAAGGCCAGGTACATAAAAGTTCTTATGATCTGCTGCCAAGATCAGCTGCAATCCAACCCACCCTCTGCCCATACAAAGATATTTTGTAGCAGAATGAAAGTCTGAACAGAGGTTTGAATGCCAACAAAAGGGCAGAAAGATGTATGTTTATCCTGGAAAAAAAGCTTATTAAGTTCTCCTTTATTCATTATGCCATCATTTACCCCTCGTGACCAGACTATGAGGTCATTACAATCCTCATTTACAAAGGAAAAGTGTAAATGACAGGCCAAGGTCGCCTAGGCAATACATTGTCATCAGGATCTGAACCTAGATCTATGCTACTTTTGACCCTTCAGCAAGGATGTATGTTGAGTTTAAGTTCGCCCTTCCTTGCGACATTACTGCTGTAGTTTACACACGTAATGGTAAGAGATTTCACAAAAGTTGTAAATTATCTGTTCTACACTAGGTAAATTCTGACATAGGTGTTCCCAGTCTCAAATTGCTAGTAAGAGTTATATTTAAAATATTAATATATTTATAAGTTTTATATATATTAAATTATAAACTATATTTATAATATAAATACATTAAATTATAAACTATATTTATAATATAAATACATTAAATTATAAACTATATAATATAAATACATTAAATTATAAACTATATAATATAAATACATTAAATTATAAACTATATTTATAATATAAATACATTAAATTATAAACTATATTTATAATATAAATACATTAAATTATAAACTATATTTATAATATAAATACATTAAATTATAAACTATATTTATAATATAAATACATTAAATTATAAACTATATTTATAATATAAATACATTAAATTATAAACTATATTTATAATATAAATACATTAAATTATAAACTATATTTATAATATAAATACATTGAATTGTAAACTATATTTATAATATAAATACATTGAATTGTAAACTATATTTATAATATAAATACATTGAATTGTAAACTATATTTATAATATAAATACATTGAATTGTAAACTATATTTATAATATAAATACATTGAATTGTAAACTATATTTATAATATAAATACATTGAATTGTAAACTATATTTATAATATAAATACATTGAATTATAAACTATATTTATAATATAAATACATTGAATTATAAACTATATTTATAATATAAATACATTGAATTATAAACTATATTTATAATATAAATACATTGAATTATAAACTATATTTATAATATAAATACATTGAATTATAAACTATATTTATAATATAAATACATTTATAATATAAATACATTGAATTATGTTATATTTATAATATAAATACATTGAATTATAAGTTATATTTATAATATAAATACATTGAATTATAAGTTATATTTATAATATAAATACATTGAATTATAAGTTATATTTATAATATAAATACATTGAATTATAAGTTATATTTATAATATAAATACATTGAATTATAAGTTATATTTATAATATAAATACATTGAATTATAAGTTATATTTATAATATAAATACATTGAATTATAAGTTATATTTATAATATAAATACATTAAATTATAAGTTATAAATATATACATTGAAAATATTAAGATCCTTTCAGTGACTTTGAGGTGGAAGGCTGAAGGCATTGCATTAGTAAGAATTTTTTACTTTGAAGTAATAAAAATCTCAATCAAATTTAAACCTAAACAAAACACTTGCAGGAGTGGCTCTGGCTTCACACAGTGGATCCAGGGACTCAAACGTCATTCAGATGCTCTCTTCCTCTATAGACTTTATCTCTGCTTCTTTCTCAGGCTAGGTGTCACTGGGGTACTGGAAGTACCATCATACTGCTATTGATAAGAAAAAATTAAAAATTAAAATAACAGTTTTTTCTCAAGTTTGATTTGGATGTTATCACCACCTTTTGAATAATACAATCATTTGTGAGCTGAAAGGAGGCACTATGATTGGCCTACCCTGTTCAATCGCAGCCAAGAGTGAAATCAGTGACCCAAACAGCATATTCATGACCACCTGGAAAGTTATTGCAAGCAAGGCAACCACACCAAGTTATGTCTACTACAAACGCTTTTAATAATAGCTTTTTAATAATAGCTTCACTTTAGAAATATATACCAGACATGCTTATAAGGGTTCAGAGACCAGGTCTAAGTAAACAGATTTAGACTTCATTTGGAAGGACAGCAAGTGTTGATTAACTTTAAAGAAAGTAGTAACTCAGTCTATGAAACAGTTGTTTGAAAGATGTCTTTTGTAAAGCTACTTTGGTGAAAACAAAAGATGATTACACTAGTGGGAATATTTGGGATACTGTATATTTGCAAGTTTAAAGGAAAATTTGCTGGGCAATTATAAACTCAGCTTATGCGTTTGTCACAGTTTTCATCTGTTTTAAATTAAGGAATGTAGGATTAACAGGTTGATATAACAAACAGCTGACACACAAACATGTGTGTACAATGTTGTCATATAAAGGTGCCACTGGTGGAAAACTATCTGAAAGAGCAAGTAATTCTCTGGAACCAATATATTCAGAAAACAGCTATCATACCTTGCATTGCAAAAGGATAAAGAAAATACTATAGTCAGTAGCCATTGAAAAGCATTTAAATGGGCAGGGCGTGGTGGCTCACGCCTAAAATCCCAGCACTTTGGGAGGCTGAGGTGGGCGGATCACGAGGTCAGGAGCTTGAGACCAGCCTGACCAACGTGGTGAAACCCCGTCTCTACTAAAAATACAAAAATTAGCTGGGCGTGGTGGCAAGTGCCTGTAATCCCAGCTACTCAGGAGGCTGAGGCAGGAGAATCACTTGAACCCGGGAGGCAGAGGTTGCAGTGAGCTGAGATTGCACCCCTGCACTCCAGTCTGGGCAACAGAGCAAGACTCCACCTCAAAAAAGAAAGAAAGGAAAGAAAGGAAAAAAAGAGGGATAAGAAAAGCATTTAACACCTAAGTGGATGCTAATCAACCATATTTTGAAGCTGTATGAAATCATAAAGGAACTGTTAAATGAAACTTTAATATAGTTAATGCTAACATTCCACAAACTGCTAAATTATATCTACATATTTTCTTTCCTTTCCTTTTAAGAGACAGGGTCTCACTCTGTCATCCAAGCTGAAGTGCAATGGGTCAGTCGTCATAGCTCACTGCAGCCTCACACTCCTGCTCAACCCATCCTCTTGCCTCAACCTCCCAGGTAGCTGGGACTAGAGGAGCACACCACCATGCCCAGCTATGTATTTTCTTATTTAATCACCACAATCGCCCTATGAGTTAGATCCCATTCTTCTTCCCCATTTTTGAGGCAACATAAGTGCAATGAGGCTAATTTGTTCAAGGTCACACTATTAGTAAGTAGCACAGCCAGGATTTGAAAATAGGCTACTTGACTCTAGAATCTACACTTTCAACACTAACCTTTAGAGAAATATATAATTAATAAAAATATAAGGCTATTGTAAAGTAAGAAAAAAATGTATTACCATTCTTTTTCCACAGGGTGAGAGAGTACTCAACTCTCACTCTGGGTTATGAAAAGAAAAAAACCTTGTTGAATCTGATATTCTAAGTAAATTCCTCTAGCCTGGACCAGCACACACTGAAAGTCTAAGCATCAACATAATTAGTCAATTAGATGACATACTTGTCACTTCCTGAGATAAAAGAGGAGAATCATAATTCCAGTAACAGCTCTCTAAACCAGTAAGTTATATGGTGATCAGCAGAATCTATTCTAGATGGCTTGGGTACTCCTGGCTTCCTTCAACAGTTGCACTTCCTTCCTCAAAGTAACCAGAATCCTTCACCTTCTTATCAACACATCCTCTCCTGAAAGTAATGGCAAATTCACACTAATGTGCAACCAAATAATAGGCTTCAGTTTCCACTTTGAAAACTTGAGTCATATAAACAATTCCAAATAGAACAGTCACACCCATGAGCTGGTAGGAGAAGCATCTCTTAGTTGGTAGGAAAGGAAAAATGAGGGTAAGGATATAGGGAAGTCAGAGGCCTTCATGATACCTCTGAAATCTACCTTCACAGCTGCTGTGAACTATACATGGTTCACTTCAATGGCGCAGCTACATAAAAGAACTCAAGCAAAGAATTAGGACTGAAATAATATTTCTGCAGATTTCCAAAAAGCATGTAAAAAGTCAAGGACTGAAATATTTGAATATGAACCTATGGTCACATATACACCAATAGAGGAGCCTTGCATTTAAGCATACATTCAAGTATATTTATTGAATGGAGGAATGAAGAAAATTCACTCTCAGAGATATATTACTACCAAGGCCATTGCTAAATAGCAAGTGAATGAAGGGTAACAACTGGCATCCACAATTTCCTAAGCTTCCCTGGCATACCCAGAGGTCTAGCAAGTAAATGTCAACCCCTCTGGAGGGTACAGTACCTTTCAGCAAAGCTCATTGAGATGGAATTCACTGAGGCTGTGACAAATGTGAGATTGTTTGGTTTTGTGTACATGTATAAAATGAATTAAATGGCCTTGTAATTACTTTCTATAGGTATGTAGGGGTGCTCATTACTAAGCTCTTGCACTAGTGATATATACATAGGGAGAAAGAGGATATCATTTTCTTGTATTTTACTTTATGGCACTTTGAAGATACTGTGTCTTTTTAAAATTAAAGGTTGGTGACAATCCTGCATCAAGCAAGTCTATGGGCACCACTTTTCCAACAGCATGCACTCCCTTTGTGTGTCTGTGTCACATTTTGGTAATTCTCACAATATTTCAAACTTTTTCGTCATTTTAATATCTGTTATGGTGATCTGTGATCAGGGATCTTTGATATTACTCTTGCAATTGTTTTAGGATACCAAGAACTGCACCAATGTAAGATGGCGAACTTAATCAAAAAAGGCTGTGTGTCCTGACTGCTCCACCGACTGGGCAATCCCCCATCTCTCTTCCTTTCCTCAGCTTCCATATTTTTGAGACACAACAATATTAAAATTAGGTCAATTAATAACACTACCATGGCTTCTAAGTTTTCAAGCAAAAGGAGGAGACACATGTCTCTCACTTTAAATCAAAAGCTAGAAACAATTAAGCTTAGTAAGGAAGGCATGTCAAATGCCAAGACAGGCTGAAAGCTAGGCCTCTTGCACTAAATAGCTAGCCAAGTTGTGAATGCAAAGGAAAAACTCTTGAAGGAACTTAAACGTGCTACTCCAGTGACCATACGAATGATAAGAAAGTGAACAGCGTTACTGCAGATATGATAACAGTTTGAGTGGTCTGCGTGGAAGATCAAACCAGCCACAACATTCCCTTAAGCCAACACCTAATCCAGGGCAAGGCCCTAACTCTCTTTAATTCTATGAAGGCTGAGAGAGGTCAGGAAGCTACAGAAGAAATCTTTGAAGTTAGCAGAGGTTGGTTCATGTGGTTTAAAGAAAGAGCCATCTCCATAACATAAAAGTCCAAGGTGAAGCAGCAAGTGCTGATGGAGAAACTACAGCCAGTTATGCAAAAGATGTAGATAAGATGATTGATGAAGGTGGTCACACTAAACAACAGATTTGCTATCTAGATGAACTGCCTTCTATTAGAAGAAGACACCATCTAGTACTTTCATAGCTAGAGAGGAGAAATCAATGACTGGCTTCAAAAAAACAGGCTGATTCCCTTTTTTTTTAGGGGCTAATGCAGCTAGTGATTTTAAGTGGAAGTTAATGTTCATTTACCATTCTGAAAACCCTAGGGCCCTTAAGAATTATGCTAAATCTACTCTTCCTGCGCTCTGTAAATGAAATAACAAAGCCTGGATGATAGCACATCTGTTTATAGCATAATTTAATTAAATATGTTAAACCAGATTAAAATATTTAATAATTTAATTAAATATTTTAAGCCACTGTTGGGGCCTACTGCTTAGAAAAAAAGATTTCCTTCAAAATATTTCTGCTTATTGACAATGCACCTAGTCACCCAAAAGCTCTGACGGAGATGTATAGGGAGATTAATGTTGTTTTCATTCCTGCTAACAAAATACCCCTGAAGCCATGGATCAAAGGGTAATTTTGACTTTCAAGTCTTATTATTTCAGAAATACATTTTGTAAGGCTATAGCTGCCATGGATAGTGATTCCTCTGATGGATCTCAGCAAAGTAAATTGAAAGCCACTGGAAAGGATTCACCAGTCTAGATGCCATTAAGAACATTTGTGATTCATTGAAGAAGGTCAAAATATCAACATTAAAGAGTTTGGAAGAAATTGATTCCAACCTTCACAGATGACTTTGAAGAATCCAAGGCTTCAGTGGAGAAAGTAACTGCAAATGTGGTAGAAATAGCAAGAGAACTAGAATTAAAAGTGGAGTCTGAAGAGGTTACTGAATTGCTATAATCTCATGATAGAGTTTGAAGGGATGAGCAAGTTGCTTCTTATGGGTAAGCAAAAAAAAAAGGAGAACCTTAAAATTAAAACTACTGCTGTAAAGATGCTATGAACACTGCCAAAATGACAACAAAGCATTTAGAATGGCACATAAACTTAGTTTATAAGTAGTGACAAGGTCTGAGAGGATTGACTCCACTTTGAAAGAAGTTCTACATAAGGTATCAAACATCTCATGCAACAGCGAAACTTTTCATGAAAGGAAAAGTCAATCAATGCAGGAAACTTCATTGTCTTATTTCAGAAATTGCCACAGCCACTTCAACTTTTCACAACCACCACCTTGATCAACCAGCAGCCATCAACATTGAGGGAAGACTCTCCACCAGCAAAAAGATTACAATTCACTGAAGGTTCAGATGATTATCAGCCTTTTTTGCAATAAAGTCTTTTCAGTTAAGGTATGTACATTTTAATTTTAGACATAATCATATTGCATACTTAATATACTACAGTAGAGTGGAAACATAACTTTTATATCCATTGAGAAACCAAAAATTTAGGTGACTCATTTTATTGCAGTGGTCTGGAACAAAATCTGCATTATCTCCAAGGTATGCCTGGATATATCAACAGTATATACATATTACTAGTATATATGTATATAGTACTAATATATATTATTAGCATGTATATATGTATGTATGTGTGTATATATGTATAATACTATATAGATCACTAGCAGATATTAGGAATCTACTAGGTCAGAGGAAAAAAATAAGAAACAGAGTATAGCTTGCATACAAACCTACCCAGACCAATAAATGATTCACTAATTTTGAGTATTATCAATAAAGAACCATTAATACTAAACAGTAATACCAACATTTTTGAGACAGGAGTAATAGAAATGCAAATGTGAAGTTACAGAGAAAGATCAAATCTTTCATGCAAGCTCTATTTTCCACATGTAAGAGAAGCAGAGGGCAAATGCATGGAAAACATATCTCAGAAGGCTGTGAGACGCCAGATATCTCAACATTAAAGCTGAAGTAGAGGGTATGCTTTCAGGTGATGCTGAAGAATAGTGGAGTTGTGAAAGAATTTATAAAAATGATAATATAACTGAATTTAGAAGCCTGTGTGAATTTCAAAGGAAAAATATATTTGGATACTAAGTTTCCATAGAAATCCCTCATGATTCACCTATGATTGCTTTGAACTGTACTATAAGTAGGACTTTCTGATATTTTTCAAACTTGAGGTCTTTGAAGTATTCCTTTGATTCCCCTAAGCTGAAGCAGGGTGAGATGTTTTCAGACCTTTAAACTCTCAGCAAAAGTCTGAACCTACTTTAGAATTTTGGAAAGGAATTTGCATTACTATATTAAAGGGAGTTTAAAAATTAACTATTGGTTTTCAGTTATTAATAGTTTTCATGTATCTTGTGTCATTCATTTATGTGGGCATATACACAAAAATCCTCAAATTTCTGATTAACCTAGAAATCAAAATCAGATTTCTCAAGAATTTTTAAAGTTCAGTGGAATAGAGGGTTGGTAGAAGTTAGTATTAAAAGTTAGGCGGTGGAGGTTCAAACATCATCTCTGTAGATAACCAGCTGTATGATCTATGAAGATTTGTGTAACTATCACAACTCTTTGGCTTCACCACTACCCATAAAAATGTGTTAGATTGAGCAACTGAGCAGTAGTGTTCAACAGGGGCATTACTGTCCCTACACGGTATCTGGAAATCTTGTGGAAGTGTTTTCAGTTTTCATGATGATTTTAAGGTGCTATGGGCATTTGGCCAAGCAGGGAGACTAGATACCCTTCAATGCTCCTGACAGCTCTATACCATGAAGAATCTTTTCAAATCCCACAGCTTTTCAAATGTCCCAACAAACATTCTCATATAGGTTCAAAACCTGTTTCTGTTTCTTCATGTTAACGTTATATTTATGTTCATCTGAGCCTAGAACCTAACTCTGTTTTATATAATACTATAATACTAATAACATATACATAGATATGTGTACATCTTCGTCTGTTCTGACTGCTCCAACAAACTACCTTAGACTGGGTAATTTACAAACAACAGAAATTTCTTCCTACAGTTCTACAGGCTGGGAAGTCCAAAATCAACATGCCTGCAGATCTGGTGTTTGGTGAGAGCCTGTTCCTCATAGATGACACCTTCCAGCTGTGTTCTCACATGGTGAAAGGAGCAAAGAGTCTCTCTCAAACTTTTTTTTATTAAAGGCCACTAACGCCATTCATGAGGACACAGCCCTCATGACAATGACCTGTGAAAGCCCCAATCTCTTAATACTACCACCTTGGGGGTTAGATTTCAACAGATTAATTTGTAGGGGTATACAAACATTCACACCAGAGCAGAGAGAGAGAGAGTGTGTGTGTGTTTATGTCTGTGTGTGTGTGTTGGGCATAGTTCTCTGATAAAAGTCTACATCTTTTCTTCTATTTTCTTGATAAAATGATTTTATTTTACTATATTATCTGTGTCTAATATTTATATCACTTGGGGGCCTTCGTCCATTGTCTGTTTTTTCTTGCTATCATTTTTCAGTATACCTAATAATTTTGTAGCTAATGCTGAACATTAGGTATAAAAATCTGTAGAGACTCTCAACGTTGTTATTTTTCTCCAAAGGGGATTTGTTTTAGAATTTGGCTAGGATTTAAATTGGATATTGAGTTAATTCAAGGCTCAGTGTTTATGATCTGGTCTATTTCTGTTATTTCTAGACAACAGGCCTTCAGGGTCCCAAAGGAGAGCCTGAGTCCCTCCCTCCTTGGCAAAACCTAACCTCTAGCTCTATCCCTCTAGCACTATGAGACTTCCAAAATTTCTGCTGAGTTTTTTACCCTGTTGGCAACCAGTTTCTGCTCATCTTTCCAGCCTCTCACTGTTCACTGCTTATGACTTTGCCAGTGTTTTGAGGGGAAGATGATAGTGTGTTTCCTTCTCTCCAGGATCATGGCTGCTTCAGTTCTGGCTGCCTTGGTGACTCCAAGATGTTTTTGAATAGTTTCCCCTACCCTTTGGCTTTTGGAAGGGGGTTTCAACGACCACAATTTAGTCACTCATACCTGGAAGTAAAAGTCTAGCATGGTTTAAAAATGCAAAGAATTTCCTTGGAATACAACTATTGTGTAAGTTGAGAATCATTACCATTTGTTTTGTTCAGAAACTTATTAAAATGTTAGAAAATCATATTACCCATGACAGTACTGGTCCCTGAGTCATGAATTCAAGATATTTACATCATGCATTTACCATTATGCTATTCATGATGATTCTATGTGTATGTGTATACATAAACAGATCATTTTTCTTCCCTTAAATACAAATTAATCATTAATTTAAAAATGGTTCAAGTATCTAAACACACTGCTTTATATTCTAGAGTAACTGTGCCTGAACAACTATGGGTTGCAAAGGAAAGAATAACATCTTAACGCCTCTCTTTTTAACCCCTCTGCCCGCAGATCCCATGCTTATTCAGCTATAGAAACTCATAGGTTACTTTAATGTTACTACTGAACCTGGATATAGAAAAGAATTCTCCTGGAACCTTCAACTGCATTGCCTAGAATTTGGACTGTCATCTGAAAAAGGCACAGGATGGCAAATATCCAAGGAAAAGCTGCAATGGCACCTGTTGCATGTCCAAGTTTCAGACACAAAAACAAACGTGCTGAGTTTTGTTTTTGGCTAGAATAAGGTCTCTGGATTTGAGACATCTGTAAAGTACACAGATCAGGAAAACTGCCTTCTATAGCAAGTATGTGCAAGGTATGCTCTTAGAAGCAGTAACTGAGGGGACAATGTCCATTCAGGCCAGCCAGAGAATATGTCATCCACCTCAGAGAAAGGTATAGGGCTGGAGGTCCCTGAGTAGGTAGGGGGAGGGCAGTAGGAAGGATTCTATAGAGTCCAACAAAGCATTCTTTGAGAGAAAGAACCAGCATTTATTTGCACATCTGCCAAACTGATGGCCTCAATGCCAGATTCCAATGGCAATGATCAAGTTAAACCTTGCGCTTTTCTTCTAGTTCCTCTTCTTTGCCTGATCTTAAAGGAGCCAGACGCAACAGCTAACAAGTGGTAGAAGAAATAGAACAAAACCAGTGAAGAAATAGGCCATGTTTTGGCCCATTCCTCAATGCTGCCGGTTGTAGAACCTGGGTTATGCCTAAGCCAAGACCGGGGAATACCAAGATGAACAGAAGAGAATCTTTAAACTGCATGTAGAATGCATTTTATTTGGATTAGACAGGACTTCTTAAAGTTATTTCCCAAATGCAAACTATTGAGTAGAGTCCCTTCAACACACCAGGTAGGATAATTTGCCTATTTAGAAAAATGACAAGTATTAGCAAAGTCAAACTTCCTCATGTTATCCAGTATACTAGATGGGGGTCAATGAGTTTTGCAGTTGAAATGATCTTAACTATGTAATAATTTTGAAAATAATTCATATAGGATAAACATAAAGTTCTTAGAGCTAAAGCTTAAGCAGTTGGTTAATAATTTATTCTCTCCCCTATATATATATTAAAATATATTGATGCATAAGAGTGTTCCAAAATTGTAAGAATGGGAACAAAGCATACAATTATAACTAAAGAGGATCATTCTTACAATGTAAAGAAGCAATTATAAGCTGCATGTTGAAATATTTCAACCTCCAAAGGAACTGAAATTGTCAATAAAATCTTTCTATACCTGGAAACTCACAGATGTGTACAAATCAAATAATGCGATGAAATAACTTCAAAACACCTGTCTTGCTACAAACACATTACAGAAATTCATTCTTATTGCCTCTCTCAAGTAGTAAGCAAAATAAGCACTGGGATTATTTTGCTTGTATATTATGTAATAAAACTTTTAAATTCAAATATTCAGTCAAATGCCAAGTGAAATATAACTTTCACACTAAGTCAAGAATCCCAATGCATGCATCTATTTGTTTAACTGAATGATGACTCAAAGTAACATCCCTTGTCATAACGGTTTTTGAAAATACAGTCAAATGCCATTAGAAAGTGTCTTGCTATTCCACAGGTTCAGTTACTCTCCAAATCTGGGCACATCCCCTGTGAACTAAGGATACAGAACACATATCACAAACATGAAAAACTGTCAGATGTCTCATTAGTCCTAGACCATGACAGCAATGGTGAAATAGTGCATCTCTACAGGAGACTGGATGTAACTGATAAGAAAGCATTGACAAGATGAAATAAAAAATGTATAAAAAAGAAAAGAAACCATTAGCACTAATCAACTTACCTAAAATTAAAATAAACAGAAAGATGTAAGCTCCCTACTTCTTACTAAATAGCAACAACCCTAAATTTTGGGAAAATCTGTCAGATCATGAACACCTTGGCATAAACAGATTCTGTTAGTTTATTACTCACTGAAAAGCCCATTATGCATTCCTTTATTTGATAAAAAGGCTTTTTTTATATTAATTTGTGAACAATAATGGTATTTGTGCTTAATATGCTAACATTAGTAGAGAGTTAAAAGTAATAGAAGTGTAAAGCTGGGGAAAAAAGCAGTAATTATATTCAAAGAGTTTTTTATACCTATTTCAAATATATTGTTTTTTATACTTTTTCAAAATATACTGTAGTATCTCTTTATGTGAAGATATGGGATGATTTAGAATTGTAACCTTTGTAAGTTGGAGGGAAACACAGATATCAAGATTCTCCTTCAACCTTATTATTTTATAAATAAGAAAATTTGAGCTAAAAGTGAGATTTCCTGGGTCATATAGTTAATTAATAGCATTTATTCATTAACTTAATTTATTATGTCATCATATATTTGAATGCCTACTGAGTTTAAGGAAGAAGTTCCATAAGGACTGTGGAGAATATCAAGATGATAAAGACCCAGCCCAAGGCTTATATAAAGACTTATGACATGGAGTAAAGTATCTACACACGTAACTATAATACCAATTGTTACAATTTATGATTGACTAGAGTGTCTTGTTTTGTTTTGTTTTTTGTTTTTTTGAGACTGAGTTTCGCTCTTGTTGCCCAGGCTGGAGTGCAGTGGCATGATCTCAGCTCACTGCAACCTCCATCTCCCGGATTCAAGCGATTCTCCTGCCTCAGCCTCCCGAGTAGCTGGGATTACAGGCACGCGCCACAACGCCCGGCTAATTTTTTTTGTATTTTTAGTAGAGATGGGGTTTCACCATGATGGTCAGGCTGGTCTCAAACTCCTGACCTCAGATGATCCGCCCACCTCGGCCTCCCAAAGTGCTGGGATTACAGGTGTGAGCCACTGCGCCCGGCCTAGAATGTCTACAATATCTTAAAGGAGGTTAGAATGATGGAAAATCAGAGATAAGAACAAAGACTTCAGAAAGGACAAATTTGGAATTGTGTAGTGACATTGGGGAGTCTAGGAACATGAACGATGATACAGAGGGAAGTTAATTTGGCTTAGTTTGGTGGGATCAAGAAGGTACATACAGTAACGCTGAAAAGCTAGGGGGAGGTCATGCTGTGAAAAGTCTAGAGCACTTGAAAAAATATTATCTCTATTTTGTTAAAAAAATGAGGACCTTTGGAAATTTGCATGGTGCTTTGAGAAAATTAATCCAATAGCAGAATATCATATAGTTTGAATACTCAAAATCTGGAATAGAAGATTATTGCAGAAGCTCCGTTCATGTAGCACACAAGAACAGTGGTGGTGGAGGCAGGTCACAAGAAGGGTCCCCATACAGCATTTATCTCTACCTAGCAAGGGATAAATTCAGGAAGGGAGAAGGGAAAGTCACAGCTGACTCCAGAGATGTTGGTGCCATTGAGTGAACGAATGTCTATGAGAGAAAAAGTGAGTCTTGGGGAAAAGAGGACGACTTCAATCTGGAATATACTGGCTGCAGAGTCCTAATTTCAATTCAGGTATTTGGTCTCTAAAGTCAAGTTCTCTTTCCCTTATATCACACTGTCTTTCCTACAAGTTAATTAGGAAATAGTTAATTGACTAATAGTTAACCACAATTAATTTATTCTCAGTTGTGGATTAGAAATGCACATCTTGCATATATTTTATAGTTTTTAATAATAATAATTTTTATATTTTTATTATAACAGTAATTTTATTTTATGAACAATAATTTATCTTCCAAAAGTTATCTTAGATAACAACAGCAATTTTAATATTGCTTTGTATAGTAGCATTTATATAGCATTTACAGTGTCCCAGGTATCGTTCTAAGCACTTTAATTTATATATATATATATATTTTTTTGTATTATACTTTACGTTCTAGGGTACATGTGCACAACGTACAGGTTTGTTACATATGTATACATGTGCCATGTTGGTGTGCTGCGCCCATTAACTCGTCATTTACATTAGGTATATCTCCTAATGCTATCCCTCCCCGCTTCCCCCACCCCACAACAGGCCCTGGTGTGTGATGTTCCCCTTCCTGTGTCCAAGTGTTCTCATTGTTCAATTCCCACCTATGAGTGAGAACATGTGGTGTTTGGTTTTTTGTCCTTGCGATAGTTTGCTGAGAATGATTGGTGGGACTGTAAACTAGTTCAACCATTGTGGAAGACAGTGTGGCAATTCCTCAGGGATCTAGAACTAGAAATACCATTTGACCCAGCCATCTCATTACTGGGTATATACCCAAAGGATTATAAATCATGCTGCTATAAAGACACATGCACACGTATGTTTATCGCGGCACTATTCACAATAGCAAAGACTTGGAACCAACCCAAATGTCCAACAATGATAGACTGGATTAAGAAAATGTGGCACATATACACCATGGACTACTATGCAGCCATAAAAAATGATGAGTTCATGTCCTTTGTAGGGACATGGATGAAGCTGGAAACCATCACTTTAATTTTCATAGCAATCTATTATTATTCCAGTTTTACAGACAAATAAACTGAGGCCCAGGAAAATTAAATAATCTGCCTAAGGACAAACAGCTAACCCCTGAGAGAGAGCTGGATTCATGACCAGAGGCAGCCTGAATTCAGACTCCATGCTCTCAAGCCATTGTATATGCTGCCTCTCAGAGCCACCCTGAGATGCTACTCACGCTCTATTCCAGCCCGCCTGCCTTCTCTAATGGCCTGAGATGGTTGTGGTGCTGCTCTCTGCCTCTAGCTAAGATGCAGGAAGTTAATTATGTTTTTCTCACTCCTTCCCTCCTTATTCTTCTCTCCAATCCCCCTCTTTCCAGGAAGCCTTCAGAGAGTTAACATTTTCAAATGCTGCACACAGAATCAGAGCTTTCCTCAGGCTTGGGGCCAGCACAGACATACAAAGTCATTTCTCACTGGATTCCCATCACTGGCTTATCCATTTGTTTTATTCCTTTTCAAATCAAACATGGAAAATGGGTGGGGTAATAAGGGGCTAAGAGAATGTGACAGTTGTCTCCAGAAATCCTTTTCCCTTTAATAATTAGTTATCTACCATAAGCAAATGTTTTTAAATATTTAGTTTGCTTTTATCTTGACATATTCTATTTCCATGGATTCACTTAACTCTACCCCCATATATGTAAGGCAGTGATAGCATTTGGGGTTTACATGCTCAACAACACACTGTCTCCTAATTTAATACTCCCCTCTCCTAACACTATTCCAAAATAACTTAAAAGTAATGGTGTCAACTGCATTCAATTCCAGCCCAACTTTGGAGTGAGTGCTTTATATTTAAATTTTGTTATGTTCTCTTGTGGTTTGCAAAGGAAAAGTGTCACTACTAAACAAAATAATTTTGTAAACAAAGAAATATTATTTAAAATCTATTGGAGGCCAGATGCAGTGGCTCTCACCTGTAATCTCAGCACTTTGGGAGGCCGAGGTGGGAGGATTACTTAAGCCCAGGAGTTCAAGACCAGCCTGGGAAACATAGAGAAACCTCCTCTCTACAAAAAAAAGAAAAAAAATTAGCTGGGTGTGGCAGTGTGCACCCGTGATCCTAGCTACTCAGGAGGCTGAGTGAACAGGCAAGAGGAGAGCTTAAATCCAGAAAGTCAAGGCTGCAGTGAGCCATGATTGCACCACTTCACTTCAGCCTGGGAGACAGAACAAGATCCTGTCTCAAAAAATCAAAAACAAACATAAAACCTATTGGAAACCATGCTGATACGGTTATTCAAATTTATGTACTGTATATGTCAAAATAGCTTTTTAAATCATCTCTAAAACTGGCTTAAATTCCTTAATGGACAAGAGCCTGATCTTCCAGGGACAGGAGTAATTACTTCTCTACCTCTCAAATCTCCATGCTGCAACAGGAGATTAAATTGAACTTTTAGAGCAAGCAGCCCATAAGAGACTATCAGTAGTTGAGCTTTATTTCTAGGCTTCTTTTTTTCCCTACACAACACAAACTTACAGTACTTATGTTGGTATGGTGATACATAATTAATAGTGTGAGCTGTTTGCTAATCTAGTGTATCTAATCTTCCTTTTCTCCTAAAAAGGTTTCCTTAGCTATCTCGCCCTGTTTTTCTTGGGTACCAAAGTTTGAGAAGTCACATGGTAGATTACGTTTGCGAATGCTGTAAAATGCCAAAACTCATCCATGATATAATTGTAAACACTCATGGGGAATGGAGATAAGTGAGAGAGAACATCATCCTGCTCCTCATGCCTTGTAATAGATTCACTGACTATGGATCATCTGCAAAGTAGGCCCACAAAGCATAATAATTAGCAGTTTAAAGCACTTTACATTCACTAATTATTTAATCCAATCACCTCCTAATGGAGAATATTTAATAACGTGCTGACCTTAACATAAGAAGATTGTCCTGCTGAGCACTCTGCTTCCCCAGTGAGTGCCATAAGTTGTTTTTTTAGTAGCAGGAAGGAAGCCGATCCTCTCTATTACCAAGCCCCCAGTGACCAACAATAAGCAACATCATTGGCTGACGAGAGGGAGGACCATAGAAGCAGGCCTCCTCTAGAGATAAGACACAACAATGGACAGCCTTAGGAAGGGAGACAAAGCTGTGGGTTTCATTAGCTCCATGCACTAATCAGCTTAGCTGCTACCACAGGAGATGTGTGGATGTTTTTCTGTAGTAAGTAAAGCTATAAAATTAGCATCACACATTTTAAAATCTGGTTAAAACTCATGTGGCTGCTAATCTTAACTTCTCAAACTTCTAGCATTGGTTGAATGTGAGAAATTGTAACTGCTGTTAACAAGCTGGAGGAAACCAATCCCCTGGCAGCAGACAAGAGTTCACAGAAACTGATTATATGAGTACATACATGCAGAGCAAGACAGTAAAAGGAAAGAAAGCCCACAGATGCAAACAGAAGAGGGGGCAGGAGCACAAAACTCAGAAAAGTAGAGACAAACTTCAAGGGTTATGAGAGATATATTGGTATATTCATGTGGAGAGGAAAATAAGAAAATTACTTAAATCTAGTTAGTAAAAAAATAGCTTAAACTTGAAAAACTCCTTTATAGGTTAGACATCTGTGTCATCTAAACTTTGGAAGAAAAAGAAGACACTATTAATAATTAGTCAGGACAAATGAGCGCTACTAAATTTATTATTCTACTCAATCAGGATGAATGTTCATTCTATACAGTTATGAAAAATGGTTGGGCACAGAGATGAAGAAGCATTTCTCAGAAGTGAGTATCAGAGAAGCAAATGTCTTAAGTCATTTTTATGTCTATAAAGGCCTTTTTTTCTTTCTATCTGCAGTGGAAGAAACCTTCACTAAAGGCCTGGGACTTAGCTTACAGATATAGAGAAAAACAAAGTCAGATTCTCAAGTTACTGCATTCTCATGTATCCTGCTTTCTACTTGGATAATTATTATGGACTGAATTGTGTTCCCCTAAAATTTGTAGTCTGAAGCCCTAACCTTCAATGTGACTGTATTGGGAGATAAGGCCTTTAAAGAAGTGATTATGGTTAAATGAGATTGTAAAAGTGAGGCCCTAATCTAATAGGACTGGTATCCTTCTAAGAACAGGAGAAGACACCAGAGATCTATCTCTCTCCATGCACAGAGGAAAGGCCATATGAGGACACAGCAAGAAGACGCCATCTGTAAGCCACGGAGAGGGGCCTGAGAAGAAACCAGCCCTGCTGGTACCCTGATCTTGGACTTTCAGCCTCCAGAACTGCAAGAAAATTTCGTTAAGCCACCCAGTTTGTGGTATTTTGTTATGGCAGCCTGTGCAGACTGAGACAATCATGAAGTGTTAATTTAATCAGTAAGAATAAACCAACCTGAAAGCATCTTCCATGCCCTCTGTTTCTGTCCTTGCTGTGTCTCAGAATTTCACAATGCTCTCAAGAGACAGGTGAGAGGGTGGAGCCGAACCATAGGGGCAGATTCTATACCTGGGTCATCCTAGGAGAGTGAAAACCTAAGGAGACAGGAAGAAACATGGAATGTGAAAGGAGTTAAAATTCAAAAATGAAGGCTTGCTGCAAATCTAAAGGGAGGCCAAGGTTGAGGTAAAAGTCAGAATAAATAGCCATGAGTTAGCAACTAAGGCAACTTCTTAAGGAGGCCTGGGCCAGATGGACTGCTTTTGTGTACCAGTGGAGGAGAGGTTGGTATATAATGTGGCTTTGTGGGAGAGCAGGAACTCTTCCTCATCTTCCTAAGGGATTTCCTGCAAAGTATCTGCCAGAGACTGGAAGGTGACATAGCTTAGCATTCAAGAACCTGGGAGTTAACTGGATCTAGGTATAAATTCTTGTTCTGCAACTTCCTAACCATGTGACCTTGAATAAGAAGTTTATTCTACCCTCAATCTCAATTCTCCAATATGCAAATGGGTATAATAATATTGGTCATTGTTTGACTCTCTTTCAGAAAAACATTGTGGGCTCTCTTTAAACAGGCCAGTATTCCTGGGAGGGATGAGGAAGAATGGATGCCACTTTGAGTCACTAATTCCATAAGTTTGCTTTAGTCTTCTATTCTATTATAGGTGTGTATAAGTGTGTGGCAGAGAGGTAGATCAAAAGCAAGGAAATAGATACAGAAAACTGTTAAGAGAGGAATACTAATTTCAAATATTACTAATTTATTTTCCTTAGAGCCAGCTGTAATTGCCAAAACACTTTTAAGCAACAAACATTAACTAATTGACTTGGGTGAAAACCTTTTGTGAACAGAGTCTTTGCTGGAGTTAAGAGCAACGCTTCTCACTAAGAAACAAATAAACCTAATGGTGAACTGCTGACCTTTGGCCTTTGTAACTGGGTTTCATTCACACAGTCCTCCAACCCATCACTTTTATGTACTGGGCAATCCTCATCAATGGCACAGAGCTCTGTATTGCTTCAGGACCTCCTCCTTTCTAGGGAACATTTTAGTATTGATCATTATTATTTTATTTTATTATGTGCCAGAAAGAATAGCAACCTTTAAAATCAATTGCACTCTTTAGTTCTTAATAAAGATTTTTATTTACAGTAATATCCTTCAGATTTTTGATACACTGACCCTTTTATTGAAAGGCCTATCTGAATCTATTTTTTAATGACCATAAATAGCTTCAGTTCCCTAAAGTGGAATTCTGTTTGCTTTAAATGTAGAGTTGAATATGCAAGGTACTTAGAAAATTTAATTTAAAAGCCTTAGGTAAATGGTCTCTGAAATGAGTTATTTGTATCTTGAACTGTCATTAAAGGCAGCCTGTCATAAGTTGATCCAGTATTTCATTTTATATCACAAGTTCCATTAAATTTTCATAAGAAACTCATAAGCACTGCTGATGTCACGTCCCTTTCAAAAGTGTACCTAAGCCGCCAGCAAAGCTTTCTTTTTGAGCAGTCTTAAAAGTAGATTTTCTATCAGTGTCCATCATGGAAGCTAGGACTGCTTATGAACCTAAGTGCAAAAGAAAAATAACTTCACTAGGTAAGGACCTTGACCCACCCTATTTAATATTTAGTCATTGATAACATAGCCAAATGGTAGGTAATTCAGGAAGGTGTTGCCTGGCTTCCCTAAAAATGCTCCCCAAAGGCATGAGCTCAATAAACTACTCACTGGGTAAATTTTTAAATTTTCTTTTATTGGTCCTGCACTTTTCTTATTAGAGTTTCAAGGACTTACTGCAGTACTAACATATTATTTGTCAAATGAATCTATACTTTCCCACCCAATTCTTTAATCATCCCTTCTACCCATCCCTGTCCATCACAGTTCTATTTTAAAGTATAAGAAATGAGCTATTGATTACATTAAGTAATGCTTGTTTAATAGGCCACTATCTTAATTATTTTTAAAAGAATTTAAGGAAAATAATCCAATAAAGTGTGTCATCTGTCCTCCTATACTGTGTATATAAACTTCCTTTAAAACAGAAGAGAAATGTAGTAGATTCATTGTCTCCAACAGTGGTCTGAGGTTAGAAAATATCAAATTTGGTTATCCAACTGGGTTCAAAGAAAGTTGGGAGCTACATTACTGAACAAAGAAACCTCTCTATTCACAGTTGGGTATTTTGCCTCAAAAAAGGGGCTCATCATTCCTGGTTAAGGGGGAAGTATATAGGCTTTGTGAAGACCATGACTTCCTGAGAAATCTATGTCCATAAGCAGTCCACCTACTTGGGAGATGGCATGTGGATTCTATACATTATATAACTTCTTAATAAAAATCTGAGCTAGATCACTTGCACCATGTATCATGGGGGAGCACTGTTTGCCTCAGGGTCATGAATGTCCCTAACTACATGAGAAGCAGAGAGAGAGACACAGCATGATGGCTAAATAGAAGCTTATATTGATCTTCCTCCCTACAGGAACACTAAACATAACAACCATCCACACAAAAAAAGCACCTTCATAAGAACCACAAATCAGGTGAGCAATCACACTACCTGGTTTTTACTTCATATCATTGAAAGAGGCACTGAGAAAGGTAGAAAATCTTTTTTTTTTGTCATTCATTTATTTACTATTCATTTATTCATTTATTTATTTTGAGACAAGGTCTTGCTCTGTTGCCCAGCCTGGAGTGCAGTAGAGCAATTATGGCTCACTGTCATATAGGAGTTAAGAAGTAATTATTTAAGCAGATAGCAAGGGCATGGAAGTCCTCGGTAAGGCTTTTCTTTTTAATGAAAAGCAGCCCCAAATCATTTTCTAACAAACAGCAGCCTGCAAGCTGGGAGCTTGCACAGGTGAATGCCCCAGGAACTAAGGACTAGACATTTTCAAAATGGTGGCTCCACCATCCCTTCTTTGCCAGCCACCTGCACTGTAAGGAGCAGACAAGATGGCACCGATCAACTGGAAGGCCCATTTGCATAAGAAGATTAGGGTGGAGCGATCAGCCTTCCCAGAGCACTATGGAAACGTCATACCTGATTGAATCAATCTGTGATCCCCATGTAAATCAGAAGACACCGCCTCCTCAAACTGGACTATAAAACTCAACACTTTGCTGCCACCCAGTCCTTTTCCACTCGGAGACTGCTTTCTCTATAGAGGAAGCTGTTTCTCTTTCTCTTCTCTTCTACCTATTAAACCTCCACTCCTAAACTCCTCATGTGTGTCCATGCCCTAAATTTTCCTGGCACGTGATAACATACCCCGGGTTTATACCCCAAATAACATAGCCACTTCAACTGCAGCACTGAACTCCCAGCCTCAAGCAATCCCAGCTAATTTTTGTATTTTTGTAGAGATAGGGTTTCATCATGTTTCCTAAGCTGGTCTTGAACTCCAGAGCTCAAGTGATCCTCCCACCTTGGCTTCCCAAAGTGCTGGGATTACAGGTATAAGCCACTGCACCCAGCCAAGAAAGTGTTGAATTGTCAATGCCACTCCTCCCCTATTCCTTGGCAGTGGCCACATGGCATGGAGACAAAATCTGTGCATTTGGGAGAGGCAGAATGCAGTGATTATGGGATTCTGCATTGGAACTCAGTGCTGCCCTGTCACAGCAGAAAGCAACACTGTGCAGAACTCAGCCAGCTCCCATGGAGGGAGCTTTTTGACCAGCCCTAGCCAGAGAGGAATTGCCCATTCCAGCAGTCAGAACCTGAGTTCCACCAAGCTTTACCGCCAAAGGCTAAAGTACTCTGGAGTCCTAAATAAACTCAAAAGGCAGTCTAAGCCTTAACGACTACCACTAAGCAAGTGCTAGTGCTGTGTTGGGCTCAGAGCCAGTAGACCTGGGGACATGCAACCTAGTAAGACACCAGCTGGGGTAGCTAAACGAGTTGGGGTTGCACCACCCCTCACCCATTCCCAGGTAGCACAGCTCACAGCTCCAGGAGAGACTCCTTTCCTCTGCCTGAGGAAAGGAGAGGATAGGGTAATGAGGACTTTGTCTTGCAAGTTGAATATCAGCTCAGCCACAGTAGAACAGGGTACCAGGCAAAGTCCTGAAGCCCCCATTCCAGACCCTAATTCCTGGATAACATTTCTAGACACACCCTGGGTGAGAAAGGAACCCACTGCCTTGAAGAGAAGGAGCCAGTCTTAGCAGCATTTATCACTTGAGGACTAAAGATCCCTTGGGCCCTGAAAAATCATCAGTGGTAGCCAGCTAGTACTTGCCATGGGCTTTGGGTGAGACTGAGATGTGCTGGCTTCAGGTGTGACCCAGCACATTCCCAGCTGTGGTGGCTACAGGCAGAAATTCCTGCTTTAGAAAATGAGAGGGAAGAGTAAAGCAGACTTTGTCTTGCTTGGCCGCAGTGGGGTAGAACACCAAACAGGCTCTTGGGGTCCCCAGCTCGAGGCCTTCACTCTTGGATGGCATATCTGGACATGCCCTGAGTCAGAAGGGAGCCCACTGCCATGAAGGGAGAGTCTCAGGCCTGGCAGAACTCACCAAAAGTTGATTAAAGAGCCCTTGGGCATTGAGTGAACATTGGCAGTAGCCAGGTAGTCCTGGGGCAGTGGTGGCCATGGGGAGAGACTCCTCTGCTTTTGGGAAAGGGAGGAAAGAGTGGGAATAGCTTTGTCTTGTGCTTTGGGTGCCAGCTCAGCAACAGCAGAATAGAGGACCAGGGAGATTCCTAAGGTTTCTGACTCCAGACTCTGGCTCCCGGATGGTATTGCTGGAAACGCTCCAAGAGAACTTGTTGTCCTGAAAGGAAGGACACAAGCCTGGCTGGCTTTGCCACCTGCTGGTGGTAGAGCCCTAGGGTTTTGAAAGAACACAGGCAATAGCCTGGTAGTAGTTGCTGCAGGTCTTGGGCAAGACCCAGTTCTGTGCTGGCTTCAGGTCTGACTCAGAACAGTCCCAGTGGTGGTGGCCACAGGGTTAATTATGTCACCCTTCCCCCAGTTCCAGCAGCTCAGCACACAGAGAGATACTCCATTTGTTTGTGATAAAGTAAGGGAAGAGAACAGGAGTCTCAGTTTGGTAATCCAGAGAATGTATCTGAATCTTATCCAAGACCACCAAAGCAGTGCCTCTACAAGTCTGCAAGAGCCACAGCCTTAGTAGGCTTGTGGTGCCCCATAATGCAGATGTGACTACAGTGACCAAAAACTTGTATCACAACACCCGATCCCTTTGATATCTAGGAAAGCATTCCCAAGAAGGACAGGTACAAAGAGGCCCGGATTGCAAAGACTATAATAAACATCTAACTCTTCAATATCCAGACACCAACGAATATCCACAAGCATCAGCACCACCCAGGAAAACATGACCTTACCATATGAACTAAATAAGGCACCAGGGACCAATTCTGGAGAGACAGAGATGTGTGCCATTTTAGACAGATAATCCATAGCTTTTGAGGAAACTCAGTGGAATTGAAGGTAACACAAAGAAAGATTTAAGAATTCTATCAGAGAAATTTAACAAAAACATTGAAAAAACTAGAAGCAGAAATCGTGGAGTTGAAAAATGAAACTGACATATTGAAGAATGCAGTGGTCTCTTAACAGCAGAGTTGATCAAGCAAAAGAAAGAATTAGTAAGCTTGATGATAGGCTACTTGAAAATACACACTCAGAGGAGACAAAAGAAAAAAAGAATTTAAAAAACAAGAACATCTACAATATCTATAAAATAGCCTCAAGAGGGCAAATCTAAGAGATACTGGCCTTAAACAAGAGGTAGGGAGAGAGATAGGGGTAGAAAGTTTATTCAAAGGGATAATAACAGAGAACTTCCCAAACTTAGAGAAAGATATCAGTATCCAACTCCAAGAAGGTTACATAACACCAAGCAGATTTAAACCAAAGAAGACTACCTCAAGGCATTCAATAATCAAACTCCCAAAGGTCAAAGGATAAAGAAAAGATACTAAAAGCAGCAAGAGAAAAGAAACAACATACAAAAAAGCTCCAGTACATTTTGCAGAAGACTTTTCTGTGGAAACCCTACAGGCCAGGAGACAATGGCATGACATATTTAAAGAGCTAAAAAACAAATTTTTTACCCTAGAATAAGGGTCAGTTCAGCAAGAGGATATAGCAATTGTAAATATACATGTACTCAACACTGGAGCACCTAGATATATAAAGTAAATATTAGAGCTTGAGAGAGATCACCAATACAATAACAGCTAGAGACTTCAACACCCCACTTTTAGCTTTGGACAGATTGTCCAGACAGAAAATCAACAAAGAAATATTGGTGGAACCCACCCCCGATAATTCAACGTAGGTTCTTTTCTATTTTCCCTAAGTGTCAGCCGGTCTAAGAAATAAAGGGAAAGAATACAAAAGAGAGAAATTTTAAAGCTGGGTGTCCAGGGGAGACATCACACGTCAGCAGGTTCCGTGATGCCCGTGATCCATAAAACCAGCAAGTCTTTATTAGCAATTTTCAAAGGGAAGGGAGTGTACGAATAGGGTGTGGGTCACACAGATCACATGCTTCAAGGGATCACAAGGCAGAAGGTCAGGGCAAGATCACAAGGTCAGGGCGAAACTAGAATCACTAATGAACTTCCATGTCCCACTGTGCACGCAATGTCATGGATAAACATCTTAACAGTGTTCAAGAGCAGAGAACCAGTCTGATTAGAATTCGCCAGGCTGGAATTTCCTAATCCTAGCAAGCCTGGGAGCACTGCAGGAGGCCAGGGCGTGTTTCATCCCTTATCTACAACTGCATAAGGCAGACACTCCCAGAGCGGCCATTTTAGAGGCCCCCATATTCCTTACTGGGGAAAGAATTCAGCTATATTTCTCTTACCCGTTTTTGGTAAGAAGAGAAATATGGCTCTGTTCCGCCCGGCTCCCAGGCAGCCAGACTTTAAGATTATCTCCCTTGTTCCCTGAAAATCGCTGTGATCCTGTTCTTAAGGTGCCCAGATTTCATACTGTTCAAACACACACGCTTTATGAACAATTTGTGCAGTTAACACAATCATCAGGGTCCAGAGGCGACATACATCCTCTGCTTACAAAGATGACGGGATTAAGAGATTAAAGTAAAGACAGGCATAGGAAATTATAAGAGTATTGATTGGGGAAGTGATAAACGTCCATGAAATCTTCACAATTTATATTCAGAGATTGCAGTAAAGACAGGCGTAAGAAATTATAAAAGTATTAATTTGGAGAACTAACAAATGTCCATGAAATCTTCACAATTTATGTTCTTCTATCACGGCTTCAGCAGGTCCCTCCGTTCAGGGCCCCTGACTTCCTGCAACAAAGAAACATCAGACTTAATGTGTACTATAGACCAAACAAACCTAATTGATATTTACAGAACATTTCATCCATCAGCTGCAGAACACACATTCTTCTCCTCAGCACATGAATCATTCTCAAGGATAGACCATATGTTAGGCCACCAAAAAAGTCTTTAAAATTTCAAAAAAATAAAAATAATATTAAGTATTTTCTCTGACCCCAATGGAATAAAACTAGCAATCAATAACAAGAGGAATTTTGGAGACTATACACACACGTGAAATTTAAAGAATATGCTCCTGAATGGTCAGTGGTTCCATGAAGAAATTAAGAAGAAAATTGAAAAAATTTTAAAACAAATGATAGGGAAAATACAACATACTAAAACCTATGGGATACAGTAAAAACAGTACTAAGAGAGAAGTTTATAGCTATAAACAACTATGTTAAAAAGTAGAAAAACTGCAAGTAAACAACCTAATGATGCATCTTAAAGAACTAGATAAGCAAGAGAAAATTAAATCCAAAATTAGCAGAAGAAAAGAAATAAAAAAGATGAGGGCAGACCAAGTATCTGTAATCCTAGCCTTTAGGAGGCCAAGGCAGGAGGACTGCTTGAGGCCAGGAGTTCAAGACCAGCCTGGACAACATGAGACTCTGTCTCTAAAAAAAAAAAAAAGAAAAAAAAATTGAGCTGGGTGGGGTAGCACACATCTGTAGTATCAGCTACTGAGAAGGCAGGGGTGAGAGGATCACTTGTGCCCCAGAGTTCAAGGCTTCAGTGAGCCATGATTGTGCCACTGCACATCAGCCTGCGTGACAGAGCAAGACCCTGTCTCACACACACACACAAGATCAGAGCAGAAATAAATGAAATTAAAATAAAGAAAATAATACAAAAGATCAATGAAATAAAAAGTTGTTTTTTTAAAGATAAACAAAATTGACAAACATTTAGCCAGATCAAGAAAAAAAGCAAGAAGATGCAAATAAAATCAGAGATGTAAAAGGGAACATTACAACTGATACTGCAGAAATTCAAAGGATCATTAGTGGCTACTGTGAGCAACTATATGCCAATCAATTGGAAAACCCAGAAAAAAATGGATAAATTCCTAGACACATACATACTATCAATATTGAGTCATGAAGAAATTCAAAGCCTAAACAGACCAATAATAAATAACAAGATTGAAGCAGTAATAAAAAATCTCACAACAAAGAAAAGCCTGGTACCCGATGGTTTCACTGCTGAATTTTATCAAACATTAAAATACCAATCCTGCTCAAACTGTTCTGAAAAATAGAGAAGGAGGCAATACCTCCAACTTATTCTACAAGGCCGGTATTACCTTGATTCCAAAACCAGATAAAGACACCTCAAAAAGAGAATACTACAGGCCACTATCCCTGATGAACATTGATGCAAAAATCCTCAATAAAATACTAGCAAAGCAAATTCAACAACACATTAAAAAGATATTCATCATGACCAAGTACAACTTATCCCAAGGATGTAAGGGTGGTTCAACATATGCAAATCAATCAATGTGATACATCCTACCAACAGAATGTAGGGCAAAAACCATACGATCATTTTAATATCATTTTAATTGATGTTAAAAAAGCATTTAATAAAATTCAACATGCCTTCATAATTAAAACTGCCAAAAAACCTAGGTAAAGAAGGAACATAATTGGAGCCATATATGACAGAACCACAGCTAGTATAATATCTAATGGAGAAAAACTGAAAAGACTTTATTTGAAAATCTAGAACACAACAAAAATGCCCACTATCACCACTGTTATTTAACATAGTATTAGAAGTCCTGCTAGAGCAATCAGACAAGAGAAAGAAATAAAGGGCATACAAATTGGAAAAGAAGTCAAATTATCCTTGTTTGCAAATGGTATGATCTTATACTTGGAAAATCCTCAAGATGCCACCAAAAAATAATTACAGCTGATACACGAATTCAGTAGAGTTGCAGGATACTAAATCAACACACAAAAAGCGGTAACATTTCTATATGCCAATAGCAAACAATCTGAAAAAGAAATTTAACAAGTAATCCAATTTACAATAACTACAAATAAAATTAAATACCTAGGAATTAACCAAAGAAGTGAAAGATCTCTATAGTGAAAACAATAAAACATTGATGAAAGAAATTGAAAATAATACCATAAAATCAGAAGATATTTCATATTCATGGATTGAAAGAATCAATATTGTGAAAATGTCCATATTACCCAAAGCAATCTACATAATTCAATGTCATCCCTATCAAAATACCAATGACATTCTTCACATAAATAGAAAAAGCAATCCTAAAATGTATATGGAACCACAAAACACCCAGAATAGTCAAAGTTATCCTGAGCAAAAACAATAAAATTAGAGCAATCACATTGCCTGACTTCAAATTATACTACAAAGTTATAATAACCAAAAACAGCATGGTACTGGCATAAAAACAGACACATAGACCAATGGAACAGAATAAAGAACTCAGAAACAAATTCATACATGTACAGTTATCCCATTTTGACAAAGATACCAAGAACATACACTGGAAAAAGGACAGTTTCTTCAATAAATAGTTCCAGGAAGACTGGATATTCTTATGCAGAAGAATGAAACTAGACCCCTATCTCTTGCCATATACAAAAATCAAATCAAAATGGATTAAAGACTTAAATCTAAGACCTTAAACTATGAGGTCTTGTTTACTAGAAGAAAACATTGGGAAAACTCCCCAGGACATAGGACTGGGCAAAGATTTATTGAGTAATACCCCCACAAGAACAGGCAATTAAAGCAAAAATGGACAAATGGAATTACATCAAGTTTTAAGCTTTCTGCACAGCAAAGGAAACAATCAGCAACGTGAAGAAATAACCCACAGAATGGGAGAAAAATATTTACAAACCTATCCATCTGACAAAAGATTAATAGAGAAATGCAAATCAAAATTACAATGAGATCTCATCTCACTCTAGTTAAAATGGCTTTTATCCAAAAGACAGACAATAAGAAATGCTGGTGAAGATGTGGAGAAAAGGGATCTCTTGTACACTGTTGGAAGGAATGTAAATTGGTACAAGCACAACGAAGAACAGTGTGGATCACCAGGTCAAGACATCAAGACCATCCTGGCCAACATGGTGAAACTCCATCTCTACTAAAAATACAAAAATTAGCTGGGCGTGGTGGCGCACACCTGCAGTCCCAGCTACTCAGAAGGCTGAGGCAGGAGAATCTCTTGAACTCTGGAGGTGGAGGTTGCAGTAAGCTGAGATCACACCACTGCACTCCAGCCTGGTGACAGAACAAGACTCCATCTCAAAACAAACAAACAAAAAACTAAAAATAGAACTATCATATGATCTAGCAATCCCACTGCTAGGTATATACCCCCAAATAAAGGAAATTAGTATATTAAAGAGATATTTGCACTCAAATGTTTATTGTGACACTATTCACAACAGCCAAGATTAAGAAGCAACCCAAGTATCCATCAGCAGACAAATGGATAATGGGCGCATACACACAAAATGTGACACACATATACTTTAAAAAGAATGAGGTCCTGTCATTGGCAAGAACATGGATGGAATTGGAAGTTAAGTTAAATAGGCTAGGCACAGAAAGACAAACTTCATACATTCTCACAAAATTAAAACAATTGTACTTATGGAGATAGAGAATAAAATGATGGTTACTAGAGACTGGGAAGGGAATTCCTGGGTGGGAGGAAAAGTGGGGATGGTTAATGGGTATGGAAAAATAATAAGATAGTATCTACAAGAGCTAGTATTTGATAGTGTAATGGGGTGACGACGGTCAACAATAATTTATTGCACATTTAAAAATAACTAAAACAATAGAATTGGATTGTTTTTAACAAATAAAAAGGATAAATGCTGTGGTGATTAATACCCCATTTACCCTGATGTGATTACTATGCATTGTATGCCTGTATCAAAATATCTCAAGTATCCCATAATATATACACCTATTATGTACCCACAAAACTTAAAAATAAAAATTGTATATAAAAAAAAGCCTAAACTGGCCTTTTCGTGGCAGCTATATATTTAACCAAATATGGTAAAATTAAAAGTATCTTTTTTTCCAAAAATGTGAATAGATGGAAGATATTTCATTTTTCTTAACCAATTTTGGTCCTATTTTAAAAATCTCTGATGTGAATTTATTACAAGAGAGTGGAAGAGAAGGACATTTTGAAAATGAAAAAGAAATTAACAAAATGGAAAGAAAGAAAAATAAAGGATAAGATCAAATAAAGAAAATAGCACGTCAGAATACTGGTAGAGGTAACCACTTCCACAGAAAATGGAAAATGCCCTGTATTCTGTTGCAGGCAACCTGATTTTACTCTTAATTTGGAAATAGTGTTAGTGGCAACAATGATGCATTATTATTGATCACAAAATGTGGGGTTTGAATGAGATCAACTTCCAAAAATGCCTCTAACTTGAATAAGCACTGTGATTCTAAAGCTGAGAAATATATCTATGTGGGTGTGTATGTATATAGTCATATAGACATTTGTATATATACATATATGTTATATATAAGACATATTTTAAAACATTATTATGGTTAGTTTTCTTATATATGGAAGCCTCAGAAAAGTTAATATAAAATCATAGCAGAAGGAAACTTATAGGACATATACCTTCCCACCACAAACAGATATTGTTTGATTTCAGTAACCACCAACTGTTCTCAACACAAGCAGCCATTTGGACATAAGAGAGACCTTAAAAAGGACCTAAATATCACATAGAACTTAATATTTTTGAGTTCTGTTTATAGCAATGACACCAGTCTGAATTTATAAAATACTTTTTCAAAGCATTTTCATTTACTTTCCCATTTTTCTAACATTCCTGTGATAATTGTAGAGGATATGGTTAAAAATTGTTCTAATAAGTGGGGAAATAAAAGAATTTTATGTAATTTATCTAAACAACCAACTAGTGCAAAATAAGAATTAGACTTGGCCTCCAAGTTTATAGTTCAGTACTCTATTTTACAGATGGTAATAAAATCTTAATATTTCTCGATGGATTATCATGCAATTAACTATACACAATTCTCATAGCATTAGTTGAAATGTTTATTTGAAGTGTCTTGAACAAGTTCACACAACTGTTAAGTGGATGATATAAGATCTAAGCTTGTATTTGTTTCATTTAAAGACTAGTGTTCAATTATTCCCGAAAATATTTTATCTCGATGATTGAATTAGGTCCAATATATTAATGTTTCTCTTATGTAATTATTAAATCCATCTCTCCCAAATGAGTCAGACTATTTTACATATAGAGGTGGAGCATGGCATAGCAGTTAAAAATGTGGCTCTGAAATGAGATGGCTTCATCCTTGGTCTAATAATTTAGCTTATTTGTACATTAGTTTTCTCATCTATAAGTACAGATAATTTGAATATGTATCTCATAGTAAATAAATTGCTTAGAATCATTTCTGTACATACAAAGTTCTTGATAAATTCATAATACCACTTCAATTGTCTATAGGTAAGCAAGAAAAAGCAATAACTATGTATGCTACATACATCCATTGCTCATT
The DNA here is from genome assembly GCF_000001405.40 of Homo sapiens. Classification (NCBI taxonomy): domain Eukaryota; kingdom Metazoa; phylum Chordata; class Mammalia; order Primates; family Hominidae; genus Homo; species Homo sapiens. The sequence continues at coordinate 58,149,770 of NC_000006.12, read as the reverse complement.
GCACACTTATCCATGTCTGGTACTGTGGTATATGTGAAATAGCTATAGATTACCCTCAGAAGCAGTTCACATCTTCCTATATTTATATTTAATAAAATTATGAATAGCTCAGCCTTTAGAGGAGGGTCTCAATATTCCCTGAAGATAAACTATATCCATAGTAACTAGCAGAATGTAAACAATTGAGAAGAATACTGCATCCACATTTCTGCTGAGTCCCAGCAGAAGGTTTCATAACTCCCTATGGAGACATTGGTGATCCATTATTTAGGGTAAACAATTTGTATTCTGCCAGTTGTTATGAGTAATCAAGATTCAAAACTGGCACCAAACACTGAAAGCTTAAGCCTCTGTTTGAGTGGCTTCGAGCTTTATCGTAACCACACAAGATAGAGAAAGTAAGAATGTTTAAGAAGTCCTGTGTTAATGATAGCAAGGGATGGACGTAATAAATACTGATTGAGTGACGTTTAGGTTGTGTATTTGCACGATTATAGCTATACCTTTGTTAATGAAATATATTGTTGCAAATCTGAAACTAGTTCATAACTGTAACCCACTATACTTGCCCCTTTATTTTAATTATGTCATTTTTTATTTCATAAGTTCTCATAAAAACATAGTTATTGAGTAATAACAGAATAGCCTATAAAGGCTTAAATGATTAAAAAGAGATGGCAGGTACTTAGAAGCCTTAAAAAAATCAGTGGACAAAATGGCTAGATTATTCCTATTAAAATTTTTTATTACAGGAGAGAGACAGAGAAAGAGAGGGTGGGGGGAGAGTGAGAGAGAGATAAAGAGGAGGGAGGAAGAGAGGAAGGCAAGGAAAGAAGGAGAATATATTAGAGCCCTTAAAATTTTCTAATACTGGTATATTTAATAGGTAGCTTTTCATTATCTCATTTGAAATATAGATAATAGAACAATTATTTTAAAAAATAATAGTAAACCCATAGGATGGAATATTAGGAAGCAATAATATGATGGTTTGGGGGTATATTTAATGCATACTCTGATGTATATTTTATATCATAGAAAAATGCTCATGATAACATTAAATGTAAAGTCAGAATATATAAACTACATATACAGAGAATATAAAGAATATAAATTATATAGAGTATAAAGTTTTATTTAAATAGTATACATACATATAAGAAAGGTGAGAAAGAAATATGCCAAAACATTAATAAATCCTAGGTGATAATATTATAAATGATGTGTATTTGTTACTTATAATTTTCTAAAATGTCTTTATAACCAGAAAGTTTTTTAATTATTAGTATTTTTAATGCATGGAAAAAAACTAACACATCTATATGATTACATTTTCCTCCAAAGGTTAAGAAAACATTATTTTTTAATTCTGTCCTTAAAAAATTTATGTCCAAAATTTTAAATTTTGTCCTTAAAAAAAAAGGATAAAATTTTTAAATGCCCATCCATGTCCCTTCAAAGGACATAATTTCATTCCTTTTTATGGCTGCATGGTATTCCATGGTGTATATGTACCACATTTTCTTTATCCTTTCTATCATTGGTGGGCATTTGGGTTGATTCTGTGCCTTTGCTATTGTGAATAGTGTTGCAGTGAACATACACATGCATGTATCTTTATAATAGGATGATTTCTATTCCTTTGAGTATATACCCAGTAATGGGATTGCTGGGTCAAATGGTATTTCTGGTTCTAGATCTTTGAGAAATTGCCACACTGTCTTCCACAATGACTGAACTAATTTACATTCCCACCAACAGTGTAAAAGCATTCTTATTTCTCCACAGCCTCGCCAGCATCTGTTTTTTCTTGACTTTTTAATAATTGCCATTCTGACTGGCATGAGATAGTATCTCATTGTGGTTTTGGTTTGCATTTCTCTAATGATCAGTGATGTTCAGCTTTTTTTCATGTGTTTTGGCCACATAGATGTCTTCTTTTGAGAAGTGTCTGTTCATGTCCTTTGCCCACTTTTTGATGGGGTTGTTTTTTTTCTTGTAAATTTATTTAAGTTCCTTGTAAATTCTGCATATTAGACCTTTATCAGGTGAATAGATTGAAAAAATTTTCTCCCATTGTGTAGGTTGTCTGTTCACTCTGATGATAGTTTCTGTCTTACTATTTCAAGGAAGCCATTATCCTCAGCAAACTAACACAGGAACAGAAAACCAAACACTGCATGTTCTCACTTATAAGTGGGAGCTGAACAATGAGAACACATGGACATAGGGAGGGGAACAACACGTACTTGGGCCTGTCAGGGGTGGGGTTGGGGGAGGGATAGTATCAGGATAAATAGCTAATGCATGCAAAGCTTAAAACCTAGGTAATGGGTTGATAGGTTCAGCAAACCACCATCGCACACGTTTACCTGCATGCCCTGCACATGTATCCTGGAACTTAAAATAAAATAAAATTAAATTAAATATTTTAAATGTTTAACAACTAACCTTTCACATAAGTTATTCTTATTAACTCTATACAATAACTTTTTGTTTTACGTCTTTAATAAGATGATCTTACTTGCTACCCAGAGGGCAAAACCTAGGCAAACAAAAACATTTACATTTCGGCCACAACATTTTTTCTGAAGTTTCCAAAATTTTCCAGGACTTGATCAAATGTCTTTATTTTATGTCTCTAAATTCAAAATTATCAACATTTAAGACATGTCGTGTGAGTGTGTGTGTTACTATTTGTGTTACCTTTATTAATTAAATATTTTTTAAAAGTTTAAAATTAGTTTCAAAAATTGTGTCTGTCTTTACACATTCTTAACAAAAGTATTTTTAACATTAAGAAATATATTTTGTGTAACATAGTGGCTTCCTAAAAAAAATATATAATTTGAGATGTACAGCAAAAAGAAGATATACTAAGTACAGTAACTATAACATCAGGATCTTGATTTATGAATGTAAAAGGTGAACAAGAGAAAAAACATGGGAGCAAAAATTCCAAAAGAAAATATATACTACTTTTAGAAATTTTTGCTTCTTTTTTTGTATATATTTTTCTCACATACATTTCTCCTAAAAAAGTCAAAAATATAACTTGAGTGAAAGGGAGATATACTAAGTGCAGTAACTGTAAGATGGGCATGTTGATTTATGAATGTAAAAGGGTAAACATAAGAGAAAACATGGAAGCAAAAAATTTCAAAAGAAAATATATATATATTTGTTTCCATATTTTCTCATATATATATTTCTCATATCATTATATATGAGTTTAGTGGGGGAAAACATATAAAAAGAACCTGGCTGTAAATCACTTATATGGTCATGCCAAGAAAAGCAAAAAGAAAGGCTACCATTGCACAGAAGTTAAGCATAACACCTGAGAAATATAAATGAATTTGAACACTAGCACTTTTACCTACATTGACTCTGTGGGGCTAAAGCAAACCACTGTGCATGAATTGTTTTGGAGGGGGTCGGAGAAAAAAAAGCAAAGTTGGGGGAATCACAAGGATTCTACAGTCTATAGACCATATCATAGACTAATAAGCAAATACTGTTAATCCCAGAGAACTCATTTGGTAAGTCCTTTGGCTTTGTGTGCTATTCTGTACATGAGATGCTCCCTTTTCTCCCCATCAAGTGGTTTAATTTTTCAATTTGAGGCACTATTGGTATAAAGCATGCCTCATTAGCTTGTGGGAGGTAGCTGATATTCATTAATTCAATTCTCACTTCATTTGCTTTGCACATAGTTGTAATTAGTTTCCAAATAACTTGGGTAACTTCAATAGATTTATGACTACAATTTTACTCTACATTTGCTTTTTTACTCCTTTTTTTTCCCCCTTTTCTGATATTTTACAGAAGTTAACCTTTAAAAGGACAAAGCTACTTTGGGGAGCGATTTGATGTTAAAAATTATGGCTTTCAGTTGTCTTGTATGATTAATGAACAGAGATTTTGGCATTTTAGTAATTCTCTCACCTTGCAAATTCTGATAAAAAGACAAATAATTGATGTTTTTTCACTTGTTGGAAAATATTTTAAACTATAAATTCAAACAGAAGATTTTCAAGCCTCATGCAATTTCAGTATTGTGTATTTATTGCTTCAATCTATATAGAATGTTAGTGTTACATTTTTGAAATATTGTTTTCATATGGTAATGTTAATACATCAATAAAAATCAAGACCATGAATTGATATTGATGTTTGTGGTAGATCAAAGACAAAAAACTAATCACAGTAGGTTGCAGCTCCTTCCATGTAGAGATAAAATCTATTTCACTTTCTCCTGAATCTGGGCTTAGCCACGTGACTTCTTTGGCCAAAGGACCCTAGCAGAGACAAGAAGAAAGCTGGCACACTGGAGTGTGCTTTTACCTGTTGCTTTTAGAACCGTGTGAAGAAGCCTGCTAGAGGGTGGATATGTGACCCACTCACCCTGGCCATCCAAGTCAACTGTCACACTTGCAAAAAGGGACATATGGAACCAACCAGAGATCCTAGCCACCCTCCAGCTGACTGTAGCCACAAGTGAGATTATCAGAATACCCCAGATGAGCCTAACCTAAAAATACTGACCCACAGAGTTGTATGCAAATGAGCTCATGATCTTTGTTTTAAACACTAAGTTTTGGGATTTGTAACAAAGCAAAGATTAATAATACAGTCAATATTTTTAAAGAATCAAAACAAATCTAAAGGCCTCTTCTTTACAATGACCATGATTTTGTTTTACACGGAGCTTCCAGCAAAATATAATGCCTATCTGTGTCAGTCAGTTTTGCACTGCTATAGAGGAATACCTGAGACTGGGTAATTTACAAAGAAAACAGGTTTACTTAGCTTGTGATTCTGAAGGCTGTACAGGAAGCATGGAACCTGCGACTGCTCCACTTCTGGTAAGGGCCTCAGGGAGCTTAAAAATATAGCAGAAGGCAAATGGGGAGCTGGCATCTCACATGGTAAGAGAGGGAGCAAGACAGAGATGGGGAGTAAGTCCCAGACTTTTAAACTATCAGATCTCACATGAGCTAACTGAGCTCACTTATCACCAAGAGGATGGTGCTAAACCATTCATAAGGGATCCGCCCTCTTGATCCAATCACTGTCCACCAAGCCCCATATCCAAAACTGGAAATCACATTTCAACATGAGATTTAGAGGTGATAAACATCCAAACCATATCACTATGATTTTAGAATCATTTTATCAATGAAAAAATATGATTAAAATAGGCATGGGAGGATGTAGAAACTGCCCTGTGATATAACTTGAATGAACCTACCACGAAGCAGCTTAATATATTCATTAGATACCCACTAAATATTAATATGATAAGTATAGTAAGATATAGAAGGTAGGTAAGCAACCAAATATGGCTACTACCCTTAATGAATGAATTTGAATGAATGCAAAACCTCACTTCTCCAGAACAAGACCATCAAGAAATCTCACTTAGCTCTATCAGTGAGAAACAAAAGTAAGCAATATGTGTGACATCATGAGCTTCATACAATAAAGCTTCTACTTTTTACCATAGGTGAATCTCTAAGGCCATGAAAAGTGCTTATTTAGTCTAACTTTATATGTAACTTTAACAAATTAGATCATGTGGTTTTCAAGAAAAAAATTAGATTAAGGCATCAAGTGAGAAAGAAAATAGTTTAGAGACAGGCACACCATACCAAAAACAACAACAACAACAACAACAACAACAAAAGAGCTGCTATAAACAAACCAAAAAAAATGGCAGAAAACCTAAAAAGAGAATACCCAATAACTCAATACTCAATACTCAATAACTCAAGAAGCAATGCATCTGAGACCACTGAAAAGCCCTATCCTCCTCAATGATTCCCATTGCATTATACACACAGTGCATTAACTCACATTCCTTGTGATGACTTATGTCTTCAAACACCTGTTAAACTGTGTGTGTTTAAAAAACAAAAAACCAAACAACTCAATTAAAAAATTGACAAGGGACTTGAATAGACATTTTTCCAAAGAAGGTATAAAAGTGGCCAAGAAGCATTTTAAAAGGTGTTTGACATCACTATCATTAGGAAATGCAAATTGAAACCGCAATGAGATACCACTTCACACCCATTAAGATGGCTATTGTCCAAAAAGCAGAAAATAACAACTACTGGCAATGACATGGAGAAATGGGAACCTCTGTATATTGCTGGTGGGAATGTTAAATGATGCGGGCACTGTGAAGATACAATGGCTGTTCTTCAAAAAATTTAAACATAGAAATACTATATGACCCAGAATTCCACTTCTGCATATGTATACAAAAGAATCGAATGCAGGGGCTTGAACAGATATTTGTATACCAACAGTCATAGAAGCATTATGCACAATAGCCAAAAAGTAGAAACAACCCAAAAGTTCATCAACAGATGTACAGATAAACAAAAAGTGGCCTATACATATAATGGAATGTTATTTAGCCTTTAAGAGGAATGGAATTCCTATCACATGCTATAACATGGGATATGAGAAACCTTGAGAATATTGTGATAAGTGAAATATGCTAGAAACAAAAGGATAAATATTATATGGTTCCACTTACATGAGGTACCTAGAACAGTAAAATTTATAGAGAAATGAAATAGAATGGTAGCCACCAGGGTTTGGGGGAGGGGAAAACGGGGAGTAATTGTTTAATGGTACAGACTTTCAATTTGGGATGATTAAAAAGTTCTGGAGATGCTGGGGAGTAGCCATGGTTGCACAACAATGTGAATGTACTCAATGTCACTCAATCGTGCACTCAAAAATGGTATATAGTAAATTTTATGTTATAAATATTTTACCACAATAAAAAAAGGTCAGGATCAATTAGTTACTGTATGTATAAAAATCGATGGTAAAGGAGTACTAAACATAATGATTTGGTGAGGTTTCATCTAACTTGGGTAGGAAGCATCAAGGGCAAAGAAAAACCAGGATGATGCCTGAAAGATGAGTAGGAAAGGAGAAGCATGCCAGATGAGGGGAACAGCGCACTCAAAAGCACAGAGGTCAGAACAAACAAACACACTAAAAAAACTTCCTGCCTGGAGTTTGGAGTATATAGGAAGAGGGATATTGAGAAATGGGAGATAAAAATGTTTCTTGTTATAAAGAGCCATCAAAGCTAGGAAAGAAATTAGGAGGGCATAATAAAATTTAAAATTTTATCAATCCACTGAATGTCTTGAAGTTGATAAGGGGAATGATACAACTTTTACAGAAAATAATCTTTGCAACATAATGCACATTGAATGGAACTGGGGAAATCTGGTATCAGCGATGCCTGCTAGGTGTTGCTCAGTAATCCCTATATGAGATGATAAGCACCCAAACTAGAATTACGGTGTTAGGAAGGAAAGAGAGATGACAAATATAAGACATTTCCAAAAAATACCAAAATTGGAGACTTACTGATTTAGAGATAAGTATACTTCAGTCTACATCATTGACAGGCCATCATCTGAGTATAGAATTAATATATGAAAACAATATAATTATAACCCTGGAACATTTGGCAGAAAAAAAGATCATAGAGCAGAATTTAAATCCAAGACTTTGTTTTTTACAAGAATTGCATTACAGAAAGGAAAAGCTGGAGAGTGCTCAACAGTCAGATGCTGGGAATGACTATATCTCAGTTTCTTAACACACCAATATTATTAGGGCTTCTTTTATCCCCACTTTGCAAATGACAAAACTGTGGTTGAAAAAAATAACTTGTTCAGTATCTTTCGGTCAGTAAGTAGAGGAGTACACTGCTACTTTGGTAGCAAAATAGTGCAAATAAAATAAATAGCTCTATGTTTTTGTGCTAGAGTAGAAATGTTTCTGAGCAATCACAGCCCCAAATCACTGCAAAACAAAAGCACGAACTTAAAATATACTAATAGTGACTCAAAACCTCCCATAGTATACCTCATACTATTCCCCAATCTGAAGTATTTTCCAAGTTTCATAAAGTCATACAGTACAGGGCATATTGACAATTAGTCCATTGTCCAGCTAACAGATCTCCAATTTTCAGTATAGCACACTATAATAAAATGTGCTTTAATGTGTGTTCTAGCACTAGTTAAATAAAAATAGAATTGTAATCCTAACTTTTCTACCAAATAAGTTATCTGATAATTTAATATGTAATTCTTAAATTCTGAAACTGAGAATATAATCTTTCTGAATAAACAGATACAACTTACAGATTTTCATACAGTTTGGATCTGTATCTCCACCAAACCACATGTTGAATTGTAATACCCAATGTTAGAGGTGAGGCGTGGCAGGAGGTGACTGGATCATGGGGGCAGTTTCTCATGAATGGTTTAGCACCATCCTCTTGGTGCTACTCTCATGATAGTGGATGAGTGAGTTCTCATGAAATTTGGTCATTTAAAAGTGTGTGGCACCTCCCCCATCTCTCTCTTCATCCTACTCTGGCCATGTAAAGTGCTTCATTCCCCCTTTGTCTTCCACCACTATTAGAAGCTTTCTGAGGCCTCCCCAGAAGCAGAAAACATTATGCTTCCTGTACAGCCAGAAGAACCATGAGCCAATTAAACCTCTTTTATTTATAAATAACCCAGTCTCAGGTATTTCTTCATAGCAATGCAAGAATAGACTAATACAGGCTGTATTCTCAGAATCTTGACCAATTGTTTCTGAACTACATTTTCTCCCTCATCCTCATCAAATTATTAAGTTCATTTATATGCACAAAGATAATTCAGAAGTTGTATAATGAGTCCAGACTGTGAAAACAAAACTGTATTTGTGAACATCACTCAGGTGTTGTTCGTATTTTTTATTTGTTTGTAATTCAATGCACCCTTCATTTAAAAATGACCATCACAGTAATTTTGAAACTCCATTATCTATGGAGTTTCAAGATAACTTGGATGTCTCTAGATGTCACCAGCCTGTGGAAAGAGAGGAAGCTGCATCAGCAGATATCCAATATTCAGTGGTTCACTGTCTTTTTGCTCATGGAGGAAGGACTCCGATCTCTGGAAGGGTCCCTTGCCCAGGTATTTCTGGAAGTGTCCAACAGGGGAAGAATAAATCTGCTATGTTATCTGCTTCCAACTTCTCCCTCTGAGGGTTGCCTTCCTGCAGGAAAACTGCCAATCACAGCCATACCCTCCCATAACTTCCATGAAATGCCTGGGCCCATGTTAAGGTGCCGCCTCCATGTTCCCAAAGAAGACAGTCTTGGAATAGTAGTCTATGCCAATTGTTATCTGAGGATGAAAAAATGACCCCCTCACATACTCTGTGCAGTCCTCTGTCATTGTCCTTGAAGCAGCCCAGCTCATTCCACAAGCATCATGGCATTTCTCATGAAAGCAGCTCCTTCAGCTTTTTCCCCTCCATCATTCTATCGAGGCTCAAAAATCCAAATAGGCTGTAGCCATTTTGCTCTCTCCATTGTTATTTGCCACACACCACCTCCAGGTACTTCTGCAATGAAAAATTCTGCCTTAACCTAGAACAAAATATCTTATTCATAACAAGGTATGCTGACAGATGTTCTTATAGGTCACCAGACCACTAGCTCAGCAAACAGTAAGAGGCTTATTCTCAATGTGATCTCAGCTTGGATCCACTTTAAATGGCCATGGACTGAAATCATTCTTATAATCTAAATGTAACAAAAAAATACTTAAACTATAAATGGAAGCATAGTTATGTAGCAGGCTGATATATGCCAGCATCAAGGGATTAAATAGGTAGAAATACTTCCTTCTCTATTTATTCAATCCTATTACCTGAAAGAAAATGAACTGCTATCTGAAATCACCTGAAAGAGGGCCACTGGCTATTTCAAAAGCGTAATCTAGAAATTGATGAGCTGACATATTTTAATAAACCTTTTTTTCTCTGAATTTGGAATTCAATCCCTACTTGGTTAGTTGGTCTCATATAAATCCTCTTTTCTTTGGATTTGCTTTCTACGTAAATGCTTGCTACTTTGTGTTTGAATCCTAAAGCTTTTGGATGTGGTATGGGTATAAAATACAAAAAAAAAAAGTCATTATTTCCCTTATATTCTTTTTTAAAAGGCCACAGTAATTTCTTTAAAATGGAAAGAGATATTTTGCTATGAGGCAAATTATAAAATTACTGAAGTGAGTTAGAGTGTAATTATTCATATATGCATGTAGAGAAACCACCACCATGTAAATGCCTAAAATATAAATTTGTCAAAAAATACTGACTGTTTCCTACATATAAGTGGACATACATGTGTGTGTAGATAGTAGATATACACAGGCATATGTGTACACATTCATGCAAACGCAATAAGAATTTTTTTCTAACACTTACTTGATTTTATTCAAACTTGCGCACACGTTTTGGAAACAGAGTTTAGGTTCTAGTTCTGTCTTAGCCTATTTGTGTTACTATAAAGGAATAACCTGAGGCTGAGTAACTTATAAAGAAAAGAGGTTTATTTGGCTCATGGTTCTGCAGGCTGTAAAAGAAGTATGGTACTAGTATCTGCTCCCGGTAAGGACTTTAGGTGTCTTCCACTCAAGGTGGGAAACAAAGGGCATGTGCAGAAATCACATGGTGAGAGAAGCAGCAAGGGAGGAGGGCAGGGAGATGCTAGGTTTTTTAAACAACCAGTTCTCATAGGAGCTAATAGTGCAAGAACTCACTCATTACCATGAGGATGGGACCAAACCATTCATGAGAGATCTATACCCAAGAATCACTCAAGCACCTCCCCTTAGGTCTCACCTCCAACACTGGGGATCAAGTTTCAACATGAGATCTGGGGAGACAAACATCCAAACCATAGCAAGTTCCTAGAGCACAAGAAGTAACTTCTTTTCAAATTCACATAGGTTAAGAGGAAGTGTTATTAAATGTATTTTTCAACAGTAGAGTTTACATCCAATTCCAAAATTAAAGATAATTAGTCACTTTTTTTTCCTTGTTTGGGTTAACAGGCTCAACCTCAATAAATCCAAAGAAAGTGCTCAAAAGAAACTATCAACACTTAATTGCAGTGAACCCCTTACCCTTCCCTCCTCCATCTCCTTACGTGGTCGATGACGTATGAAATCAAGGTAGGGAAGAGAGGTATGGAGTCTTTCTTGTGATAATTCAAATTAATGTGCACGTGCTTGGTTTACTGAGGCTGATTCAAAGTCAAGCAGGCAAATAGCATCTATCACAGGAATCAGAGACTTACCTACCCTACTAGGGTAGGGTGTAGGGGAATGCATGCCACAAGAAAGCCTAAGTATGCCTAAAAGGAAGAAGTGCCTCTACTAAAGGGGGAAGGAAATTCAGAAAATGAGTTATTGGAGAGCTGTAACAATCTTTACAGGATTCATAACTCAGTCTAGGAAACTCCATACCTGGAATTTCTCTAGAGAAAAAGAAGCTGTGTCAAGATGTTTCTGTTATGTTCAGCTAGAAATGCATCCAACTTTATTTGAATGATTTATAAAGATTTGTGTTGTTATTTTTAAACATAGACTTTGTTATAAAGATTTTTTAAAAGAATTTGTTAGTAAGTATCATGTACTTATACACACACAGAGCTTTTTAATCAAGTCTTAATCTCCATAGGCCTGACACCTATGTGATATACAGACCCAGATGAAAGGATAATGACAGTTTGCCAAGAAAGGTTGTATTGCTGTCATACAATCCATCCATAAATTTCATAGTGACTAAATAAACATGGATGTGTCCTTCTGAATTGTTCAATAAGCAGATAATACTCTTTAAAATTATTAGTATGCTTGCTTTCTTTTCTTGTATTCAAAGCTCATTATTTATTGGTCATTTTAGAGTCCTTAACATGTAGAGTATTTAAATAAAACCTAAAATATAATGATTCTGTATGATTTCACCTCAGTGAGGCAAATCTACATATTTCTTCTAGTATATTGGTTCTCAACTTGGGGTGATTTTACCCCACAGTGGACATCTGGCCATATCTGGGGACATTTTTGTTTGTTAAAATTGGAGAATGCTACTGGCATCTGGTGGGTGCTACTAGCATTTGGTCAGGGACGCTACTAAACATCCTGCATTGTGCAAAACAGCCCCCTATGACAAGGAAGTATAAATGAAACTTCTCTACTTCCGAAGGCTGACTCCATTCCTTAAAGTTAGTGTTTCTAGGAGGGCTACCCTCAAACTGTGCACTTGAATACATTCTCTTTAAATCAGATTATGATCCTTTTGATTATTTAACATATTTGCTTTTGTATCTCCAGTAGCTAATATAGTACGTGGCACATAATAGGCTCTCAGTAACTGTTTAATGAATGAATAACTTAGGACAATAATGAGACAGAGGTCGAGTCTTAACTCAGCACAACTTGACTATCTGACCTGGAGCAACTGAGGTATTCTGCCTTTGTTTCCTCAACTGGAAATACGTACTTAGATTTTATGACTAATTTTTAAATGTATTAAGTGATTTAGAATTGGTGATTTTTTTTGTCTCCAACTTTTTTTTTCCTTTTCTTTTAGGTTTAGGAGTACATGTGCAGGTAAACTGCGTGTCAAAAGGGTTTGGTGTACAGATTATTTTGCCACCCAGGTAATAGACATAGTACCCAATAGGTAGTTTTTCAATCCTTACCCTCTTTCCTCCCTCCAACCTTATGTAGGTCCTGATGTCTGTTGTTACCTTTTTTGTGTCCATATGTACTCAATGTTTAGCTCCCATTTATAAGTCAGAACAGGTAATATTTGGTTTTCTGTTCCCATATTCACTTAGAACAATGGCCTCCAGCTCTATCCATGTTGCTGCAAAGGATATGATCTCATTGCTTTTTATGACTATGTAGTATTCCTTGGTGTATATGTACCACATTTTCTTTATCCAGTCTACTGTTGATGGGCATTTAGGTTAATTCCATGTTTTTGCTATTGTGAATACTGCTGTGATGAATATACATGTGCATGCATCTTTATGGTGGAACAATTTATATTTCTTTAGGTATATACCCAATAACGGGATTGCTTGGTCAAATCGTAATTCTGCTTTGAATTCTTTGAGGAATTCTTTGAGAAAGCTAAATAGCTGTCCACAATGGCTGAACTAACTTACATTCCCACCAGCAGTGTATAAGCATTCTCTTATCTCCACTTTTTTCCACTTCATAAGCATCTGTTATTTTTTGACTTTTTAATAATAGCCATTCTGAAATGTTAGATGGTAACTCATTGTGGTTTTCATTTGGATTTCTCTAATGATTAGTGATGTTGAACATTTTTTCATATGTTTGTTGGCCACATATACATCTTCTTTTGAAAAGTATCTGTTCATGTTTTTTGCCCATTTTTTAATGGGGTTGTTTGTTTTCTGCTTGTAGATTTGTTTATGTTCATCATAGATTCTGGATACTAGACCTTTGTTGGATGCATAGATTGCAAATATTTTCTCCCATTCTATGGTTGTCTGTTTACTCTGTTGATAGTTTCTTTTGCTGTGCAGCAGCTCTTCAGTTTAATTAAGTCCCATGTGTGAATCTTCATTTTTGTTGCAATTGCTTTTGATGACTCTGTCATGAAACTTTTGTCAGGTCCTATTTCTAGAATGAGATTTTCTAGGTTATCTTCTAGGGTTTTTATAGTTTGAGGTTTTATATTGAAGTCTTTAATCCATCTTGAGTTGATTTTTGTATATGGTATAAGGAAGAGGTCCAGTTTCAATCTTGTGCATATGGTGAGCCAGTTATCACAGCACCATTTATTAAATATGGAGTCCTTTCCCCATTGCTTGTTTTTGTTGACTTTGTCAAAGATCACATGGTTGTAGGTGTGCAGCATTATTTCTGGGCTATCTATTCTGTTCCATTTGTCTATGTGTCTGTTTTTGTGACAGTAGCATGCTGTTTGGGTTACTGTAGCCTTGTACTATAGTTTGCAGTCAGGTAAGATGATGCCTCCAGCTTTGTTCTTTTTGCTGAGAGTTGCCTTGGCTATTTGAGCTCTTTTTTTGTTCCATATGAATTTAAAAATAGTTTTTTATCATTCTGCGAGGAATGTCATTGGTAGTTTGATAGGAATAGCACTGAATCTGCTCATTGCTTTGGGCAGTATGGCCAATTTAACCATATTGATTCTTCCTATCTATGACCATGGAAATGTTTTCCATTTGCTTGTGTCACCTCTGATTTCTTCCAACAGTGTTTTGTAATTCTCACTGTAGAGATCTTTGACCTCCCTCATTAGCTGTATTCCTAGGTATTTTATTCTTTTTGTGGCTACTGTGAATAGGATTGCATTCTTGATTTGGCTTTCAGCTTGGTTGTTGTTGGTATATAGGAATACTACTGATGTGTGTACATTGATTTTGTATCTTGAAACTTTGCTGAAGTTGTTTAACAGATTAAGGAGATTTTAGGCAGAGACTATGGGGTTTCCTATGTGTAGAATCTTACTATCTGCAAACAGGGATAGTTTGACTTCCTCTCTTGCTATTTGGATGCCTTTTATTTCTTTCTCTTGACTGATTGCTCTGGCCAGGATTTCCGCTACTATGTTAAATAGGACTGGTGAGAAAGGGCCCTTGTCTTGTTCTTGTGTTCAAGAGGAATGCTTCCAGCTTTTACCCATAAAAATTGGTAATTCTTTTGCTAGAGAAATAAAATACAAAGTTACTAATTTCCTTCCTATTCTAATCTGGAATGTTCTAGTCCCACAGAAAAATTTCACATGCAAAGTTAAATTAATTTTAATACCATGCCAGGCCAAAAAAAAAAAAAAAAAAGAAGAAGATGGCTTAGGATACACACTGGGAAAAAATCCTACAAAGGACTAGAGAAAAAAAGAATACTTCATTAAGCTTTAACTTATTGACAGGCACTGTGCTAGGAAGTGAGAAAACAAATGAGTAGGACATTATCTCCTTTCTGAGCAACTTACCCAGACAAACCAAGGGACAACCCAAGAATGTCACAAGCAAGTTTTCTCAGTGAGGAGGTGGATTGGAAAAGCAGAACCACCCAAGGGGCTTTAACACACTCCATACCTCTCCTCTTCACTGAATCCCATTTCTCTGTCTGCTTAGAGTAAGTGCCATGCTAAGCCACTCTCACTGAGAGACCTAGGCCACATTCCTTAGGAACCAAGAATATCCAATTGGTTAAAGTTTAGAATTATGGCTAGATTGAGGTAAAGAAAAAGACAAAGTGAGCAATAACTATTTTATTTAATATTTGTTATTATTATCATTTCTTAAGAGACAGGGTCTTATTCTATTTCCCAGGCTGGAATGCAGTGGCACAATTATGGCTTATTGTAACCCCAAACACCTGGGCTCAAGCTATCCTCCCACCTCGGCCTCCCAAGTTGCTGGGACTACAAGTGCGCATCACCACATCCAGCTAAATTTTTTTTTTTTTGTAGAGATGGCGGTCTCCCTGTGTTGCCCAGGGTGATCTTGAATTCCTGTCCTCAAGCAATCCTCCCACCTCAGCTTTCCAATGTGCTGAGATTACAGGTGGCAGCACACCTGGCCCTTTTTTTTTTTTTTTAATTTTAAAAAATGCCATTGAAGTAAGGGAGTATTTCTCCGGCATTACAAATTTGTCTTATAACCACAAATAAATTTCAAGACTTATTACTGTGGTGTTTTGAAAAATACTACAAAAGCTAAAGGGGTTCTCAAACTTGGGTCAGTATTAGAATCACCCAGGGGACTTGGTAAAGTCCAAGGCCTAGGCTTTGTCCTATCTAAGTAAAAATGCACTGGACACTTGTTAAAAATAGTAAGATGAGTTTATTCAGGCTACTGTAGTAGGGGAGGAAGACTTCTACTGAAATAAAAGGTAGAAGAGCTTTTAAGCACTGGGGTGAGCTAGCTTCTTAGCAGAATGATTGCCAACGTGATTAGGTCATCTGTGTTTGCTAATTGTCTCCTATTGAAGTTAGGCTCCTACCACTCACAGAGACTGGAAAATAGTGACACTATCTTCCTTTACTACATTTCAAAAGGATGGCCTCCAGGTCCTTGAGAAAGACATCAGTGGGTGGTAAAAAATGTCAAGAGGCTGGAAAAATATTTATATCTCAAAGGAAGGGAGGAAGAATTTACAGTTGTAATTTTAAAGTAAATGTTATTAAAAAAAAAAAAAAAAGGGAGGTCCCAGGGATGAAGCCAACTTGATTGTGGTGGATAAGCTTTTTGATATGCTGCTGGATTTGGTTTGCCAGTATTTTATTGAGGATTTTCACATCAATGTTCATCAGGGATATTGGCCTAAAATTTTCTTTTGTTGTTGTGGCTCTGCCAGGTTTTGGTGTCAGGATGATGCTGGCCTCATAAAATGACTTAGGGAGGAGTCGTTCTTTTTCTATTGTTTGGAATAGTTTCAGAAGGAATGGTACCAGCTCTTCTTTGTAGAATTCAGCTGTGAATTTGTCTGGTCCTGGGCTTTTTCTGGTTGGTAGGCTATTAATTACTGCCTCAATTTCAGACCTTGCTATTGGTCTATTCAGGAATTCAACTTCTTCCTGGTTTAGTCTTGGGAGGGTGTAGGTGTCCAGGAATGTATTCATTTCTTCTAGATTTTCTAGTTTATTTGCATAGAGGTGTTTATAGTATTATCTGATGCTAGTTTATATTATTGTGGGATCAGTGGTAATCTCCACTTTATCATTTTTTATTGTATCTATTTGATTCTTCTCTATTTTCTTCTTTATTAGTCTGGCTAGTGGTCAATCTATTTTGGTAACCTTTCCAAAAAGCCAGCTCCTGGATTCAATGATTTATTTTTGGAAGGGTTTTTGGTATCTCTATCTCCTTCAGTTCTGATCTTAGTTACTTTTTGTCTTCTGCTAGCTTTTAAATTTGTTTGCTCTTACTTCTCTTGTTCTTTTAATTGTGATGCTAGGATGTCCATTTTAGATGTTTCCAGCTTTCTGATATGGGCATTTTAGTGCTATAAATTTGCCTCCTAACACTGCTTTAGCTGTGTCCTGGAGATTCTGGTACATTGTCTCTTTGTTCTCATTGGTTTCAAAAAACTTCGTTATTTCTAACTTAATTTCATTATTTACCTAGTAGTCATTCAGGAGCAGGTTGTTCAGTTTCCATGCAGTTGTGTGGTTTTGAGTGAGTTTCTTAATCCTGAGTTCTAACTTGATTGCACTGTGGTCTGAGAGACTGTTATGATTTCCATTTTTCGCATTTGATGAGGAGTGTTTTACTTCCAATTATGTGGTTGATTTTAGAATAAGTGCTATGTGGTGCTCGGAAGAATGTACATTCTGTTGACTTGGAGTGGAGAGTGCTGTAGACGTCTATTAGGTCCACTTGGACCAGAGCAGAGTTCAAGTCCTGAATATTCCTGTTAATTTCCTGTCTCATTGATCTGTCTAATGTTGACAGTGGGGTGTTAAAGTCTCACTGTATTATTGTGTGGGAGCATAAGTCTCTTTGTAGGTCTCTAAGAACTTGTTTTATGAATCTGGGTACTCCCGTACTGGGTGCATATATATTTAGGATAGTTAGCTCTACATACCCAAATCAATAAACGTAATCCATCACATAAACAGAATCAATGACAAAAACCACATGATTATCTCAACAGATGCAGAAAAGGCCTTTAATAAAATTTAACCCCGCTTCATGATAAAAACACTCAATAAACTAGGTATTGATGGAATATGTCTCAAAACAATAAGAGCTATTTATGACAAACCCACAGCCAGTATCATACTGAATGGGCAAAAGCTGGAAGCATTCCCTTTGAAAACTGTCACATGACAAGGATGCCCTCTCTCACCACTCCTATTCAGCATAGTATTGGAACTTCTGGCAAGGGCAATTAGGCAAGAGAAAGAAATAAACTGTATTCAAATAGGAAGAGAGGAAGTCAAATTGTCTCTGTTTACAGATGACATGATTGTATATTTAGAAAACCCCGTTGTCTCAGCCCAAAAACTCCTTAAGATTATAAGCAAATTCAGCATCTCAGGATATGAAAATCAATGTGCAAAAATCACAAGCATTCCTGTACACCAACAACAGACAAACAGCCAAATGATGAGTGAACTCCCATTCACAATTGCTACAAAGAGAATAAAATACCTAGGAATACAACTTACAAGGGACATGAAGTACCTCTTCAAGGAGAACTATAAACCACTGCTCAAGGAAATAAGAGAGGACACAAACAAATGGAAAAACATTCCATGCTCATGGATAGGAAGAATCAATATCGTGAACATGGCTATACTGCCCAAAATAATTTATAGATTCAATGTTATTTCCATCAAGCTACAATTGACTTTCTTCACAGAATTAGAAAAACTACTTTAAATTTCATATGGAACCAGAAAAGAGCCCATACAGTCAAGACAATCCTAAGCAAAAAGAAAGCTGGAGGCATCACACTACCTGACTTCAAAG
This sequence comes from Homo sapiens, assembly GCF_000001405.40. Taxonomy (NCBI): domain Eukaryota; kingdom Metazoa; phylum Chordata; class Mammalia; order Primates; family Hominidae; genus Homo; species Homo sapiens. Next base: position 58,131,391 of record NC_000006.12, on the reverse strand, counting down.
TATACTACAAGGCTACAGTAACCAAAACAGCATGGTATTGAAACAAAAACGGATATATAGACCAATGTAACAGAATAAAGCCCTCAGAAATAACACCACACATATACAACCATCTGATCTTCAACAAATCTGACGAAAACAAGAAATGGGGAAAGGATTCCCCATTTAATAAATGGTGCTGGTAAAACTGGCTAGCCATATGCAGAAAACTGAAACTGGACCCCTTCCTCACACCTTATACAAAAATTAACTTAAGATGGATTAAAGACTTAAATGTAAAACCTAAAACCATAAAAACCCTAGAAGAAAACCTAGGCAATACCATTCAGGACATAGGCATGGGCAAAGACTTCATGACTAAAACACCAAAAGCAATTGCAACAAAGGCCAAAATTGACAAATGGTGTCTAATTAAACTAAAAAGTTTCTGCACAGCAAAAGAAACTATCATCAGAGTGAACAGGCAATCCAGAGAATGGGAGAAAATTTTTGCAACGTATCTATCCGACAAAGGTCTGATATTATCCAGAATCTGCAAAGAACTTAAACAAATATACAAGAAAAAAAAAACAACCCCATCAAAAAGTGGGTGAAGGATATGAACAGACTTCTCAAAAGAAAACAGTTATGTGGCCAACAAACATATGAAAAAAAGCTCATCACTGGTCATTACAGAAATGCAAATCAAAACCACAATGAGATACCATCTCACACCAGTTAGAATGGTGATCATTAAAAAGTCAGGAAACAACAGATGCTAGAGAGGATGTGGAGAAATAGGAAGGCTTTTACACTGTTGGTGGGAGTGTAAATTAGTTCAACCATAGTGGAAGACAGTGTGGCAATTCCTCAAGGATCTAGGACCAGAAATACCATTTGACCTAGCAATCCCATTACTGGGTATATACCCAAAGGATTATAAATCATTCTACTATAAAGACATATGCACACGTATGTTTATTGCAGCACTATTCACAATAGCAAAGACTTGGAACCAACCCAAATACCCATCAATGATAGACTGGATAAAAAAAAAATGTGGCACATATACACAATGGAATAATATACAGCCATAAAAGAGAAGGAATTCATGTCTTTTGCAGGGATATGGATGAAGCTGGAAACCATCATTCTCAGCATACTAACACAGGAACAGAAAACCGAACACTGCATGTTCTCACTCATCAGTGGGAGTTGAACAATGAGAACACATGGACACAGGAAGGGGAACATCACACACTGGGGCCTGTTGGGGGGTAGGAGGCAATGGGAGGGAGAGCATTAGGACAAATATCTAATAGATGTGGGGCTTAAAACCTAGATGATGGGTTGATGGGTGCAGCAAACCACCATGACACATATATACCTATGCAACAAACCTACATGTTCTGCGCGTGTATCCCAGAATTTAAAGTATAATAAAAAAAAAAAAGAAAGAAGAAAGAAAGAAAAGAAAAGAGAAAAGGGAGGTCAAGGGCCTATAGTTAAGAAACGTATCTAAAGTCTAGACAAACTAAGTGGATCATTAAGGCCATCTTGAGCATATGTCAGTGAGTTTTCTTAGTTCTCTAGATAAGAATCCAATAGGTACCCAAGACTGGAAACCAGCACTGAGATGTTTAGAAAAACTCTCAAAACTACCTCAAATTAAAGTGTTAACAAAATAACATAATCATATTTCATTTACGTTGTGTTCATGAATTCTCCCCTTACTCATTATATGTGACAGCAAAACATGTAACTTTTATGTGGGATGAAAAGAAATAGAACTAAAATGTAAGGCTTCCAGATAAAATACAGGACATGTGGTTCATACTTACTTTCTGAAATTCACATTTTACTGGGTGCTGTGTACTTTTATTCGCTGTATCTGGCCACCCTAAGGTGGAGATTATGCTTGTGCTTTCCCTCACAGCACACAAACAACTTCTAATTAAAAATCTTAAAGGTATTGCCTTGATGTTTTTGTGAAGAAGAATGTTTGAAATGAGTCAAGACAGATAAGAGTCTTAAGCCTTTTAGTACAGTAACCTTTTAGGAATTGCCTTTTCCTGAACATCCACTCTCCACAATGCCCAGGCCTAACAATACAGCCTCTTGATGTGCCTGAGGCCAGGTGTCTCTCTCAGCCATTGTTTGTGAGGCAAACCTTTTCTGCCTGGGGTGCCTGGATTTATGGAAGCCACTTATTCTCTTTTAAATGTTAGGAACTCAGCAGGTTGAAATATAAACGTTTTTTCAAACAGGTTCAAAGAACATGAACAATCTACAAAGGACATAATCAAATGCCTTCCAAATTGCAAAGCCACAGGTTCCAGACCCCACCAGATTTCAGTTTTGTGCATATTTTATCAACCATTTGAACAATGGAGAGTGGCTGACCTGCTTGGCTCAGTTATCAAAGGGATCTCTTGTATCCTGTAATGACAAAAGTGGGTCTGCATGACAATTTAACAGCAAAAGCCATTTCTTTCCATTTTATACTTTAAAAAACTGCCAAGTAATTAACTTCACAGCAGTTTTGTTGGCAAAGTAATACCACAGATAAAATGAAACATTCATTAATAATTGACCATGAAAACTGTAGTTAAATACTGTTGAGCTAATATAATCACTAACAGAAAAAGAGCAGAATGACTGAGATGTGGGAAAGTAAAAGCAATTACATGGGATGCTTCAGCTCTGAAAGGCTGAAAACGAAAGAAAAAGAGATCAAAAACAAGAGGTAAAAACATTATTTATAGTACCTGTATTATCATATATTTATGAGCTAACCAATCGATTATAGTGCTCAAGTCCAATATGATTTCCCCTTTTAAAAAAGAAACACACTCTCAAAAAGAGCCTTTCATTTGTGTAAAGATTCAAATAGGTAAAAGACACATAAACATGATAACCAAAAGTCCATCACAGTATATGATGAAATATCCAATTAAGCCAGCAATAACTATGGACCAAAGCAAGCACTTTATTTCTACTTTAAGGCCTATGTCTTGTCCATCGTACTGTCCTTTAACTAAATGCTACTGACAATGACTCTACCATCCTGTCACAATGTGGCTATTGTTTTCTCCCCCATACAAAAATCTTCTAAATGATTTGGGCCCCCCAAAAAATAGTATAAGTTCAAAAGTGTTCCTGGATAAATAAATCCTTTCATGTGGAAATATCTGCGATTCCTTTTATGCAGAAAACAAAACAAAAGGCAAAGGAAATAATTTCCTCTGCCTCAAATGGATGTTCTTTGTATATCTCCACTTCAGAATCTAGGTTACCCATAAATTCTGAGAAAAAAAAATCATAGAGAGAGGGTGATGAGCCTCGCACTAGATAATTTCTTAGCTTTTGTACTTGTGTATTGTTAAAATAATGCATGTTTAAATTGCTTTGATTTGAGGATCATTGAATAGCATCAAGCCTTTCCTACTGATAATTAAGTATCTTTGAGGATAAATAGTAATTAAACTTTAGTTTTTGTAATGGGGAGGCTCAGATACTAAGCTTTCTACTAAACCGCTATAAGCAAAGCTCAGAAATAGAACCTGGAATTTTCCATTTTTATCCTGTTCTGAGCAGAAGATTACATTATATCTTTGGGAATTATCTGTAATAGCATTGTTTAAAAGAAAATGCAGTAATGTTGCAGGAAAAAAGGGTATAGGATATGGATAAAATCATAACAAAAATCTCTATTGCAAAAGATTTTTGTTGCACCTGCGGTTCACTTTAGAACATCAGCAATCTGTTTTGAATTGGTCCATAATTTCTAGTGCAATTCAAAATAATTGCTAATGTGCTTTTTAACTTGCAATTTTCAGAGCCATAAACCATAAAATTCACTCTGGAAATGCTGAGGCTCTTTATTTTAAAATGTGAGAAAAGAAATGCCTTACGTCTTTTCTGTATGTTCCTACTCAAAGACGAACAGCTCTCTGGATCTGTAAGAGGAAGTTATGATTTGGTTCATAACACAAAGAAACAAGGGAGGGAAAAAAAGAAAAAGAAAAAAAGGCAAACAGAGATGAGTACTTGGCGGCCATGCTTATCAAATTAACACAAAAAATATGCTTTTCTGATTCAATTATTTTAATTACATAAGTCTGAGGTAACACAAACAATGTAGAATTGACCACAATTAATTAATTGTATTTATTATACTAGTCAAACTCCTGATTTAAGCCTATTATAACTCAGCTGTTTGGCCTTAAAGTAAGATAAATGATCCCATTCAATTTTTTTAATTTATTTATTTATTTGATTTTAGACACAGGGTCTCAAACTGTCACCAAGGCTGCAGTGCAGTGACACAATCATAGCTCACTACAGTCTCAAACTCCTAGGCTCAAGTGATCCTTCTGCCTCAGCCTCCCAAGTAACTGGGACCACAGGCATGCAACACCAGGTTCAGTTAAGTCTTTAAACATTTTTTGTAGAGACAGGGTCTCATTTTGTTGTCCACGCTGGTCTCAAACTCCTGGCTTGTTCAAGCGGTCCTCCTGCCTTGGCCTCCTAAAGTGTTGGGATTACAGGCATAATACCCTGTGCTTGGCTCAAAATTATCTCATTCTTTAAGGCAAAACATTATTTATTTATTTATGAAGGAATATTTCAGATGGATAGCTTAATGCTCAAATCCTGAAAAATCATTGTATTATGGATCGTTTCAAGGTTTCTTTTAAAGAACTCTAACAATATACATTGTACATTCTTTTTTCCTACTTAAAGTTGAAGTTCCTTTTCACAAATCGAAAGCAAGTTTGGCTGCACTTGAGCCAATGTATATATAAGCCTGAAAAAAAATGCTAATTAAACTTAAAGTGTTAAAGATAAATAATGAAATAACATGTTTTGCAAGTGACTGGAGAGTCCATTTCCAGTACACTCAGTTGTCTTAAACACAGATCTACCCCAGAATAGACTCCCCAGAAAGCTCCTTTCTAACTAGATATTTACATGTAGAAAGGTTCATGGATAGGCCAGTCCTGTTGTGTAGATTTGAAGAGCAAAGTCTCCAGCTTGCTTTATGTTATCATTTTGACAACATAAGACACTTTGAAAATATTTACTTCAGCTTATAAGCTATTTCCTTAAAAATTTTTATTTCTAAATATTGCTTCACTTTGGATCCTTTATCTACTTTGTTCAAACAAGGCTAAATAATGTCACTATTTAATAACAACTACACAAATTATTCCATTCCTGAAATTATCTAACATCAATTACATATTCGTTTTTCAGATTATAGGTAAATCCTTCATATCAGTTTATACCTAGAAAATATATTATACATTTATTATTCTAAAACTTAGCTTCTACTATAAATATGTGAACATACATGCCAAATTCAAATACCATCCCTTTGTACCTTTTTAGGTAATTACAACTGGACTGCAATTACAATTTTGAGGTAGATCTGTGCTGATAAAGATTAGTTAATGGTTTCTACAAAACTAGCTTACAAAAGATGATAACTTTCTTTAAAGTTTTTATATGATTAAAATAATTTTAAAAAACATATTTTCAATTCCATTGAATTAAAGTTTCAGATGTGACCTAGATCAAATCATCAAAATAAATAAATTTTGAGCTTTTATTGGGTTCAATAGGCCAAGATCTCAAATTAGTATATGTTTCCCACTATAGTATTATTTCCATTAGGCTACAAATGCTTTTTAAAGTTAGATATCATTTTATAAAACAGGAAAAGGGGTAATAAATATTCTTAGGGCCTTGGGATAATTTTTAACTTGTCAAGGAAACAGACAACTGACTTTTGTGGTTGGGTCAGGATAAAAGGATAAAGATAAAAGGGAATAATTTGTATTTCCCCACCTCTCCAGAGTGCTGTATAATTTACTTTCACATGGCCCAATTGTAAACTCACCACCTCTCTAAAGGCTTAATAAAAATTAGGGCTTTACTTGTATTCTATCATCTAAAAATATTCTGACTTGACGAGCATACTAAATATCTAGCTAGAATATGTGCTATGTGTTGTTGGGGTTCAGAAGATAATACCCTACAATATGGCATGTTGGCATGCTGAGTGCTTTGAACAAAGAAGATTGAAAAGCCTCAGAAATGAGCCTCAGAACTAAGGTCGCTCTCTCTGACCTTCTCCTGCCCTTTCTTCTCTTTCCTTTTGCTAGTGCAGAGAGGAGCTTTCTCAAGTTCCCTTATCTGACTGAAGGAAGTTCTTCCAAAAGGAATGCAATTGTCTTGAACCCCTTCCCTAGGAATCTCATCAAACAACCAGAAAAGATTATTTACCAGAAAGGACATTAAAAGTCATCACTACATCCAGGCTGGGCACCGTGGGGCTCACGCCTGTAATCTCAGCACTTTGGGAGGCCAAGGTGGGCAGATCACTCAAGGCCAGGAGTTTGAGACCAGCTTGGCCAACATGACGAAACCTTACCCCTACTGAAAATACGAAAAAAGAAAAAAAATAGCTGGGCATGGTGACATGCACCTGTAGTCCCAGCTACTCAGGAGACTGAGGAATGAAAATCACTTGAACCTGGGAGGTGGAGGTTGCAGCGAGCCAAGATCACACCACTGCACTCCAGCCTGGGCAACAGGGCAAGACTTTGTCACAAAAAAAAAAAAAAAAAAGAAAGAAAGAAAAAAAGAGGTAATCACCACATCCAGACGGCAGGCATCTTCTCCTGAAGGTTGATCCTTAAAGAACTTTTATTACCTAAGAGACTTTTATCTGTGTAGTAAGATAAACTTTGGTCACCATGAGATTCCTCCCCTTTCCCTCCCATAACTTACAGCCACCTGTAAAGTCCACCAAAAGTCTGAAGCCCCTATTCCTTCATGCTATTTTAACCTTCAACCATCTCTGTTCCCTTCTTTGAGTCTCATATCTTACATGGCTCCCATGCACACTTGCACATTAACAAATTTGTATGCCTTTTTGCCTATTAATGTATTGTCAGTTTATTTCAGCAGATTGAAACCTTCAGAGGGGAAAAGAAAAAATTCATTTCACTCCTACAGTGTTTACAAATTATATATGCACACAGGAATCATGCTATATTTATTTTAATATCACCAATACCTACAATATTTATGATGTATCAAGTTAATCAGTGGATGTATGTATACCAAATTGAAATTAAACACGTATCAAGAAGTAGACGGATAAGAATGAGAGGATAAAAGAGAACTATGCTCACAGATCATATGTACTCATACATCAGTCAAAATATGCAGACAGAAATAGATTTCTATGTACAAGAAGTAAAACATATTCCTAAAGCTTTCATAAAGCCAAAAGCCAAAAATATATACATTTTTTCAAATATTTACATAGATGGACTGCTTTAGGGAATAAATATAGCCTCATCGTGCTCAAGAAGGGAGTATAATGAGAGGACAGAGCCCAGGGTACTGATTTACTGCTCTCTTAGGTGCCTTTCCTTGCTGATTTATGGAGGTGCCATAGAAACGCCTTTGGAAGAAGCCTGTTCCCTTTTTCAGGGAATAATTACTGCTCTGACACTCAGCCAGGGAACACAGAGAGAAAAATAAAATATAGAAATTAATATGAAAACTTTTTTTAGTAAAATACATACAGGCATACCTCTGATAAATGTATTTAGTAAATACACACAGGCATACCTTATCTTACTTTAAGGCCAAATAGCTGAGTTATAATAGGCTTAAATCAGGAGTTTGACTAGTATAATAAATACAATTAATTAATTGTGGTCAGTTCTACATTGTTTGTGTTACCTCAGACTTACGTAATTAAAATATTTGAATCAGAAAAGCATATAATACCTCTGACATATTATGGATTTAATTTCAGACTACCACAATAAAGCGAAATCATAATGAAGCGAGTCACTTGAATTTTTTGTTTCCCAGTGCATATAAAAGTTATGTTTACAATATACTGTAGTCTGTTAAGTGTGCAATAGCATCATGTCTAAAATAACAATGTACGCACTTTAATTTTAAAATATTTTATTGCTAACAACAACAACAACAAAAATGCTAACAATCGGGCCGGGTGCAGTGGCTCATGCCTATAATCCCAGCACTTTGGGAGGCCGTGACAGGCGGATCACGAGGTCAGGTGATCGAGACCATCCTGGCCAACAAGGTGAAATCCTGTCTCTACTAAAACACACACACAAAATTAGCTGGGCATGGTGGTGTACCTGTAGTCCCACCTACTCGGGAGGCTGACGCAGGGGAATCGCTTGAACCTGGGAGGTGGAGGTTGCAGTGAGCCAAGATTACGCCACTGCACTCCAGCCTGGTGACAGAGCAAGACTCCATCTCAAAAATAAAATAAAATTTAAAAATGCTAACAATCATCTGAACTTTTAGCAAGTCATAATCTTTTTGCTGGTGAAGACTCTTGCTTCATTGTTGATGGCTACGGACTGATCAGGGTGGGGTTGCTGAAGGTTGTCGGGGTAGCTGTGGCCATTTCTGAAAAAACAACAATGAAGTTTGCTGCATTGATTGATTCTTCCTTTCACAAAAGATTTCTCTGTAGCATGCAATGCTGTTTGATAGCATTTTACCTTGTGTAGAACTGCTTTCAAAATTGGAGTCAATCCTCTCAAGCCCTGCCACTGCTTTGTCAACTAAGGTTATGTAATATTCTAAATCGTTTGTGGTCATTTCTACAAAGCTCACAGCATCTTCACTGTGAGATTTCATCTCAAGAAACTACTTTCCTTTGCTCATCAATGAGAAGCAGCTCCTCATTCATTCAAGTTTTATCGTGAGATTGCAGCAATTCAGTCACATCTTTAGATATCACTCTAATTCTAGTTGTCTTGCTATATCTACCACAACTTCAATTATAATAGTAACATCAAAGATCACTGATCATCACAACAGATACCTATCTGTTGTGATGATCTGATAAGAATGAGAGGAAAAAAGAGAACTATGAACTATTTCAAACTTTATTATTATTATTGTATCAGTATTAACAAAATGTGGCACAGAGAAATGAAGTGAGCACATACTGTTGGAAAAACGGCAATGATAGACTTACTCAGTGCAGGGTTGCCACAAACCTTCAATTTATTAAAAAAATAAAAAAAATCTGTGAAACACAATAAAATGAGGCATGCCTGATTTTTCTTCATATTTCATTAGTTTTTATATATTATTAATATTTGAACAATAGCAGTTTATATCGGATTATACTGTAAACTTTCATTGCCAAAAATACTACCTATCTGCGGTTGCAGTGTCACTAGATTCTGACATTATTACAGATAAAATTTCAGTTGACAAAATCCTGCAAAACAACCTAATAATGATGAGAAGAAAGATTTAAAGGGGTAAAATCAATTTTTTTGCCATTTTTAAGAAAAAAAAAAGATGATTTTCCTGATTTGAGGGGTCCATGATTCCTAACATAAAATCTATGAGACTTCTGTTTCTAGTAACAAAGAAAAATATCCTATGCTAAGATTATATAAAATTCTGGAAAGATGGGAACCCCTTTTTCCCTCTCCTCTTGACTCCAATCCAGCTACTAACAACATCCCCCTAATGGAGCAGCTGTCACCTTCTTCTCCTCCACCTACACTCTCCTCGTAATACGTCCCAGCAGTCAGAGAGAGAATGAACAAACACACCACCTTGTGAGACACAGCTACCAGAGGAAAAAAAATGACTACTGAACAAAAATTGAATGCGATTAAGATTCAGTATGACAAAAGATTTTCTAAAAATAGACATGATTTTCAAATTAAAAATGCAGTAAATCTCAGGATTGGAAGAATTTGCTAAAAAAAAATTAATTCAGTAAATGAATTTAACACAAGGATTTTTTAAATCTCTTAGGTCACTAACTCAGGTCCCAAAAGGGCAAATAAGAGAAAAGGGGCTTCAAGGGCAGATCACAAAGGGTAGGTGGCTGGGGGTGGTAGGGGTGGGGGGAGAGAATAAAATGTGATAATGTTTCAGATAATAGATAAAGTTTCCCTGAGCTAAAGAAAATCTTCAGTTCTCTTATTAAAATGGCTCACTAAATCCAGGAATGTTTGACACACACTTAAGCACATCATGGTAAAATTACTGATTTTTAAGAATGAAGAAAAAATATTTTACAATCTCCTCAATAGTTAGTAAATGTTACCTTGCAATACCCACATCAGAACAGTTACTTCAACTAACTGTACTTGAAATACAGTAAACAATACCCACATCAGAACAGTTACTCCAAGATAGTAGAGGAAAAAGAAAGGAACCAATGGTAAACCAAAAACATCCAAAAGAAAAAAAAAAACCTTTATATAACTAAATTAAAAGATAATAGTGCCCCCACCCTCACCTGCAACGCTCGACCCCAGGATTCCCCCAGCTTGCCTGCCTGCCATGGCCGACAAGGAAGCAGCCTTTGACGACGCAGTGGAAGAACGAGTGATCAACGAGGAGTACAAAAAATGGAAAAAGAACACCCCTTTTCTTTATGATTTGGTGTTGACCCATGCTCTGGAGTGGCCCAGCCTAACTGCCCAGTGGCTTCCAGATGTAACCAGACCAGAAGGGAAAGATTTCAGCATTCATCAACTTGTCCTGGGGACATGCACATTGGATGAACAAAACCATCTCGTTATAGCCAGTGTGCAACTCCCTAATGATGACACTCAGTTTGATGCGTCACACTACAACACTGAGAAAGGAGAATTTGGAGGTTTTTATTCAGTTAGAGGAAAAATTGAAATAGAAATCAACATCAACCATGAAGGAGAAGTGAACAAGGTCCGTTATATGCCCCAGAACCCTTGTATCATCTCAACTAAGACTCCTTCCAGTGATGTTCTTGTCTTTGACTATACAAAACACCCTTCTAAACCAGATCCTTCTGGAGAGTGCAATCCAGACTTGTGTCTCTGTGGACATCAGAAGGAAGGCTATGGGCTTTCTTGGAACCCAAATCTCTGTGGGCACTTACTTGGTGCTTCAGATGACCACACCAGCTGCCTGTGGGACAGCAGTGCTGTCCCAAAGGAGGGAAAAAGTGGTGGATGTGAAGATCATCTTTACAGGGCATACAGCAGTAGTAGAAGATGTTTCCTGGCATCTGCTCCATGAGTCTCTGTTTGGGTCAGTTGCTGATGATCAGAAACTTATGATTTGGGATACTTGTTCAAACAGTGCTTCCAAACCAAGCCATTCAGTTGACGCTCACACTGCTGAAGTGACGCTCACACTGCTGCCTCTCTTTCAATCCTTATAGTGAGTTCATTCTTGCCACAGGATCCGCTGACAAGACTGTTGCCTTGCGGGATCTGAGAAATCTGAAACTTAAGTTGCATTCCTTTGAATTACTTAAGGATAAAATATTCCAGGTTCAGTGGTCACCTCACAATGAGACTATTTTGGCTTCCAGTGGTACCAATCACAGACTGAATGTCTGGGATTTAAGTAAAATTGGAGAGAAACAATCCCCAGAAGATAAAAAAGACAGGCCACCAGAGTTATTGTTTATTCATGGTGGTCACACTGCCAAGATACCTGATTTCTCCGGGAATCCCAACGAACCTTGGGTGATTTGTTCTGTACCAGAAGACAATATTATGCAAGTGTGGCAAATGGCAGAGAACATTTACAACAATGAAGACCCTGAAGGAAGCGTGGATCCAGAAGGACAAGAGTCCTAGATATGTCTTTACTTCTTGTGATTTTAGACTCCCCTTTTTTCTTCTCAACCCTGAGAGTGATTCAACACTGGTTTCAAGACACAGACTTTGCTCAGCTATCCCTCTATATAATAGGTACCACCAATAATGCTATTAGCCCAAACAGTGGGTGTTTTTTAAATATTAATGGCGGGGGGGTTTGATTCAGCAAAGCCACAGACTTACATTGAAATTTTCTTCAGGAATTTTCTAGTAACAACCCAGGTCTAAAGTAGCTACAGAAAGGGGAATATTATGTGTGATTATTTTTCTTCTTATGCTATATCCCCAAGTTTTTCAGACTCATTTAAGTAAAGGCTAGAGTAAGTAAGGAACAGAACCAAATGAGGTAGGTGTCTGAGCCATGAAGTATAAATACTGAAAGATGTCACTTTTATTCAGGAAATAGGGGAGATTCAAGTCATATAGATGCCTACTCGAAAATCTTGACACCTGACTTTCAGGATGCACATTTTCATACGTAGACCAGTTTCCTCTTGGTTTCTTCAGCTAAGTCAAAACTACACGTTCCTCTTTTCCCATATATTTTTGCTCGTTACTGTATTTCTTGAGCTATTTTCATGTTGTTTCTTTCCTTTCTGTGAAATGGTGTGTCTGTTTGTTTGTTTGTTTGTTTTTACTTGGGGGTGCCAAGTTGTAAAGATGTATGTTTTTACCTGACAGTTATACTACAGGTAGACTGTCAAGTTGAGAAGAGTAAATCAATAACTTGTATTTGTTTTAAAAATTAAATTAATCCTTGATTTTAAAAAAAGATAATAGTAAGTCATTGAAAGTGCTAAGTGATCTCATTAAAACTTAGGAGTTAGGTGTCATATGTGCAAGTATATCACTCTACAAAATACACAGTATGACATCAGGTTTACACCAGAGTCATGGAGTTATCATAATACTGATATAATATGTGATCCTTCCTCTAGCATTGGGATCTGTACACTTTGAACCATTGACCTCTGGAGAACCTAAAGGTGTTGATTCAATGCCAGGATATGCAAAGATGGACAGTCAGTGAAAGAAAGACAAACCCCTGCTTCTCTACATTCTCTGAGACTTGGAGTAAGTACATCTCTTTCTTAATCTGAACTTGATATATCACTGTTAAACACATTTCATTATTATTGACCATTTGTAGTATATGTTGGCTCTCCTTTTTAAAGACAAGGTGGGGTGGGGGCAGTGTTAAGGAAGCAAATAAAAAAATTTTATACCAAATATTAGGTATAAAAGATAAGCATTCCACAGAAAACAGAAATATGCATCTTCTTTATGTCCTCAATTATTAAAAATTTAAATGACTCTGCAAAAAGAGAGACGACCAAAGATGAACTCATAACAGTCTCAGCTGAAAGGCTGTCTTGCTGAGAGGGAGGAAGAGCGGGATGAGACAAGGATTTTAAAGACAAAACCATAGTCACTGAATTTTAACTGAAGATCTTTAGAAGCACTGAGGTTCAGAATCAACGCTGCATAAAATCTAATTGGAAAAAAACCTTTAGAATTTTACGTACAATGCAGAGAGAATAATTAAAAGATAAAAATGAAAGAATCAGGATGGTCTGGTGAAGGGGGTGCAGGCAAACACCCTTCCTCTCACTGGTTATGAAATGGCTGTACCCGACACACCATGGGGGCAACAGCTATGTGACCCTCAGGCACCCCCAAGCCCTGGCTCCTGCAGCCACTGCCTCTGGCCATGGGTCCACTGCATTCTCAAGTGAAAGCACCTGGAGGCCTTTGCTACAGGTAGGAGAACAGGGTCTGGAGGCAGGGAAGCTAAGGCCATTTCACACTGACTTCCTAGAACTAAATTGAAAGGAAAACCCTAACTTTCCAAGCCTAAGTAACAAAAAGACCAGAGGCAGCACCTTTTGTAAACCCCCACCTTTTCTGCAGGGCAGATGGGAAATTGAAATTTGCTTTTTGCAACCAATTAGACGTTTGCATAGGAGTGTAACTTTGTAACTTTACTTCAGCCTCTGCTTTCCACAACCAATCGGACTGATTACCACCACTTCATTTACACGGGGTGAACACCAAGTAGCCAGTAGGAAACCTCTAGGGGGTATTTGGACTTGAGAAGATTCTGTATCTAGGCCCTTGAGCCACTGCTGGGGTCTGCTCCCACCCTGTGGAGTGCACTTTCATTTTCAATAAATCCCTGCTTTGTTCTTTTGTTGCTTCATTCTTTCCTTGCTTTGTTTGTGTGTTTTGTCCAATTCTTTGTTCAAAAAGCCAAGAACCTGGACACCCTCCACCAGTAACAGGCAGTGCAGGTGGGTTCCCTCTGCCACACTCCTCCTGCATGGGCTCTAGAGAAGCCACCCAGCCCCCATCCTCACCCTGTCCCCTGATGTTGACTGTTCTGTCACAAACTAGCAATATGCTTAATATAAAACTGAATCTGCCATATAATTGTAAACAAAAAGAAGGGCTGCGAGTCTGTTATTCTAAACTAAGGCTGTCATTTGTGATAGTTGTTCCTCAACATTTAACTGGCTTATATTTAATAATCTTGTTTTTTATAGCAGCTTAATCCATCCAGTTAGCATGCACTTAGCAATCAGTTTATCTTGGATGGAACTATTCCAACGATAAATCCTTGTGCTGTTCAGCAAGTTCTCTCCTTACACCTAGGTCTGAGGGGTCTCTGACAGGAGCCCTGTGCATGAGAGGACTGGTATTGCAAACTCATGAAAAATAATTTTATAAGAACACAGTGTGACCTGTAAATTAAGGCATATGCTTTTGTGACAGGCTCCAGGGGAATGCTTCTCTGTGACTCTTATTCATTCTCTTGGGTTGAAAGACAGTTGAATCCCAATGCCATAAAGGTTTATGGATTATGCTATTGCCAGGATAGGAGCTACACAGGACTTTGGACAGCAGGGAGGATTTGTGTGGCGGAAGCATTTAGTATGAATTAATTAATTTGTCTAAGTCACCATCATTTCTTGCCTATTCTTCAATAAACTCATATATTCCCTTCCTCTTTAGCCTCTCTCCAAATCTTTTAAAGTGTAAATCCAATCCCATCACTTCCTTAATTAAAACTCTTCAGTGGCTTCAGGTTCTTAATACTCTTGGCCCATTCCACCTTGTCTTTGGTATGTCCACATCCCTGGGTACATAATGTTTTGGCAGATTGGCTTTCTCTTGGTTCAGGGAGAGAACCAAGCTCCTTCCTGCCTTAGAGCCTTACTCATATTAACACACTGTTTCTTCTTCCCTGAAATGCTTTCCAACCAACTCCTCCTCCTCCCGCAACTAACTTCCTATCTTCAGCTCCATAGGGAGGGCAACTCTAACATCCTGGTCCAGATGAGGTTACTCTTTAACATACTTTAAGGTTCTCTTAAACAATCTAAGACTTTTTCCTTCATAGGACATATTACCATTCGAATTGTGTAACATTTTCTTTTTTTCTATTTTTTTTTTTTTTTTAACTTTGGACACAGAGCCTCACTCTGACATCCAGGCTGTAGTGCAGTGACGTGATCTCGGCTCACTGCAACCTCCACCTCCCAGGTTCAAGCAATTCTTCCACCTCAGCCTCCCAAGTAGCTGGGACTACAGGCACCCACAACCACACCCGGTTAATTTTTCTATCTTTTGGTAGAGAGGGGATTTCACCATGTTGGCCAGGCTGGCCTTGATCTCCTGACCTCAAGTGATCCACCCACCTCGGCCTCCCAGAGTTACTGGGATTATAGGTGTGAGCCACCACAGCCGGCCTGAATTGTGTAACATTTTCTCCCAATAGTTATCACATATATTTTCCTACAAACTAAAAGCTCCATGACAGCAGGTGTGTCATCTTCAGGTGTGTCACCAGTCCTTAGATGAATGCCTGGCACAAATAACGCATTTGGTTTTTCTTGGATGAAACAAATAACTGTATTGCTCAATAATGCCACCCTAGATCCAGGCTGGAGGGCCTAGAGGAATGAATGAATGAATGAAGAATGGCACTAACAAATTGTGTGATCTCTGGCATGTCTGAGGCTCAGTTTCTTTATATTTTAATTCAAGATGATAATTCCTGTAAAATAGCTGCTTTATAAAATTGTTATAAAGAGCATCTGAAATTATACACACATACACACACAAACACACACACACAGAGACATGTTACTAAACTGAACTGTGTCCATTTGCCTGTGTGCAATGGAAAGCCAAACACAAAAGCACTGGGTTTTGTAGCGAGAAAGGTTTATTACCAGGCAGCTGCAAGGAGACATGAGTCAGGGTCATGTCAAATCTGTCTTTCCAAGATGGAGATTGGGCAAATTTTATAGTCAGAGGGTAATGAAGTGTGATCTGATTGGATCTTGTGATGGGGTGGTGCCGGGAGGTGTGCATTGATTGGACTATGCCATGAGGTGATCACAGGGCTTGGTCTGATTGGACCTGGATCATGCCATGTGGTGATTGCTTCTTCATTCAGTCACCATTCCTTGGTCTGAGCACTTAGGTTCTGCCCATGATTGCATGCTTGGTTCATCTGGGTATGCTCAGGTTACATAACTTGCCACCTTGGGGTCCATGGCAACCGAGAAATAACTTCCCACTTTATTACGCAAAGTTGAACCCAGATTGGGTTATTGCAGTTAATGATAAATGTTTATGTCTGTGCTATCAAATATATAGGTGTAACTATAGTTTGGAATTACCACATGTATCACTAAGGTGAAGTATCAGTAAACTGGAATCAAGTAGGTTTAAAAAGTACCAGAATTATTACCTCTCTTAAGAAGCCCAGTGAAGGGGCAAGTTGGCATACCCCAGGTACAGGCTGTCATGACTCTGGCTCTGCCTCTTTGTCATTTTCTCTGTTTCACCCTCCTCTGCGGACAGACCTTGTTCTTAGCCTCATAGCATGAAGGGTATAGCAGTTCCAGGCCTAGTATCCACACACAACAATGTCCAGAGAAAAAAGAGAACATCTATTTCTGTGAGTCTTGAAAAGAGGGAGAGGGGGACTCTCCCAGATGCCCCCAATCCAGCAGCAATCTCCTTTCCCGTCAGAGTTGCATCACATTACTGGCTTAAACCAACCCCAGGCAGAGGAACAGAATTGTCAAGTTTGGCTTCGAGGCTTTGCCTTGTAGTAGCCCCAACCTCCCCTGAATCACCTGGACCCACGGGAAAGGGTGGATAAGGAAGCAACATTGTAATTGTTTTCGGAAGGAGGGTTGAGGGGATGGATGCTGGTTAGCCAGACAACAGTGTGTGCTGTGCCATATGTCATGTATATGTATTAAAAAATATTTTTCTTATTCATGGAGGTTAGACGATCTAAGTCACATAGGTAGTGTTACAAAATAATAGATGAAATATTGTAGTGTCACATAATGTTATAGAGTACAGAGTGTTAGGATTATTAGCAAATGATCTAACAAGACAGCCCATGCTGGTGTGCAAAAACGAAGAAAGTTTTTCTACTGTGTAGGTAAAACTCATGTCTGATTGTAAGGCAGAGGGAAGTATCAAATAACAAAGGGCTGTCTAAGGAGTTACAACAATGAGGAGTGGCACGCATATTCTCTACTCCCTCCTGTGTTAATTGCAGGCATAGCTAGTCAATCACAGTATGCCTCCTTGCTGAGGGTAGAAAGGTTTGGAGTCCTTCTCAGACAGCTCCTGACCATCGGTTGGAATTGATTCTCTAAACAAAACCTATCCACAATCTGTGACATAGTCATGTTGTTGCTGAACTAATATTTTATTTAAAGAGCAAAACTCGTATATATGAAGCAGCTTGAAAAAGTTTCAATGTAATCTCAAATTAAAATAAATAAAGATATGGACCAAAAGCATAGGAAATAGAAACATAAGTAGTAACTTTAAACAATCATGGCTTTGGCATAAGTGACCTTCGAATCAGGTCCTGCAGGATACAGAGATGGTATGAATCAGTAGATGAGAAAACAGAGAAACACAGGAGACATATCAGGGTATTAGCAAAGACAGGCAGGCAGTAGGATCATTGCTGTTAAAACATTAAGGGATGAAAAAAAATGTATGCGTACCCTCTTTTCATTAGAATGCCCTCTTCCTTCATCCCTTGGCAGTTTATCCTCATTCTGTTTGCCTTCAACCAAATTCCGATGTCAGCAAAAGATCTGGCAAGCTCATTCATACTAAATAGCACATGGTTGATAAAGCTCAGTGAGAAATCTTTCCTTGAGCTATTTTGAATATTTGTTAGAAGCAAAGCCTTCAGCAGAAGGAGTGAAATTAATAAGGTATAATTTTATAAACTAGTGAAGCAGGAGCAGGGTAAGGGCAGGAGACATTTTTGGCACACAAAGGCCTTTCCCAAGCCTATGAAATCATATTGGAAAAGTAAATATCGAACAGTGACAAAAAGAAAAACACTTTGGGTGAAGGCAGTTTTTTCTGCCTACAACGCACAACATTTTTATTAAAATGGCTTTATGGAGATATAAGTCACATATCATACAATTCAACCATTTAAAATGTACAATGAAATAATTTTCAGTAGATTCACAGAGTTCTGCAACCATCACTACTATCTAAGTTTAGAAAATTTTCTTCACCTCCCCCAAAACGTATACCCAGTTGCAGCCATTTCCTGTTTCTCCTCACCCCAGTTTCTAGCAACTGGGTACCTGCTTTTCTCTATAGCTTTGCCTATTCTGACCATTTCATATAAATGCAATTACATAATATGTGGTCTTCTCTGACTGCCTCCTTTGACATAGTGTAATGTTTTCAAGGTTCATCTATGTTGTAGCATGTAACAGTACTTCATTCCTTTTTATTTCAGAATAATATTCCATTGTATGGATATTCTACATTTTGTTTATCCATTCATCAGTTGATGGACATGTGGGCTGTTTCCACTTTTTGGGTAGTATATATAATGCTGCTATGAACATTTGTGTACAAGTGTTTGTGTGGGCATGTTTTCATTTCTCTTGGGTATACACCTAGGAGTGAGACTGCTGGGCCCTATGATAACACTATGTTTAACCTTTTGAAGAACTGTGTGACTGTTTTCTAAAGTAGTTGTACCATTTTAAATTCCCACCATCAGTATGGGAGAGTTCCAATCTCTCCACATCCACACCAAGACCTGTTTTTATCTGTCTTTTTTAATATAACCATCCTAATGGGTGTGAAGTGATATTTCATTGTCGTTTTGATTTGCATTTCTCTGATGTCTTGTCCAATACTTTTTACATTTTCTTCCTATCTAATACAAAATGTATTAGATATTATAAGTAATTTAGAATGATTTAAAAATATGTATACAGGAGAATGTGTATAGGTTATATGCAAATACAACGTCATTTTACATAAGGGACTTAAGCATCGCAGATTTTGGTATGGGGAGGTAGGGAAGTGGGTCCTGGAACCAATCTCTCTTGGATACCAAGGGACAACTGTATATTCATTTTACAAATGAGGACAGGAGTAATTTGGAAGTTAAATAATTTGTTCAAGGTCACACACAAGACTAAGTGGCAGAGCAGTGGTTAGAACCTAGCCTGCTTATCTCCTTAGTTTTTGCCCTTGTTCATGGTGCTTCTCTGCCTTTGCTATTGAAGAATAAACAATCAAAGCCATGTGCCCTTTTATCATTGCCTGCAGCCCCAGAACTGCTGAAAGGTATGATTTAAACAGAAGAGGAGTGCCGTTGTATATGAGCCACCTCTCCTTGCTCTGCAGCAGACAGTCCTTTGAAGTGGAGAGAACAGATATTCAGGGAATACAAAAAGGAAACTTCAGACTCTGAATTTCATATGAAAAGTTGTCAGTTAGTATTATGGATTCACCTCCAAATGTAGCAGCTGGTAATAAAGGGTTTGTTTTAACTTTTTTTTTCTCCTGATGCCTGAAAGTTTTGCTACACTATAGTCAAAGAATTGAGAGACTGCTTAAACACAACCAAATCCTTTTGATGTGTTACTTTAAGAATTATTCTAATGTTCCCTCCTAATGATAATAGTTATCCTCAAGGAGTGAAAAGAGGAAACCTGATGTGTGCCTTATTCCAGGGGGAAGAAACAAAACACTTATCCTGAGTGTCAAGAAATACATAAAAGCAAAAATCCATGCTGACTTGTAGTTTAGAGTTTCTTGGAACTACTACTGTGCTAATAAGTCTTAGTGACTAATTATAGCTAAGAAAAATATGTGATATGTACAGAGTTGAAAGAAATTAGGCCAGACATCTAAAAAATATATGAACCTACTGGCAAATGAGATTTTTAATAAAAACTGAGAACAGTTCCTACCACAAATGCTGATCTGTCTGGAAGCATGATTGGAAATTTGACAGTTACTACAAGGTGTTTTTTAAAGCTGATTTTTTTAAAGGACATTCTGCAAGGCCCGATCTAATCAGTATTCTTTGGATAATAGTAGATTTCTTGGCATTTTTTCCTCAGTGTCACAGACACCAGGGTAAAGTTATAGTGAGTGCTACATGGCCAAGTAAAGCAGAGTATTTAGTAATTACCAAGATAAAATAAGTAAACCTGGGGTGATGCTTCTCTAAGTTCATTTTCTTATTTTAGTTTATTTCTTGTATGATTTTACAAAAGGGATATCTGACACTTGTGGATATTCTTGTGGATCTGTCAGGCTTCCATTCTCCTTTTTATATGCCATCTGATTGGTGTTGAGCTTGGCTTGCAGCCTGAGCCCATCTATAAAGCTTACCTCTTCCTGGGCATAGGCATTGATTTACAGATAGGCATTTGACCTAATTTGGACCAATGGAATCAAGGTCCAGGACTTTTGTTCAACCTGTTATAGGCGAGAAGCTCTTCATTTCTGCTTTCGTTGAGAAGTAAAGAATGTAAGTCTGAGGCTGCTGGTGGCCATTTTATTCTCTCTTCTGTCCGCATGATAGGAGTGGCTTCCTGGGATTGGAACCAACACAGAAGGAAGCAGAATCTGGATGAGGAGACATGGTCCTGCTGACACGGTTTGAGCTCTTAGATCAAGCTGTGCTCAGAATTATTGTTGTCCTTTTACTAAGTTCCATGAGCCAATAAATGCCCCTACTTCACTTAAAAAAAAATCAGTTTGGTTTGGATATTCTTTTCCTTGTAACCAAAAAAATATATTTCATTGACATTATTTTCATAAGTTTATGTTTTATTTAAAAGGTTATACTTGTTGCATTAGTCAAGGTTCAATCACAGAAACAGAACCACTAATGAGTTATGAGATAAGAGATTTATTATAGGAATTAGAATTTCTACAGTTGTGGTAGGAGCTGGAAAAGAGAAGGTCCAATAAGGCATTGAAGGGTGAGAGGCAAGATCAGCAACCAGTTAATATGAAAAGTTTGCAAAGTATTTCCAACTTCCAAAATGAGGCTGAAGGGAAAGTTCATGGAAAAGTCCATGGGGAGCTGTGACTCTGGGTAACTAAGGCCTCTGTGCATTCACTACCAAGAGTCTGGGGGTGGACCTGGGACTGCTGTTGTTAAGAGGTGGATGCGGAGTAGAGAACCAGAACCAACTGAAACCTGCTGCCAACTCCATGCCAATCTATCTTTGCATCTAACTCACATTGACCTTCTGAGAGTCATGATTGACATTCATTTCCACTTTCTAATTCTCGTGAAAATTCTAACTTACCAATTCCAAACTGGAAACATTTTGGGAGTGTAGTTCTAACTTAGTCACTATATTTGCTCTTAATCATTTAATTTATTATTAATTTAGATGTAAGGTAATTGAAGTATTGTGCAAAAGGCAGTCACAATGAGGAAAAGTTGATACAAATAATTAATTTGACATTCCAATATAAATATCTACTGGCATTAATTATATAGCACATCACAATGGTTAAGAGCAGAGGTTTGGGGTCAGATGAAATTGTATCTAAGTCCTGGTTTTACCATTTTCTAGTTGGACAATTAAAACATTATTTTTCTTTTAAGCCTTAGTTACCTCATCTGTGAAAGGGAGATGTTAATAATGTCTACTACATGGAGTTGATGAAAGAATTAAGCAAATGTGTTGGACTTAACATAATGAGTGGCAAATTATAATCATGCATGACTTATTGTTGTACATTCATTCATGTACCTTTTATTACCTACATAAATAATTGTCAAATCTTATTGAGGAGATGAAGAAGGAGAGAGATTTAGATGATAGTCAGTTTGTAAGTGGATTCTTAAGCATAATCCCACTTTCCTACACCCCTAATTTTCTAGTGATTATTCCTGTTGATTTTGGATTTCATAAAAACATAGTATATGTGTTCCATCTCACCATAAACTTCATGGGTTTCATGTGTTCCAAGTAAGCCTTTATTCGTTTTTGTCTTGTGAACTACTAATTAATTTTTCTTCAAAGTATGGTAGCTTCATTTTTTAACCAGTATCAACTGCTTTTAGTGACTTTTTCCCCCTACATATATACATGCATCTTGTAGACTTTCATCTCTACAATGTTTTTTTATTTCCCTATTTTATAAAGTACAATTGCCTTGGTCACAATCAATAAAGTGTTTTTATACAAGAACATGTCTGCCACATACCAAGGTGGTATTTTGGTTTTAACAGATTCTCTGCTAAGCTGCTATTTTTAAATTTTTCCTTACTATAACTAGCTAAAATGTTTGTTCAAGTCAGCTCCTAGTTAGATATACTAAACTATGCCTTCAACATTGCTACAGTGAAGGGAACATCTATTTAGTTCAGTTGGTTGATATTTCAAATTATTCAAGCGAAATTTAAAATAAGGGGCCTTGTTTCATATTGTAATGAGTTGACATTTTATTTATCAGAAACTTTCCCTATGTATTTTATTTTAAAACTCATTTTTTTGATAATTAAATAGTGAAGTATAGAAAGAAAGTTTGGAAACTACAGAAAAATATAAAGAACAACAACAAAAAAATCACCTGTAATCTCACTACTCAGAGGAAACTGCCATTACTATATGGATGCTTTTGTTTCATTTCAGACTTTGTCTACATTTTACAAAGGTTGATCCTACTATTTGTATGTATACACACAGGCACACAAATACATGTACTCTTAGTTTGACATCCACTTCATATTATAGCATGTGACTGTTCCAAGTTAGCAAACATTCTTCATTCCTTATTTTTAACTTATTATGTCATTGTTGCATATAAATACATGTAAACCTCTTATCAGAATGTCTGGGACATAGTAAGCACTAAAATGGTAACTACTATTAATATCTATATACACGAATCTTTGTACCTGGAATTAAAAACATTTTAACAGATTTAAATTTAACTTTCTTTCAAAGAAAGGTGTTTGTTTTTCTTTTTACCAGGAGCAGATGAATATTCCTAGAGAGTTTATTTCTTTTTTATAAAGAACAAATGTTTTTTCTCCCTCCACATATGATTTAAAATATCTATGTTCTTCTGTATTAACACTAATATGGTCTGCCAGAGCTTGAATTTATGAGCTTCCCAAACAGTTGTGTGCCTGCATATTCCTCCTTGTACTTCTTAGTTTTTATTTCACATTTTGTCAAATGAAAGTGTATATCTCTGTTTTATGGATTCAATTTTTAAGCGATAATTTTTGCCCACTTAATAATTGGTATCTTAAATGTGGCTTGGTCTAAAATTAATATTGTTACCCCTGGTGTTTACTGTTTTTATTTCGGCTTGAGTTTGATATCTTTTCTACAAGGCTTTTATTTTTAACCCATTGTAATCATTCTGTTATTGTTTCTTTTGTAAGCAGTGTATCATAACCTTATAATTTAATTGAGAAATCTATATTATTCACATTCATGATCTGAAGGATTTGATATGTTATTTTATAATTTACTTTTCCTTGCCATAATTACTGTTTCCTTATTTCTGAATTTTTCTACAACTGTCCCAATTTTGCTTTGTTTGCCAATATTTAAGGCATACTAGAGGTTCACATTTTTTGAAAAAATAACTTTCCAGCAACATTTAAAATCTTTATTTTAGTAAGAGCTAAATATTTTTAGTATTCTTTATGCCACTTTTATTTTTGACTCATAATAGCTCTAAATTCCTAAACTTCATTAGTTTTATCTTGAATTTTAGGCTATATGAGTAGTTAAATAAGTACTTTCTAGGCTATATATATTTTATGTATTATTTGTGAAATTTTTATTTTATGTTTACAGTAATGTTATATAGTCAAACATTATTTGATTTTAATGCTCACCACCAATCCTTTTACATAACAACCTTGTATAAAATATTGAGTTTTTAATTTTAATCCTCTTCTTAGATGACTGATTTTGGAGGTTTAGGAGAGCCCAATCTTCATCCCTTTCCCCCGCCAAGTTCTAAAGAATTGATAACAGACATAGGGGTCAAGTAGGATCAATAACACCTGAACAAGTATATGGCTCTCTGGTTGTATTGGTCAGAGTTCAGTAGCAGAGAAATGAATCCATTTCTGCTAGTTAAAGCAGGAAAAATAATTGTGTGTGTGTGTGTGTGCGTGTCTGTGTGTACATGACATTAAATAGTTTATAAAATGGAATATACAAGAGTGACTCCCAAGCTACAGCCCAGGACCAGGTCACCTATGGGGCTTCCCCCACTGCTATAATCAGGAAATGTCCAGCTCCAGGGTCATTCTGTCACAGCCATGATTAGGAAGCTGCTTCTGCACCTGGCTGCACAACCATGTCCCACTTGTTAGAAAGTGTGCTGGCAAAATGGATGACCCACGGTCTGCCTTTTGACAGCTATGAAGCTAGGGACTGGACTATTAATGCTGCCTCAGAAAAACTAAGGTCCTTCATGACTGTGCTGCCAGCAGAAATAGGAGCAGCAGCCGGAGAAAGTGCCTTGTGCAATACTGCAGCTTTTTCCAAATCTCCTGCAAATGTATTTGATTGGTCTAACCTGAATCACACCTGGAACTTTAGTGCAAAGTAGCCTATGAATTGAATTGTTGGGTCTTCCATTCTCTGCTTTACAGGAATATTCTATAGAAAGAGGATGGAATAGATGTCCAGAGTCAAATCTCCTATCTACACAGTAGTAAAGCTGAGAAAGCCAAGGATGTACCCAGAAATTAATTTCTCCACTCAGTCATAAGCAGAAAGAATGTATTGCAGGCCTTTTTTCTCCAAGCCTGGAGGCCCTGAGCTGACGGTCTACCACTTGGGAACAGGGAAAAGAGGAGAGCATGCTCTGCCTGAGCAGGTAATTACAGCAGAGGCAGAGAAGGAGCAGCAGAGAGAATCGGTGGAGTCCATTTCTTCCTTCGAGGCACAACGACTATTCCCCAGTAGTGAGAACCAATGAAGGGTAGGTTCTTTCCACCATTCTTCCCTTCTTAGAGAGGAAAGAAAGTTGGAAAACCCTCTCCCCAGCCTCCCTAGGAAGGCAGACTTTGGGCTGAAGCAGGAATATGGTTTTTATAGTTTGAAATAGGGATGTGAAAAGCAAAGGATAAGAGTTCCACTACATAACTGCACTTGACCTTTTAAGTAAAAATGGTATAACAGTGGTATGTTTTCTGAACCCTCTGTCATTGAGACTGTCTTTTTGTTATCTTCACATGTGAATGACAACTTGGCAGAGCTACATCCTTGTATTATTTGCCTTTTCTCCCTAAAAATTCATTGTGTGCTTACTACATATTGCAAAGAAAAAAATTTCAGGCCAGCTTAATATTGTTCCTTGATGGAGAGGCCAGTTTCTTTGCTTTTTCTGCCTAGAGCCTTATGGACTTTATTTTAGCCTGTTAATGGGGCACTTTCATAGAATATGTAGATTTTGCTCTGTTGATGGATATTTACTTGGAAAATAGTTGAGTTGGCCTTTTAAACTAAGTTATAATGTCTTTAACTAGCTTTGACAAGTTTTATTCAATTCTGTCACTCACCATGGCCTCTGTTACGTGTTTCTAGTTACATCTTTGGGAATAATTGTAATTCTTAACATAGTTTCTTCATTCTCTGGGTTCCACATCCGTCAAATTTTCATTATTTTTTAAATCGTTTATCATTTTTGGTTGAGTTTCAGATCATCTTCCTTTAATAAAGTTTGTGGTTGAATCTACAGTTTTCTATATTTCCAGTTCACTTTCCATTTGATGCCAGGTGAACCCTCTTCTGAAACAACAGCATGGATATTCCTGCCCTGGTTTAGTTCCCAGTCACACCGAATATGTATATCTATCTCATGAAGATAGTTTCTTCCCTTTCCATATCAGACTTAATTTGACAAGACCATACACCATGTGTCACTAGAGATATTTTGGCTTCCACTTCCACTGACAGTCCTTCTGCCTGGGGATGGTGCCAGCAAGTGTACAACACCCATCTCTGGGGCCTTCATTTGCAGCCCAATTTTTTGTTGCAAATTTTGTTTCCCCAATATTCAAAGAAAGACAAGTACTCACTGGGGCTACCTCAATAAGCGCTGCTTTGAGGCAGAAGAACAGTTACCCAGTTTTCAGGTAAATAAATATTTTGTTTTATGAACTAGAAAGTAATATCTGGAGGACTAATGGCTTTTTGGCCTCATTTTAGGCAGATAAATTTTCCATTTCTTATGGCTAAACCAATTAGAAGAAAAAACCTGTGTTTCTCAACCCAGATCCATTGGCCTAATAACTAATGAAAATTCCTCCATAAAGTTGATTCTAGTTTTCAGTGCTATTGTGTATTGTCTTTGTTTTTGCTTTCAAAGATACTTTAGTGGGAATTTGGGGATTACTCCATTTCAGGGACTTCTAGCTAGGCTCTGTTTTAACTGAAAGCTGGTGGTACTGTGATAGAAGCTTTAAACGTGTGTGATAATAGCTTGACGCAGTTGCACAGTTTAGTTCATATACAATTTTTGTCGAGATGAAAGGAGTTGGTTTCTAACAAAATAAAAGTCCATAATTTGGACTAGAGGTTTCTAAAACTGGAATTAATCTTATTTCTCTCCTGATATTATATTTCAGAACTATATTTTCATAGTTAATCTGGTAAAGTCTGAAAAAAATATTTTTATAAATTCATAATATCATTAAATTCCAACTATGAAAATTTTAGCACCTAATATAATAAGTTAATGCTAGAACTGGGTAGGAGAGTGAGTTGCTTGCTTAAATTAAGACTTGTATTCAACTTGCACAAGACACCTGCATTAATATGGTACAATGTGGTTATTTAAATTTAAAAAAATAACTAATAGAAAATAAAATAAAAAATTTATTTTCTTTGCTACATTAGCCACATTTGAAATGTTCAGTAGCCACATGTGGTTTGTGGCTACCATACTGAACTGCACACATAAAGACCATTTCTGTCATGGCAGAAAGTTTTATCAGACAGTGCTGTTCTAGACAATGATGTCTTTAAATTTGCATTTGCAGAAAAACCCAATCCTCTTGGAATTAATGCATTGCATTTTGAGAGAACTACTTAAAATTAAGGTTATGGACTCTACGGCTTTAGCCGAATATCGGTTTTAAATAACCTTTTAATTTTAGAATAAATAAAATAATATTTATTACTTTTAAATTTACAGCAAAATGGAAAAGGTAGTAAAGACCTCTCATGTAAACTGCATCTAAAATTCCTAGTCAAGTCAATAAGCCAGAGAATCAGTCTTTACCCAATCATACCATTCATATTTAAACTGATTATTGATATAATTGGATTAATACCTATCATACTTATGTTTGTTTTCTGATTGTTGCATTTGTTCTTTGTTTTCTCTCCCTGTCCTCCATCTTTTTCTGGTTTTAATAGAACATTTTGTATGATTCCATTTTACTCCTTTCTCAGCATATCAATGACTTCTTTTAAAAACATCTTAGTGGTTGATGTATAGTTTACAATACACATTATTAACTATTCTAAGTCGACCTTTGAATAACTCTCACTATACTCTGTCATATGTGGGTAGAGTTGCCTTATAACAGAATATCCTGAATTCCTCCTGTCTCTTGTGACATTGCTGTGATTCATTTTGCTTATCTATATGTTATAACCATCCAATGTACTGTTATGATTATTGCTTTGAAGAAAGAGATGTTTTAGATCAACTAAAAATAAGAAAAATAAAAGATTTTATCTTACTTTCATTCATTCCTTCCTCAGAGCATTTTCTTTCTTGAAGTTGACCCTGACTTATATCATTTTCCTCCATCTGAATAACTTCTTTTAACATTTCTTGAAGGGCAAGTCTGCTGGTGATGAATTCCCTCAGTTTTTGTTTGTCTGAAGGACTCTTTCTTTTTTTCTTTTTTTCTTTTTTTTCTCTTTTGACACAGAGTCTTGCTCTGTCCACCAGGCTAGAGTGTAATGGCACAATCTTGGATCACTGCAACCTCCACCTCCTGCCAATTATCTCGGCACCATTTATTGAATAGGGAGTGTTTTCCCTATTGCTTGTTTTTGTTGGCCTTGTTGAAGTCAGATGATTGTAGGCATGCTGTTTTATTTCTGGGTTTTCTATTCTGCTCCATTGATCTATGTATCTAATATTGTACCATTACCATGCGGTTTTGGCTACTGTAGCTTCATAGTATAATTTGAAGTTGAGTAATGTGATGCCTCTGGCTTTGTTCTTTTTGCTTAGGATTGCTTTGGCTATTTGGGCTCATTTTTGGTTCTATATGAATTTTAAAATGATTTTACCTAATTTTGTGAAGAATGATATTGGTAGTTTGATAGGAATAGCACTGATCTGTAAATTGCTTTGAGCAGTATGGACATTTGTACAATATTGATTCTTCTCATCCATGAGCATAGATTGTTTTTCCATTTCTTTGTTTCATCTCTGATTTCTTTCAGCAGTGTTTTGTAGTTCTCATTGCAGAGATGTTGTATTCCTAGATATTTCATTTTCTTTGTGGCTTGTTTTTTTTTTTTTTTTTTTTTTTTTTTAGATGGAGTCTCACTCTGTCATCCAGGCTGGAGTGCAGTGGCCCATCTCGGCTCACTGCAAGCTCCGCCTCCCGGGTTCACGCCATTCTCCTGCCTCAGCCTCCCGAGTAGCTGGGACTACAGGCGCCTGCCACGCCCAGCTAATATTTTTTTTTTTTTGTATTTTTAGTAGAGACGGGGTTTCACCGTGTTAGCCAGGATGGTCTCCATCTCCTCATCTCATGATCTGCCCGCCTCGGCCTCCCAAAGTGCTGGGATTACAGGCGTGAGCCACCGTGCTCAGCCCCTCCTTGTGGTTTCTTAAAGTGAGATTGTTTTCTTAAGTTCACTCTTGGCCTGGACATTTTTAATGTATGGAAATTCTACTGATCTTTATACATTGATTTTGTATCCTGAAACCTTACTAAAGTCATTTATCAGTTCTAGCAGCCTTTTGGCAGAGTATTTTGGGTTTTACTAGGTATAGAATCATATTGTCAGTGAAGAGAGATAGTTTGACTTCTTTTCCTGTTTGGATGCCTTTTATTTCCTTCTCTTGCGATTGCTTTGGCTAGGATTTCCAGTGCTATACTGAATAGGAGCGGTGAGAGAGGACATCTGTCTTGTTTCAGTTCTTAAGGGGAATGGTTCGAGCTTTTGTGCATTCAGCAGGATATTAGCTAAGGTTTGTCATAGATAGCTCTTTTTATTTTGAAGTATGTTTCTTCAATGCCTAGGAACATACATCTTGAGGGTTTTTAACATAAAGCAATGTTGAATTTTATTAAAAGCTTTTTCGACATCTATTGAGATGATCCTATGGCTTTTGCTTTTAATTCTGTTTATGTGGTCAATCACATTTATTAATTTCTGTATGTTGAACCAGGCTTGCATCCCAAGAATGAAGCCTACTTGATTGTGATGTATTAACTTTTTGATGTGCTGCTGGATTTGGTTTGCTAATATCTTAAGGATTATTGCATCTATGTTCATTGAGGATATTGGCCTGAGGTCTTCTTTTTTATTGTGTCTCTGCCACATTTTGGTATCAGGCTGATGCTGGCTTCATAGAATGAGTTAGGGAGGAGCCCCTTCTCTTCAATTGGTTTGGAATAGTTTCAGTAGGATTGGTGTCAGTTCTTTGTGTGTCTGGTAGATTCCAGCAGTGAGTCCATCTGGTCCAAGGGTTTTTTCGGTCAGTAGGTTCTTTTTTACTAATTTAATTTCAGAAATTGATATGATCTGTTCAAGGTTTTGATTTATTCATGATTCAATCTTGGGAGATTATGTGCTTCCATGAAGTTATCTATTTCCTCTAGATTTTCTAATTTTTGTGCATAGAGTTGTTTGTAGTAGTCTCTGAGGGTTATTTTTAAAAATTTCTGTGGGATCAGTTGTAATATCACCCTTGTCTTTCTGATTGTGCTTACTTGGATCTTCTCTTTCTTTTCCTTTGTTAATTTAGTTAGTAGTTTACCTTATTTATTTACTTGAAGAGCAAAGTCTTGCTTTTATTGATCTTTCGTAAGGATTTTTGCATTTCAGTTTTCATTAAGTTTTTCTCTAATTTTAGTTATTTATTTACTCCTACTGGCTTTGGGTTGGATTGTTCTGTTTTTAGTCCTTTTAGGTGCAAAGTTTGATTGTTAATAAGAGATCTTTGTAACTTCTTGATGAAGGCGTTTAGCACTATAAACTTTCCTCTTAATACTGCTTTGACTGTATCCCAGAGATTTTGTAAGTTGTATCCCCATTTTCATAGATTTCAAATAATTTTTTGATTCCTGCCTTAATTTTGACGTTCATCCAGGAGTTATTCAGGACTAAGTTATTTACTTTACATGTGCTTGTGTAGTCTTGAGAGATCTTCTTAATATTGATTTTATTTGTATTGCACTGTGGTGTGAGAATGTGCTTGGTATGATTTCAATTTTTTTCAATGTATTGAGACGTGCTTTATGACTGAGCATGTGGTTGATCTTAGAATATGTTGCATGTGCAGATGAGAAGAATGTATATTCTGTGGTTGTTTGATGGAATGTTCTGTAGATGTCTATTAGGTCCAATTAGACAAGTGTCGAGTTTAAGTCCAGAGTTTGTTAGTTTTCTGCCTCAATGATCCATCTAATGTTGCCAGTGGGGTGTAGAAATCTCTCACTATTATGGTGTGGTTGTCTAAGTCCTTTTGTAGATCAAGAAGAACTTGTTTTATGAGCCTGTTGCTCTAATGTTGGGAACCTATATATTAGAATAGTTGAGGCTTCTTGTTGGATTGTACCCGTTATCATTATGTAATGCCCTTCATTGTCTTTCTTAATTTTTATTGGTTTAAATTCTGTCTTATCTGAATAAGGATAGTACTTCCTACTCTTTTTTGTTTTCTGTTTGCATGGTAGATTTTTTCTATCCTTTTACTTTGAGCATGTGTGTTTTGCTATATGAAATGAGTCTCTTAAAGACAACAGATGGTTGGCTCTTTTCTTTTTATCCAGCTTGCTACTCTGTCTTTTAAGTGGGGCATTTAGCCCATTTATATTCAAGGTTAGTAATGATATGTATGATTTTGATCCTGTAATTGTGCTGTTAGCTGGTTGTTATGTAGACTTGATTGTGCAGTTGATTTATAGTGCCTGTGGGCTATGTGCTTAAGTGTGTTTTTGTGGTAGCAGGTGTCATTTTTTCAATTGCCTGTTTAGCACTCCTTTAAGGACCTCTTGTAAGGGTGGTCTAGTTGAAATGTATTGTCTCAGCATTTGTTTGTCCGAGAAGGATTTTATTTCTCCTTCACTTATAAAGCTTCACTTGGGATGATATCAAATTCTTGGTTGGAATTTCTTTTCTTTCAGGATGCTGAAAATAGGCCCCCAATCTCTTCTGGCTTATATGGTTTCAGCTGAGAAGTTTGCTGCTAGCCTGATGGGGTTCCCTCTATAAATAACTTGCCCCTTCTCTGTAGCTGCCATTAAGATTTTGACTTTTGCATTGACCTTGGTGAATCTGATGACTATGTGCCTTGGGGATGGTCATCTTTTATTGTATTTTCCAGGGGTTTCTGTATTTCTTAGATTTGCATGCCAGCCTTTCTAGCGAGATTAGGAAAATTTTTATGAACTACATCTTCAAATATATTTTCCAAGTTGCTTATTCCCTTTCCTTCTCTCTCAGAAATGCCAGTGTGATATAGATTTGGCCTCTTTACATAATCCCATATTGTTGGATCTTTTATTTTTAAAAATTCTTTTTTTTCCAATTGATTTCTTTTTTTTTTATTATTATACTTTAAGTTTTAGGGTACATGTGCACATTGTGCAGGTTAGTTACATACGTATACATGTGCCATGCTGGTGCGCTGCACCCACTAACTCGTCATCTAGCATTAGGTATATCTCCCAATGCTATCCCTCCCCCCTCCCCCCACCCCACAACAGTCCCCAGAGTGTGATGTTCCCCTTCCTGTGTCCATGTGATCTCATTGTTCAATTCCCACCTATGAGTGAGAATATGCGGTGTTTGGTTTTTTGTTCTTGCGATAGTTTACTGAGAATGATGATTTCCAATTTCATCCATGTCCCTACAAAGGATATGAACTCATCACTTTTTATGGCTGCATGGTATTCCATGGTGTATATGTGCCACATTTTCTTAATCCAGTCTATCATTGTTGGACATTTGGCTTGGTTCTAAGTCTTTGCTATTGTGAATAATGCCACAATAAACATACGTGTGCATGTGTCTTTATAGCAGCATGATTTATAGTCCTTTGGGTATATACCCAGTAATGGGATGGCTGGGTCAAATGGTATTTCTAGTTCTAGATCCCTGAGGAATCGCCACACTGACTTCCACAATGGTTGAACTAGTTTACAGTCCCATCAACAGTGTAAATTAAAGACTTAAACGTTAGACCTAAAACCATAAAAACCCTAGAAGAAAACCTAGGCATTACCATTCAGGACATAGGCATGGGCAAGGACTTCATGTCTAAAACACCAAAAGCAATGGCAACAAAAGCCAAAATTGACAAATGGGATCTAATTAAGCTAAAGAGCTTCTGCACAGCAAAATAAACTACCATCAGAGTGAACAGGCAACCTACAAAATGGGAGAAAATTTTCGCAACCTACTCATCTGACAAAGGGCTAATATCCAGAATCTACAATGAACTCAAACAAATTTACAAGAAAAAAACAAACAACCCCATCAAAAAGTGGGTGAAGGACATGAACAGACACTTCTCAAAAGAAGACATTTATGCAGCCAAAAAACACATGAAAAAATGCTCATCATCACTGGCCATCAGAGAAATGCAAATCAAAACCACAATGAGAAACCATCTCACACCAGTTAGAATGGCAATCATTAAAAAGTCAGGAAACAACAGGTGCTGGAGAGGATGTGGAGAAATAGGAACACTTTTACACTGTTGGTGGGACTGTAAAAATTCTTTTTTCTTTATTTTTGTGTGACTGAGTTGATTTGAAGAACTGGTATTTGAGCTCTGAGATTCTTTCCTCAGATAGGTTTATTCTGCTATTAATACTTCTTTTTTTTCTGGAGACAGGGTAGACAGGGTCTTGCTCTGTCACCCAGGCTGGAGTGTAGTGGTGTGATCTTGGCTTACTGCAGCCTTCACCCCCTGGGCTCAAGCAATCCTCCCACCTCAGCCTCCTGAGTAGTTGGGACCACAGATATGCACCACCATGCCCAGCTATTTTTTTTGTATTTATAGTAGAGACAGGGTCTTGCCATGTTTCCCAGACTGATCTTGAACTCCTGACTTCAAGTGATCCACCTGCCTCGGCCTCCCAAAGTACCGAGATTACAGGCATGAGCCACTCACTGCACTGGGATGCTGTTAATATTAATACTTCTGATCATATTATGCAATTCTTGTGGTGAATTTTTCAGCTTAAAAAGTTTAATTTGGGTCTTTCTTAAAATGGCTATTTCATCTTTCGGCTCTTGAATTGCTTGGCTTCCTTGGAATGACTTTCAACATTCTCCTAGTTCTTGATGAGCTTCCTTGCCATTCGTATTCTGAATTTCATGTCTGTCGTTTCAGACATTTCAGACTAGTTAAGAACCATTGGTGGGGACCTAGTGGGCTCATTTGGAGGTAAGGGGACACTCTGGCTTTTTGAAATGCCAGAGTTCTTCCACTGATTCCTTCTCATCTGGGAGGGTTGGTGTCCTTTAACTGTGTTTTAAATTGAGTATAGTCCATTGGCTTCATTTGTGGAAGTTTTCAGAGGGCTAAGCCTCTGTACTGGATCTTTGTTGTTGAATTCTTGCCCTTGATTTTGCAGGAAGCAGAATTAGCCAGGAATTTCTTGATGTTGTAGCTTTGGCTGTGATCCAATAGAAGACAGTTGAGAACAATGGGCTGTAGATAAGCACTTACTCAACTTCATGGCTTCTATGTGTATCCTGGCATTTGCAGCTGTGCTCTCTTCCCCAGAAGTTTGGGGCTGGGAACCAGCTTTATCATTCAGCACCCTATGCAGGGTTCCCAGCTTCCTCCCTCTTCAACCTCAACATCTGCATCTTTTCCCCATCCACATTCAGCATTTTGTCTCCAAAGACCTGTTCAAATTATGTTGGTTTAAATCCCAGTGTCTCTCCATGGGGGCAGCACTTCCTGGCTGCATCTCTTGCCTGTTTTTGCCTGATTACAGTCTTTGAAAAGGAAAAACTGAATTAGTAAAGATAGGATGATGGATCAGGCATCACTGTATAGGTGCCTTTACAGAGGGTATTGAGTGGTTACCACTGATCTATGCTAGTCCAGTTCTTACGATTTGTTATACTATGTATGGAGTTTTCAGCCTTCTTCAAAGAATAGCCTTTTGGGTCAGCAGGACCATCAGGGACAGAGAGCTTAAAGATACTAACAGAGATTCTGTGGCACTAATTCATGGTAGGGTTGGATGGTCAGTCTTCTTTTTTTTTAGTGTACATGATTTACTTTCAGTTTATTTTAGAAATAAGATATTAGGTATACTTAGGAGGCAAGATTAGTGAGTTTAGGTTTAGCAAAGATTTCTTAAATTTGACAGAAAAAGCACAAGCTATAGAAGAAAAATCAATCAATTGGAATTTATCAAAGTTAAAACATTTGCTTTTTAAAAGACTGTTAAAAAATGAAAGGGCAAACTACAGAGTTGGAGAAAATATTCACAAAACACAAATTTGACAATATTATATATGTATATCCTTTGTGTGACATATGTGATATATTTGTATAATGACATACTACTCTTACAACTTAATAAGAAGACAACTCAATTGAAAATTGGACAAAAAAATTGAACAGATACTTCTCTAAAGAAAATATATTGATGACAAATGAGCACATGTAAAGATATTCTTTATCATTATCATGAGGAAAATACAAATTAAACCACAATGAGATATTACAGCATTCCCATTAGAATGATTAAAACGAAAAAGACTGACCATACCAAGTATTGCCAAGAATGTAGGGGACCTAGCGTTTTCATACATTGCCACTGTATTGTAAAATGGCAGTAATGTTGTAAGGGCTAATTTTATGTGTCACCCTGACTGGGCTGAGGATGCCCAGATTGCTGGTAAAACATTATTTCTGGGTGTGTCTGTATGAGGATCTCCAGAAGATATTAACATTTGAATAAGTAGACCGGGTAAAAAAAATCTTCCCTCACTAAAGTGGGCAGACATCATCCAATCTGTTGTGGGCTCAAATAGGAATAAAAGGCAGAAGAAGCATGAGCAAGGATATCCATCTTCTCCTTCTCTTGGACATCAAAGCTTCCTGGTTCTCAGTCCTTTGGATTATGGGTCTTATACCAGCAAGACTCCTCTGCCCTCCTGCCAGTGGTTCTCAGGCCTTTGGCTTCAGACTGGGACTTATACCATTGGCTCCCGTGGTTCTCAGGCCTTTGGACTTGGACTGAATTACACCACTGACTTTCCTGGTTCTCCAGCTTGAAGAAGGCAGATGGTGGGACTTTTTGACTCCCGTAATCATATGAGTGAATTTCCATAATCTTTCTTTCTCACTCTTTCTCCCTCTTTCTTTGAAGAACTCTAATACAAATGAAACAGTTCCCTAAATAGTTAATAATGAAATTATTAATAATGACCCAGCCATTTCACTTCTCAATATTTATCCAAGAGACATGAAAATATTATCTCAATTCAAACACTATACAGGACTATTCATAACAGCTTTATTTGTAATAGTCAAAACTAGAAACAATCCAAATATTCATCAACAGGTAATTGTGCATATAACATGTGATATATCCATATAATAGAATACTGCTCAGCAGTAAAAAGGAATAAACTATTGATATATGCAACAACATGGATGGACCTCATAGTACATATTCTATAACTATTTGCATAAAATTCTAGAAAATGCCAGTGAATCTAAAATTACAGAAAGTAGATAATCAGTGCTTGCCAGCAGATGAGGTAAGGAGAGGAGGTGTGGCAGGGAGGAGTTATAAAAAGACAAGAAGAAACTCTAGGGAGTGATGGATTGTCTTAATGTGTGGTGACAGTTTCAAAGGTGTATACTTTTGTCAAAATTTATCAAATTGCATACCTTAAATATATGCATTTTATTGTATATAAGTTATAATGCCAATAAAGTTCTAAAGAGAGAAAAATAAATAAATGCAGTTTCAAGGAAAGAAATAAAATAGCTGTAAATCTGACATATCAGTTATTCATCATCACTAATCATTAGGTAAGTGCAAATTGAAACCACAGTGAGATGCCACTTCATACCCACAGATGAAGGATGGCTATTATTAAAAAATGAAATATAAGAAATATCAGTGAGGATGTGGAGAAATTGCTGGTGGAATGTAAAATGGTACAGCTGCTATGGAAAACAGTATGGTGGTTCCTCAACAAATTAAGCATAGATTACCATATGATCTACTAATTCCACTTCTGGATATATACACAAAAGAACTGAAAGCAGGGACTTGAACAAATATTTGTGCATACTATTTATAGTAACATTATGCACAATAGCCAGAAGGTATAAACAAACCAAATGTCCATTGAAGGATGAATGGATAAACCAAATGTTGTCTATACATAAAATGGAATATTATTCAGCTTTAAAGAGGAATGGAATTTTGATGCCTGCTGTGGCATGGATGAAACTTGAGAACATTATACTAAGTAAATGAGACAGGCACAGAAGACAAATACTGTATGATTCTACTTCTGTGAGGTGCCTAAAATAGTCAAATTTATAGAGAAATAAAGTAGTTTAGGAGAAGAAAAACTTTCCCTCTATCCTGTTAGGTTCTCTATCTGGGGCACACTCATCAAATTGAGAAAAGACAGATTAACAGTAGAAAAGGCATGCAAATTTTAATATTTTTACATGTACAGGTACTTCACAGAAAAGAAGTGAAAACCCAAAGAAGTGGTTAAACTCTAGCCTGGGTGACAGAGTGAGACTCCGTCTCAAAAAAAAAAAAAAAAAAAGGAGTGGTTAGACTCAAGGGTTTATGTACCATTTTAACAAAGGGCGATAGGTTGTGGAGAAGTAACTAGAAAGTGAAAAGAACATTGGGTTTCTAACGATGGTAAATTGTTGGAAGGTACTAGGAAATGTATGGTAGATACAGAATGTTTAGTAAGGTTTGTTATGCAGTCTCATCTCAGTGCTGTTTCTGGTCTTCCTGGTACAGGACACGGGAACACCTTTACAAATAGGAACTTATCTCACCTTTACAAAGGGAAATTTATGCCTTGCTTTTAGGCAGAAAGGGAAGGGCAGAAAGTGAATTTTTGTGTAATAAGTGCAGAGTTCCTTTGGGGGAAGATGAAAAATTTGTGGAGATGCATAATGGTGATAGTTGCACAACTATGTGAATGTACTTAATACCACTCAACTGTTTATCTAAAAATGGTTAATATGATTTAAAAATAATTTTTTTTGAGACAGAGTCTCCCTGTGTAATCCAGGCTGGTAGGATCTCTGCTCATGGAAACCTCTTCTCCATGGGTTCAAGTGATTCTCCTGCCTCAGCCTTCTGAGTAGCTGGGATTACAGGCACCCGCCGCCACGCCCAACTAATTTTTGTATTTTTAGTAGAGACAGGGTTTTGCCATATTGGCCAGGCTGGTCTTGAACTCCTGACCTCAAGTGATCTGCCCGCCTCAGCCTCCCAAAGTGCTGGGATTACAGGCGTGAGCCACCGTGTCCAGCCTAAAATGATTTTATATTACATATATTTTACCACAATAAAAATATTGAAAACATACTCTGATATGTCAAACAGGATCCCTAAGGAGCAAATAAATTTTTGTATCTAAACTAAAGGAGTTTTGTAATAAGAAATAAAAAGGTACCCTGGGAAAACAAGCTGTGTTCCTCTGGGGAAGGAATTTTCTGAAAGACTGTGATATAGGCTGACCATAGTCAGAGAGGTAGGCACAGAACACTTTAGATATCATCTCAATCTAGAGGCATGTGAATTTTATGTTAAAGAATGGAGAGGGAGATTCCTGTTTAAAAGGAGGCTTTGGGCCAGACGCGGTGGCTCACGCCTGTAATCCCAGCACTTTGGGAGGCCGAGGTGGGCAGATCACCTGAGGTCAGGAGTTCGAGACCAGCTTGGCGAACATGGTGAAACCCCATCTCTACTGAAAAATACAAAAATTAGCTGGGTGTGGTGGCATGCACCTGTAATCCCAGCTATTCGGGAGGCTGAGGCAAGAGAATCGCTGGAACTCAGGAGGCGGAGGTTGCAGTGAGCCAAGATAGCACCATTGCATTCCAGCCCGGGCTAACAACAGTGGAAGGAAGGAAGGAAGGGAGGGAGGGAGGGAGGGAGGCAGGCAGGCAGGCAGGCAGGCAGACAGGCTTTCCTAGCTGTTTGCCCTTCCAGCTTAGGGCACATCTTAAAGTAGCAGCTCCTACTGTTCTGGCTGATCCATAGCTGAGTTCCTAATCCCTTGACCTGCAAATGGCTCCATTCACCTGTTCTTCTGGAGCCTTGGTTTCTATATTTTTCATGCTACCATGACAATATCTGCTTTCCTATAACTTTATAGTGCCATTTGAAGATGGGCTAAAATTAAATAAGCCTACAAATTTCCTTTAGTTCCTGGGACTAAACAGTGTTATTTCTGCTCAGCCCATGTGAGTGCAGCATCAGTCTTCAGAGTCCTGCTGCTTTTTGCTACACAGTGTGTCGAGGGAACAATGACAAATGACCCAGATTATATTTATCAGGAGTTAGGGCTAAAGGCTTTCTCATTTAGAGTTACCCCATCTCTATAATCTTTTAAAAAAGAAGCATCCTAAAAGCAACTTACATATGGAAGGAAATATAGTAAAATCACCATAGCTAAGACTTTCTTGATTTCCTTCCTTGTTTATACTTTGCTTCTACTCCTTGCATCATTTCATTAATATGAAAGAAACAGACCAGTTTTCTGGAACATTCTGCCAGTTTTTGTTGAAGGTTAAAACGTATTATTGTATTTGTGATTAATATAAGAAAGTTAATGTGTTTTCTTCTTTCTAGGTTACTTTTTCTTATGTTTTTAACAGAGACTAACTTTAGATTACCTATAATTCAAGAAATATCTATTCTCAACATCCCACATCACTGTATGTTCTTTGCTAGGTTATTGGGCTCCTGCTGTGCAATTTAGATCCTTCTTTGTCATTATTTTCTCAAGGGTTTTCAAATTTCCCTCTTTGAGGATTATAGCAATGCACACTTACCCCTGCAGCCCGTTGGGTGGCAGGCAGCTTTGCTACCTCATGTGGCTAGGTGATTTCACAGAGGTGGCAATGATAATTCACAGAGAAGTAAACAGGAAGCACCTTAAATTCAAGGTTGTGGAATGTCGCTCCTGCTGCTGGTCTTCTGGGAATGTTGTGCATTTTTTCTTTTTAAAACTTAGGGTTTCTGTAGAAATAATCTGTTCCATCCTACATTAAATGAGAATTAGAAAGATATACTCAGTCAAATCAGTGATTTGCTGGAGTGGAGTCAATGGCCTGAAACTCCCTTGCTGGAAAGATGGCTCTGGAGTATGTGAGCTGGATTCAGGAGGCAGATAACAGCCAGGGACAGCAGTATCATGGCAGCTGAGTTGAACACCACGGGAATAGCTCGAAAGAATAAGCAATGGCAGCACAGAAAAGCAGCTGCCAGGAAGCAAAATTCAGAGAGCATGTGAGTCACAGGAGAGAGGTGTCACAGATTAGAATATAGAGTTTATAGGAGAAAAGGAAAGTGTGTCAGAAGGAATTATGGTTGGGAAAGCAAAGACCTTGTATTGTAAAAGTAAAAAAAAATTATATATCTCTGAAGGTGCTTGTAAACCATTTACAATAATAGGAAAAAGGAACAGAAAAAGAAAAAACAGGGTTATTTGATAAAGAGAAGGGGATTGAACCAACGACTCTGTCAAATCTAATTATGAATGCATCCTTCCCTTTAAGAAGGGCTTGGTAGATCAAAGGTAAATTCAAATTATATATTTATTTGCTACTACTGTGAAGTTTCTTGAGCCATTTAATAATCTCATTCAGTCACCCATGAAACTCTTATTCTCCTGCAAATGATTATCCATGTTATGAGTTGGTTTTTAAGTCTCCTAACAAAGATTGCTTACAAAAACATGTCTTTAACCCTGTAGCCCTTGTCCCAGGTTCTGACAGTCTGTCTCTATTTGCGTTACTGGATTGATGGTCCAGGAAAGAGTGCAGGAATGTGCATGTATCTTGTTTTCCTAAGGAAAATAACCATGATAAGTTTTAAAAATTATTTTGATACTTCCCTTTCTACCAAATTAGTGATTTTGAAAGTTGTCTTACCTGGACTTTTGTTAGTGAAGGAGACAAAGGCATTGGGATAGAAATTCATGCTGAGTATAAGTTTGCCTGTCCTTGAAGATCTTGTGGATCTACTTTACAACATATGGTCTCTGAAAATATGACGATACCTAGTGCATGTGAAGGATATTTTCAAAATGGTTTGGTTCATAAAACTGTCAGCTGATTTCATACATCTAATTGAAACATTTTCCATCTAAAATAGGGCAATTTACAGAAGTGTCTCTCTGGTTTATTTACATTGCATATTCCCATAAAGCAGCAGGTTTGCAATAAAGCATTTGACACCCCCATGGTATTTTGAAAGAAACAATATACAATCTGGCACAAGTTAGCACCAGTGTGAAATGGCAGGCTGGGGGATATCTTAAACAGCAGCAACTTTCAAAACTAAATGAAGTGTCATCTTAAGGAGGCTGCTGTTAATGCAATTTAAATTACTCACCTGAAATTAATATTCTGCTGAGGGAAATAAAGCAAATTAAAAGACCACATAATTTCCGATCACATCATTGACATTATGTGGTCACGGACTGTTCCCTTATCTAATATAGAAACACTCCAGTTTCTTTTCACACTAAACACATTTTTCCATTTTAACTACTTGGCTTCTAAAAAAAAAGATCCACTCATTCCCTGCAGATGGTTAACAATTTGAGATTTATGACTGGCTTCATTGGAATTAGGTAAACATGACCTTGACATACTTATGATTGTTCCTAATATTCATTCCTACAGAGGAGGGTGGAAATCAAAGAAGTACGACCTAACATGTGAATTCTCCAAGCCCTTCAACCCCTTAAGAGGCCAATTTCATTTTTTTCCCCTCTGTAGCTAGAGGCAGTTTGGTACTTGTACCATTTTACTTCTTCCCATTTTGGTACATGAAAATACTAAAGGAAGAAAGCAGTTTTTATAACTGCCCAGCTCTCTTGAGGAAAGAAGAAGATAGATTCTGATTTCTTTCTCTCTCTCTCTTTTTTTTTTTTTTTTTTTTTTTTTGAGATGGACTCTTGCTTTGTCACCCAGGCTGGAGTGCAATGGCACGGTCTCGGCTCACTGCAACCTCCACCCTGGGTTCAAGCGATTTCCTGCCTCAGCCTCCCGAGTAGCTGGGAATACAGGCGCGTGCCACCACACCCAGCTAATTTTTGTATTTTAGTAGAGACAGGGTTTCACTATGTCGGTCAGGCTGGTCTCGAACTCCTGACCTCGTAATCCACCCACCTTGGCCTCTCAGAGTGCTGGGATTATAGGCATGAGCCACCATGCCCAGCGCATTGTGATTTCTTTCTAGATGAGAGAGAGATTCGAGTTTCTAGGTTGTTGGCTTGATTTCCAGTATAAATGGATAAATTGAGCCAAAAAAGATATTTTTCTCCAAAAATTTCAGAGGGATTAAAATTATATGAGCTTTAAGTTAAAATTAAAACTTTAAAAATGTTTAAACAATAAAATGTAGAGAAAATATCACACTTATGTATACACCACTGAAATTAAATATATATTAACAATTTCCTCCTTCCCTCCCTCCTTCCTTCCCTCTTTCTCTCTCCCTCTCTCCTTCTGTCTTAAAAAAGATTTGCAACAATAGCTAAATCTTTTCCCCTAGGTGTTAACCACACTTCTGAAGTTCATGTATATTATTACTATCCATGTTTTCTACTGTCTACATATGCATGTATCCATGAATGAAATAGATACCATTTGGGTATTTTTAAAAAATTATATAAATAAACTTGTTTTGCTTTACTTTGAACATTGATTTTGAAATTTATTCATGATATACGTTAAGCAAGTTATTAATTCCATCCTTTGGAAATTATATTTGGAAATTTAATTATATTTAAATTTCCAAATTATATTTGGAAATTATATTATTCCATCCTTTCTATATAATTGACTATTTTATTCATTCCCCTAATAGGAGGCACTTAAGATAAGAAATAGACATGGAAACTTTATTGGGAATGTAAGTCTGTAATTTTACCCATTTAAAGAGCTGGCTACTTCTTTTGTTAATTTTATTTTACATATGAATAAACTTTTTCTCTTATTAATTGGCCTTTTTTTCAATTTAACAGGACACTCAACCTGAGAGGACAGAGGAAAAATTTTTCCTCCTGGATATATTTATTCATAAATGGTGATTCAGGAAAGTAGGATCAATTCATGTAATATTGTGTTGAGGGAAATGTACGTACACTTCATTGTGAGTCAGAAGCAAGGGGCTTATTATGATGTCAAACTGGTAACAAGCAAAGTAACATATTTATTAGATTATTCCAAAATGTCCCCTGATGGTATATACTGGAGACCCTATGAGGACAATAACTACTTTTAAACAAATACCCATACAATAATAATGGGCAAAGAATAATATGACAATATATTTAAATGTACTAAGACATTCTTATACTGTGAAAGTGAATGCATACTCTGCTGTCCTGTATGACCCTGTTTAGAGTGTGTAATGCCAGAATTAATTCAATATTAGTGTTGACTACTAGAATTGTTGTGGTCAGATTCAAAGGTAGCACAAATACAAACAATTTAGAACCACTGAGTGTTTTCATTGGCTAGGCTACTTAAAATTAGATAAAAATCTTAGTAGGACATTTTGATAGTTGTATTCTAGTATAACTAAGATTTCTATTGAATGATACATTTCCTTTCAGTTTAAAGAAAATACTAGCATTTGAAATATTACTGAATTTAATCAATGCCCAGTTTTATTACATGTCAATTATATGTATAGATTATCTGATTGCTTTTTTCTTCAGATAGATTTGAATTTGTTTTTGCTGTAGCAAAATTTTAATTTATATATGCTACAAAATGATTCCTTTTTTTGGATTTGGGAGTTTTAATAGTTTATTCTTATACATGACTCATTTATGTACAGGAGCACAATTAGCCTTGTATGTTTAGGTCTCTGAAATCTTACAATAATGGCAATAATTTTTATGTGTTGTTACAACAATAACCATTTAAAGTAAAAACTCGAACTTAAAAAAATTTATACAGATGTGCTTTTTTCCTGAGAAAATAATAACTTCATTTTTCTTAAACATATCTATTACGACTTTAGGAAAAAACAGGGTCAACTATGTGCCCCATAGCAGAGTTCTTTTTTTTTTTTTCCTTTTTCTGAAGGATTCAGGATTTTTGTGCTATTAGAAGAGGAAAATATCATATTTTGTTTTAATTTTTAATTGAGAAATATAAGTCTCTCAACTGATATATATGTGATATGGACTAATACAAATACATTTTCCTAGCATAGCAGAGTCTCACTATTTCAATGTTAATCTGATTTCTGAAGAACAAAGGACAGATATTTAGAAGAGTTATTTAAATTGAAGTGTTATTTTATTTTTTTAACATAATTTCTTTTTTTTAATTTTTGTTTTAGATTCAGGGGTACATGTGCAGTTTTGTACATGGGTAAATTGCGTGTTGCCGAGGATTGGTGTACAAATGATCCTATCACCCAGGTAGTGAGTAGAGCTCTTTTAGAATGTAAAATTCAATAACACAACTGATTTCATAAAGCACACTTCAGGCCATTTTTGTCTTTGTTTTGTATTATGGTAAACGATATAGTTTGGATGTGTGTCCCTGCCCAAATCTAATGTTGAGTTGTAATCCCCAATGTTGGAGGTGGGATCTGGTGGGAGGTCACTGGATCACAGGACTGGATTTCTCATGAACGGTTTAGCACTGTCCTCTTGGTGCTGTCCTGGTTATAGTGAGTGAATTTCTCATAAGATCTAGTTGTTTAAAAAGTGTGGCATCTCCCCTGCTCATCTCCCCTGCTCTCTCTCTTGCTCCTGCTCTGGCCATGTGAACTGCCTCCTCCCCCTTCATCTTCTGCCATGATTGTAAGCTTCCTGAGGGCTCCCCAGAAGCTGAGCAGATGCCAGCATCATGCTTCCTGTACAGCCTGCAGAACCATGAGCCAATTAAACTTCTTTTCTTTATAAATTACCCAGCCTCAGACATTTCTTTATAGCGATATGAGAAGAGCCTAATTTTGTGAATTTACTCTAAAGAATGAAACGTGCCATTTAAAGACTTTTTATTTGAAAATGAGAATTGTTTCCTTTCATTTAGCAGGCAAGAAAGCAAATGTAAGAATAATAACATTTGAACTCTGTCCTTACATATAATTAGCATATGTAATTATGCATTTTTAAAAAGCCATTGAGCTGATAATGGCCAGTCTGTAATCTTAAAAGATAAATCAGGCTGGGCACGATGGCTCACGCCTATAGTCCCAGCACTTTGGGAGGCCGAGGCATGCTGATCACAAGCTCAGGAGATCCATACCATGCTGGCCAACATGGTGAAATCCCGTCTCTACTAAAAATACAAAAATTAGCCAGGCATGGTAGCACGCACCTGTAGTCCCAGCTACTAGGGAGGCTGAGACAGGAGAATCGCTTCAACCCAGGAGGCAGAGGTAGCAGTGAGCTGAGATCATGCCACTGCACTCCAGCCTGGGCGACAGAGCAA
Organism: Homo sapiens; assembly: GCF_000001405.40. Taxonomy (NCBI): domain Eukaryota; kingdom Metazoa; phylum Chordata; class Mammalia; order Primates; family Hominidae; genus Homo; species Homo sapiens. The sequence continues at coordinate 58,086,476 of NC_000006.12, read as the reverse complement.
GACTCCGTCTCACCGTCTCAAAAAAAAAAAAAAAAAAAAAAAAGGCCAGGTAATCCAAAGAAACAAGTGATGTCAATTTATTCACATACTACCATAACAAGGGTTAATGAGTGCATGTTTTTATGCACTATTAAAAAGGGATGTAATTGCTCAGTTGGTTATAGCAGTCATTTGCTATTTCCAAATTGTATTTTCTTTTGAAAAAAAAATTGCTGAAATCTTCTACATAAGTAATTATCCCTTGCTCAATCTCATTTTTGAGTGGAATAAAATAAACCATAGACTTGATATCCAAAGGAAAGGCTTGGTTAACCTTCCCCAAGGTTTACATGGTTAGATATGTATGTATATGTTCACTAGGTAATTTAAGATTTAATAAGGGCACCACAAATACTTAATGTATTATTAGAACTTTCTAAGAGCAAAGAAGACAGGCATATATTAGACAAAGGCCAATTGTTCACTAAATTTTTATTCTACTATACTTAATTTAGGATATTTTTGTCTTTCAATGTTTACTTTAGGTTCAGAGGGTACATGTGCAGGTTTTTTACATGGGTAAATTATGTGTCACTAGGATTGGTGTACAAATGATTTCATTATCCAGGTAGCGAGCACAGTACTTGATAGGCAGTTTTTTGACCTTCACTCTCTTCCCACTCTTCCCACTCAAATAGGCCTTGGTGTGTATTGTCCCCACCTTTCAGTCCATGTATACTCAATGTTTAGCTCCCATTTATAAGTGAAAATACATGGTATTAGGTTTTCTGTTCCCTACAGATTCTGGATATTAGAACTTTGTTGGATGCACAGTTTATGAATATTTTCTTCCATTCTGTAGGTTGTCTGTTTACCCTGTTGGTAGTTTCTTTTGCTGTGCAGAAACTCTTTAGTTTAATTAGGTCCCACGTGTCTATTTTTATTTTTATTGCAATTTCTGTGGAGACTGTCATGAAATTTTTGCCAAGGCCTATCTCCAGAATGGTATTTCCTAGGTTTTCTACTAGGGTTTTAATACTTTTAGTCTCATGTTTAAGTCTTTATTCCATTTTGAGTTGATTTTTGTAAGTAGTGAAAGGTAGGGGTCCAGTTTCAATCTTATACACATGGCTTGCTTTGGCTATTTGGGCTTCTTTATGGTTCCATATAAATTTGAGAATTTTTTTTTAATTTTTTGAAAAATGACATAGGCATTTTGATAAGAATAGCATCAAATCAGTTAATTGTTTGGGGCAGTATGGCCATTTTAACAATATTGATTCTTCCAATCCGTGAGCATGGAATGTTCTTCCATTTGCTTGTGTCATCTCTGATTTCTTTCAGTGGTGTTTTGTAATTCTTGTTGCATTGATCTTTCACCTCCCTGGTTAGCTGTATTCCTAGGTATCTGATTCTTTTTGTGGTTATTGTGAATGGGACTGCATTCTTGATTTGGCTCTCAGCTTGGACGTTGTTGGTGTTATAGATATGATACTGATTTTTGTATGTCAATTTTCTATCTTGAAACCTTACTGAAGTTGTTTATCAGTTCTAGGAGCCTTTGGACAAAGACTGTGGGGCTTGTTAGGTGTAGAATTATATCATCTGTGACAAGAGATAGTGTTACTTCCTTTATTCCTATTTGGATGCCTTTTATTTCTTTTTCTTGCCTGATTGTTCTGGCTAGTACTGTGTTAAATAGGAGTGGTGAGAAAGGGCATCCTTTTGTTCCGGTTTTCAGGGGGAATGCTTCCAGCTTTTGTCTGTTCAGTATGATGTTGGCTGTGAATTTGTCATAGATGACTCTTACTATTTTGAGGTAACTTCCTTCAGTGCCTAGTCTGTTGAGGGTTTTTAACATGAAAGGATGTTGAATTTTATTGAAAGCCTTCTCTGTTTCTATTGAGATGATCATGTGGCTTTATTTTTAATTCTGTTTATGCGGTGAATTGCATTTATTGATTTGCATATGTTGAACCAACCTTGCATCCAGGAACAAAGCCTTACTTGATTGTGATGGATTTGTTTTTTATGTGCTGCTGGATTTGGTTTGCTAGTATTTTGTTGAGGATTTTTGTGTCTATGCTCATCATGGGGATTGGTCTGAAGTTTTGTTCTTCAATGTGTCTCTGCCGGGTTTTGATATCAAGGTGACACTGGCCTCATAGAATGAGTTAGGGAGGAGTCCCTCCTCCTGAGTTTTTTGGAATAATTTCAGTAGGATTGGTACCAGCTCTTCTTTGTATGTCTAGTAGAATTCAGCTGTGAATCTATCTGGTCCAGTGCTTTTTTTTTTTTTTTTTTTTGGAGGTTTTTTATTACTGATTCAATTTTGGAACTTGTTATTGGTCTTTTTGGGATTTCAATGTCTCCCTGATTCAATCTTGGGAGGTTGTATATTTCCAAGAATTTATCTATTTATTCTAGATTTTCTAGGTTGTGTGCATGGAAGTGTTTGTAAAAGTCTGTGATGGTTTTATGTATTTTGGTGGGGTTGGTTGTAGTTTCCACTTTGTCATTTCTGATTGTGTTTATTTGGATCATCTCTCTTTTTTTCGTTATTAGTCTAGCTAGCAGTCTATCAGTCTTGTTTATTCTTTTGAAGAACCAATTTTTGATTTCATTGGTCTTTTGTGTGGATTTTTGCATCTCAATTTATTTCAGTTCAGCTCTAATTTTGGTTATTACTTTTCTTCTGATAGCTTTGAGGTTGATTTGCTCTTATTTATCTAGTTCCTCTAGGTGTGATGTTAAGTTGGTAATTTGAGAACTTTCTAACTTCTTGATGTGAGGATTTAGTGCTATAAACTTTCCTCTGAACACTAGTTTAGCTGTGTCCCAGAGATTCTGGCAGGTTGTATTTTTGTTTTCACTAGTTTTGAAGAATTTTTTAATTTCCATCTTAATTTTATTATTTACCCCAAAGTCATTCAGGAGCAAGTTGTTTAATTTTGAGAGAACTTCTTGGTATTGATTTTCATTTTTATTGTGCTATGGTCTGAGAATGTGATTGGTATTTTTTGTTGTTGTTGTTGTTGAGAATTGCTTTATGGCTGAGGATGCGGTTGATTTTAGAGCATGTGGCATATGCAGATGAGAAAAATGTATATTCTGTTGTGTTGGGGTGGGAGAATTCTGTAGATGTCTGTTAGGTCCATTTGGTCAAGTGTCAAGTCCCAAATATCTTTGTTAGTTTTCTCCCTTCATGATCTGTCTAACGCTTTCAGTGGTATGTGGAACCCTCTCAGTATTATTGCATGGTTATGTAAGTATCTTCATAGGTCTCTAAGAATTTATTTTATGAATCTTGGTGTGATTGGATGCATATATATTTAGGATAGTTAAGTCTTCTTGTTGAATAGACCCTTTATCATTATATAGTGGCTTTCTTTGTCCTTTTTGATCATCACTGGTTTAAAGTCTGTTTCGTCTGAGATAAGAATAGCAACCCTGCTCTTTTTTGTCTACTGTTTGCATGATAGGTATTTCTCCATTCCTTTACTTTGAGCCTATGTTGTCATTGCATGTGAGACAGGTCTCTTAAAGACAATGTACAGTTGGGTCTTGCTTCTTTATCCAACTTGGCACTCTGCCTTTTAAGTGGGGTGTTTAGCCCATTTATGTTCAAGGTAAGTATTGATATGTGAGGATTTGACCCTATCATCATGTTTTTAGCTGGCTGTTATGTAGACTTGATTGTGTAGTTGCTTTATACCGTCAGTGGGCTATGTTCTTAAGTGTGTCTTTGTGGTGACAGGCATCAGTCTTTCATTTCCATGTTGAGCACTCCCTGAAGGACCTTTTATAAGGCAGGTCTAGTGGTAATGAATTATCTTAGCATTTGCTTGTCTGAAAAAGGATTTTATTTCTCCTTCACTCATGAAATCTAGTTTGGGTGAAAGTGAGATTCTTGGTTGGAATTTATTTTCTTTAAGTATGCTGGTTATAGGCCCCCAGTCTCTTCTGGCTTGTAAGGTTTCTGCTGATAGCCTGAAGGGGTTCCCTCTGTACGTGACCTGCCCCTCTCTGTAGCTGCATTTTTTTTTCTTTTGTGTTGACCTTGGAGAATCTGATGATTATGTGTTTTGGCAACAGTCATTTTGTATAGGATCTTACAGGTGTTCTCTGAATTTGCAGGTCAATTTCTCTATCAAGGTTGGGGAAATTTTTGTGGACTATATCCTCAAATACGTTTACCATGTTGTTTGTGCTCTCTCTATTTCTTTCAGTAATGCCAATGAGTCATAGGTTTGGTCTCTTTACATAATCCAATATTTCTTGGAGGTTTTATTCATTTAAAATTTTTAAAAAAATTTTTTGTCTGCCTGTGTTGATTGGAAGAAGTGGTCTTTGAGCTCTGAGATTCTTTCCTCAGCTTGGTCTATTCTGTTATTAATGTTTCCATTTGTATTATAAGATTCCTTTGGGGAATTTTTTTATTTCCAGAAGTTAAGTTTGCTTCTTTCTTAAAATGGCTGTGTCATCTTTCAGCTCTTGATCATTTTACTGGTTTCCTTACATTGGGTTTAAACCTAATCCTGGATCTCATTGAGTTTCCTTGCCATCCAGATTCTGAATTCTATGTCTGTCATTTCACCCATTTCAGTCTGGTTAAGAACCACTGCTGGGAAGTTAGTGTGGTTATTTGGAGGCAAGAAGACACTCTGGCTTTTAGAGTTGCCAGAATGCTTGCATTGGTTCCTTCTCATCTGTGTGTGCTAATGTTCCTTTAATCTCTGAAGTTGCTGGCCTTGTGAATGGGGCTTTTTGCTTTTCAATTCTTTGTTGTCCTTAAGGTTCTGACTGTGGTATAAGTTGGGTTTAGTCAATTGGCTTCATTTCTGGATATCTTCAGGGGGCCAGTGTTTAACTCAGCATTCGTGGGCTGCGTGTTCTAACAATGCGGCCTAGGACCAGGACCCTGGCTTTGCTTTCCGGTTCCTCAAGGCCAAGCACCAACTGCACTGGAGGGGAAGAGGTGTTCCCAGTCCACTGGCAATAACATTCTGATGGGAGCTGTTAGCAAAAGTGCTCTGGCAGGACGGCACGTGCACCGTGGGAGAGTGCATTTCAGCAGAGGGTCCTGGATGAGTGTGCACCAGCGAGGCAGCTGCAGGCAACTGTGCACTAGTGCAGCAATGGGGTGGGTAGAGTATGGATGAATGCACACCAACAGAGTGGTAAATGAGACCCAGACGTGTGCACGCTGGTGGAGTAGCAGGGGGCCCTGTGTGTGTGTTAGCCAGTGGGGCAGTGGTGTTTCTGTATGCATGTGTGCACACACCAACAAGGTGATGAGGGGAGGTTGCTAGTGAGTGTGCACCAGCAGGGTTCCATCTGCAAAAGTACTCTGATGGGATGATGGGGGATGCTGGCAAAAGAGCTATGGTGGTGACCACAGGCAAGCATTTTGGCAGGGCACCTGAGGCCATACTGTAAGCAGGTGCATCCAGACAGGGACCCTGGGAGAGGCCGGCAGATAGAGGGGGCATTCAGATCAGACTGACTGTGTCCACTGGGCAAGACAGCCCTGCTCTCTCCAGGTCTGGCAGCTAATGAAAGCTAAAGCCAACTAGAGAAGTATGGTGAACTTTGGGGGATAAGCAATGGCTATGCTCCACTGTAGCCATTCCCGCACCAAACCCTCCAGGCTCTGTGCAGACTGGAGTTCTGTCTCTGCCAACTCAGGCAATTCTCCCTCTAAAACTCAAAATGTCCATGGGGGTTGTTGGGTCTCCACAGCTAGGATCCTGGAGGTCTGTAGCAAGAGTGGACAGTTCTACACCTATTTGACTTAACCCTTCCCTAGAATCTGTTCATGGCAAGGAATGAATTCTGTTGCTCTGCAGCCCTGTGTGGCCTTTCTAGCTTTTTCCCCCTTCAGCCCAGGATCTATATCCTCCCTCTATCCACTCTCAATGCCTTTTTTCTGAAGATCTGTTTAGAGTATGCCGGTGTACTTGGTGGTCTGGTCTTAGTGGGAGAAGCTCTTCCTGGCTGCATCTAGTCAGCCACATTGGCTCTTCCCTCAGTAATTTTAAAATGCTAAAATATCCATCTGTATCATTTTTTACTTTTCAAGACTGAGCATTGGCAATGAGTTCAAATGAATTCCAGTTTTTCATGCCATTCATTCATTCCAGAATTTTATTCTGATATTCATTCAGGATTTCCAGCTAGATCTTTATCCCACTTTTAATTTTAAAATACTACTTTGAATTTTTCTACATTTTGATGCTATTATGAACTCTTTAGATTCACTAAGAAATATCTGCAAACATCTTAGTGTTAATTTTCTACAGCTGACATAGCAAAGTATCACAAACTGGGTGACTTAGAACAATGAAATTTGTGGTCTCATTTTTGGAAGCTAGAAGTCTGAAATTAAGGTGTTGACAGGGTCATGCTTCCTCTGAAATCTGAAACAAATTTTGTCTAGGCCCACAGTCTTAACTTTCCTGTTTACTCTTGATAATGTGGAATTTTATAATTTTTCTGCTTTATGTTATATCTGGACTGGCTGTAGGTCAATAATATTGATCTAAAGATAAATCATAAAAATCATACACGCAAGATAAAACATATTCTTTTCAAGTACACATTGATCATGTACTAGCTCACAAGTAATCTCAACAAATTTCAAAAAACAGACATATGGAACATTTTTCCTATCTTAAAACAATTTTATTAGAAAACAAAATTATTAGAAGCAATTGTATTATCTTACAACAAATTTGTCTTAAAACATTACTAGAGAACTAACAGTGAAATGAAAATAGAATAAATAAAGTATGTTTGAAACTAAAAACATATTCTCAAATAACTTGTGTTGCAAACTTAGAGTTGAACAATAATAAAAAATACATATCAAAACGTGAGATATAGATGAAGTGGTATTTAGAAAAATATCTATATTCTTAAGTTTATTAAGAAATATTTTCCTGATCTTTGTCAGTAACAAGAAAAAAAAGAAATATTTTATGTGTTTCATGTTGGCTCTTTTCTCTGTACTAATTTTTGAAAGAGATTCTATCTGCCTAAACTGTATTTTTCCATAGGCAAGATGTTAGATTGTCTTTTTTCAGTCTCTTTTTCCATTTGAGTCATGACTGAATCCACTTCTCAGATTTATACTTGGAAGTCAGGTTGAGAAAAAAATGTAGTCAGGGTTCCATCTGAAGGCAAACTGAATTCATCTGTCTTGTGCTTTGTAGAGATTCTTTCCAGATGTCTGCTTCAAGTTGTCCCTAGATTTTTTTTTTTTTTTTTTTTTTGAGACGGAGTCTCGCTCTGTCACCCAGGCTGGAGTGCAGTGGCACGACCTTGGCTCACTGCAAGCTCCACCTCCAGGGTTCATACCATTCTCTTGACTCAGCCTCCTGAGGTTGTCCCTAGATCTTAATTTTAGGTGGTGGTATATTTTCAACTTTTCCTATGTTTGTATAAGCATTTTAGTTAAAAGATAGGAAAGGCAAGAAATGTAAACAAGTGCCATTTTAAATAAGAAATCTTGTTGGCTCTTCACTTGCTTTTGAAGTGATGAAGACGTGAGTAAGGTATACTATGAATGTACCTATGCTATATTTTGATAAAATTTAGACAGAATCCAGGCAAAGGTAAGGTTAGTTGAAGTCCATAATCACTGCTTTACTTGCCTTTGTGCTGGTTTTGTAATTTGCTTACAGAAAGAACCTTCCTTATTCTTTGTGTGCCTAAGTGACTGATACTCCAACAATATAATTTCCTGCTCCCATTTTACCTTAAACAAATATCCTTTAATCTACTTCCACTCCTAAGTTTGCAGATTTTTAAATATGCTTATTTACTAAAAGCTTGAGTAGACAAGACAACCTCAAATAACATACTAAAGAAAAGTTGAAAGTTTAACCCAGGAGTTTCCCTCATTAAAAACTAATATAAAGATTGAAAAACCTTGTCTCAGACTTTTGAATCAGAATTCCAAAACTGGAGTTTTGAGATCTATAGTTTTAAAAAGTGATTCCGATCTATATCCCTGGTTGAAAAAAATCACTGCTTTAATCTGTTACATGCAAATTAACTAATTAATTAGTTAGGTGGGTAGTTTCTAAATGATAGTGTATCTGGCTTGATTTCTTAAACACAGATTACTGCAGTGCAACTGAAACAATTTAGAGGTTCAACAGAACATGGTGAAAATCTTTCACTGTCATTTGTTACACCTGTACCTGCAGAAAGTCACTTACTCTCTCTGAACCTCAGTTTCCTCCTTTGGAGGATGGAGATAGTATCTTCTACAACCAAGAGTTTATTTAATGGGCTACCATCTTGTTGTCTAGGAGTTCTGGATGGAAACTCAATGCTGAACACAACAGATGACAAGATCCCAAACATTCTAAATGGAATGACTTGCTAACTAGCCAAAGCTACTTGAGACATAATAGGCCACACACAAGAGAGCATCCATGAGTTACTCTGACAAGAAAGAGGATTTATTTGAAGGGATTTTTTAGCCTAGAAGGCATGACCCCATACAGCTTCTTCCTGATGCTATGGCCTCACCTATTAAGATGGTTTTGCCCATGCTCCTTATATTTGCCCATGCTCCAGAGCCCAGCTCTTGTTATTAGGAGACACTCTTGTTCTACTGTTTGTGAAATAGGAGCATGCCCCCATTGCAACCCACCAAAGAGACGTGAGATACAACAGAGCAGACTGGAAAGATAGCAGTAAGAACAAAGAAGTATTTTTAGATTGTATCCTACTGAGTAAGCTAATTTAATATACTTGTTATATATTTAACCCATATGATCCATTCTGTCAGCTTTGGATACACTTATGATCATATTTCACTTGAGCACCCTTCTGCCCTATTAGACAAAACCTAGCATCTTCTTCTCAAGGCTCCCGCATCCCAGAATTGGCAAAGAGGCCTGGAATCTTATTTAGTTCAAAGTGGGAGATAGAAGCAATCAATCTTCTACATGCTGAATGGAGAGATACTGAGTGTGACACACCTGCTGACCTTGTTTCTTTCTGTTGGAGTGTTACTGACACTGTTGCCTGGCACCAAGGTTGTAGATCTTTCTAAAAAGCTTTGGACCCTATGCTTAGCCACTGTTCTCCAAAGCCCAGTATCTCCTAATACATACAAAGTACATAAATTATTTTATAATCTCTGAGCTATAATAATCAGTCAATAACTGGCAACTCCTCCTTGAACTGCATTTATTGGGCTATGATGCACATAGAGATATAAATATATCTGTTGACACGATGGAACACAACACTAGATGGTTTACAGTTTGTCTTACAATGGCAAATCTCAGTCATCTCATCTGTTGATTGACTTCTTGGCATAGCTCACTGATGTTAAGTTTCTTGGGATAGTTACATAGAAGTGGCTTTTTTCCCATAAACTTCTAATGTTAGAATTATCAAGGATTCATCTTAGCTTTCCTTTTCTAGAGCACACCGCCTTTTGATAATCTCACGTAATCCTGTGGCTTTCAGTAGCACTTTTAGGCAAATAACTCAAATTCATATCTCCAGATCAGTCCACAGTTGTTTGCTCTTCATACCTATATTATGCTACCTATATTTTCCATATTTGTCAAAAGAATCTCAAATATAATGTGTCCAAGGTTAAATTTCTGAGTTTCATCCTACAAACCTGCTCTACCCCTATTATTTTCATTTAGTAACTGGTGTCCTCTTTCTACTGAGCTTCTTACACAAGCAAACGCTTTTATATAAACTACATCATCCCTTGCCTAGAATACTCACTTTATTTCCTTTCTTGACTACCTCCATCCATTTTCCACATAGTACCCACAGTGATTTTTTTAAAAAGAAAGAGATTAACTGTCTTGGCTTAAAACCTTTTGTTGACTTCCCATGACACTTAAAGCCCAAAATCTTGACAATGTTCTTAAGGTTCTGTGTGAGTTGATCTCTGAATATTCAACATAATATCTTTTCATCCTTCTCCTTGTTCATTTCCTATAACTACTGTATCTCTCAGACGGTAAGGCACTAATCTTGTTTCCACCTCACAGCCTTTGCACTTGCTTTCTGTTGTGCCTACAGCTATTTTCCCCAGCACCCTGAGCTCCTCTCTCCTTACTCTCTACCTAGTTCATGCTAATCTAGCAGGTGTTTAAGTGTTGCTTTTTCATTGAGGCCTTCTCTTTCACCTTCCCATTATTCTCTCTCATCACTCATGCACATCTTTTAGAACTTATTGCACTTTTACAGTTTTGAGTTTTGCTTGATTAGTGCTTATCTCTCTTACCACATAGTGAGTTCCATAATGATAGTGATCATATCTGCTTTGTTCATCGTTGAATATGCAGAACCTGACACAGTGCCTGGCGTAACCTTCTAATGAATTAATAAAGAGAGCATGCACGGAAGTAGGAGCAAGATATGCAAAGGTTTTCTTCTGTGTATGTGCTTGCAGGGGTGAAGGGACTATTGACAAGATGGTAGTTTGCCTCTACTCTGCAGTTTATGAATCTACACCTTTCCTTCTCGTTGTTGCTAACCTTCCTTTTTTGCAAAAAAGTCTATAATTTGCTGTTGCTGTTTCTGATAGCTATCCCACCACCATGCCATGATTTCTGCTGCTTGTCTATTCTTCCTCTTCTTTCAAATTGCATAAGAAATTCTTGCTGAAGCCATAGAAATAGAAAGCATAACTGTGATAATGTAACGTTGTTTTATGTTGATGAAATGGGAAAAGAGACAATGGTAAAGTGATTAAAGCCTCGGGCAGTGATTCTCAAACTTTAATATCTAAGTGTTTCATGGAGAGCTTGCTAAAAGAAATAGCTATTCCTGAACTCCTCAAAAGTTTGATTCAGTAGATCTGATTTAGGAGAATTACAAAAAGGTCCCCTGAAATGGGTGAGATTTGGTAGAAAATGAGAATGAAAATCCTCCAGAGATTAACTTTATGTTAGTTTTATTTTCTTCAGTGAGGAAAGTTTCCTGTTTGTCACAGTAAAGTTGGGAACCTGAAATTCTATTATGATTATGGAGCACTGTCTCTTTTAAGATGATGGCTGGAGGATACCTTGCAATCACACAAATGGAGAAACCCTGACTGTCTGAGGAGAAAGCAGTTTCCAGACCTGGAATGAAGTGTAGTTTACTTGGCAAGTTAGGGGAAGTGAGGTTTTGTAGCCCCTAGATGCAAAATACTAGACGGCATCTGGACCCAAGGCTCTGTGTACTGGCTTGTATCCCCAGATATATCTAGGGGATAAACTGAAGGCTACACGCCCTCTGGGGATGTGTAGGTTGCAACATGTGCTATGTTGGGGTGCCCTAGTTACAGGCTGGCAGCCTTAGCAGGTGTCTACCTATTAAGATTTGAGGCAAAATGTGAAGGTCTCACTGTAAAACAATATGTTTTGCAGAGGATATCTGACGTGTCACCTTTGTTAACACATAAAGGCAGAAGTTTAGAGTTTCAGGAACCTTGGAAATTATGTAGGACAGCTTATGGCCAGTAAGAAGATTCCATTATACCCTTTCTATTACATCTTTCAGTTGAATACTTCCAGTGATAGGAAATTGAGAATCTACTAGGTTATTTAATTAATTTACTTTTAATCTTATATTTTAATATCTGGTAGTTAACATTTTTTCTCATTATTTTTGTATTCAAATTGTTCTTGACCATTTTTTTTTCTGGGTCATATAATCTTTCTGATAACCTTCAACATTATTTTGTTAAGTTCTAAGTTTATACATTAATTTAGGGAGTTTTGAAATATTTGCAATATTGGCATTTTCATTAAAGAACATACTTATATCTGTTCATTTGCTCATCTTATTTCTCTCTACACATAAGGTTTTATAGTTTTTTATTTGTCCTAGACATTTATTGCTAATTTTTTATTCCATTCTGTTAGTAGGATCTTCCATTTGGTTTTCTAGTTGGTTACTGCAAGAATGTATATGAAAGCTGTTGGATTTCGTTTTTTGAGGATTAGCAATTTATTCTGGATTCCAATGATCTTTCATTTAATCTTCATATACTTATTATCCAGATGAAGTACAAAAATACTTTGAAACAGATTTTATCTTTTTCAAAAATGAGTTTCCAGCTTTGTCGTATTGGCTAGACCTTCTGAAACATTTAAAATAAGGATTTACCTTTTTGATAATTATACCATTCATTTCTGTTTCCTGCATTATTGCATTGATTAAAACATTTTCAAACTGTACATCCAGTTTTTGTTTTGAGGTAGATGAATTTGGGAATATTTTTAACTGTGCTATTGACTCTACCTATTTTATCTCTCCTACATTGTCCAAAATTACATGATTTATTAATATTGTTGTTGTTATTCCTATTCACAAAACAATAAGATGACAGCAAATCAAATTTCGAAAAGTGAATAAACAAACTACAATTCCATTACTCGTACATATTAACTATTAGAGTTGGGGGAATAGTTCTTTTCCAGTTTTGATTGAATGTATACCTATTTTAGTTTTACATGTTGTATTGTTGAAATCCTAATGGTCTTAACATTATAATTGCAAAAATGTCTTCCAAATATAAAACTTCTTTTGTTAGACAAGGGTATCTAATTTTGAAAACTGCAGTTAATTAAGGGTACACAAAAAAGGGTAATATATGATAGATATATTACATTTGTATCTAAAAATTAAGTGACATATGGTTATAGGCAATACCACCTAATTTATATTTAATAAAACCACATTGCTACTTTAAAGTAGCTTTATTTTTATTTTAAAATATGCTTTTCATAAGTATCATATTCTCTGTAATAGAATAGGCAAATCTTATATTCTCTATTCTTATAAAAGATTCACAATTCATAGTGAAGATTCCCGCGGCTAGGGGAACCTTCTCCGCAGTAAGGAGTGGATGGGGTGTCAGGGGAAGAGTGGAACCGGGCCTGCGAGGAGCAGTTGCTGTCACTGTTCTTCGCGCCCTGCAGGGCCCTAAGGAGCGCCTCAGTGCGCCATTCTCTGCTCCCCAGAACCACGGACACGGACAAGCCCGGGGGCTTCGGTCCTGCCTTGGTGTAGGACGTTTGGATGTGGGAGCACCTGCCTGAAGCCCACAAGGCTGTGGCAGCCTCCCTCCTGCGGAGTGGCCCCGCATCCTGGGGAGCCACTGGCCATGTGGGCCACAGATTAAGAACTCAAGGCTGCGGGGGAGTACGGAAGATGGCTGCCTGCGGCGCGAGGAAGACGCTGGGGAAGTGACGTCTCTGAACATTAAATTGTAGATCCAAAGTTGTTAGTGATTCTGGTGATTTTGTCTTGAAGTGTAAAAAGAAGCAAGGCTGGACGTTTTAAACTTTGGAAAGCCACAAAATTGGATTTAACATGTTGAGCAACAATTAGAAACTAAGTGAAAATACACAAAATGCATAATTACTTTCTGGAACCTTCATAGTAGGTGTTTTTATCATGCTAAGGCACAGATAAGAATAGTAAAATCAGCAGCCCAAAGAAAATAACCATCTCATGTCTAAACAATTGAAATTAACCCTTTAAGATTAAACTGGCCTCAAGGTGTTCAATGCATAATAACGAAAACAAAAGTCTGAATCACAAACTGGACCCTGAAATTAAGAGGAAAGTGGAACAGAAACGTCGCTGTAGTACACATTAGTCTACTTCTCCTGTGTCTCCTTTGTCTCCTGTTTCAAAAGTCTGTTGGACTGAAATAATGCAACCAGTGTGTTCAGTGATGATGATGATGATGATAACAATGACCAATGACCACAATGAGGACAACAATAGTAACAGCACTAACAGAGAAAGGATATCTCCTAACCCAGATAATTTAGCATGTTCTTCCCTAGCACCACTCTCTGGAAAAGTAGAAGCAGTACTAACTAAAGACACCTGCAAAGTAGAGCATAAAGCATTCCCACAGATTCAGAGTTAAAGACGGTTACATTTCGCAGGAAATCAAGAATCACATGACCAGTCTGCCAATTCTATTGCCAACACACCTCTAAAAGGTCATAAAGTGATTTCTCCAGAAATTTTAGTTGATCCAGAAGTTCCTTTGAAGGTGTCATTTTAAAGTGCGGAAGTACACTAGTAGGAACATTCTTCTGTTAAAGAGTCTATAATTTTTTTTATTTAGACTTTATCAGGATACAGCTAGAAGAACCAAAAAATGATCCTGCAGATATTACTTTAAATGACTCTGGCCAAACTAAATGTGAATGATGTAATGTCTGAAAATTACCGGTAGTGTTTCTGCAGATGGTACCAGCAGTTTTTCAAAGGCTGGGACTAAGTCTGCAAATGAATAGGGATAGATAGAGTTTAGAATAATTGCAAAGAAATAAATAGGTTAACAATTCAGGAAGAACAAAATATTATTTTAATTTTTCAAACTATCTTTAACCCTCTAGAAAATATAGTATTTGAAAGTATTACTAACATTAGTATAATGAAGAATATTTTTAATTTTTCTGGGAAAATTCTCTTTGAATAAGCCAGTAGCAGATGTGTTGCCTGTGAAGGAAGCATCAAAGGAAGGCATAAGCAAAACAAAAATTTGAAATGTGTACTTTGAATCTAAAATACCACTTTGAAACAAATGAGAATCCACTGTTTTGATAATGAGAAATCAATGAGAGAGCCAGGCCATTTCCATTAATCCTATAAAAATATTTGATAGTATATTTACCACCTCCAGCTAAGGGAGATATCTGTTACTAAAGAGGACCTACACTGCCTAAATGAAGGAAAATTTCTTAGTGATATTATCACAGATTTTTATTTGAAGTAAGTTAATTTTCCACTAAGCTCTTAGCAAAAAAAAAAAAAAAAAAAAAATTAATAGAGATGGGGTTTCCCTATGTTGCTCAGGCCAGTCTTGAACTCCTGGCCTCAAGCAGTCTGCCTGCCTTGGCCTCCCAAAGTGCTAGGATTATAGGTGTGAGCCACCACACCAGGCAGTTAGCAAATCTTTAACTTTCTATCATATAATGTATATTTGCTTTCTGGTGTCAAACTGAATTTTGAATTCTAATTACTGCCACTTACCGTGTGACATCAGGGAAATTGATCTGTCTCTACCTGTGTTTCCTCATTTTAAAAATGCAGATAAGAAAAATAGTATTTACCTAAAAGGGTTATTGTGTGAATTAAATGTGATCATACATGTAAAGTCCTGGGGAAAGTACCTGGCACACGTCCAGCATTCAAAAAATGCTAGTTTATTTTGTTATTGTAGTATTGTAAGACTTTAGAAAATTGTTACTACCCTAGCTTAGGTAATAATTAGTTAAGCATGTACAAAAGTATGATTTCATTAATTTCCTTCAATAAAACATATTCTAACGTGCCAAGAAAAAAAAACCATATCATCACCACCATCATCACATCTAAAAATATACTTATTATCTTATGTGGGAAGTATGCTTGCAGCTAATCAAAAACAGCTATTAAGCCATGGTACAAGTGATAAAAAAGGAGAATCAGAACTCTGTCCTTCTTGCACAAAAACAATTGTTATCTGATCAATCAAAAGATCAAAAGATCATTACTAATAACCCCAGCTCTCCCCATAATATTTAAGGCACAATTTAATACAAACATGAATAACTGGGGAATGCAAATTTAGTTTTGCTATAATTAAGTTCTGCTTACAAATTTAAGGTCAATTAATTCTTGTCTACATTGTCAAAATTGCAAACAAGTTCACACTGCTGTGAAGACAGGTTTCTACGAGGTGACAGAGTATGATAAGTCAATAATGGAATAACGATGCTTAAATCTTGCCTGTTTGGTTGGGGGGGACATTAACATAAAAAATCAAATTTGCAATTCACCAAGAAGAACATGGTCTGTATTGTAAAAGGAATTTATTGTATTATACTCTAATAGATCTGTAATTTTTCCTTTAAAAAAGAAAAGATGGACTATATTTTACGGTAAATGTGGCATTAATTAACAAAGAAATTGAAAGAAATTGTAACACACCATGGGAAGTCTGAAAAATTCAAAAGATAAATCTGTCCACAAGTATCTTAAACTCTTAAAGTCAATGACAGAAGACAAGGAAGCATAGGGAAGCAATTCATTATAAAATTCAGAGCAAATTATTTTTTTGTAAAGCTAGGAAATATAAATAACCAGTCCTCTTCCTCACTTTCCAAAATCGTACCTCAAGTAATTATATCTCAAAATCTATTCTTACTAGTTTGTTGGAGCTTTCCACATAGTTTTATTTTACCACTTTTTAAAAAAACACTGATAATGTTTTTGGGGGCCTAGGGAATATTTCCCCTTTGTCCTCTGAAGGTTCACTGAAAAATCAACTCACAAAAAGGCTATCAAGCTATGGTACATGTTATAAAGAAGGAGATTAATTGGAGTCTCTGCCTTTTGGGGAGTTCAGTTTTCAGTGAATCTTCAGAGGGTGAAGGGGAAATTTTCCCTTTGCCCCAACTATTTGACACTGTGAACAAGATGATCAAAGCTCTGCTCTTCCGGAAGCCTCAGTGAAGAGAATCCAGGACCCAGTAAGTTAGCATAAGGGTAGGAATTTCTTACCAGACAGGCTCTCACCCTCTCTATGTAATCCAGCTGAGAGGATGGTGAAAATCACCTTTCCTCTGCAAAATTTTGATTAATGAGAGAAAAAAAATTGTGTAACTAGTCGGTGTAGCGATTCTGATGTACTTTGTGGTACTTTGCAACGTTACTATTTGTATTGTTTGATCCTTTTCCTCCCAGAAATACTCATTGTATTTGTTTTTCCGTGTTGTTCTGTCATAAAGAGAGGTACCAAATGAGGCTCTCTCTCATTGTATTTTACATTTTGAGAGCTTGACTTGTGACCTTGTGGGAGCACTCTCTCTTGATCTTGCCATCCAAGCAGTGTCATTTTCAGGTCACGTTAGGTGGCCAGTCTGAGAATGGCCCAGAAACCGAGACTTTTTGTTCCAAGTGTGTCAAGCTCTTAGGAGAGTTTGTCTATCTTAGCCTATTTGGGGGAATCTTTGAAATTGCTTCTTCACTGAAGAGGCTATTGGATTGAGTCATTATTGGAATAAGCACACTGTTGGAAATTCTAATTAATCAGTGGACAAAAGATGGATCCTTTAAATTAGAAAGCTTCCTGAATTAAAAAAAAAAGAAGAAGAAGAAGAAGAATTTTAGAGATCACTTATTCTAAACAACTGATGGGAAGATTAAATTAGAAGAAAGACACGTAATAGTACAATGGCTAGCCTTTGAAATTCTCTTGACTAAATTAAAGAGCAAAAATCTGACCTAAAACAAAGTTAAAATCCTTTGTATTCTCAAACCACCTGCTTTAGCTTCCCCGTGGGAGTAACAATAAAGGTCACTCCACTTTGTGACATAATAGTTAAAATTCTGTGCTTTCACTGCCATGGCCTGGGTTCAATTCCTGTTCAGGAAACCATTCCCTCTTGATTTTTGATATTTGTGTGGCTTTTAACTTTTCAGGGTACCTATTTGTTCTTGATCCTTTTCCCATCCATGGACAGCTTTTGATTTTATGTCTTTTTCTATCTGTGGAAGGCACACAAGGTTTTTTGGCCTTTTTTGTGTAGATAGGCAGCTGAGAAGCTGAGACCCTAAAAAGTATTCTAGAGAAAGTTTCCTATCTTTGAGCTGTCTTTAGGATGATTCTGGGTAGTTAAGGCTTGACTTTAAAAGGTACCTTTGGTTTAAAAAAAAAAAAAAAGTTCATAAGCCAGAAATGTCAGTAGTTTGTCCTGTATAAAATCTGACAATAAGAGACTTAAAAGGATTTTTTAAGAGCTCTACAATTAAAAGTTAATTGAATGAAAACCTAACATTCAACATATATATACAAACACACATAATGTATATGCACACATAAATATACATACATAAATATATACATATATACACATATATATATACATACAAGGCCTTTCTGTTCTTTCTCCTTGAATTCTGTTTTTGGAAATTTTATTTTCAGTGGACTAAAATCTTTTTTTTCTTTCTTAATTATGTGCTTGGTCCCTCTGTTTGCTTCCTTTCTTAAAAATTGTTCTTCCTCCTCCTTACTCCTCCTTTCTCTTTGCCACCTTTGGTACAAATGAAAAGATCCAGAGAAGAATTCTAATGACTCAGACTCCTTAAGGAGCTCAGAAAAAAGCACCACCCAGCCCCTTTCAAGGGCTCTTCTACTTTCCTTATAGAGTTTTAGAAGTCATGGACAGTCTCCTGTCAGGTCTAAAACTCTGCTCGGTTGCACTGCATTATCTGATCTCTTTTACTATGGAGAGTATCAGAAAATTACTTTGTTCTGTGAAAAAAAATAAACCTTGACCTTTGTGTATGTGGTGGCTGGCAGGTCACTGGTAAGAGCTGCAGTTGTTTATAGTCAATAGTTTCTACTACTGGGGTTACTCTTATCTTTGCATGCTTAGATAAGAAAGGATGCAGTTTAAACACTTAGAGAAATGTCTTTGTAGCCAAGTACACTGTGAAAGCCTTGTACAGCTGGGTCATGTGGCACTTCCCTCTTTGAGGGGTTCTGGGATTCAATGTAAAAGTGAAATTCTTTATTTTTAAAGTTTAGATTTTCTGCCTTCCAATTATGCCTGCTTTTCACATATTTAAATTATTAGGTCCTAAAAACTGCAAATACTTTGTTTGCCCTGTTTCTTAATGGGCTCAGCCCTGAGTTCAGTGGCTTAGTTGAAAAATATTAAATTAAAAGCTACCTATCTAAATGAAATTGGTCTCTTTATGCAATCCTCTGGTAAATTCCTATGATATTGTGTTACTTTGGCATTCATTTTTAATCTTCCTTGAACTAACACAACTAAACACTTTCTTGAAAAAGCTCCAATTCTCTCTCTTTGCCTTGAAATGTAAATTTACTGCCCCTTTACTATAAACTTGTTATGGTCTTCAGCCATAACTTGTTGATTTACAGAGGCACCATTTAATCCCACTGTCCTTTTAAACTGGTGAGTTTTACCTGTCTCTTGGCTGAAATTTTAAAAGCAAAACTATAATATCTTTATTTATGTTTGTCTATATCTGTGTGTACATGGGTATATGTCTGTCTATATACTGTCTATGTTATATTAAATTGACTTATAAATAAACAAGTTATCATAAACTAAGTAAAAGTATTAGTTACTTTTTCTAGTTCATGTGACTTTACTAATCTTTGGTAAATAAAGATAGTTTTTAATGTGTTGGTAAAACAAAAGCATCTTAAGAATCTAGGCCGGGCACGGTGGCGCATGCCTGTAATCCTAGCACTTTGGGAGGCAAAGGCAGGTGGATCACAAGGGCAGGAGATCAAGACCATCCTGGCTAACACAGTGAAATCCCATCTCTACTAAGAAAGAAAATACAAAAAATTAGCCAGGTGTGGTAGCAGCCACCTGTAGTCCCAGCTACTTGGGAGGCTGAGGCAGGAGAATGGCGTGAACCCAGGAGGCCAAGCTTGCAGTGAGCGGAGATTGCGCCACCGCACTCCAGCCTGGGTGACAGAGCGAGACTCCCGTCTCA
The DNA here is from genome assembly GCF_000001405.40 of Homo sapiens. NCBI lineage: Eukaryota > Metazoa > Chordata > Mammalia > Primates > Hominidae > Homo > Homo sapiens. The sequence continues at coordinate 58,066,973 of NC_000006.12, read as the reverse complement.
AAAAAAAAAAAAAAAATCTAATATAGACATTTTTGCTTGAATCTATTGGTTAGATAGGTTTATGCTATCTCTACTAGATATTTCACAGTAATAAAACTGTTGCTTCTATTATATATATAAATAATAAATTACATATTTTTTTTAAATCTGTGAACTTGTATTTTTGGATTTCAACCATGGGTCATGGTGAGGCCTAGGGACAACACCCAGCCTGTCCTCTGGTCTGGCTGTGCTTCTTGCCATGCTGGGATAAATTAGATCCCCTGTGCATTGTCCTTTGTCCTGGGTTACATATCTGATACACATAATTAAAACTGCTTACTTCCTAGATTTTTCAATGAAAATAAGGGTTACCAAGAGTTAACATTGTAATTCATATATGTAATTAAACCTACTTGATAAGAGAGAAATAATTCTACATGTAAGTGTATTTTAAAAGTTGGATGTGTTTTTGGTAAAATAAAAAGTTAAAAGAAGACATAAGAATGTAGTTTTTGTTAAAAGAAAAATAATTTTATCTAATTAAAAACTGTTTTAATCATTTTAAATTAAATAAAAATAGAAAAATAAAACTAAGTATATATTAAAAGTTCAGGAAATTAAAAGTGAGAAAAATTACAAGAGGTTATAAAAGGCTTATAAAAATCTTATTTTATGTGGTCAAAGCTGATTGGGATTAGATGGATTTGTTTATAAGATTTTGTTAAAATTAGCTTAACAATAATACGCTGATACAAAGGTAAACTTTTTCTTTTTTGAACGAGATTTTTTGGTAGTATTAATAAGAGGTATTAAAAGATATTTGTTTACCTTTTGAGTAAACTACAAAAAAAGGGGCAAGAAAGAGAGATAGATTCAGTGTTTGCCTCATGGTATCTTTATTAGGTCTTGTGATTGTTAGGAAACTGAGTCTTCTATCAAAGATTAAAGATTGTTGTTTTTTGAAATCTTTGAGTTAGTGCTTTGGCTAAACGAATGCCTTATTTTACAGAGTGCCCTGTGATTCTATATTGAGCAACTGTCTTAAACCTTTGATATTTGAATTGGTAAAATCAATATTTCAATTTCTAAATACAGTCTTTTTGACCTCAAGCTAATTTTCTGGATATTAGGGCCCCTGGAAGTCCAAGAGATAATACAAGATTTGATATGTTAAAAATCATATAGGAATGTCAAATAAGAAATAGTGTCTAACTTTTGGGGAGGTTATATTTGTATAAATATGTTCTCAATATGTATTCTAAAATTGTATGTGATTCCTAAAATTCTGATAATATGCCTTAATATATGTTATCAACAATAATTATTATATTAAATTGTTGTATGCCACAAAAATAACCAAATTTTCTTGTCAATTGTGTTTTTAACTACAGTTATTCTAAGACTTCTGTCATCCACAGACAGTTATTGTTTTATTTGAATTCTCCTCAAAAAGTAGTTTATAATCAGATACAGACCAAAACTTGCTTCTTTTTTTAGGGAAATTCATGAAAAGGACTCTTAGGAGTACTCTTAAATACAGCTTTCTGATAATCTTGGAGATCATACCATTGGACTAGCAAAAAACTTCCAGGATTCTAGTTGAAAAGCTGACGCATTCATGAGGATTGCTAACCCAACATCAAGCTGACAAGAGTTAATTACCTGGGACTGAACTGATAGAGGACTGAAATAATTTTTTGTGAGCTTTTTGTTTGAAACATTGCTGATTCTTTTCATGCTTTGTTTAACACAGTCAAGAAAACTTTCTTTTTTCCTTTTGAACTGTTTATAGCTTGCAACCAATTGGGTAAAGTATACTTTTATAAGCAAAATCTGAAGGATTTATCTTTCTCTCTACCTTATTTCTCCAGAATTTGGAAACCATTTGTAAGTACGCTTAATTTATTGGCTAGGCACAGTGGCTCACGCCTGTAATCCCAGCACTTTGGGAGGCCAAGGCGAGTGGGTCATCTAAGGTCAGGAGATCGAGACCAGCCTGGTCAACATGGTGAAACCCCATCTCTACTAAAAAAGTACAAAAATTAGCTGGGCATGGTGGCGGGTGCCTATAATCCCAGATACTCAGGATGCTGAGGCAGGAGAATCACCTCAGGAGGTGAAGGTTGCAGTGAGCCAAGATTGCGCCATTGTACTCCAGCCTGGACAACAAGAACGAGACTCCATCTCAAAAAAATAAAAATTATGGCAATAATTACCAATAATTATTATCAATAACTATCTGTTTTATAACAAGATACAAATGGAGACACTGGTTATTTCACCAGTCATAACTAAAATGGCTTATTTTCAGATATGCTCAGACCACTTTGAGAAATTGATGTTGACTTTATAGGGTCAATAAAAAGTTCCTTGGAAAGACTGTTCTGATACCTTGTCTACCTGGTTTCTTTACAAGGTAAGTAAGGAATGTCACTTTCTGACAGGCTCAAGTTATTTTGGCACCTTGAGAGAGAGGAATTCAACCAATTTATATCAGTATTATAGGTACAGTCGGCAAATCCTTGGCTTGCCTTCTTAGCCTTGAGGCCTGTAAAAGACTAATCTGAGATTTCTTTTGAAAAAGTTCCAGTAAAGCCAACTTAAAAAGAGCCTATATTGTCTAATCACTATTCTCAGTGAACTTCACATATATAATCAAGCCAAATATATGACTAAAACTTATTTTCCAAATAAATTAGTCCTACTATTCATCTTTGGTAGAAATGGGGGACTAGAGAGAGAAAATTTATGTTTTCAGCAGAAAACTATAGTACACCTGTTATTAGACTCTAGCTTTGTCCATTGCTTTTTAATATTTATTATTTCCCTACAAATCTGGAGTGGACCTTGAATTCTTTCATGTCTACAAGTATTTAAACTAATATTACTAATATTTCCAAATTTCTTTCCATTTTTCTGGAAATCACTAAAATTAAAAACACTTTTTCCTGAAGTGTTTTTGGAATCACTTGGAATCACTAAAATTAAAAACACTTTTTCCTGAAGCCCCGGAAGCTGAAGCCAGAAAATTTGATACAAACTTGGAAAAAAATCATCACAGCAACTTAATATATGAACAGACTCTGTGCCTGTTGATAAATAGACTGCTCAGAAAGCTCACTGGAACACCTGAGGCAAACTACAAACCAGGAAAAATGTGTCAGGTTGCCACTATCTGCTCTCACTTCCTGAAGATGCTTCAAGCCCAACATCTAAAAACCTTCATGATTGGCTGCCATGTGGACTCAAAAAAAATGAGTTTATAGTTTGTTCTAACCACTAACATTTGTTTTTCTTTTATTTCCATAGAAACATCTCTTAATAAACATCTGGTTGCTCAGATCATATAGAGGCCTTACTTTGGTGGACGGCCATCTACAACATCACTGCCTGAAATGAAACACAGATGTTAACTGTTTAATTGGACTGGCCTATTCATGGGATTGAAAAGATTGGTTCAGCTGCTTATAAGATGGTCCACCAATTCAATTTCTGGACTGTAAATTTCTTGGAGAGGTTTCAGACTGGATAATCTTGGGACTCAGAAAGCAATACCCCGAAATGAAGGCCTCAGAATCAGCCTCAAAGAAAAAATTTTTCCCTGACCTTCCCCTGCCCTCCTATCTCTAAGTCCCATTCTCCCCCAAAGCTAGACATGGAAATTAGAATCCTTCTTCCCCAAGGTGGGTTACAGAAAACAGAATCCCTTTTCCCCAAAGCCAGCCAGAAAACCTAAAAATATTTTTCTAACTTTCCCTCTACCTTGCTGTGTAAAAACTGGTCATAAAAATTTATCTGACCTACCTTGTTTGACTGTAGGTCATAAGACCCCCCCACTCAAGAGAGGTTCAGATCTACACTCAGAGGAAAAAGTGCATGTTCAGAGAGGCCAAGAACAATCTGGACAGACAGGCCTTGCTGGGTTTCCCCACTCAGCATATTAGCATTAGATCATACACATTTCGTTCAATTATATTTCTACATGGATGTCTGTATTTTGTTGAACCTAAGCATAAAAATGGACAATTTTCCCTGTATGTTTGGGTCTTCATTCTGAAGACTTCTATGTGTATACATTAAATGAATTTGGATGCCTTTTCTCCAATTAATATGCCTTTTTTGAGTCGATTTTTCAATGAATCATCAGAGGGCCAAGGGGAACTTTCCTTTTGGTCCCTATAGTTTACATGTGGTAAAAATCGCAGGTGGAAATTTTTTATTTTTGTTTCATATGTCAAGCACTATCTAGTCTCTTTTTGTTGTTTAATTTTGTTTTGTTTTGTTTAGTTTTGTAGTGTTTTGTTTTCTTTGCTACCTAAAAGGCTTTGTCAAACCAAGCATTAGAAGGTGATTTCTACATTTTCTAGGATACCACATGTATCAAACCATTTTTAAGTTACCAAAACTGTTAAGAGGAAATAAGAGGTGAAGTCTCCTTTTAAGCTACCATCGTAAGTTGTGACCACAACCGAAAACCAATATATCTTAAAGTCCCTTTGGTCATCATAGTCTTCTCTGTCCTCTTATCTCTTTATTCTCACCACGGGTAGTATTGGCTATGGTTTACTTTTTTTCCAAAGATAAAAATATTTAGTTCAAGGCATCTATCTTGAGATGGTATAAGCAAAGAAGGCTTAATATTCAGTGGTCTAGATTGCTGGTCCCCAGAGAAGAAATGTGCCTGAAGTCTTCACTAATGTTAATGCATCTGCCTTGAAGGGAGAAGGCTCACAGAGATAGGAACTACTGCAATCACTCCAGAAAATGCCTCCTTGAATTTGAAATCAGTTCTGGTCATCAGTGACCAACAATAATAAGCTCAATTACAGTGTGTGTAGAATAAATAGAAACTAAAGTATCAGCAAAAAGAGAACCAGCCTGTGTCCAGAATACAGAGTCTACCTTGTCTATAATGGTTCATTGTTAAGAAAAATCCTTGTCATATGATCAAGGAACTCAACAGCAAGCCCAAACCTAATCTCAGCCAACCTTTTTAACCAATTATCAGGAACAATTAAAAAAAAAGCCTAAAACATGAATATGGCAAAGTGAGTATTTTGACTTCTCTTGCAGGTGTATGCGTAAAAAAACAAGTAAAGCTACTACATCAGTGTCCTTTGTTTAATGACCCCAACTGGCCACATTCCATAATATAGGGAAGATAATGGATCTCAAAAGGTACAACTAAAGGTAGCTTAAACCATCAAATTCACTACTCAAAGTGTAGAAACCTGTCCCAGATCATCCAGTTCAAGGTAGGAGATTACAGGCTTCTAGAGTCTTATATACTAGATGATGTTACTTGTGAGAGAGACAAATTACGAAGATTATCAGAATCTCTCACCATGAAAGTCTAGAAGAAACTTAAAAGATTCAAAATATACTAAGAATAAAATACAATAAAAAGGCAAAATTAATTTTTAAAAACTAAGAAAGAACTAATTTCCAAATAAGAATTAAATAATGAGTTAAAAATAATGAAATATGAGATGAGATTTAAGTTGAGAAGTCTCCATAACAATAGAATTTTTAAAACTAAAAACAGGAATGCAAAAGAGGTAATGAATTTTTTAAAATTTGAGTTTAAAAATGGAAAATTATGTGGGATTAAGGTTTAGAAACAGAATTAAGGACTTGAAAAGAAAAGTGAATAATAGTAAAACAATAAAAAAGGGAATGGAAGATTATTTTGAAACAATGAAAATAATATGTTAGAAAATTAGAAAAATGTGAAATAAAAAAGAAATTATACAAAATTAACATAGAAATAACATATTTGAAATGCTGTTAATAATAACCAACACTTCCTGAGCGCTTTCTGTGGATGAATTAAAGTTTCTATTTCTTCTTGTATATACTATAATTTCTACTCTCTGAATGTTGTTCTTAAGTAACCTTTGGCTTATTACCTTTATTGTTTCCTCATTTATAGAACAGGGATAATAATGGTATCTCCTCATATGGCTCTTGTAAGGCTCGAATGAGTTAATTCCTATACAGAGCTTAGAACACTGAGCAGCCCAGATTCAAGAGGAGGGAAAATAGATTCTATCTCTTAATGGGGGAAGTGGCAAAGTCACATTGCAAAAGAGCAGGTGGGATGGCCATCTTTGGAAACACAATCTGCCACAGCAAGAACATATAAGAAATGTATAGCAGTGGTTACCAGCAGGAGTGGGTGAACAGAGTGTGAGATGGGTAAAAGGAAGATAGAGGAAGAAATATGTAACTTTTTGTATACTTAAAAAAAATTTTTTTTGAGCTAACCTAAAAAACCTGTTTTAAATAAGCCATTTTTTAAAAGTACAACAAATGCTGATTAAATGGACATGTTTTTCCTTGAGTTCATTGGCTTCATTTTTTATGCTCCCTAATCTCCATCCCCAGAGAAAACCTCACTTCACCTTCAAGTTTACATGTCTAATACTATAACTAAAATTCCACCAAGATATTCTTGTATGGTTGGCCCACTCTTTTGGAATTACATCATAGTTCAATTATCAATATCACAGTGTATCTTCATCCTAATATACCTGGCACATTTCCTATATGTTATAAGTTGAGGTGGAAATTTAGGAGCTTTTAATCATTCTCTTTATAAAATAATGTCATATATTTTTATAAATAATACATATAATTTTAAGATAGTAAAATATCTGCATGCTTAAATCAAATATATTCTACAACAAACATATTCCCACTATATGTTACTAGTATCTGGGAAGACTGATGCCTATCTACCCTTTGCTCAGGTAAAACTTCGAAAAGAGCCTCCTTTTAAATTTAAAGAGCTCCTAACACATTGTTCATACTTTTAACCTGCAGAACTTAGGGCAATCCTAGCCTTCTTCTGCTCCCAAAACTTTTGAAACAAAACATCAAATAGAAAAACACAACAGTTCTCACATTCCTTTCAGGGTAACAGAGTGGCTGAGCCTTGTTATTACTCCCCAGATAATACTAGCTTCTGTCCTCCCAAAGCCACTTAATCCTGCTCAATTCAAAAATCAAGTCCTCTGGGAGAGTGAGCAGAGCCTGTGAGCTCATTCTGAAACCTGTCATTGTCTTTTCCAGCCCTGCCTCCCAACAACCTCTGCTGACTCCAGTGCGTGGTTGGATGATACATGTTTTGATAGCTGGATCTCTGAGTCATTTTTTTTTTCAGAAATCCTCTTAACAGGCTTCCTAAGGATGCCATGGAGAAAAGTAAGCAAGTAGAAAATCAGGCTGAATAAGCAGCTGTTGCATAACAGAGCATATTCTACAGGATCCATGTCCAGAAAAATCAGGGTTTGCAATGAAAGCCCACTTTGACTTTTTAAATAAGATCTGAAGTCAGACATATGCATTCTGACTTTAGTGAAGTCATGTTATCCTTATTTCAGAACATAATGAATTGGTATATTAAATGTGAACATAAACCTTCCAATTAAAGTAGACGAACAATGTCATTAGTATGTACAATGCCAATTAGTATGCTGAAGAAAAGTTTGGGGGTTTGGGAGGATTTTTTTTTTTTTGAGACAGAGTCTTGCTCTGTCCCCCAGGCTGAAGTGCAGTGGCGTGGTCTTGGCTCACTGCAACCTCTGCCTCGCCCGTTCAAGCAATTGTCCTGACTCAGCCTCCTGAGTAGCTGGGATTACAGCCATGTGCCACTATGCCTGCTTAATTTTTGTATTTTTAGTAGAAATGGGGTTTCACCATGTTGGCGATGCTGGTCTCGAACTCTTGACCTCTGGTGATTTGCCTGCCTCAGCTTCCCAAAGTTCTGGGATTATAGGCATGAGCCACCATGCCTGGCTGGGGTTTTTTGTAAAAAATAATAATAATAATAACTCATTAAGAGTGATCGCTCAACCTAAAGATGTAAGGAAAAGTCATTAACATATGCAAAGTGTGATCATTCAATAAGGAAAATTATCTCTATGTGTGGCCTAAGAAATTCCACGCTTTATTTTGTGGTCATATCTACCACAGCTGAACTGCTATCCCTTCTATAGTATCTAACCCTTTGAATACTTTTCTTTAAATGACTCTCATTATGTCCAATACCTAGGCCAAATCAACCACTGAAGTGTATAATAATTTTCCCACATTTTCTGATTGGTGCATTTTACTGTGACAAATATTGCAACCAGTATTCAGCTGCAGCAACCAGTAATGTAACAGTCTTTATACCATGTTCCAAACTAATCAAGATGCTTAATGGTTTTTAAATACATGCTGATGCAAGATCATGAAGTCCCAAAAAGTTCATAATTTTTTCCCTTTTCTTTTTCTTCTTTTTTTAAAAATAATACTAACCCTCAAAGTTAAAACAAACAAAATTCCATCAAAGCACTCTCAAAAAAAAAGCCATGTTACCAGTCATTTATTAGGTCTAAATAATATGCCTATATTATCCTCCCCACCTTGAAAATAGACTCTTTAATAAACACAAGAGGAAAAATAAATAGGTTAACCAGGAAAAAGGTCATTGCCTTGTCTGTTGTAATACGGTCTGATCACCCAAGATGATTGATTTCTTAAAAGAATCCATATCCATGACTCTTATAGACATTCTGCCATCCTGCAGCCATCTACAAGGTAGCTTATACTTCTAAGGTTATTAAATCCTTGTGGTCCTCTTAAGAAATCAAGAAGTTCAGTAGCCTCACTTTTTTTGTAAAATAAATTTTCTCAGTCTCCCTTTTTAAAATAAAAGCTGTAAAATGGAAGTGTTAAATCAGTATACTTGAACAATACCACCTAGTTTTGCATATCTTCAATACCATTAGCTCCATTCTGGAAATAAAATCAAGGAAAAGAAAATCAAGGAGAAATCCCCTACAATAATAAATCAACCTCTTCCCTTCCCCCACCTCCTTCTCTTTGAGAAAGTATGTGGTGGCAAAAGCTAAACACACTTGGCTCTTGACCCATTCAAAACAGAACTAATGTGAAGAAGCCACTCGCTATTTTTGACTGCTTGGTGTGAAAATATAAGCCATTCTATGACTTCTCCACTCTCATCCAGTGCAGTCTTTCTTCTCTCCCACACCAGATTCTCTCTTCACCAGCCCAAGAAACAAAGTAATGTTATGATCCCTAATACTGCCCTAAAATCAGTGAAAGAAATAAGCATTGAGCTTGTACTACACAGCAGCTACCTGATTTATCTTCCTCCTCCAATGAAATACTACAAGAAAAAATGACCACAAATGGAGAAAAGTAAATAATTCCCTCATACTATGCTATAATTTTTTTCTAACTTGTTCTGACCTTTTTTTATAACTACTACCCTTCACTACCATTGTTACAACCACCATTACTATCAGTAATTATTTAGCTTGGAAAAACTAAAATTTAGTCATTGCAGTATCTTTCATTTGACCTAATAATTTAAGCTGCCTCTTTAGGTAACTCAGTCTCTGCTTATATGACTTCAATAAATTGTCCAGTTCCATTGCACCCATCCTCTCCTCCTCTTCAAGATGGTACCAAGTGAAGGGAGTAGCGTATGACATATAAGGCAGCAGAGTTTGGGAAAAGGGACCTGAATCTACGGGTCATCTCTGCAGAGCAACTGGTCTGGTCTTCTTCTTGTACTACACTTACACTAGGTCAATATTTTTGTTACACTTATTTTTCTATTTTTGGTGAGAGGAAGATGTCTTGCTTGTTCTTAAAAGTGAAGTCCTTGAAGTTACTCCTTACCCCTAGTCTTATAGTACAGAATACTGCTGCCTTGTGACTCCACCACTCACCCAGCACTCTCTGCACCTCCACATCCCTCCCCAGGGCACACAGACATTTCCACATCCCTTTACCAATCAGCCTATCTGAAATGGTTGTATTAAGCTAACCCAGTGTAATTAAAACACAATTTTCATTTTTATTTCCCTTCTTTTAAACACTTTTAAGATTAATAAAATCTCTTTCCACTCCCTCCCCATAGATGTAAAACTTTCACGCATATAAGCAATCCTTCAGTCATTACAACTCAAAAAAAATTCTGATTTGCTAAATTAAGCTGGTTCATGTGATAATCAAAACTCTAAACACAACTTTAACTAGTATCCCCTCTGCTCTCACTTGCTGGGGCCTAAGCTGACAACTTACAGTGGGAAAGGATTAGCCTCTCTTACTAGGCTAATCCTACTCTTCTTCCACCAGCTTGATCAGCAAGATGCAGAACTTCCCAGGATTGGTCCCACATGGAGAGTGCATTAAGAAAAGGCCACGGACAGTGGCAAGTTCTATTGTTCCGTGATAAGGGGGCCTTCTGGAGTGTGTGTTTAATATTGACTCTTCTTCATAGAGGCTTTTATGGGTTCCTTAGAGAGTGTTCTCACTGGAAACCTTCATTTCTGGCCACATTGACATGTGGACACCTGCCCTTCCTGAGCCCCTGGCTTTTATAGTGCCCCACTCAATTTTGGACTTTCAGTGTTAAAAGATTCCTCATACTCCCAACTCAGAAAGATCTCTCTTCCACATCCCCAACATGGGAAATGCTCATACATCCTTAGTTCCAACAAGCTTATAAGTGTTAGCCTGTCCTCACACTGCCACCTTTACCCTTCTGTTGCAGACAGGCATTGTTCTCTGTGTTACCCAAGTGTAGAGAATACATTTCAAACTGAGTGATCCCATTGAAGCCTCCTCCCAAACTGAGCTTGAAGTGAAGGAGATAGAAACTCTCTTACTCCCCATCCACACATACGTACACACGTCCTCTTCACCTTCTCCCCTGTCTTTAACAGTCTCCCTAGGTCCATTTTCACCACCTTTTTACAGTCTTGATGTGAATGTGAGACCCCCTACATGAGGGGCTCATGAGGTGTTAAATTTGATATTTTCCATTTATTTTGTAAATTCTCTATATGGTAATCTAGCATCTTACTTTTAAATTTCAGATATAGTATAATAATTTTTACTGGTGTGGTTCCCAAAACTTGAATTTTACTCCCTGTTTGTCCTTCTCTATGACTTACGCCATCTCAATTATGTTATGCTAAGCTGTGGCACTGAGCTAAAGGTTACTTTTCCTCTAAGTATCTGCAATTGTTTCCTTGTAAGTCCAGGGAAGCCAGCCAATAAATCTGGGCTGCTTCCCACAATTATTCACTTAAACCCAAGTAACTCTCTTCCACATCAGAGCTTAACGGGAGGAAGGGAATTAGACATACTGTTGACTGACTCTCCCTTCTCCTTCTTTCTGTCCACAATCTATCAGAATCAGAAAGGATGGCCTTCCTCTAGTCCTCTTCCCAAGGGGCTATGACTGCCTTCTCATTACACCCTCTCATTAAGTATGCCAGGCTTTGTGACGCGAGAACAAAGTCACATTGTTTCTGAGAGGGATATTGCAATAAGCAGCAAACTTATTGAAGTAAATGTCTTCTATTACGTGCACTGACACTGTGATTGCTTGAAATTCTGCCCTTTTAAAACCATGAGGTTTTTCTTTTCCTTCTAATTGCTGTAATAAGAAATATGACCACTTCGATACTTAAGCCAAATCTGGTTTATTATCAGAACCACATGGGGAGGTTTTAAAATGCTGATTTCTGCATGCCCCTTTCCCCCACCCTCACCATCTGCCCCCAGATCATTGAATCAATTATGGGGCTGGAGATCTTGTTTCCTAACAACCATGATTTTAATGGTTAGCCATGTTTGGCAGCCATTATTCTTTACCATTCAAATTGAAAAGACTCTGCAGAGACTACAAGCTACAAATACAGAGAAATATGAAGTATAGGCAATAAGAATCTGGTACAAGACTGTTAATTTTAATTTCCTCTATATTTCTAGCAACTTCCAGAATATCAGGATTCATGGACATCTCTAAAGTTTTGCTACTAATCGATAGTCAATATAAACCTATTATTTAAGTCTTAATTTTAGGAAAATATATGCCCCTATTGCACAGCAGATCATTCAGAAATTTTATAGTAATAATTTAAATTGATTTTTTGGGAAAAATGTTTTTGCCTTGTCTTCATCTATAAAAGGTCATAGAAAGCATTAATAGATTTTGATATCTTTTTTTAATGCTAAAGGAACAAAAGCTGAATAGCACTTTGACAAAAAAAAAGATGTGATGCTCACACTACAAGAGAATTCAAAATCTGCTTGATGTCCAAAGGATATATAATATGTGAATGGAATACATCCAACATTTTAAATGTCTATATAGACATACTGTTCCTCACAACATAAGTTGGAAAGAAGAAAATGTTATTATCAAGAAGCTTTTGAGGATAAGAAAGAGTCTTTATTGTACCTATTCCCAAATACACTTGCTGATTTTATACAATGACACAAAAAGAGACTTAGGATAAAAATTTTAACAGAATTCTATCTTAAGAAGTCACACCTACTGATACTAGCCTTTGTAAAAATAAACTTGAATAGCTCAGATACATTTCAAAAAATTCATAAATCCTATCCTAAAGATAAATTGCTCCTGCAAATAACATCAGGGGGCCCTTTGGTGTCTCTAAAACATACAGCCACTGCTTCTACCATGGCATATGGCTTCAAAAGTTAGAAGGCAAGTACAAAATATTTAGAGAAAAAAATAGAGAAAACAAACTGTTTCCTATTTATTCCTGGATTGGGGGAAACCATTGCTATCTTTCCCAGAGTTAAATATATTATACCCTAAGCTCTTAAGAACGTACTTACAAAAAAATTAATTCTAATCCTATAACTATGTAGAATAGTGATTTCCAAATTTATGTAATAAACAAATCTTTTTAATTATCTAAAATAAAGGAGAAGTAATCATAAGTTTTGTTTTAGATGTTCTCACTCTCCAAAATAACCTCCCTAATCTCTTTTATGCCCATTTTTCTTGAATCAGTTTTTTTCTAAGATCAATTACATTAGTAAACACTTCCACTTTCCAACAGCCTGGAGCATTTGTAGCTGTATCTTCATTAGAACCATTTCGCAGTTCACAAGCTAAGTTCTGAGGTATTTTATCAGAATTCATTAGATCCACAAGAGACTGACAGAATTTCTCATAAATGTTACCTAATGGGTTTAACACTATACTTCATTAAATGCATATTTTAGTTAACCTATACTTTAAACAGCTTAATTAGAACTTAATTGCTGGACTTCTCTTCCCTAAAAAGTAGTCCTTAATGGAATTCATACAGAGTAGCAGACTTAAATGAAGTGATTCTGAAAAGTCATTGGGAATCATAGATACCTTATTTAATTGAAGACTTATTAGGATTTCTTGACTATGACACTTTGTCTTTATATCTATCACCATAAAATAAAATAGTACTCACCTTAAATAGATACATAGATTTTTCAGATTATTAATTCATACTATTAAAAAGAGTCATCTCCAAGATGGCAATCTCTCTCTCAGGGGTACACAAGACAATCCATATGAGTTGAAAAGAAAATATTTAAATTTTTATTCATTTTATCTTCAAAAAAAGACAACTAAGCTTTATCAACTTTCTAGCATTTAATATTCAGATGAACACTCACATCCTTGCCCATCTGTGTATCACATGGTCACCATCACATATGGGAGATGAGGTGTACTGGGGGAAAAAGTTGCTCCACAATACAGAGGAGTTAAAAGTCATGCCTCACTCATGCATTTCCTTTTAGTGTAGTAGACATATTGTGCTTAAAATGTGACTGGCTATTCAGATTTATAGATAATTTTCTAGTTTTAATTAAAGGACTCTCCTAAACTAGACAAGTAGTTTAAAAACACTCCTCCAAAGACCACAGATTGAATATGATACTAATAATGTAAACATGAATTAACAATAAATGACAAAGCTGAGAGTTCTCTTTACATAAAATTTTCCTTATAAGATAAAAGCGATAATAAATTGGTGGCCAAAAATAATTTTAATGTATCAAGAGGATTATTTAAAATAGGAATTTAACTGTTAAAATGGCCCTACTGCCCAAAGCAATCTACAGATTCAATGCAATACCTACCAAAATACCAATGACTTTCTTCATTGAAATAGAAAAAAAAATACTAACATTTGTATGGAACCACAAAAAACCCAAAGAGCTAAAACAAGCCTGAGCAAAAAGAACAAAGCTGGAGGCATCACACTACCAGACTTTAAAATATACTACAAAGCTACAGTAACAAAAACAGCATGCTACTAGCATAAAAACAGGCACATAGACCAATGGAACAGAATAGAGAACCTAGACATTAATCCACACACCTACAGCCAACTAAATTTTTACAAAGACAACAAGAACATTCATTGAGGAAAGGACAGTCACTTCAATAAATGATGATAGGAAAACTGGATATTCCTATACAGAAGAATAACATTAGGCCTCCACCTCTTACCCTATACAAAAATCAACTCAAAATAGATTAAAGACCTAAATGTAAGATGGAAACTATAAAACTACAAGAAGAAAACACAGGAGAAACTCTTCAGGACATAGGTGTGGGGAAAGATTTTGTGAATAAGACCCAAACACATAAGCAAAAGAAAAACCAAAAGTAAACAAATGGGATTATATCAAACTAAAAAATTTCTGTACTGCAAAGAAATCAACAGAGTGGAAAGATAACCTACAGAATGAGAAAATATTTGGAAACTATTCATTTTACAGTAGATTAATATCCAGAATATAAAGGAACTCAAACATCTCAACAGCCAAAAAAAAAAAGCCAGTTTCAAAACATGGGCAAATGATCTGAACAAACATTTTTCAAAAGAAGACATACAAATAGCCAACAAGTACGTGAGAAAACATTTAACATCACTAATCATCAGGGAAATGCAAATCAAAACCACAATGAGATATCATCTCACCTCAGAATGACTATTATCAAAAAGACAAAAAATAACAAATGCTAGGAAGGATGTGGAGAAAAGAAAATGCTTGTACACTGTTGGTGGGAATGTAAACAAATACAGAGAACAGTATGGAGGTTCCTCAGAAAACTACAATCCCATTACTGGGTACTTATCCAAAGGAAAGGAAATTAGTATTTCAAAGAGACATCTACATCCCCATGTTTATTGCAGCACTATTCACAATAGCCAAGATAGGAATCAACCCAAGTGTCCAACAACTGATGAACAGGTAAAGAATATGTGAGGCCAGGCACATTGGCTCAAACTTGTAATCTCAACACTTCTGGAAGCCAAGGTGGGCAGATCACTTGAGGTCAGGAGTTTGAGACCAGCCTGACTAACATGGTAAAACCCTGTCTCTACCAAAAAATACAAAAATTAGCTGGACATAGTGGTGTGTGCCTGTAGTCCTTGCTACTCAGGAGAGGCTGAGGTGGGAGAATTGTAACCTGGGAGGCAGAGGTTGCAGTGAGCCAAGATTGCACCACTGCACTCCAGGCTGGGTGATAGAGTGAGACCTTGTCTCAAAAAGAAAAGAAAAGAAAAGAAAAGAAAAGAAAATGTGGTATATATACCCACTGGAATATTACTCAGCCATCAAAAAGAATGAAACTCTGTCATTGGCAGTAACACAGATAGAACTAGAAAACATTATATTAAGTAAAATAAGTCAAGCAAAGAAAGACAAATATTGCATTGTTCTAACTCACATGTGGAAATTTAAAAAGTGAATCTTATGAAGATAGTGAAAGATTGGTGGTTATCAAAGGCCAGGAGGGGTAGAGAGAGGAAACTATTTAAAAACGCTGATTAAGGAGTACAAATATATAGTTAGATAGAAGAAATAATGCCTAGTGTTCGGTAGAACAGTAGAGTGAATATAGTTAACAATAATCTATGGAATATTTCAAAATAGAAGAGAATAATTTGAATGTTCCTAGCATAAAGCAAAGATAAATATTTCATTTAAATATCAAAAAATTGGATACCCCAGTCTCCATGATTTGATCTTTACACATTATATGAATGTATAAAATTACATGTACTCAGAAAATATGTACATCTATTATATATCAATAAAAAAACATATAAAACATTAAAAAAGTTGAAGTCAGAAGTAAAAGTAGAATAGAGTATACTAGAGGCTGAGAAGGGTGTGGGGAATAGGCAGAGACTTTTTAAAGACACAAAAGTACAGCTAGAAAGGAGGAATAAGTTCTAGTGTTCTATAGCACTGTAGGATGACTATAGTTAATAATATATACTTTCAAACAGCTAGAAGAAAGATTCTGAATATTTCCAACACAAAGAAGTGGCAAATGTTTGAGAGGATGGATATGCTAATTATTCTGATATGATTACTATACATTGTATGTATTGAAACATCACTATGTACCCCATAAATATGTATAATTATTATGTGTCAATCACAAACCATTTTTAAAGGAAAAAATAAAATATGAATTTACATTTACTATGGTTAACAATTACCTTTGTCTTAACTGTTTGTCACGCCATAAGCTATTAACAAATGATACTATCAAGACATTTGAAACAAGGCCAGGTGCACTGGCTCATGCCTGTAATCCCAGTGCTTTGAGAGGCCAAAGCAGGAGGATCACTTGAGGCCTGGAGTTCAAGGCTGCAGTGAGCTATGATTGTGTCACTGCACTCTAGCTTGGGTAACAGAGGTAGACTCCATCCCTTAAAAAAAAAATACACACACACACATATACATGGGCAAGATATTTAAAATACATTTTTAAGCTTATTTTTAAATTATTGTACATATTTTAATGTACATATATTAGCATAATGGTAAGTATATTTAATGTATAAATACATATATAATATATATGTATATTATATATATACATATATAATATATATGTATAATATATATGTGTATATATATATAATATATATATATAAAGATATTTGGGGAGTGCATGCTCAAAGTATTTTACCAACACGTGAGTTAATAAAATAGTTTACAGATCATTAACCTAACAAGCGGCAGAAAGAAGAGATATGGTAGAAAACATCAAGTAACCCACAAATAAAGTATATATACCATTGGGATGTGTTTTCTTGTTTTCATAATTATTCTGAATACAAGTGTGGTTTATGCTTTGGGAGTATACACAAAGCAAAAATTAATAACAAAATCCCATATTGAAGATTTGATTTAGAGAAAACTTAGAAGTTCTTAAATACCCTTTTTATCTTTCCTTCTTTAACACATTTCTTCATTGTTAAGTTCAGACTGAATTAGGAACTGCTCCTGAGAGCTAGAAAAAAACAGCAATTTGAGTTGTAATACAATGAAGTTCTTCTATCTGTTTCTGGTTTAAGGGAAGCCAGGGCTATTTATTCCAAATTAAAATATGCCCTGAGAAACCAGGGACATAACGGAAGGAAAATATCTCTGCACTAATTTTACTAGCCATGCTTGGAATCACAGCTCTGCCCACAGTGCCTGGGGTGGGGTGAAAGAGTTTTCACTAACATTAGCACCTCAAAGGAAGATTCAACTGATAGTTGCCATCACCTGTGAGCAGAAAAGAGCGAACTTTCCTCATAAGTTAAAGATGTAACTAAAAGACCAAACACTGTAACTCTACTGTTAACAAAAACTCCTTGAGATTATCATGAAATTCAAAACCAAGACACCTGTGAGCCACCTACCACCTGATTGAATATCTCACTCTTTTACAGAAGTTTAAATATTCTGTGAGCTGACCTTTTCACTTTCTTATGAGTTTTCCCTAAGGGTAAATCTTTAGTGGAAATAATCTGATGGAAGATTCCTACTTCAAGAGTGGCAAAAAGCTTCAGAGAACTTCCCTAGCATGTGAAAGCTATCTTTTCTTGTCTTCTATAATTTTAGAAGGTATTTTAAAGATGTTCCTGGGATCAGACTTTATGTGCAACATGTCACGAGAGAGTGAATATTGATGATCAAACTCCTCTTCTAAAATGTATCATAAAATCAGGTTTATAGTAAATGTTCTTCAGATCATTAACTACCATAATTCTCCAGTCCTTTTCTTAGCTGTTTTATTAATAGTGTACAATCTTCATTACTACTAACTGTTACTTGTTAAAAACAGACCCATCTACCATAAGCCACATCTCCTCCCACTCCCTGTTTTACAAGATACCCACAAATACCCTTAAAACCCATCTGTTCTGTCTGGGATGCTCAAGGGTCCTCCCTCCCACAACGAAAAAAAAAGAGCTCAATGGCCTCTTCTGGACTTTTCCATCACTAGAGCTTAGTATGCCTTAAGACACAGCCTGGAATTATAATTAATTTGGTTAAATTTTTAAAATTAATCCCCTGGTAATTTGCTGTGCAGAAGAAGGAAATTCACATTCACAAAGAACAGAGAAAGCAGAAGAAAACTCCAGAAAAAAGGAAGTCTTTTCCCTCCTTCATGATTACTTTTGAAGTCAATGTCATCTCATAAAATCTACTTAGTAAAACTGACAGCAATAAGTATGTTTTGCCTTGAGGCTCTGTCTTGTGCTATCAGGAGTAAATGGAGGTACCTTCTAAAGGTCTCTGACAATCCCATAGGAAATTTTTCTGCTTCCTCTCTGAAGCCCAGTGGGAAAGGCTCATGGAAGTTCAGCTGAACCATATTGCTTATATGATGAGGATGGACAGCAGGAGGAGA
This sequence comes from Homo sapiens, assembly GCF_000001405.40. NCBI lineage: Eukaryota > Metazoa > Chordata > Mammalia > Primates > Hominidae > Homo > Homo sapiens. Next base: position 58,048,447 of record NC_000006.12, on the reverse strand, counting down.
GTGAAGCCATTCTGCAGAGTGGATGTCAAATAATCAAAGAGAAGACAGCAGGAACTCTAAGGATGCAGGGGACACCATCTAAGGTAAAGTGACATTGATATCAACATCTAGGAAATGATAGAGGCAGATAAATAGCTCAGGCAAGAAAAAAGAGATGGGATGACCCAGTTTAAGCAAAAAGTAATTTGCTAATCACAAAGCAAAGAAATAATACAATAGGCTCCTCTCTCCACTCACACACAGCAGGTATACCCATTATCCAGACAGAGCAGTAGACAGAAAAGGAGATCAACTGCAATGTGACTGGTACTCAAACCACAGAGGGCTGCTTCCGAACAAGAGCTCACCCCAAAGAAAAATTGGCAGGCAGTGCCACCTGCAGAGGAAAGATATATCTTCTGCAGGCACTAGCTCTCCAAAGCTGACAGGCTGATATATTCTGCTGAATAAATTGAAAAACTTTCAAGTGGTCTAAAAAAGGTAGTCTGAAGTAGACTGCACTGCAGGGATCCAACCAAGTTAAGAATGTCAGGAGCCTGTGGCAACATCCACACCAGGAAAAAAGACTCATAACCTCTCGAGTTAAGTGCAAATGAGAAAATAGCATGGTGGGTTTCGTTTCTTTGCGTATGTTGTGTGTGTGTGTGTGTGTGTGTGTGTGTGTGAGCCCGCGTGCGTGTGTGTGGCTGTATGTTGTGATTTTTTAAAGGACACAAAACTGCAAAACTGTTCTTTCCATATAAGGAGTAAATCAGGCATGAGAAGTATTTTTTCCTCTGGAACAGAGAACAAGTGTGTTATTTTCTCCTAGAATTTTTAGGCTTTTTGACTCCCCATGGAACTGACTTTCCCTTCCTCCAGGCTCTGCTCAAGCCCTGCCTCCTCCACAAATCTTTTCCAATGGATACAGCCCTAATTGTTCATAGCTCTCTCTCTACTAGTAACTTACTTATTGCTTGAACCATTCAATGTGGAACTTAATTGAATACTATCTTACTTTCTTCTAATTGCTTAATATGTGTAAATTTAACCTCCCAAACAAGACTACAAGATCCCTGAGAGCAAGGATTATGTCCAACATGTATATCCTGTTCCCCTCAGCTAGGCTGAGTATATATATATATATAAAATTTATTTCCTGTCATCTTATCTGAGGAGGGTGGGAAAGGCCTCCTGGTGCACAAAGGTCCCTCTACCCTGTGTTTATTTTCTTTAAACCAAAGAATTCACTCATTTAGATTAAGAAATTAGCCCAATTATAGTACTAACAATCGCTGGGATGATTTCTCCACTTAGCTATTCTGCGGTGATATGCAAAATAATAGTTTGGGACTTCAAGGCCTGGATTTGATTCTCAACTCCATCACTTCCTAATGACATGATCTTGACAAGTTATTAACATGTCCATAAAATTTGCTTATCTATAAAATGAGGAAATAACATTCTACTCATGGTTATGTGACAACTGAAAAAAAAATGCCTGTAAAATTTAGCCCATAGTAAGCACTTAGTAAATGCTAGCTTTTTAAAACAATAATAATAAATAGTAACAATAAGTACTGAGATATACACTGAAAAGTGTGAGATTCAACCCTACTTGCAAGCTGACAAGGGAGCCTGTCACAGTTTCCGGGATGCTGGGAAAAGTCACTAGACTATTAAGTCAGACAATGGGCTTTGTTAGAGAAGAGCCAGTAGCATGAACACAGTTCCATTCATCCCCCAAAGTCCCACAAGGGTTGGGTCACAGTTAAGGCACTCTGAGCCTAGGACACTCAAATCTTATATAATGGGCTGCAAGCAAACTTGCCCAACATTTGTTCTGAAGGTGAACATTATCCTTATTATACTAGTTAGTAATCATGCATGCTCTCCGCTTCAGAAGAAGACACTATAACTTCTAGGGCTATTTACTATATAAACATCCTTAAAAAAAATAGTCCAGAACAAAGACCATCAGTCTCTGTTCTCAATATGTGCAGGAAACAAGCAATCCAGAGAATTGCCTTCCAACAAAACTTAGCTCCTACTAGCAAGGACCTTACAATCTGCAGGAAAAGATAGACAAGTAAATTTTAAAACTAAGAGATAGGGAAATAGTGCTATTTTAAAAATCATTAATATAATAAATGCATACAATCTTAAAATACCATATAACTATAAAAGATAGTGAAGCCATATACTTACTAACATGAAAATTGTTTATGATATATTGTTTGTTGCAGAAAGTGGTCTAAAAAGTAAGTATAGTATACTCCCATTCATATGTACAGGTAAATCAGATAAATCATTGACATGGGACATTGCAAGTAATCAATAGATAATTTCATTTATATAAAATATTAAACTTATAATATGTAATATTTATAAATACTGTCCTGGAATGATATAAAGTCCAACATGCTGTGCACTTAAGAACTGCGCACAAAAAGTTATCTTAAAAAGACAGGGAATCCAGGCAGGCTTCTTAGAGAAAGCAGTTATTAAGTGAAATTTCAATGAAATGTAAAAAGTGGGAAGAGAATTTAAAGCAGAAGACAGTTGTGAACACACTGAACTTGGAATAGCATGATGGATTCATAAAATAGTATAAAATTATCCATAAAACTGCATGTTGTCTGGAGTAACCAGGATAAAAGATAAATACAAAAAAATAGTAGAAAGTAGGGCTAAAGAGGTAGACACGGGTTAGATAAAAGTAGCAGCCAATAATGTATTCTAAAAGGTGAGGAGGTGGTAGAAGGCACCTACCTCAGAGTACATCTACAGCAGGCTCCACTCTAAGAGCCAAATTCATTGCTGTGTACATGCAGCTGCTTGATGAAAAGGGATTGGACTTAGAGCCTCTCCAGCACCCTCCATCCCTGAACTACATTCATCCAACAGGTACAGGATGCCTCCACTAGGATTACCCCGGCACAACAGACTTGTCATGTCCAAAATGATATACATTACCTCCTCCGTCACCTAAATCAAAACCCAAAAGGGTCTTTCTAGAGTTCTTCCTAGAACTCCACTACTAGCTCTTCCTATCAGTGGAAGAATTTTTCTCACCACTTATCCCCTCCCCACCCCTCACCCCACACACAGGCCAGTCAGACACATTTTCTTTCCTCCATATCCAGCACCACTGCCTTAGCTCAGTCTCTCACCATGACTCTCTGGATGCTTGCAGTAGCCTCCGCCCAGGTCTCTTAGCCTCCCTTCCCAAGCCCTCTAGTCTATATTCCACACTGCCACCAGAGTGGAAGTGTTAATTTGCTTGTTTCTCTCTTAAAAATCCTGTAATGGTTCACCAATATCTACAGGGTAAAGTCTGTATTCTTTATCATGCCACACTAGCTCATTCATAATCTGGCCCTTCCTACCTTTCTAGCCTTGCCCTGACTGCCACCCTTAAGCACTCCACAGTCATGACATTTGAAACTATAGAGGTTCCTCAGAATACACCATGTTCTTCTGATCCTTTTTATCTTCTCACAGGCACAGCCTCTGCCCAGAAAGTCCTCTTTCCTTATGATACCCCCAGTTCTTTCCTTGGCCATCTAAGAAACGATTCACTTTTCAAGGCCTAGATGAAGCATCAACCCTTTAGGGATCCTCTCCTGATCAGTTAAGTGCTTCTTCCTGTGCAAGCATCTAGTGTCATAAGCAGCTAATAACTGATACATTACAAATATAGCAACTGAAACACTGCTTTAATTATATTTATATGTCTCTTTGATATAAATCTTTATTAGATTGTGAAACCCTTAAAGGTAGGGTAGGATCTTATTCTTTGCATTTTTATTGCTCACCACGTAATGAAGACTTTATAAATGTTGGATAAATAATTGGCTAGATATATAGATGAATGGATGGTTTCTAGTTATTTGTCTATATTAACACAACTCAAGTTGCTAAAAGAAATGTTACAATAGAAGAGGCTTTCAAAATGGAAATATGCTTTCTTAGTTCTAGCGCCTCAGTGGCTTAATCTCTTCTTTTTAAATACACACACACATGCACACACACACACACACACACACACAGAGTAAGTTGTCTTAAAGGGAAGGTCTTGTTAGACAATATGCTTAGCATTCACCAAAGACACTAATCCTAATAAAGATTTAAAGAATATTTAGCTAACAACAATTCCATTTATCAAGTGCTTACAATGAGCCTTATGTATCTGATCTTATACATAACAGCACCCTGTGAATTTGATACTACTCCCATTTTACAGATGAGGGAACTGCCTCTTAGAGCATATGAACGACACATAGCTAAGGAAAGGACAAACTGGAATCTAAAACCATGAATCCCTGACACAAAGTCAATGCCTTGATCCACTGATAGAATTAAATTATCAAAATTTCCATTGTGCCAAACAGATAAGATGTGACCTTCTCTTTAATAATTATGTAAACAGTTTCAGTGTTTTCTTGGATGTGTTAAAGATAGGATTTAACCAAGAGCTCTGCTATGAATACAGCAGGAAGCAATAGCCAAAGTGGTCAATATTAAAATTCATTTTCATACCACACACAGTTTATACTGCCCCATTTATAGTTTTTTTAAAAAAAGATGAGTTTGCCAACAATAATCTGTAATATTTCTGCAGTGAATATGAATAAGACAGCAATGTTTCTATTGTAGGCCATGTTTTCTTAAGTGTTTTCAAACAATCCAAAAACATTTCTACTAGGTTAGAGAACAGAATTGTCAGTTAATATTGTCATAACAGTTTTTCACTTTTAAGAAATGATTTTTTTTCTGTTTCCCTATCATAAGAAGGAAGCATACAAAAAATTGGAGCTTAGCTACACTGTGGAGAACCTTTTATATAGAATTTGGTTTGCTCAGTTTTATCTCACATAACTGCTTAGAATATTGAAAATTATTCAAAACTTAAAATATAAAGAAACATCTACACTTTACCTTTGAGGACGCTGTGACAGGCAGTTCCAGGAGGGCCCCCAGTGCTCCTTGCCTCCTGGTATGTATAGTTCCTTCCCAATCCTCAGGGTTGATCTGTGTGACCAAAGGAATACAGAAGTTATAATATGCAACTTCAAAGGCTAGGTCATAAAACACATTTTGGTTCCTTTCTCTTTTTCCTTCTCTTAACTCACTCACTCTGGGAGAAGCTAGCTGCCATGGCATGAGGCTAGCTGCCTCTCAAGCAGCCCTATGGAGAGAGCAACATTTAAGGGACTGAGGCTTCCTCCCAACAGCCAGTGAGGCACTAAGACCTCCAGCCAACAGCCATGCAAGCGAGCCACCATGCAATTGATCCTCTAGCCCAGTCAACATCTCAATAACTACAGCCCTTCTGGATATCTTGACTGCAATCACACAAGACGCTAAACCAAAGTCACCCAGCTTAGATACTCCCAAAACCTGACTCTTGAAAACTGTGTAAGAAAATATTTTTTGTTTTAAGCTGCCACATTTGGTGAAAGTTTGTCCAACAGCAATACGTGCATAATAAAGACACTATTCAGAAGTCCCATACAACACTTCTGCTTGCATCCTACTGCTCAAAGATGTAGCTTCCCAGCCACAATTTGATAAATGTTATTAATAGAATAGGAAAAGTAGTCTTTATTCTAGGTGGCCATGCATCCTGTTAAAAATGACTTTTATTACCAAGGAAAACGAGAAGAGGACAAGAGATATTAAGAGAGAAGTAGCAGCCTGTGGGAGATACACTGATAGCCCCCAACTAACCATACCTCCCAATATTCACACCCAATTAAAATTCCCTCCCATGTGGGCTTGGCCATATATTTGCCTTGATCAATGGAATATTTGCAAACATGATACAAGCAGAGGCTTTATACATCAGCTCACTCCCTCTTAAGAGGCTTACTGCCATCTGTAAGGACGTACTAGCTATCCTGCTAAAGAAAGAGGCCATGTGACAAACCAAGGTGTCCCAACCAAGCTCTCAGATGAATACGGCTGCATGAGTGATCCCAGTCAACCCTATGTGTGATAAAAGAATCACTGCAGAACCACAAGAAAGAATCAATGTTGTTTGAAGACCCTAAATTTGGAGGTAGCCGGACACAAAATAGATAACTGAAATGCAACCCTATCACATATAAAATACTTTACCTGGAAACTTGAAAAACTGTAAAGTGTTTCTAAAATAAAGGGCATTTTGATCCTGTTAGACAATAGGGTATCTGATATCCTTGATTTCAATCAGATAAAGCCATTGACATCTAAATGAATCATACAATTAATGATTCTTACAATAGAAAGACTGAATTTTACAGATTATGGAAATTATCATTCTTATACCATGGCTAACTAATGCTTGGACTTCCTCTAAAACATCATTTCTTAAACTGTAGTTTGAGGTCCATTGATTGATTTCAGGGGCCACATGAAAAAGACGCCTAACTATTTTGTCTTTAATTTTTTCTGAATAGTTTAAAACATAACTTTGTAATAAGTATTTCATTTACAAGACATTAAGTTAAAGTATTGTTAACTCTAGATAACTTAGAATATCAGTACACTATTTGTACTATACATGGTCAGTTCATACACAATCCATCACTGTTTCCATGCTAAGATATCTAGACTAATTTTTATTTTAAAATAACTAAAGAGGGCCAGGCATGGTGGCTCACGCCTGTAATCCCAGCATTTTGGGATCCCGAGGTGGGCAGATCACGAGGTCAGAAGATCGAGACCATCCTGGCTAACACGGTGAAACCCCATCTCTACTAAAAAAATACAAAAAATTAGGCGTGGTGGCAGGTGCCTGTAGTCCCAGCTTCTCAGGAGGCTGAGGCAGGAGAATGGTGTGAACCCGGGAGGCGGAGCTTGCAGTGAGCTGAGATGCATCACTGCACTCCAGCCTGGGCGACAAAGCGAGATTTCGTCTCAAATAAATAAATAAATAAATAAAACATAAACTATCATTATATTTATGGACAGATGATTTTTACAAATTTATGTTACAGACCCTAGCTGTAAATTGCAGGAAAAATAAAGTATAAAATTTCCATACTCTTAGATTTTACTTACCTAGTTCAACATAAATTGAAAAAAAGTCTCAGTTGTTTTGGTGTTAAGAGACTTTTTTTCTAATAAAAATATGGGGCCAACAAAATTCAAAGGAGCACCTTATGTATGTCCGTAATACATTAAAAAATGTGAATCTTTGTGAAAAGAAGGCTGGATTTTACTAAATCTTGGATTTGCCCCAATGCAAAAATCTTGTCTTGAAGTATTTGAAAAGACGCCCACATGACTGAAAAGCTCTCTTTGAAATCATGTATTCTGTTTTGTTATGTGGAGCAGAAAAATGTAAATGAAACAGTGTCCTTGTCAAATAATGTCCCTGACTCCATGAAGCAGGTCATGAATTATAGGCAGCTATGCTGTTTGCCTACACCTGAATGAAACCATCCAGAGCTTTTAGTGCAGAAAAATCCTTGGTTCCTTACATAATACACACTGATTTGATAAGATTATTTTGGATATTGTAAAGGCTATATTCAAAACAGCAAAATAGTTTTTTGCCAAGAAAATATCTGACTGGAAAAAAATCATGATAATCTTTCAGAGGCTGAGCCATAATTCTAATTTTCCTCCTTTGTTAAAGAAAGCAGCTTCACACATTACTGGGGTTTGTTTCTTCCAATAGCATCACACCCTAGTATCAAAGACTGCTAATATCCCTAAAAAAAAATCCTCATATCGATCTCACTGAAAATCTTTAATATGAACAAATACAAGGCTTCTACTACACAGAAGTTCATTGATATTTAAGAGGATATAGTGTAAAGAGGCAACAGAACTGGATTTCTATCCCAAATTGCTCATTTACTAGTTGGGCGATCTTGAACAACTTCTGTAACTCCTCTGAGTCTAGAGTTTTCCCATCTGTAAAGTGATAATTGCATCTACCTAAAAATGCATGGTAACAATCAAATATGATAATATACAAATGGATCTAGCAATGTCTGATATGCAGTAAATGTTGGGTTGCTTTAAACTGAATAAGCATCTCAAAACCTTTCTTATTCATTCTTCTAAGGCTCCAACTCTAAATTTTCCCAGTGGGCAAAGAGCTTTTTTCCTGAGACCTCATTTCTAGTATCTATGGTGCTTCCAAGACTAGCAAAACAAAGTTTCTCCTAGAACCGCCTGACAAGACGACCACTTTTCTCAACATCAGCCTATGGCTTCCGGGGAAAAACTACCAGTTACCTCTCTCCCTACCCAGAACAGAGCACTATTTCCACTCACAGCCCAGTCTATGCTCTTAACTGCTCCCTCACAGTATTTAAGAAAGCCTATTCACTTAATAAGGCAAAGTTTTTCTCTGAGTTATGAACAGTTCTCCTCTAATGAGCAGAGCTACTCCAACTCTACATCTGTCATTCTAATTTTTATTCAGTTAGCATCTGACATCTACTAATCTAATCCTTTATGCATATGGATATTGGGTTATTATTACATGTAAGAAATGCAATACTCATTTGAATGCTTACTTTAATAAGTGTTTAAGGTAATTCATTACACCATCTGCAGATTTTACAACACACTATTTGACTATTGAGTAATTCTGTTGTTTTTAACTAGCATTCATTGAGTGTTTTATACTTTACCAAACACTTTCTAATATTGATTTGATCTTCACAAAAATCCTATGTGGTAGGTAAGCCAGATATTATTAGTCTCACTTTTTTTAGATGAGGGACAGAAAGTTTAAGTCAACTGGCTAAAGCCATGTGGCAATTCCACTGACAAATAAACTAAATCCTATGTCTTTTGGCTTAAAACCTGTAACTTTTCCACTGTAATATGCTGTCTTCCAGTGTCACTGAGTACTATCTTTTATCTAATTGGCAATAAAAATAGTCACAACAAAAGGAAGCCTCTGAAGTCAGCATCAGGGTAAGTGTATCAAACCAAATGATTCATCCAGGTGTGGCAGCTCACATCTGTAATCCCAGCACTTTGGGAAGCCAAGGTGGGAGGATTGCTTGAGACCAGGAGTTTGAGATCAACCTGGCAACACAGTGAGACCCTGTCTCTACAAAACATAAAAATGAAGAAAATAGCTGGGTGTGGTGGTGCACACCTGTGATCCCAGCTACTCCAAAGACAGAAGTGGGAGGATAGCTTGAGCCTGGAAGGTCAAGGTCGCAGTGAGCTATGATTGTGTCACTGCATTTAGCCTGGGAATCAGTGAGACTGTTTCAAAAAAAAAAAAAGTGATTAAAGAAAGCAAACCTGTACCAAGAAATACTTTCTTTCATTTGTATTTAAAATGGTACATCCTTTATAAAAGTAAAAATGTAAAAAAAATTGTTTTTTAGGTTATAAAAATTATACATGGTAATTATAGGAAATATAAATAAGAAAACAAAAATCACCTAGATGTTATTTTGAGTGTATTGGATACTTATTGAGCATTTTGAATATGCAAAAGATGTGAGGTGATTTATCTTTTTAAACCACCCGGGTGGCTGCTCTGTGGAGAATGGTGAAGAGCCTGAGAGGCAGAGAGAACCAGTTAGGGGGCTACTGCAGATCCAGGAGAGAAATGAGGGAGGCTTGAACCAGATAGGAGCACTATGGGTGCTAAAATATGACATATCTAGAACTGGAGCATTGTTTGAAGGTACAGCTGATGAAGCATCTATGGAATGTGAGCAAAAGAAAGAAGCCAAGAATAATTTAGGATTTTGACCTGAGAAAAGGTTGGACAATGGGTATCATTTGGCCCAACAGAAAAGAGAGAGTAGCAGATTTTTCAGAAAGAAGTTGAGAATTGTTTTGAATGTGTTAAGGTGGTGTATTAGTCCATTTTCACGCTGCCGATAAAGACATCCCCGAGACTGGGCAATTTACAAAAGAAAAACGTTTACTTGGACTTACAGTTCTACGTGGCTGGGGAAGCCTCACACTCATGGAGGAGGGTAAGGAAAAGCAAATCCCAACTTACTTGGATGGCAGCTGGCAAAGAGAGAATCAGGAAGACGGAAAAGCGGAAACCACTGATAAAACCATCAGATCTCGCGAGATTTATTTACTACCACGAGAACAGTATAGGGGAACCCGCTCCCATGATTCAGTTATCTCCCACCAGGTTTCTCCCTCAACATGTGAGAATTAAGGAAGTACAATTCAAGATGCGATCTACGTGGGGACACACAGCCAAACCATATCAGGTAGCTATTCATGTGGACTGTCCAGTGGCCAGGTGGATGGATAAGCCAAGAAGGCAGAGGAGGGGTGGGGCACAAGATAGAAATGTAGACGTATCATTATTATATCACTCTGTCTCACTGCACTGATGCAGCTTGAAATTTGTCTCAAACAGTGCATGTGTGATCCAAATAGCTGAACAATCAACATAGTTATTTCAGTCACTTAGAAGGTCAGTTTAAATCAACTCAACTAATGTAGCCTGTGTGGCTGAAAGTATCAAATTGATAATGCTACACTTGACCAAGCTTGGCAAAACTCATATGAATCCATTTGCCTCCCTAACAACAATTTTTCCATTGATTATTGTAGGAAATCTTTCTTGACATTACTTGCTCCCACATGCTTTTTTGGGTTTTGTTTTGTTCTCTTTTGTTTTTGATAATTGAGTACATCCCCATATCTTTGTATTTATGAGGCAGAGATAGTTGTTTAGACACATAAAACAATTATGTTCTATTTTTATTTTTAAACTATTCATTTGAAATAGCAATTGCATAATCATTAGCTGTCTGGTTTGATAATTGAAAATAATTTCTGAAGAACTAAGTACTTTTATCCTCTTAAGTCTGCAGCAGTGATGGCTAAATCAAACAACCTGGAGAAAGGGTGTCCTCTTACATTGACTGGTAGATCGCCAAGACACCTTTTTTTTTTCTTTTTTTTCTTTTTTTCTTTTGAGACGGAGTCTCGCTCTGTCGCCAGGGTCACCAGGCTGGAGTGCAGGGATGCAATATCGGCTCACTTCAAGCTCCGCCTCCAAGGTTCCAGCGATTCTCCTGCCTCAGCCTCCCAAGCAGCTGGGACTACAGGCACGCCCGCCACCACGCCCAGCTAATATTTTGTATTTTTTTTTTTTTTTTTTTTTTGAGATGGAGTCTCGCTCTGTTGCCCAGGCTGGAGTGGAGCGGCGCTATCTCAACTCACTGCAAGCTCCGCCTCCCGGGTTCCACCATTCTCCTGGCTCAGCCTTCCGAGTAGCTGGGATTACAGGCGCCTGCCACCATGCCCGGCTAATTTTTTTTGTATTTTTAGTAGAGACGGGGTTTAGTAGAGACCATCCTGTTAGCCAGGATGGTCTCAATCTCCTGACCTCGTGATCCGCCCACCTCTGCCTCCCAAAGTGCTGGGGTTACAGGCATGAGCTACTGTGCTCGCCCAGGACAGCTTCTGATTGTAATTTAGCTTCCTATCTCATGCCTCAAAAGAATACACTGGCCTGCAGGAGAGTTATAATCGTCACTGAAAATTATTACACTGATCTTCTGAAATACAATAAATAAATAAATAACCAGACTTTTCACATGAGAAGCCAACATGCAAAAGAGACATAATAAGATTTGGAAGAAACATAATGAAAAGAAAAAACTGAGAGAAGATAGACTCAAATGTGTAGCTTCCACATCGCCAATTAGAAATAAGGACACAGATTCAACAACAGATAGTGATAGTGGAGAAGAACAGCAAGGGTGCCTAACAGAAGATGAAGAGAAAATCAAATCACTTTTAAGTCTAAATGGACACCTTCCCCCACAGACACCTGCACTAAGGTAATGTCTTTGAAGAAGTGATGCACTGCCATTGTGGGTTAATAGCTACCTCCCTATGCCTTGTTGGGTTTTGACAGTATCAGGGTATCAGAAAAAGGGAAAAACAAGTGGCATAGTAAAGTAGTAAAAGAGGCTCAGAGAGAAGTTGCTATACACAACACAGATTAGTGACAAGCTAGGCTATTAACGATCCAATATTGGACCCATGACAATTTTTTGTGATATGTAGTATATGGTAGGTACTTTACGGTAGGTAGCTAAGTGCTTTACACACATTTCCTCATTCCTCCTCAGTCTTATGAGATAAGTACCACCACACCCTTTTAGGTTAATTTTCTAAATGGTGTAGAAAAAGAGCACACAACAGAGCTACTTTTAGGTACCAATCATAGGCAAAACCAACTTGAACAAACATGAAGGGAAAAGAAAGTACATTTGATTCATACAAGGAACCTGTGTTCACACAGGGTGATGGTGCAGCTGTTTCAGGGCAACTGGAAATAGGACTGGGAAGTTGGAGAACTCTGCCACTTCTCTCTGCTCTTCTTACTATGTGGGCTCCGCTCCCTCTTTCTTCAAAGTGGCTTTCTCCTCATGGTGGGAAACAGAGCTGCCAGCAGCTGCTAGCTCACGTGTCCCAACTTCACCACCTGAGAGAGATACTCTCTTCCTAAACCTGGACCACTTCACTGGCCAGGGTATGCTGCCCTGATTGTCTCGACCCTTTAGATGTCTCTAACCTCTGTATCCATCATGGCCTGAAGGGCAAGAGAGAAGCACACACAGGCCCTCTGGGTGATCTCGGTGCTCTAGACCACCACAGATGGTGTGCAATACACCATCCTAAGAAATGAAATCTCCTTCCAGGCAAAGCAAAAGGGAAGAAGCAGAACATTCAAGGGAAAAAAATAGAACCTCACCGCCTAAATGCATAAGTTTAGTTCCAGAACATCCATAAGAGATTAATCTGTTCTATGTGATACCAGAACCCAGAAAATAAAACAGTTCAGATTTTGATTTATCTTCACCTGTGAAGCAGTGCCTCCATGCATAAAACAATCCTTTTCCCCAAATATTAGGAAATATAAGGTAGAGGTTTTAACCTTTGGGGTCCCAGTTCTCTTTAAGAATTTGAATGGGCCACTGGGCCAGTGATTGAACTATTATCTCTGAACTTTAAAACCCCTAGCCTTGTGATGTTGCAAATCACACTTCTGCTTCACTAGCTGTCACCTGTTAGAGTTCATCAAGAGGTGGCGCTTTGGGGTAATGGCAAGACTGGAGGAGGAAGAAGGGTCCTGTTTCTTCCTGTAGGCGAACTGTCTGCTGTGGCTCCTGTACTTCCATCCTCAAAATGCCAGTCTGTTTTGGAGGCTTCAGTTGAGTCCAGTGTGAAGAGATTCCGGCACTCAGAACAAGCACCATCACGTCCCCTCAGAGACCCTCGCACCAGCTGCCTGGCGTTCTTTCTTAGAGGTCCCAGCACCACATGAGCAGGGGTTCCTTAGAGAGCTGAGTTTCAAGTCTACGGGGCCCCCTCCCCACATTTTTAAATTGTAATGACTCCAGACCCCCTTTTTTTGTTTCTTCAACTCTAGGAGTAGCAGTAGCTTCCTGCAAATGCTACCTCTGTGACCACTTAGAAGTCACACCAGCTATTTTTCCAGAAATAATTTAATATAAAGAATTATTAACTAAGGTCAATTGTTAACAAGGTAACTGAACAAGCAAAAAGAGAATTCTATCTCCTAAATAGACGTTATGGACATACCCCCAGAAATATGCACCTATTTCATACATACACTCCACATAAAAAATTGTAATGTATTCATTGGTACACCAAAATTCACCTATAGCCAACTATAAACTCCATAAATCCAAAATTAAGAATCTTAGTTTGATCTCTTGCCCTTCAGACCATGATTGATGCAGAGGTTAGAGTCACCTACAGGGTTGAGCCAGTCAGGGCAGCACACCCTGGCCAGCGAAGTGGACCAGGTTTAGGAAGAGGGTCTCTCTCTCAGGTGGTGAAGTTGGGACACGTGAGCTGGCAGCCCTGTTTCCCACCATGAGGAGGAAGACACTGCAGGAAGAGGTAGTGGAGCCCACATAGTGAGAAAAGCAGAGAGAAGTAGCAGAGTTCTCCAACTTCCCAGTCCTATTTCCAGTTGCCCTGAAACAGCTGCCCCTTCACCCTTTGTGAACACAGGTTGCTGGTATGAATCAAACGTACTTTCTTTTCCCCTCACGCTTGTTCAAGTTGGTTTTGCCTATGAGTGGTACCTAAAAGCAGCTCTGTTATGTGCTGTTTTTCTATACCATTTAGAAAATTAACCTAAAAGGGTGGTGGCACTTCTCTCAAGATTGAGGAGGAATGAGGAAATGTGTGTAAAGCACTTAGCGTGGTACCTACCATGCTGGGTCCGATGCAGGGCACTTCAATAATGGTTCTTAGAAAACAATTTGAGAGTGCCCTGAGTTCTAGGTACTGGTCACTTAACAGTCCGGTTTCATAAGTAAATGCATTTACCTGGATTCCATGCTGTTTCCCAAAAGGTAGCCTTGGCATTTCAAGTGATATATCACATTAAAAGACTGTACATTCACCAGTGAAAAAAATGAAATGGTTAATAAATTATGACCCTGAAGGAGACTTTTATAATCTTGAAGAGCTTATTTTCTATTATAGTCTATTTTCTGAATAGCTTTGAGAACTAATTTTTTAAGTCTATTCTTGTAATGTTTTTCAACCTTTATTTTGGCAGGTCCAAATGAATCAAGTTCCCTTGGGTTTAAGTAGGCTCAAGATAAAGGCTGATATTAAGATCTTCTAGAAAATTGTGGGCCAGTGTCATGTGACAAGCATCATCTTTTTCCTCCAACAGGGAGAACTCCAAGATGAAATGCAGATTGCTCAAAAAGTAGGCAAGATGATCTCCTGGGGCACAGAAAGAACTTTTAGAACTTCTATTTACATTCACATTTCATCTCATGCTTTTTAAATTTATATTTTTGAGCATGTTTTATAATGTACATAATTTATTAGTTTGATAAAAACATCTAATGTTTTATAAATAAAAATAAACATTTCAGTATCTAGGCTGTGAGTACATTCTTGAAGCTTTTTTAAGAGGGATACACTTTTAAAAAATTTTGGAGACCACTGCTGTAGTGATAAAGAACCATATGCTTTGGAACAAGAGTCAGTGAACTTCGCCTACAGGCCAAATCTGACCTATCTATGTATGGCCCTTCAAGCTGCAAATGAAAAAAAAAAAAAAAAAAAGAAAGAAAGAAAAAAAAAGTATATATAACAGAGACTGTATGTGGTCCACAAAGACTAAAATATTTACTGTCTTCGCTTTACAGAAAATGTTCGCTGAGTTCTGCTTTGGAATAAGCCCACACAAAATACATTCAAAATTCTTTGAAAGGGTGAGGGAGAATCCCCTTCTACTTTGTTAATGAAATTTGTACAGATGAGAAGGGAAAGTGGGTGTAAGTTCATAGATTGGTACTTGTGATCCAATTATGGATGTTACAGATACCAAAAATAATTATTTAAACGGGGGTGAGAAGTCAAGGACAAGAGCAACAGTGAATGCATTGAAAACTTCTTTAAGAATGATGATGACTCTTGAGGGTGGCCTATTACACTGGCCCAAAGGGTCTCACAAATCAGCTTCATTTTATGAAAAAGAAGTAAATAAAGAATAAGTTGACTCTAGGAGTTTTATGTCAATAACTATGGCTATAAAATTTCATAATAACTGATGCTTAACAGGTGATTCTGAATCACCAAAATTAGGAAAAATTGTTTTCAGTTTTCTCCTATTAAGGAATGAGAAATACATTTTAGTAGCATTTATGCCACAGAAAGGGACTGAAATAAATATTCCTAAACTTACAGGTTAATTCACAACCAGGAAACTAGGCTCCACAGAATGACTTGATACCCAACTGACCAATTCTTGATAATATAAAGATGGAAACAGAAGCTTAAAGCCAAAATACTGAGAGCCAATTCATTGAAAATGCCCCCCATAGTACCTGTTAATGAAGAAGAAGAAATTAAAATATGTGGTAATTAGGCTACCTATGTTAGGGCTGATAAAGCTTTCCAGTAGGCCTATTAACTACAACATGTTAATTCTGTTCTATTTTAGAGTTCACTAAATATGCTATTCACATTGTCTGAAATCTGGAAGCTGAGAATGTATCTGTCCTTTGACCACTGGATAAAGTAGAATTAACCTTTTTAAGTTTAAATATAAATGTCTAATAAAAAGTGAACACCAGCTAGAGTCTCTTACTGCCAGGACAGAAAGTTTTTATTGCTCACAGAAGTAACGTATTAGAACATGAACAGCCTGAACACGTATAATGTCTGTGGCAGACACTGCCAGTCAACTAGCCAGGGCTATTCCACCTTCTTCCTTTTTAGCAGAATTTTGATTTTGTTTAGGGAAACTGTGTACCTAACTAAAAATGTCCAATCTCCCAGCTAAAAGTAGCTACGTAACCCAGAATTTGCCAGTTAGTATGTGAATGAAGTCCCTGAGAAGGGCTTTCACTCCAAAATAGAAATACAAAGCTTGCAAGTAGAAGGCTTTTGGGTCCTTCCACTCTCTTCCTTCCTGGAAAGTAGATTTAGGCCTAGAGGAACAGCAACCATTTGCAACTATCATTATAGTTGCAAGAACCACATGTTAAGGAAGGCAGAGCAAGCCTATCTCTGGCAGCATTAGTAAGCAACCAAACCGGCTCTTGGGTATCTACTTCTGGCCTTGTACTTATGCAAGGGGGAAAAAAAAGTCTTCTTTTAAGCTACTGATAGCCAAGTTTTCTGGCACTCTCAGCCTAATACCATCCTAACTTTTACAATGTGATTATTTCTGTTTAGTGCCAGGTGCTTGAAGTACACCATGTAACTTATTTCAATAGCTCTTTGAAGAGGAAAATATTATTCTCCACTTTACAGGGAATAATAGTTAAATAACTCACCCAAGATGACCCAATTAGTATGCAGCAAAACTCAGATTCAAATTCAGATCTGATGGTCTCTATCATTTCTTCCTCAGTGTTAAACCCAGTGCATTGTACATCAATGATTGCTCAATAACAATTTTGTTCAAGGATATTTGCATAACAGACAGCTATAGAAGCTAGAGAGAATGTCACTCTCCTGGTCACAGAGCAGATTTATTTAGTCACTTCAGGATAATAAAGTCTCCCTGCCTTCTTCATGGGGGATTTGCTTACATTCCAAGATAATAAAGATAATGTTTTCCTAGAGAGGAAAGATTGGACAGGTTTACCAGCAGCCCCTTACCAGCTTGAGGGTTTTTAAACTCAGGGTTTCTCAGCAGTGACACATATCCTATGTGTACCATATTTTCCTGGGCCCATGTGTGCACCAACCCCATGTGACTTACAGAACAAGGGAAACTGATGCAAACATTAAGCCCCTGCATAAACTGTCTAAAGACATTTGGACTATTTGTTTCTTTTCCAAAGACATGCATGGAAGTGTTGGAAGTCATACCAGAAGATCTCCTTGTCCTTGCTGCTTAAAATCTCCTTGACCACTGAACAATAGGCAGGAGGCAATCCAGCTGAAATAACTCTTTTTGGCCCAAAAAGATGCTGTTGAAAAAATCAACTTCCTAATATTCAAGTGCCTCAAACTATTTTTTAAAAGATATAATTATTCCAAAGCAGTAATTCTTAACTTTTCAGTATTTGTCACACTTTTTTGAATTCTAGAATTTTGACAGTGTACTTGAAAGAGACTAAATACCAAAATCATCATCAAAGTCATTAACAATAACATGAAAATCATGTGACATCTCACAATTTCCATAAAAGCTTCCCTAGCTTTGGCTTCATGCATTCCCTTGCAGCCTTTCTGCACTGTGTGGCTGTTTCAATAGAGCTGTCTCCTGCCCTGGGCTTAGCTGTTTATACTCTCCTGGTACAAATGTTCTCACATGCTCTTTCTTTAATGATAGTTTTATATTAACTAAACTGCATCACACAATCCATTTAATCTATGTCATATTTTACAGAGTTCTGAGTGACAGTATTCAGTTGGTGCAAAGAAAAAAACTGTTACATATTGATAAAAGTTTTGTATCATATGACTTGGTGAAGGGATATAGTTATACCTCTGTACCCCAGTAAGCCAGTTATGAACCATATCCTG
The DNA here is from genome assembly GCF_000001405.40 of Homo sapiens. NCBI lineage: Eukaryota > Metazoa > Chordata > Mammalia > Primates > Hominidae > Homo > Homo sapiens. The sequence goes on along the minus strand of NC_000006.12, from coordinate 58,030,471 downwards.
GGACCCTGTACAGAACATCAATATTGACTAAACACTTGCTGTGTGCACAGAGTGATATTTGTGATATTCTGGCACAGTGGAGAATTATGACAGATATTTTTAAATGGTCCCTACTATCAAAGATATATTTTGAAAAATGGAACATACATATGTGAAACATCCAAAACACATCTATAAACAATAACTACAAAAGCCAATTAACGCAGTGGGTATAAATCTTAGTCTACAATCCAGGTACACAAAAAACATTGAATTTCTTTATTACCTTTAAACAAACCTAAATTCAACTCCAAGTACCCAGCCTACTAAGTTTTTCTTCTCTTAAGAATGCACAGAGATTGTGTGTGTTACAGCACTAAAGGTAGAGAAGAACAGACTCATCCCACCCTACCCCCAATCCAGATGCATCGGTCTTCACTAATCACTGTTGAGATTATCATAGTCATGACTGAGATTAGTCCTCATGTCCGGGGCTCTGCACATCCCAGGGATGTGGGAATCTTTGGCAAGGCTGAAAAGACCCCGTGCCCAAAGGGAAGCCTTCCTCCATGAACCATGCTGTCTTCTTCAAGAAAACTCTCCACCCACTTAGAAAGTTAGTTTCCAAAAAAGAATGCCAAGAATGCCAAGAAACACACCAGCTATCACTACTAACTCCTTTCCCCTTCTTTGTCAGGAAGAAGATCGTCTGTCTGTCTGTCTGTCTGTCTCTCTCTCTCTCTCTCTCTCTCTCCTCTCTCTTACATTCTCTTTATTCATCTTTTTTCTTGTACAATTAGCATCATCTCAGTCATAACTACGACACCTAATGTAGTGTTTCTTTTGTATCTGGCACTGTTCTAGTGCTTTATTGTATTTATTATTTTAATCCTTATGCAACTCTATAAGATATCACTATTATTATTCCCGTATCACGGTTGAGAAAACTAAGGCATGGAAAGGTGATTTTGTTCAAGGTCACATAACTGGCAAAACTAGCTGATTGCTAGTAAAAACAAGAGGAGACACTGACCTCAAGAAGCTTCTTTTTTCAGTATCCCTTGTTAGCGCAATGCCGTGGAAACTATTTCACAGAATGTGAACCATATACAAAGGTAGGGCATGAATATGTTCCGGCTTTCCTCTTTTTTTTAAGCCATAAATTAGGTTCAGCCAAATTTTAAATATCATTCTAAAAACCTTAAAAAGTTGAAGTTTTCTTACAATGGTTTTTAAACTTAGAACTGGTTTAGGTTTTGAATAACAGTGTCAGACATAAAAGGTTTAACTTGATGCTTCAAAAACAAAGAACATTCAACTTTGTGAATTTATTACTCAGTTTTATCTGGATTTGATGCAGCTGGATAGTAATCCTGTGGTGATGAGCTCTACCAATATTAATTTGTGTTTTTTTAGGAGGTAGGATCAAGAAGCCTTAGATCACAAATCCTTCATCCTGACCCTAAGATTTCAGATCCACAGTCCACAGGAAATTTCAAATACCATTCAAGTGAGAAGCAATCTCCTGGATTCTCACAAAGTGCTTCTTAAAGGGTTCCTGCCCTCCTGGGACAGTGAAAAGCTGGAAATAATAAAGTCTCACTCTTTCTTCGTCTTTTGTCTTTCCCTTTCTTTCTTTCCTTCTTTCTTTCTCTGTCTCTCCCTTTCTTTCTTTTTCTTCTTGCTCTCTCTCTCTCTCTCTGTCTATCTTTCTAAGGAATTTTAAAAGCCAAGGCCAAATCAGTATACTCCTAATGCTATATTTCTATAAAATGAGATTTCTGAGAAATCTAGAATTTGTTCCCACCTAGATGAACATTGTGAAAAATCAAGGCTTAGTTTTCTTCTGACCAGTTACCGAATATAATCAAATGTGAAAATGATATAATTTTCTGTGACTTATTTTTCTTTTTCCTGATAGTGACATGAAGCAGCCTTCATTTTTAAAGGGGAATCACAAAGTCTGATGGGTATTTCAAAAAGAAAAACAATAACAATTGATTCACTATCTCAAAGCCTGTCATGAAACGGCTGAGTCCTGGCACCACCACCAACAAACGACAAATGTGCCAAAGACAGCAAGATGCATTTGGGAGATAAAGCACAGCTTCCTTCATGCCAAAGCACCCACTTAAACAGATGAAGAGAGGGCATGACGGATGCTGAGAAGAAGTAGTGATGCGCTAGCACTGGGCAGTAATTGAGAATGTTGGTTTCGTTCCAGGCCCTCTGAGACAGGGCAGCTGCAATGTATCTTTTGACATTGCCACTTGGAGCCAAGTCATCTTTCTCATTAGGCTCTTTAAATGCCACCTGGCCATGCTGAGAAATCTTCTGCAACACAAAGAAGTATTTTAGTGTTCCCTGAAGAAATGCATAGAAAAAGCTAAACAAAGACAACCTTCATTAACACATTGCAAAACTCTAAACTGCCACTGGTACATTATCCTTCAGTGTTATCACAAAGTATGGTAGCTATATCTTAAAATCTAATTGCAAATCACAGAATACTTTGGCAATTTTTCTCTTACATCATTGCTTGGAAAATTATTCATGGGCTGAGCCTAAATATGCCTGAAACTGTGTCCTGAATGGCATCTTTTAACTCAAATCAAGAATTTGGTGGCAGGCTTCTCAGTACCCAGATGTGGAGCAGCCAGAATGTTTCAATCCATCTCCAATCTATTACCATAAGTCATTCAGAAAGCTTCTAAGAAAAGATATCCAGAGCAATGGCATGAGCTTCTTAGACCATGAAAGGTTACTTACCACAGAGTCCCTGACTCCATCTCTGCCTCCTTGGCCACCTTATTTCACTATTCTAGATAAGAGAGAAGAGAACAGAAGAGGAAAAAAAACATTAAGACCAGAGATAACAAAGTTTGAAGTGATTGCTGTTAATATATCCACTGACAGTGAAAAGCAGAGAAATGCTAATTATTTAACAATTAGCAATGCTGTCTCCTTAATTAGAAGTATACCACATTAAGGAGAAACTTGGCACAGTGGCTCATGTCTACAATCCCAGAACTCTGGGAGGCCAAGGCAGGTGGATTGCTTGAGCCCAGGAGTTTGAGACCAGCCCAGGCAACATAGTGAGACCCTATTTCTACAAAAAAACTTTAAAATATGCTGGGCATGGTGACACACTTCTGTTACCCCAGCTACTCAGGAAGCTAAGATGGGAGGATTGCTTGAGCCCAGAGGTTGAGGCTGCAGTGAGCTGTGACTGTGCCACTACACTCCAGCTTGGATAACAGAGAGAGACCCTGTCTTAAAAAAAAAGAAAAGAAATTTGACCAAATAATTTCCACCTTGATTGCAATGATTATCAATCTTAAAAGCAAGGACCACTTGGGCACAACCTAATATCGAATACCAGGGAGATCTGTAAACACATTCTGAACCTTTGTTATAAGGCTTCTGTGGTTTTATATCACTTAGGACAGCAGTGCTCCCACTGTGGTCTACAGAACTGCATGGATTCCTTGAGATCCTTTCAGGGCAATCATTTGGTCAAAACTAATTTCATGCTAAGAAGCTACTTGCCTTCTTCAATAAGGTGATATTACACTATTGCAAAAGCAATAATGAGGACACCTGCTGGCATCTAAACCTGAATCAGTCATTGCATTCATTACCCTGTACCACACACTAGCAGTGGCTGGGGCAAAGGATGAGGGGGAGCCAGTGTTAGTTAAGGGTGTTCTTGATGAATCACTTAAAAGTATTAATTTTATTAAATCTCAACCCTTGAATTCATTCCTTTTTAAAATATTTTATGTAATATACATAAAGCCCTTCTGCTTCTTACCAAAGTACAACAGTCAACCCAAGGAAAAGCATGTATGTGAGTGCTTGAGTTGTGAAGTGAACTAGCTGACCGGACATTTTAGTCAACACAGAATGCAGTAGTCTTGGGAAGATAGTAGGCTATTCACTCATTCAATTAGTATTTCTTGAACTTAATGTTCTTCTTAATCTATATTAGACATCAGCTCTCTTTCAAAGTTGAATGATACATTGGCTGGTTTTCAATCATTCTTTTTTAATAACAGCTTTATTGACATACAACACATATACTGTACAATACACAAATTGTGCACCATTTAATAGTTTTTAATATATTCACAGAATTGTGCAACCATTATAATAATCAGCTTTATAACATTGTCATTACCTCAGAATGAAACCCCCATACTCAGCAGTCACTCCCCATTTCTTTCCAACTTCCTCAGCTCTGGAAAATCACTAATGTATGTTTTCATTTCTCTTGAATACATACATGGAGGTGAAATTGCTAGGTCATAGAGTAACTCTATGTTTGACCATTTGAGGAACTACCAGGCTGTTTTCCAAAGCTGCCATACAATCACTCTTAAAAGCTTTAGGTAGTAATCCATTCACTAATTTAGGAAATATTTATTGAGAACCTAGTATGCCCAATTTCATGTGCTAGCTATTAGTGAAATAAAAGAAAACAAAGCAGAGACTCTACCATAGTGGAGAGTATCATCTAGTAGAGAGATAGACAAAATCATAACTTTGTGGATGAGTGGAATGATAGGGAAAGTTCAGGTATCAAGGAGTAGGTAGTAAAGGGACCTAATCTATTTAGAAGCCTGGTGAGATCTCCCTGAGAAAGAAATGTGTATGCTGAGACCCAAGTAAAGGGATAAGCAGAATTAACTTGGCAAAGAAAGGGGAAAGTGTTTAGTACAAAGGAACAAACTCACGTAAGACCTGAGGGAGCCTGTCTGTTTGAGAAACCAAGAGAAATTCAGTGTGACTGGAAACTGTATAGTGTGCAAGGCAAGAGGGTAAAAATTGAGCCTGGAGAAGTACAGAGACCGCTGAAGGGTTATTAATAGGGCAATAACACTATTTGATTTGTGTTCTAAAAGAACACACTTGTTTCTGCCTGGAGGAAGGATTGGAGGGAAGCAAAACTAGAGCTTGAAACCAGCCCAGAGTTTATAGACAAAGATAGTCAAGAAGTTATGGTGGTCTGAACTACAGTGGTAGTATAGTTGTGAATCCAAAGGAAATAAAAAAAATGCTTAGAGAGTAGAATCAGTGGGACTTCGTGATTGATTGAATATGAAGGACAGAAAAAAGGAAGGGACCAAAGTAGATTTTTCTATTCAGGTACTGGGTGGATGTTAATGACATTTGCTAAGCCCAGGCCACAGGGGAATATGCCAAATCATGGTCCACAGGAAAACTTCCCATGCACTCACTAAATGCAAGACACTGGGCAAGAGGTGTGAGTATACAAAAAATAAGGACATTGTAGGCAGAATAATGTCTCCCCTTAAAACATGTCTGCACCCTGCAAAACTGAAACCGGACCCCTTCCTTACACCTTATACAAAAATCAATTCAAGATGATCAAAGACTTAAACATAAGACCCAGGACGATTAAAATCCTAAAAGAAAACCTGGACAATACCATTCAGGACATAGGCATGGGCAAAGACTTCATGTCTAAAACATCAAAAGCAATGGCAACAAAAGCCAAAATTGACAAATGGGATCTAATTAAACTAAAGAGCTTCTGAAAAGCAAAAGAAACTATCATCAGAGTGAACAGACAACCTACAGAATGGGAGAAGATTTGTGCAACCTATCCATCTGACAAAGGGCTAATATCCAGAATCTACAAGGAACTTAAATTTACAAGAATAAAGCAAACAACCTCATCAAAAAATGGGCAAGGGATATGAACAGACACTTCTCAAAAGAAGACATTTTTATGCAACCAACAGACATATGAAAATATGCTCATCATCACTGCTCATTAGAGAAATGCAAATCAAAACCACAATGAGATACCATCTCATGCCAGTTAGAATGGCGATCATTAAAAAGTCAGGAAACAACAGATCCTGCAGAGGTTGTGGAAAAATAGGAACGCTTTTACACTGTTGGTGGGAGTGTAAATTAGTTCAACAATTGTGGAAGACAGTGTGGTGATTCCTCAAGGATCTAGAACCAGAAATACCATTTGAACCAGCCATCCCATTACTGGGCATATACTCACAGGATTATAAATCATTCTACAATAAAGACACATGCACACATATGTTTATCACAGCACTGTTCACAATAGCAAAGTCTTGGAACCAACCCAAATGTCCATCAATGATAGACTGGATTAAGAAAATGTGGCACATATATACCATGGAATACTATGCAGCCATAATCCAAATGTCCATCAATGATAGACTGGATTAAGAAAATGTGGCACATATATACCATGGAATACTATGCAGCCATAAAAAAGGATGAGTTCATGTCCTTTGCAGGGACATGGATGACGCTGGAAACCATCATTCTCAGCAAACTGTCACAAGATCAGAAAACGAAACACCGCACGTTCTCATTCATAAGTGGGAGTTGAACAATGAGAACACATGGACACAGGGAGTGGATCATCACACACCGGGGCCTGTGTGGGGTTGGGGGCTAGGGGAGGGATAACATTAGGAGAAATACCTAATGTAAGTGACGGGTTGATGGGTGCAGCAAACCACAATGACATGTACATACCTGTGTAAAAAAACTGCACGTTCTGCACATGTAACCCAGAACATAAAGTATAATAATAAAAAAACAAAATGTCTGCACCCTAATCCCTGAAACCTGTAAATAAATTACCTTATATGGTGTGAAGAAACGAGTTAAAACAACAGTTTTAAATTGCTATTCTTGAAAAGGCCTACCTCTAGGATTGGCCCTTAGATAGTATCTGGGAATTTAGACTTTAGAGGGTTCCCACTGTTAACTGATAAGGGTTGCTCGCTGTGCCTAAAATGTTTTGGCAAACAATATAGTTTATACTGAATGCCTCCTTTGCTTCTGGGAGTCCGGAATTTTAGAACGTGATCAGTAGAAGTTGCCTATATGACCAGCCCCAGTAAAAACTGTAGACACTAAGTCTCTAATGACTTGCTTCAGTTAATAACATTTTACATGTGTTGTCACAACCCGTTGCTGGGAGAATTAAGCACATCCTTGGTGACTCCATTGAGAGAGGACCCTGGAAACTTTGTGTGCAATTTCTTCAACTTTGCCCAAGGGCCTTTCTCTTGACTGGCTTTGATTTGTTTAGGGTGTTTTCTGCCATAATAAATCATAGCTGTGAGTATGACTATATGCTGAATCCTGTGAGTCCTCCTAGCAAAGAATTAAAGTTGGGAGTGTTCTTTTTACACTGTTGGTGGGACTGTAAACTAGTTCAACAATTGTGGAAGACAGTGTGGTGATTCCTCAAGGATCTAGAACTAGAAATACCATTTGACCCAGCCATCTCATTACTGGGTATATACCCAAAGGATTATAAATCATGCTGCTATAAAGACACATGCACATGTGTGTTTATTGTGGCACTATTCACAATAGCAAAGACTTGGAACCAACCCAAATGTCCAACAATGATAGACTGGATTAAGAAAATGTGGCACATATACACCATGGAATACTATGCAGCCATAAAAAAGGATGAGTTCATGTCCTTTGTAGGGACATGGATGAAGCTGGAAACAATCATTCTGAGCAAACTATCGCAAGGACAGAAAACCAAACACTGCATGTTCTCACTCATAGGTGGGAATTGAACAATGAAAACACTTGGACACAGGGTGGGGAACACCACACACTGGCACCTGCCGTGGGGTGGGGGGAGGGGGGAGGGATAGCATTAGGAGATATACCTAATGTAAATGACGAGTTAATGGGTGCAGCACACCAACATGGCACATGTATACATATGTAACAAACCTGCACGTTGTGCACATGTACCCTAGAACTTAAAGTATAATTAAAAAAGAAAAAAAGAATTAAACTTGGGAGTGTTCTTGGGGATCCCTAACACACAGAGCAAAAGGGATTTTGCTGACATGATTAAATACCTTGAGATGCAGAGATTATCTTGGATTATGTGGGCAGCCCAATGTAATCAAAGTAAAGGTCAGAGTGATGTGGTTGCTGATTTTGAAGATGGAGGACTATGTCATGAGCCAAGGGTTGCAGGTGGCCTCTAGAAGCTGGAAAAGCTAAGAAGATAGATTCTTTGCTCAAGCCTCCAGAATGAATCCTGCTGACACTATGATTATAGCTTAGTGAAACCCATTTTGGACTGAGGTAAGCTATTAAATTTGTGGTATTTTAAGACACTAAGTTTGTGGTAATTTCTTTCTTTTTTATTTTTCTGAGCAACAGGATTTGTTCTATCACTCAGGCTGGAGTGCAGCAGTGCAATAATAGTTCACTGCAACCTCCAACTCCTGGGCTCAAGCGATCCTCCCGCCTGAACCTCCTGAGTAGTTAGGATTACAGGTGCGTGCCACCACACTGCACTAATTTTTTAATTTTTTGTGGAGATGAGATCTCACTATATAACCCAAGCTGGTCACAAACTCCTGGGTTCAAGTGATCCTCCTGCCTTGGCCTCCCAAAGTGCTGGGACTATGGGCATGAGCCACCGCTCCTGGACTGTGGTAATTTCTTATAGTAGCAATAGGAAAGTAATATAGGTGACCTCATGAACCATTAATTTTGGGGATGAGACAAATACATAAACATGCAATACTTTCCAAAGATTTCAGTGACAAACTTTGACTATTGTGTATTTTTCTTTTCTTTCTTTTTTTTTTTTTTTTTTTTTTTTGAGATGGAGTTTTGTTCTGTCACCCAGGCTGGCTTGCAGTGGTGCAATCTCAGTTCACTGCAACCGCCGCCTCTTGGGTTCAGCAATTTTCCTGCCTTGGCCTCCCAAGTAGCTGGGATTACAGGCACCCACCACCATGCCTGACTAATTTTTTGTATTTTTAGTAGGGACAGGGTTTCACCATGTTGGTCAGGCTGGTCTTGAACTCCTGACCTCAGGTGATCCACCCGCCTTGGCCTTCCAAAGTGCTGGAATTACAGGTGTGAGCCACCACGACTGGCCTATTGTGCACTTTTCATTTTCCCTTTTCCAAGAACAGTGACAATACTTATGAATAATCAGAAAGTAAATTTCAAGGGGCAACTTGTTATAAATTGACAGAAGCAGAGTAAAACTGGCTTACTGGACATTTTTCACCTCTTCTTATCCATGACAACTCTGTGTAATATGTAATGACAAACTGGATTGCCAAATTATAAGCCAGAAAACATAATATACCTCATTCATGACACCTTTAAACATTTTGAGGGAGTGGGAAAAACTCTAGCTGGCAGTTTATCAGCAGTTTATCAGATTAGAAAACTCTGGTAGGTTTTCCTGATATAAACTAAAAGGTAACATGATGTTAATTATTGTGAGACAGTTAATTAATGGACTGGTCAATAATACATATAAAACAAGATTTCCACTACCAAGAAAATAGGTGTCTGCTTGATGGAAAGGCAAAGTTAAATGATTCAACCGCCTTTAATTTCACAGTCTGTGATTCTTCATAAAACTTTTAAAGATCAATTATGTCCTATCAATGTAAAATCCAAGCCAGACTAAGTGATTTATGTACAAATACCCTCACACATGGAATAATTGTTGATTAACTTATCTTTATTAAATATGAACTCAAGAGATTATATTGGGAAGCAATTTACACTTATGACTTTTCCCTTTCTGTTTTAAAAATATATCCCTTAAAAAACTAGAGGTCAAAGATATTGCTTTTATTTTAGAACTAAATTAAACACAGTAATTTAATGCAGTGATTCAGATGTGTCCATAAAATGTAGGTGATAATATGTTTAATTCAGCTTTCAAAATAAGAGTTTTCAATAGTGCTTCACAGCAATGAAAATTCTAGTTTCTGAGAGTTGGCTTCATGTATTCACTCTACAGACACTTGTACAGTATTTACTACTAGACTGAAAACATAGAGTGAAGTATTGGTGAATAATTTCAAGGACCTCATAGTCTAATAGTAGAAACCGACAGGTGAAAAGGTAATTGTAAAAATGGGATGGAAAAATACAGTGATAGACATATGTAAAATAGAGGCACCTATCCCAGCCTGAGAGTAACAAGAAAATATCCTGCAATCAGTGTCACCTGCTATGAGCCTTAAGGACTGAGCAGAAGTTATGTATACTCCAGCAGATGGGACTAAATCAGTAAAGACAAAACAGGAATAAAAACACCTAGCATGTGCGAGGAACCACAGACAGTTGCAAGCTGCTGGAGTGTGGATCATTTATCCAATGGCTATAGATCTGTTTAATTTGCCTCACAAATTATGCAGGAATTAATGAGTAATAGCTGAAATGTCATAACAGCACACACTTAATTAGGGGAATGAGTATTTAAATTCATTTTTGTTTTAATTGTACCATTTTGGGTAGGTCCCTCTACAGCTTGGAACCACTCAATCCACTATAAACAGTTAATGCTTGGGGTCAGTTTAACACTTTTCCCAATATTTATTTCCATTCAATACTGTATCCTGAGTGCTTTTATATTTAAATGTTTAGTCAAGGAGAATCTTGTCTATTCTTTCTATGCTTCTTAACAATCTTAGATGAAACTCACTGAAAAGAAAAATCCCTCAGAAATAACACTAAATCCAAGAAGAATCTGGAAAAATACAAATATCCATATGCAGCCAAATACACCAATAACATTACTAAATCTTTATTATCCCCCTGCTCTCATGCTGTCCTGAACTGTAAATGACTTGATGTGTATCTGCAAAATCTACCCTGTGGAGACAATCAGATTAGTAGGAATGTATTCCTGGAGCACACTGCAACAATAATAAACTTACTCACATATCAGGTTACAATACCTGGAATTGAAAGGAAAACCCAAAGATTCACATAATAACTGGACCCAATAATCCTACCATGGAAAATGGTGATAATAGGTACATGACCCATTTATGAATGAATAAATAGAATAAATGGAATTAACTATATGCCTTCCTATCATTTATATCCCTACTAACCCATGAAGGAAAAAAAAGAAGTCATATTATTATTCAATACTTTACACTTCATTAAAGTGTAAAGTACAATATTAAGAACAATATAGGCATAGAATCGAAAGCAATTATGCTTTGCAAAATCTCAGAATGTTTTCGGTTCCTTCAAACTACCTGCCGAAAATATGTTAGGCAAAGTGGACTATCTTAATTTTTCAGGTGCAACTCCTTTATCAGAATATATTTTAAGAAAGGAAAGTTAGAGATATTAAAAAAAGAATTCTATTTTTGTACTAAGATGTAATTCTCAGCTAAATGTAAACCCAGCAAGTCAAAATTCACATCTCACAATGGCACTTAATTAATTAAATATTAAAAATTAAATATATCTACTGTTCAACAACTCAGTCTTTTACTAAAGCTGAAATCAGTTGTGAAGGATTACATAGATACAGAACCTTAGATATAAAAGTATGACAAATTTTATTTTGCTCATCCAACAGCCATCAAAAAAAGAAAGACAAAGAAAAAGAATTGATCATCTGTTCCAGATATGAAACAAGATCCGGAGAATACAAACTACTACGTGAAAAGCGTTATAAGAGAAATATAACCAAATAACTGGAAGATGTGGAAACAGCTGCCTGGGAAATATGGAGACAGCTTCACCGAAGAAGGACCTGAACTAGCCCTTGACCATTGAAGTTTATCAAGCAAAGATGGGGAGAAAGGGCATCCAGGCCCATGGGTCATCAGAGGCACTGAGGCATGGAAAGACATGGGATTGTGCAGGGAATTCTGCGTAGTTCAGTGTTGCCTGGGCACAAGGGCACAAGAGAAAGTGATGGAGGATGAAAGAAGAGTTAGGACCGCGTCGGGAAGGGTTATGTGCTACACTGAAAGTAAGCAAAAAACAACATGCAGAAAAGTGTGTGAGTAGAAAGACAATTCTGGGGCCATGTGATAACCTGGAAGCATAAACACAATTAGGAGGCTGCTGTCCCTGTGCCAGCAAGAGCTGACAGGGGCCTATGCTAAGACAGCGGCAATGGAGAAAAGGCTATGTACTTGAGAGGCATATCACAGGCAAAATAAAACGGAATTAGTGGCTGAGTAGCTACACAGAGGATGACAAGCTTACTAATATGGGAGCTTGGGATAATGTTATTTAATAGAGAAAAGGAACACACACAAAAAAAGGAGTAGGTTTACAGGGAAAAATAGTGACTTTGGTATTTTTCTGCATTGGGGATGCACTGCCAACAGGACTTCCAAAAAGAGGGGTTTTGTTTGCAATTTGAGGTTGGAACTGCAGAGGAGGGGAACTGAATACAAATTATTAATCTCATCAAATTTTTGAGAGGCAAAGTCTGAGCTTTTGAGGCCAGGGTCTTTCTTTGACCTTCAAGTCCCTGCCTGACCCTAGTGCCTTGTACACTGTTTGGCACAGAGTAGGCACTCAATACACATTTGTTATTTAATTACCTTTCTGTAGGAATTAGCAAAATAAATAAATAAATAAAGCACTGAGAATAGGACCTTATAAATATAATTGGGCACGACTATATTTAAGGGACAGGAATGAGGTTCTAAAAAAAAAGGAGAATGAGAGAACATCAAAGGAGAGGGAGAGACCGAGGAATGAAAATCATCTTAGAAGCATAGAGAGCACAGTAATATGTAGGGAAGAAAATAAAAGAGAACTAGTGTTTGTGCTCAAAGCAAATTACAAAGAAGAAAGCTTATACCAAAATGCAAATTAATTCATTTTTAGAACATATAACCTAAGTGGGCATATCATGTGCTATAAACTAACTTTAGAGACTACAAAATTTTAGGCTGGTAATTAATTTAACATTTACATTTGCAAATTTCTCAGAAATACTCTTTATATTTAGCACTATAATCATGCAGATGTAGTTTTGTTTAATTCTAACTAGCTAATAAGATAACGGGACCTAGAGAGACATGTGACATGCCAGAGTTCCCGCAAAATAGAGATTCCACAAAATTGAAAACACCATCATTCAATCATTTGTTACACATCTTTTCATTACATCATTTTTCAATGACAAGAGTCTTTTGTCCTAAGTTCTTTAAAAAGCCTTTAGAGGACCTACCCCACCCATCTCCCTGTTAGTATAAGTGCCCTCTAACCTGAGGGTTTCCTGATGCCTCCTCATCTGGGAATGCACTTGGAATGTTTTCTCTTCAACTTAACAGAGGACGTAGCATTTGTTTGAAATACTTCTCCAAAATGTACTATCTTTGGCCAGAAACTAAACTTAAGCAAATAAGAATCCAGATAAAGTGAAAGACATCTGCAAGGAACTATAACTTCAATACTCATAGAAACAACAGTTTCAAAATTCTTAAAAATCATCTACTCACAAAGGTCCCAACCTTCAGTGTTCATTAGAATCACCTGGAGAGGTATTTAAATATCTGTCAGTGCTTCCCAACATTTTCCTACTCCACCTACATCAGACCCTAAAGAAGCCCAGAGGAGGCTGCTCATGGCTAAGATGCCAGGCCTGGGGTCACTGGCCTACTGAGAACGGACGGGATCAATATCTCCAGCCACAACTGTATCTATGTGTACACTGAAGGGTTAATTCAGCAGGCTACGATTACTCAAACACTGCATTTAAAAAAAAAAAAAAAAAAAAAAAAGGACTGGCCCTTGACAGACTCCTGGGTGGTAACCTTTGAGCCCTCAAAATATCCGGTCTGGTAAGAGTGGTTGTTTTGTGTGCCCAAAGCTGTGGACCATGCTATGTCCTCCGTATGATCTCTGGAGTACTAGAGATTGAATAACTAAGATCAGTCACTCAGGTGCTGATTGCCTAAGTGACTGACCCCCAGTGAAAACCCTAGACACCAAGGCTTGAGTGAGTTTATCTGGTTGGCAATACTTTGCACGTGTTGTCACACATTGTTGCTGGAAGAATTAAATTCATGCCCATGCAACTTCAACTGAGAGGCGACACCTGGAAGCTTGCACCTGATGTCCTTTTTCCTTTGTTGATATTAATTTGTGTCCTTTCACAATAAACCACAACCATAAGTCTAAGAGCTTTCCTGAGTCCTGTGGGTCCTTCTAGTGAATCATAGAGCCCAAGGGTGCTCTTGAGGACACCTGTAGAGGAGAAAAAGTAATGCTCTTTCCCTCACTCATTATTAGGTTCATGGTGGAAGCACATATAATAAAAGTCAGATTAGCAAGAGAAAATCATCTACATTTATTTAGTATAAATTTTACATGACACAAGAGCCTTCAGAATTGAAGACCCAAAGGTAGTTCCATGAAACAGAGAAAACTATGTATTTTTATGCTTAGGTTTGATGGCGAGTAGACACTTGTGTAGAAGTATGATTGGACAAAAGGAGGTATGATCTAATGGTAATAAACTGGGAGGAATTTAGCAAAGCCCATCTGTTCAGATTCTTCTTGGCACCTCTGTGTCTTTGTTCCTCTCCTCCAGGTATAGGGCAGGGTACATTTTCATGAGGGTCTTCAGGAGAGAAGGGAAGAAGGCCAGTGAATGACCTTTCGGGGTTTTATGGCCTGCTTCAGAGAGGAATGGCAGGAGGTCAGAGAGACTTTCCTGCTTTCACTGTTTTCTTAAATGCCAAGGCATCACATTTTGGGGTAGAGTATCCTGAACTCCATCACCCTCAACACAGGCCCATCCATGGCATACTATACCTGTTGGGAAACTCTGATCCACATTATGGGGCTCTCCCAAATCTCACTGGATCATAATTTCTATCCAGTAATCTTTATATTTTATACATTCCCTGGATTAATCTAACAGTCAATGAGGCCACTAGTTTCAGAAGAGGCTTTTAGGAGCTTCTGATCTAGCCACCAGCAATCTGATGCTTAAAATAACCTTAAAAAAAAGTGATTTGGTTGATACATTTCTAGGCATGGAAAATTTACAATCTCCCAAGATAACCCTTTTCAATATTTAATTGGTTCACATTGTTGGAAAAATTTTCCTCCTATGTAAGTAAAATATCTCCACATAACTTCTAGTCTTTGCCCTTAGTTACATGAAATGAGACCACAGAGTAAATCTTATCTGCCTTCCACGTAAGAGTCCAAACACTGTAGTTTTCTTGTTTCTCCCGAGCCTTCTCTTGTCTTATTATAAGTGTTTCTTTAACAGTTCTCAATGAGGCTGATGGGAAAGGAGCTTTCCAACAGTCATTTATATTAAGACCTTCAAGACAATCACCACAATGAAATATAAGGATGTAATATATTTCTTAGAGAAAGAGGTCACAACTTTTACATCATACAATCTTTATTCTAAAGCTTTATTTTATAGTTACAATGCTATATCAAACACAGAAAAACTAGTTTAATGAGAAGAAAACACTAGATAGACATTCAATATATATACACATTGTCATCACAAAAACACAGATTTAAAGAAAGATAAATAATGGTGACAGTGTTTATTTGTTCATTTGGTTTCTTGCACAGATTTCAATTTACAGAGTCAATTAACAATAGCATAAACTCCAGGCAATGATAGCAGGTAGGCAGATGAGAAGAGGATGTATTTCCAGGGAGGAGAAATAGCTTTTCTGATTGGTGAGCTTTGAAGAAAGTGCTAAGCCAGCATGAAGTAATCTAATGTCCACCGGACTTTCTATGTTCACTTTCCTAGATGCCTGCCTACAGACAGAGTGCATTTGTTCTGCTCTTTGCCACGCAGTAAGGCCCTGTCTTTGTGGGATGGCCTGTGGTTGTCCAGCTCTTCCAGTGATTAGATAGATAATTCTGTCCAAGTTAGCAGTAAAGTATCAAAAAATGCATGCAGCCATCCATCACTCATGCTGTCTTGGCCCCTCTAAAGAGAAGAATCTTCCTGTCTTATTTGTTTAGAGCCTTCAACTTACCTCTGCTAAATTTTATTTTCTTTCATGTAGATGTGGGTATATTCTAAGTTCTTTGGTGGAAAGGACCTAGGTTTTATACTTCTTTTTGTCCCTCAGCTGCTTTCACGGTGCTGTACACAGAGGAAGCAATCAATAATTGTGGATGGCTGAGCAGTTCTTCCAAGCAGTTTGGACATCCACGATTGAAATCGTTTGCGAGTCACATTAATCTCACAGTCTACAAATAACTAGACTTTCCCCTTTTCCAATTTGATCCATGGCAGGATACAAGGCTTATTGCTGTGAATTCCTGCCTCTCAACAGAGCTGCTTTGCTACTTTAAGTTAGGTGCCAGTGTGCCCTTGAAGCATTTCTTCTGTCCATTTCACATACAATTACATTCCTTCAATTCACCACACACCAAGGGCCCTGGTATCCTGGTGTCATCCATTCTCATTGCATTATTGACCAGGCATCATGGAACTGTGATAAGTTTGGCATGAATGCCTATGGAAAATTTCTGTTTCCAAACCTCTTAACTAAAGACCATTTAATGTGAAATAAAGCAAGCAGGTGTGGTGATGAGCTCTTTCCTAAAGCCAATAGAATGTTGGATGCTAAGAGGTCCAAATGTCACACCCATACCATAAATAGAGCAAATTTTGCTTTGTTGACCTTTGCATTGTTTAAAAGCCAAGCTCTCTTCTCTGCTATAAAATCTCTGTTAGAAAATTGCCTCTTGGAGACAACTATAAAAATCAAATGTTTCTGTGCAGTATGGAGCCTAGGAGGGAAGTGTTAAATAATCCCAACTCTTTTATTTCTCCTAATATATTCCTAATGTTCTCCTTACTTTGATCAGGAAGGGCAATTGGGCATAGAACCTTCCAACTGAGCAGTGAAGGTATCAGGATGCAGTGTATAATTTAAGACATCAAATAAAGCTGACAAGCAAAGACAATAATGGAGACTTGGGGTTAAATTAGCTGACTGGAGTCAGAAACACTGGGATCTGCATACAAAGTAAACATTAAACATTGGGATGCAGTGTAGGCATGGTGGCTCACCCCTGTAATCCCAGCACTTTGGAAGGCCGAGGTGGGTGGATCATTTGACGTCAGGAGTTCAAGACCACCCTGGCCAACATGGTGAAACCCCATCTCTACTAAAAATACAAAAATTAGCCAGGTGTGGTGGCAGGTGCCTGTAGTCCCAGGTACTTGGGAGGCTGAGGCAGGAGAATTGTTTGAACCCGGGAGGTGGGGTTGAAGTGAGCCAAGCTTGTACTACTGTACTCCAGCTTGGGTGACAGAGTGTACTCCAGCCTGGGTGACAAAGTGAGACTCTGTCTCAAAAAAAAAAGATTGGGATGCAGGTTGAGGATGATACAGAAGGCAGGTTCACAAGCATACGGTCCACTCTTTGCCATGATGTAAGGATAATCAGAGACCAGTGTCAGAGACAAAAAGTCTCTCCTTTGAGCTCAGAGGCTGGAAAGAAAATGCAAATCAGCAGGGGTGCCTCTCTCACCCTGACAACATAAGCTAGTTAAAGCCAATCTGAAATAGCAACACCAACATTTACATAGCAATGCTTCTCAGATGTTTAATGTCAATAGAAATTTTGCTGAAATACAGACTCTGATGCAGTCAGTCTGGGACAGGGCCTGGAGATCTGCATTTTTAATAAGCTCCTGGATGATGCAGATGCTGCTGATCTACAGATCACACTTTGAATAGCACCTACTGTGTGCCAGATACTGCTTTATATTCTTTGCATAAATTTACTCACTTAATCCTCACTATAGTTATCATCATCATCTTTCTCATCTCAGAGAGCACAGAGAGGTTACAAATGTGGTCAAATTTTCATCACTCGTAAATGGCAGAGCAGGCTTTGAGCCTAGGCAGCCTGATCCCAGAAGCTGTGCTGGTCTAACTACCACGCTGTACTGCTTTTCCTAGGTTATGTGGTTGGTATTGCTTCCCAGATTTGTGTAATAACTAGTGCTAAGACAAATCTGGATGACCCAGCAGAGTTAAATCACAATTAACTATCAGTGATTTAGTGTCCAACCTAATCCAACACTTTAACTCACCATTTATTTATTGTATCATTTTCTACCTGAATATGTCCTTGAGACATGAAAATATACAGCAGATTAGCACAATGAACAATACACATACATTTGCTCTCATTTTTTTCCCATGAAAGAATCTGGCTCAACTTTCTCCTTAAGATTTTGTATCTTACTAGCGTCTGTTTGTACAGTTTTGCTTGTCTTTGGGAGGCAGAGAAATGCTGGCATCTCTCGTGGATTAAAATAACTGTAAAAACCCTGATTTGAAAGGGCCTCTGGGCTTGCTGCCTGGCTGCTCTAGGCAGCTAAAGATTTGAGTTCTATTGAATTACACTGTACTGTGGTCAGAGGCAGTGGTGGCCAGGGAGGGAGCGCCAGGCTGGCCACCTGATAGCGCAGCTGCCGTGAGCCTTTGCACAAGGTCCCAGCAGCTCTCCAGACTTTAGCTGCAACTACAGCAAGCAGTCAGGCAAGAGCTTCATCTCAGAAATGGCAACCCTCATCAGGGAGGCTTAGCTCGCTTCACGCATTCCCAAATGCCCAGAGAGGCTCATCTAAGTCAAACATATGCATGGAGACAGAGGGACAGAGTGGGGCTGCAAGAAACAGTTGAGTGACTCTGTTTGCATGCTACCCCGGAGAGAGAGTAAGAAATGAATAAAATATTCCCTTATAAACAAGTGGAAACAAAAAGTGCTCCCCACCTCTGCCATGAGAATGCTTCCTCTCTTTAATATGCATTGAATTTATTTATGATAAATTTCCATCTTTGGCACAAAGTAATAACATGTAGAATAGGCAGGAAGCTTAAGGGTAGAAAACGGCTTGTGATTTCAGTCAATATTAATGGCAGGCAAATGTGTAGTGATTTGCCTTTTTCTGTGATGCTATCAATTGCATAAGAAGAAAAGTAACTTTCCTGTAACAATGTACATTTTTAAAAGACATTTGTATATTTAAAGGAAACTACTGTAGTTACATAAAGTCAGCCTATGAAGTATATTATTGTTTTAAAATTTTTTTGAGGTATACTATTATAAAGCTTAGAATACATCCAATTTTCCTCTCTGCCAAATGTTAAGAGAAAGTGCTTTTACTTATCATACTTGATTATTTCAGGATAAGTGGATGTAAGTATATGTGTTTAGATAATACAAATACTTTCCAATTAGCTGAGAGTTTGAAATGCAATAAAAATTTTACCTGATTTTCTTTTTAAATTTTCTTTTAATTTTAATTCATTAACCAGTGTAGCAGGATAGCAAATATTTAACTCACAAATCAGTTCAGATGTGGTGAGAAAATGTAACTTCTTGATTTATCCAATCAGCCTTTCTCCTGAAATGGTTAGTAAGAAAAAAATTACCTAAATGTCCAATATGTTTACTTGAGGTCTGACTCTATGGTTTAATAGTACCTTTAGGTATTACTCAATTTCTCTTGGATAAAAGTGCTTCCCTCTGTTTCTGTCCTTTAATTTGTTTCTAGGTGTCTGAGAGTAAGGGGAAGATGGGTGAAAGAGAACATGAATTTGAAGCTAAATGTGGTCCTTGGATCCACACTGAGTGTAGGTATCACATCATTATCTTGGTATCACATCACATCACACCTGAAGTCAATGACAGGTTTAGGTTGTAGTTTGTTTTCTCTTGACTAGGTCAGAGCCTGGTAGTATTCCCTGGGTGATTCAGCCTCATGTCAGTTGGCACTGGTGGTGTAGACACCTTTAAGTTCCAAAATGGACCTCCCATGTGGACTCTGTTCAGATTATCCCCTCTATAACTTAAAATAGTGTCATCTTGGATCTCAAGACCTACTGAAAAATCCCATTTTGCATGTTAAAAGTTGACCATTACCTTATTCTTTCTCTTTTCATTCTGTCTATAACAAACACTGCACTTCTCATACAGACTGTATTAGTCTGTCCTTACACTGCTATGAAGAAATACCTGAGACTGACTAATTTATAAAGGAAAGAGGTTTAATTGACTCACAGTTCCATATGGCTGGGGAGGCCTCAGGATCATAGTGGAAGGGGAAGCAAACATGTCCTTCCTCACATGATGGTAGGAGAGAGCAGTGCTGAGCAAAAGCGGGGAAAGCCCCTTATAAAACCATAAATCTTGTGAGAACTCACTCACTATCACGAGAACAGCATGAGGTTAACTGTTCTCATAATTGAATTCCCTCCCACTGGGTTCCTCCCACAACACATGGGGAATATAGGAACTACAATTCAAGATGAGATTTGGGTAGGGACACAGCCAAACCGTATCGGACAACTTGGTTTTGGGCTAACTTGGGGAAAGGTCTAGTCCTCAGAAAGGTAAAAGAGCACATTATCAAAACATCCCATTAATGGCTCAAGACAAACTTAGATTGCATTTGAAAATCATTGGGCTTATATTCTAACTGTCTTACCTGATTATTAGCTTATTAAGTTCAAAATGCATCTATTACTAGTCACTTGGTGGAGAATGATGTAGCTAAAAGAAAAATCAGAAGAAGAGAAAATTCTTTTCAGAGAAATAAAATGTATTCTTTAGCAGCTTATTTATTATATGGAATAAAAATCATATAAACAGTGATCTTCCAACCCTGTCCAAAAAGTTACAGGAAAGAAGATTGCTGAGGACTAACCACCTTCCTGTAGGCTTTCTTAGGTTGAGTCTCTGCTAAAAGCTACAACTATGGAAGGTCTCCTACTCCACCTTCAGCCAGGGAGGATTGAGGCAGCACCCATTTACTTCTATTTAACTACAGGCAACTTTCCTCTAGTTCTCTGAAGCATCAGTACCAAAATCAGAAAAGCAGTGAAATTTTCAATGTACCTTGTAAAATAACTTTTTTGGAGCTTTGTCATAGTGATGGTTTTTTATACAAAAACCACACTAGGAAATAGTATCACTTGAAGTGATCTAACATCCTAACCACAAAGCTGCAGTATTAGAAACTTCTGGTTTGCCAGGGACAGTCAATTCACATTAAGCTGTTGAAAAGTATAGAAAAGATCCCTGGGGCCCACAATACCTTTACTCTTCTTCTAGACACCCCACTAAACTACATATCTGGCTCTCTTGCAGTTAGGTTAAAACTGAATCATTGATTTCTGGCCAACAGAATGAGTGGAAGTAATATATGCTATTTCTATATCTGAATTATAAATATATCCCAGACAAAATTAGTCCAGGCATCAGCAAACTATAGCTGACAGCTAACTCTAGGCTACTGTATGATTTTGTAAGTAAAGTTTTAATAGAACAAAACTACAGCTACAACTGCTCTTCCATGACAATGGCAGATTTGAGTAACTGCAACAAAACCACATGGCTCACAAAATTAAAGAAATATTTACCACCTAGCACTTTATGGAAAAATTCTGTCAACCCTTCCTTATTACAGCAATAAGCAATATCCATTTGCAACAACCTTTGAAGCCATATTTAAAGACGATGTCCTATATGAAAGAAGCTTGAATTCTTAAATGACAGTGTGGAACAAACTTCTCCTACCCTCACTTTATGTGAGTAAAAAATGATATTTTGTCATGTAATGCCATAGAGATTTTAGAATTGTCTGTTACAGCAGCAAGCATCACTTTCCCCAGAAGATCGCAAGGCTATATGAATATGCCTATGTGCTCTTGACTAATCGTTCTGATTGTTAATTGGCCTGCAAACTGGAAATATGTCTCCTTATAATGGAATCATTCTGAAAACATCTTCCTTATCAATGCCCATGAAAGTATACATACTCCCATAATCTTTAACTACACAGGACCCAAACTAGCAAGTGATTTGAAAAGATACAGTCACATCTGTATTCTCTGCCCCTGCAAAGGCCAAAAATTCTACTGGCTTAAGACAGGACTAAGAGAGCAAATGACTATCAAACTCTCTAATTGTCAGTGTGGACTCATAGTTTCTGTACATTGAACAAGACTGTGGAAGTGAATAACTTCAAACAGGAACATTTGACACCACATTTCCCAGAACAACTGTTGACCTGGAAAGGCCACAGAGAAAAGATGTTGATGGCTGTAACCAGGCCATAACCCGTTACTGCCTGCATAAAGCTCAAATGTGATAGGTAAGGACAGGACCTTTGCCACTGTGCATATGGATTTCCCTATTCAGAAGAACACCTGTTCCCCTTCTACAAGGCAAGAATTCCAAGATTGTTAGACCCATTGGCTGTTGTACACTTTAAAACTGTAATGTGGATCCTAAGGGTAGAGAAGAGAACATTTTAATCAAGAGCCAGAGATTTCTTGACTTGGGGAATATGGAAGGGTAAAACACATAAAATGCTTTTTAAGACTTTCACTACCTCACTTCTGTGCAGCAACTGTAGCAAGAAAAAAGCACAAGATCACTTTCAATGGAGCCAAGTAACTCTTCTGACAGTGGGGCCCCAGTAAGAGGTTATCCCTGAGAATGAGTTCTCAACAGGACAAGTGTGTCTTGATGATGAGAACAAAATCCCTTCTGTAATCTGGTGCCAGGAAGTTGGAAGGTGAACCAAAGCAGTCAGGAGGATAAACACATTTTAGATTTTAAGTTGTCCCTTACTGGGTGGTTTTGGCAAACAAAACAAGACAGAAAAATGGGAAATATGGCAAAACAAACATGAAATTGTGCAATCCAAAAAAGAAGGAAGCAATTCCAGATGCTCCACAGCCTGTACTATTGAATACTGTTAAATTATTTACAAACTCTCTCCAAGCCTGGTTTTCAGCAGGCATGGTATATGTTATGTACACATCGTTATCTCTGAATTGGAAATGCTAATGCAAGCATATTGGATTTTAACTAGAATTGTACTTGTTAAAGGACATATGAAATTTTTTTCTGTGTACAAGTGTCCTTATAGGAAATCTCTTTAAAATGTATTTTTTGTAGAGAGCATACATAGAGAAAAGTAATATTTTATCTTGACATGGTTTTGTGGTGATTCATGTAAGAAATCGTTTACAATCTTTTAATCTTACTAGGAGACTGGTCATAAAATCATGGCAACGCAGAAAACACACAAATAAACTAGCACTTTATATCAAAGTATGCCCCCATCATCACCCTCCCCCTTGCAAAGATCACTTCCCACTGCTGTACAGGGAAAGAAGAGGTGGGGTTTCTGTGAGTTCTTCCTATACTGCCTGCTCCACGGTCTTTGCTTACCAGTGGGGCTCCCCCTGACAGTTAGAGCACCACAGAGGACTGACATCCCTCAGGCTCTTGAGACTGAAGTAGCTCCTTTGTTGTCTCTGGGGAGCGGATGGGGGCCAAGTCACATTCTTCTTTACTCTCACTTTATTCTTCCTTTTTTTTTTTTTTTTTGGGGGGGGGGAACGGAGTCTCGCTCTTTCGCCCAGGCTGGAGTGCAGTGGCGCTACCTCGGCCCACTGCAAGCTCTGCCTCCTGGGTTCACGCCATTCTCCTGCCTCAGCCTCCCGAGTAGCTGGGACTACAGGCGCCCGCCACCATGCCCAGGTAATTTTTTGTATTTTTAGTAGAGATGGGGTTTAACCGTGTTAGCCAAGATGGTCTCGATCTCCTGACCTCGTACTCTCACTTTATTCTTAACAACACTATTACACATGGCTGTACAGGAGAATTCAACATTACTCAAGGGTTGGAGAAATGAAAAGGAATTATGCCTACAGGAAAACTGAAAGTGTATAGTAAACAACTTTTCCCATAATCCAAAGGAAAGACATCTGAAGAAGTAAACCTTCCCAGGACTCCTCACACAATCACATCTCACTTGTGACCTTTCTCTGCTGCCCTGACATCTGTACCTTACCACCTCCTTCTTTCCATTCCACTCCCAAACCCACACGTGGCTGGAGACCTATCTGATGGGAAGGTCCTTCACTGTATGCCCACAGCCATTGTTTTCAAACCAGATGCACCTATTTCTCCCAAACAGTGTATTAATTCAAATCAGATTAATTTGGTCTAGAATAAAGTCTTCGAGGGCCTCAGCTGTGCAGTAGGTGGTGGTATCTGGCATTCTACGTCTGAAGAAAAGGTTTGAGGAATGAAGGACTTGATACAAAGAGGACACTGCAAGTCTCATGCCCTTCAAAATTTCCCCAGCAAATGAGTTTCAACTACCCCTTTTTTATTTTTCCACCTATTTAAGCACTTGTTCACCTACACACACAAACACATACACAATCACAAACATACACAGACCTCTTTATAAAACAATCATTCACTCTCTGAGAAAGTACATGCTAAACAGTAGAGTCATTTTTTTCTTTCCTTTTTAAAAAATATTTCCCCTTGATGTCAAATTGTGTCTGCTCAGACCTGCTGAGAATATAAAGCAGCCATTGCTCTACTGTCCTTCTCTTAATAGCTGCTTCCTTAATAGTACAAAGACTGGCCTTGGATCAATTTTGAAGTTTGACAGCAAAAAGCAGACTGGGCCTGATCCACCTTCATCTGCCTTCCAATCAAAAGACCCATGAAAACAGAAAAAGATGTGAAGTCGTGACAGAATTTAAATAAAGGATATCAATGAAGGAATTTCCCAGTTTTGGAAAGAGTTTATATCTAAATATAAAGCAGATGAATAGACCTGAGAAATGATTAGCACCTAAGTCACATCTACAGCACTTTCACATCTAGAGATAAGAGGTGGGAAAATGCTTCTAGACATCCCTAATTTGTATAGTTGAAACTGCAATTATATTCCACACAGCCTGAGAATCACTGCCACTCCCCACCTCCACTTTATTCTACAAAGAAGCTCCTTGCCCAAAGGAGCTTTTATATCCAATCAAGAAACCACAGCCCTCAGTAATACAATACAGGGCAGTGTGCAGCGTACCTCAGATATGATGCCAAGAGTACAGCTTTGGTGGTCAAGAACTGTCATTCCATCAGTTGACAATTATAATAAAGGCAGTATGACTTAGCAGTTAAGATTATGAATACTAACGTCAGAAAGATGAGAGTCCTAGTCCTAACTCTTCTACTTAGTAGTTGCATGATGTTGGGGAGATTATCTAAACTTCCAGAGGCCCTAAATTTTTATTTGCAATATGTAGATAATGCCTCATATGACTGTTTTGCAGATAAAACTATTTAAGAATTTATCACAGTGTCAGCAAACGTTAAACAATAAATAGTAGTCAAGAGCAAGTAGAATAATGAAATAGAGCACAGAATAAAAGTAGAATAATGAAATAATGAGCACAGAGTCAGGAGCCTGAGCTACCCTTCCAGTGAAGTGTGACTAGGTTTTGGCCAATAGGATGTGAGCAGAAATAATGTGAACATTTGGATCATGTACTCAAAGGAAGGCCCACCTCTTTCCTTTTTCCCTTTCTGCTGGACATGGTAGTGAACCATTTTGGATCATTCAGATTAGGATAACACACTACAAATAGTAAATCAACAAGATCTCTATCATTCTACTCCAACTTGATTGCTTTTTAGACCTAATCCTCAGTTGTCATTCTGAGACCACCTGCATTTCTCTCCTTAGTTGATTCCTTTAATTCCTAGATCTCAAGTTCTTTTCTTTAGTTCATGCCCTCAATTTACTTCATTAAAAAAGGGTACATGGAAGGTAGGCCTTCTGTGACCTTGTATGTCTAAAAATGTATTTTTTTCTTTGTGTCAAATGATAGTTTGGCTAGGTATAAAACTCTAGGTTGAAATTCATTTTTTGTCAAATTTTTGAACATTATACTTCACTGCTTTCCAGCATTTGATATTTCCATTGAAAAGTCTGATACATTCATTTAATTTAGCAGTTAATAGTCCTCTTCCATTAGAAGAGTAATGCCATTCTTTAGCTGTGAGAAACTACGTGCTTTTACTCCTTTTTTTCTTTTTTCTTTTTTTTTTTTTTTTTTGTGATGGAGCCTCACTCTGTCACCCAGGCTGGAGTGCAGTGGCATGATCTCCGCTCACTGAAACCTCCACCTCACAGTTTTAGCAATTCTCCTGCCTCAGCCTCCTGAGCAGCAGGGATTACAGGTGCCCGTCACCACGCCGGGCTAATTTTGTACTTTTAGTAGAGATGGGGTTTCACTATGTTGGCCAGGCTGGTCTTGAATTCCTGACCTCAGGGGATCCGCCCACCTCAGCCTCCCAAAGTGCTGGGATTACAGGCATGAGCCACCACACCTGGCCGCTTTTACTCCTTTTCTAATGTCCTCTGTTAAGCTTTTCTGTTCTCTCTTTCTGAAAGCCTATTATCACAGGAGTTCCTGACAGTATTGTCTGTAAGTCTGGCCTTTATTATAGCTCATATTTTCCAATTATTGTCTTTTTAGTTTGTTTCACATTGTGATATTTTTTGAACTTTACCTTTCAATTCTTCTCGAAATTTTATATTGATAACATAACTTTGTTTCTCAACCATTCTTTATTGTTTATAAGCATTGTTTTTCATTGCATGTGGTTCATATTTATGGATTCAGTATCTTCTTAAATTATCAAGTTGTGCCAAACTCTTTATAAGGATTATCATATTATTTCCTGCAATCACTCTCTGAGGAATGAAAGATAATTTGCATTATTTTACAAATAAAAAATAAGTTTAGCAAGATTATGTTAATTTCTTAAGATCAAAAAAGCAGAAGTGGTAGAATTGGAATTCCCCCTTAGGTAGTCTGACTTCAGAGCTAACAACTTCATCTTTAACCATAACATTATAATGCCTCCATTTTCTTCATATATCCTGTAGCAGGTTGAATAATGGGCTCCAAAAGGTTTTTATTTCCTGATCCCTGGAAACCATGAATATGTCACCTTACACAGCAAAAGGGATTTTACAGGTGTGATTAAGTTAAGGACTTTGAGATGGGGGGATTCTCCTGGATTATCTGGGTAAGCTCAATATCATCATAATCCTGAAAAAATGAAAGAGGGAGGTAGAAGTATCTGAGAAGAAGCAGAGTTTGAAGTAATGTGACTGCTGGCTTTGAAGGTAGAGGAAAGGACCATGAGTCAAAGAATGCAGGCACCCTCTACAGGCTGGAAGAGGCAATGAGACATATTTTTCCCTAGAGCCTCCAGAAAGAATGCAGACTTGTGAACCTATTTTGGACTTCTGACCTCCACAGCTGTAAGCTAATAAATTTATGCTGCTTTAAGACATAAGTTTGTGCCAATTTCTTTCAGTGGCAATAGGAAACTAATACATAGATCTTGCACATTTTTTGTTAGATTTATTGCTAGATGTCCTAAGCTTTTTGGCTATTTTTTTAAAAAAATCCTTTCATCAATTACATTTCTAAATTCCACCTCTAAATGATAATGTTTGAAATAATTTGAGTTTTGTATGTTGATTGAATGGCAAGTGTCATAGTCCACTTGGGCTGCTATAACAGAATACCATAGACAAGGTAGTTTATAAACAACTGAAATTTATTTCTCACAGTTCTGGAGGCTAGGAAGTACAAGATCAAGGTGCCAGTAGATTCTGTATCTGGGGAGAGACTACTTCCTGATGCATAAATGGCTGTCTTCTCATTACATCCTCACAAGGCAGAAGGGCAATGGAGCTCTCTGGGGTCTCTTTTATAAGGGCACTCATCCTATTAATAAGTGCACTAATCCCATTTCACCAATATAACCTAATCACTTCCCAAAGGCCCCACTTCCAAATACTATCACATTGGGGTTAGAATCTTAATATACAAATTTTAGAAGGACATAAATATTCAGTGTATAGCAACAGGACGCCTTCCTTAATTCTTTTAGAAGCCCAAATGATTTTTGGTTGAAATTTTGTTATTAAAAATTAGGTCTAAAATTACTCATAAATTTTTATCTTTCTAATACTCATACTTTTTTGTTCCTTTGTGTCTTTGATCTAGTTATTGATTACTTCTTGTTCTAGTCTTTGGTTAGGATCACCTGTCTAATGTTAATAGTGATAACTTCTGATTTTAATAACAATGCTCATGATATTTCAACTTTAAGTATATTTGATGGACTTGGTTTGCTTATATATTATTTAAGCTATTTGTGCTTATGTTTGGAAATAAAATGAGTCTTTCTTTTTTTAAGTTATTCTCAATCAGTTCTGTTATTATTGATATTCAAATCTTACTGAATGTAAAAGCTTTCTATCTCTTTCTATGCCCTAAAAGAATTCATTAATATAAATTACCTGTTTTCCTATTTTAGGAAAAACTTATTTTAAATACTTTTGGACCAGGTTCTTTTTATATGAATAAATTTCTGACTACCTTATCAATATTATCAAATATTAATTTGTTTTATGTGGTTTCAGTATGACACTGGTTATTCCCTTATATTGTTCTTGGGTTCTTGGAGGTGGGTAAACCAACTAAAAATCTATGGACACAGGAAAAAGCTAGGCATCCTTCATCACCACTGCACTGAGAATTCAGTATCTATATAATATGAATCTAAGTGTCTTTAGGTAAAACTGATCATACCAGATTCTATTCTCAACATGTCCAGCTGAAGACATCTGCTTCCTAATTTTTTTCACCAGTTCCAAAGTTTTGTAGATAGGCAAACCCAATCAGCTGTTGTTCTTTTTTAGATCAACTGTCAATTCTATCTCTGGCATCTCTGGCTCCTTCCTTCTATCTCCACTTTTTAAATTGCAACACTCCCATCACCTGCAAAGATTTTTGCAAGCCCCAACTTGATCTCCCTAATTGCAATCAATCCACTCTTTACACACAGCCTAAGTGAGTTTTCTAAAAAATTAACTCTCATAATACTTTCCTGCTTAAAACTCTTGGTGGCCCTCCCATGCCAAGATTGGGGTAAGAGAAACCCCTAGCCTTGTCATTTGAGGACTAAATTTCCAAGCTCATCTCCTGCCTTCTCCCTGCCATAAATCCACTTAACTTTCCCTATAGGCAGATTCTCAGCTTTCTAAACGCTACAAACATTTTCCTACCTGTTGGCCTTGGTTCAGGCAGTTTCCTCTGCTTGGAAGGCTCCTCTTGCCAAATCCCATTTGGGAGACTTCCATTTATTATTCAAGGTCCAAGTTCAATGCTTATCTTCCCTGTGAAGCCCTATTAAATCCTCCCTCTGACCCCTCCTGAGTGAATCTGTCCTTTCGCCACTACAAAATATCATATATTATTATTTATTAAGTGCCTCACTCTACCCCTCTCCTACAACACCTTGGAATGGAAGCTCTTCAAGTACAGAGCGGACCTTACTCCTGTTTGTGCTTTGAGGCCTAGCACAATGTTTAGTATATAAAGGCAGGTCAATAAATATCTGTACTGAATATTGTTAACACTTATTTGTCATGTGTAACGGGGTAGGAGAAGGAGAATAACTCAAAGTTATCATTAGAACAAAACAACCGTCTTCTCTGAAATATCTGGGGGTAGATTACCTCTGATTTCTTTAGGCACTCTCTTCCCCAAGGCGGTTTAATATTAAGATGGTAGCTCACTGGCGCAGCCAGGCAGGGGGAATGGGGAGTCAGGAGGAGAGGAGTGAGTCTTGGAGCCAGACAAACACAGAGGAAGGAAGCAGAAGGCCTGGGGAGGACTCAGACCTCCCGCCACACAACAATAAAAGCTCCTGGAACAAATTACTCCTGTCCTCCCTACCCGTCAACCTTCCCAGCAATAATTAAGTACTATTTAATCTCTGAGTATCACTGAGGAAGTAAGACTCCCAAATTATTACTAAACTTCACTTCAGTTCCAAATGTTTACTTCTAAACATTTGTCAGAGTTGCTGATGTATGAAGTGACAAGTTGTTCTTCATCTTCTGAACCTCTGTTTATTAAAAAATAAAAATAAAAAACCTGTCTCAGTAAAAAGGAGACCTAAGATAAGACAAATAGCAGGCATTGATTGGGAGAGACCAGGGTTTACAATTTACTCCTTTTTGAGTTGTAACTCATTATATGATGGGAGATTGAGATAGGTCAACCTCAATATACAAACAGCTATAACATAAGAGAGACTGTGAAGGTTTTAATATAAAAACTATTGCACTAGATTCTCCCCTTGCCATGCCAAATGGAACACACACATTCTCACAGAGCTCCCGTGTTAGTCTTCTTGGGCTGCTATAACGTAAACCCAGACTAGGTTGCTTAAACAACAGAAATTTATTTCTGGCAGTTTTGGAGACTGGGAAGTCCCAGATCAAGGCGTCACGAAGGTAGTTTCATTCTGAGGCCCCTTCTCATGCATTGTAGGTGGCTGCCATCTCACTGTGGGCTCACCTGACCTCTTCGTTGTGCATGTGGCAGGGAGAGAAAGAGAGCAAGCTCCCTGGTGTTTCTTCTTACAAGGGCACTAATCCTATCCCAAGGGCCCCACTCTCATGACCTTGTCGAACCTTAATTACCTCCCAAAGTTTCCTTTTCCTAATGTCACCACATTGGGGTTTAGAATTTCAACATATTGATGTGAGGGGGACAAAAACAGTCCATAATAGCCCTTAATCTGCAAACAGCATCTACCACCTTACCTGACTTGAGCACTGTGGATCACACATTCTTCCCTAAAGTACTTCCATTAGTTGCATTACTTCCTTGATTTATGAGTATATAATAAGAGATTAAAGAATTATCTATAGTTCTTTTCCTACCATATATTGTCTTCGCTCCATTTGAACTGTTTGCTAGGCCTGTCACACTGCTACTAGCACAGAAGTTTCTTTCAAATTAAACAATACCACTTCTGATTCCTAGAGACCAGTACACTCTACCTACTCTGTTTATTCACAATTATCAGCATGCTGGTTGAACTGGTTCAAATGATACAACAGTGGCTATTTCTACCCTGAAAAAGAGAAGCCAAATATTTGCAAACACTCTGCATGTAGATATATAAAAAGTCTACCTGTGGTAGAATGCACCATCTTCCTAAGTATCACAGAAATACATAGTATTCTTGGCCATTAAAAAGCAACATGTCAAAATATTCTTATGGAAAACAAAAATGGATTGTTAGAGATTCTACAGGAATCATATTTTTATTAGTATTTATATGAAAGTTTTAAATTTCCTAAAGCTGAAAGGTAATTTATGTTTGGCTTATTTTTGGAAAGGAAAAAATATTCTTAGCTCTTGTAATGAGCCGAGAAGAGACAAGATGGAAGGGAAATTGGTGAAAACAGGGATGAACAGAAGTGCAGCCCTTTGAACTAAGCAGAGAAACAAATCCCACAGTACTGCAACATAAAAAGAGAAATCCATCATTGACAAAAGAGACTGTCTGAAGACACTGGTCTCCTTTGAAAGTCTAGAGGAGCGGTTTAGAATAACAATCATGGCCATTGCAATGACTACAATTTGTGCATTATAAATGCTATGTTTTTAATAAGTTCTTACATTGATATATCTCTTTGTTAGAAAGATCCCATTTCTCCCCAGGTAATTTTTCATGTTCTTCTCCCTGAACATAGCTCCTTTTTCTAACAAAACAGCCATACCCATATTAATGGTGCAAAATGGATCAGAGTAAAAAATCAAATTGTGTAACTTAGCTATAATAGTTCTGTCCCTGTCAACTGAACTACAATCGACCTTGGAGGGAAAAGGGGAGGTGTTACATCCCTAAGGACGATCATTCAAGCTGGAAAATATCGATGGTAGAGGTGACAACACACTGAAGGAGACAGAAGGAATAACAGCTGCTTGTTCTACCAACATAGATACCGGGTAATTCATGGTTCAAACAGTAATGTCAACCTCCCAAGACAACCATGAGACATGGCAAGCCATCCCCTTGCAGAATGAGAGTAAACCATCTTTATTTCCAAAAGCTTTGTAACTAGAAGTCACTGTGACTGGTTCTTTAACAAACCCGCAACTTATCTACCCAAACGTGTGTTGCTTTTCAGAGGAGTCCATTGGGAGCTTTATATGTCTACTGTATTAGAGACACCATTATTCAAATAACTTTGGGATAAAATGGGCGAGACATTTCAAGTGGAAGGGAGAGCAAGTGCAACATAAGTAGTGCTTAAAGAACGCCAAGGCCAATACAAGCAGGTGAGTGGGGGGAAATTGGTAAAAGAAGAAGGCACGGTAGCAGCAGTAGCACACCTGTGTGGCCTGTTAGGTTATGAAATAGAGTGGGAACCCACAAAAAATGTTTAACTAGGGAAGTGGTAAGACACATTTAAAAATCGCTCTGGCTGCTGAGTAGAGAATAGATGGTAGGGGGCAAGAGTGGCAGCAGGGAGATCATTTGTAGCAGTGCAGGTGAAGTCATGGTAGCTTCAAGAAGGGGAGCAGTGATGGAGGTGGTGGAGAGTGTTAGATTGAGTTACACTGGGAAGAAAAGGAACAGTAGATATGAAAGAAAGTAAAGTGTGTAAAATAATAAATTCATCATTATTCTTTCAAACATTGAAGATATGAGGTTAGAAGACTCTGAATCTTGCCTTTTTTAAAACAAATATTTGCCTCTACCCCACTTAAAGTAATAAAGTCATAATTTAAAAAATACTGTTTTACATTCAAAGTTAGTATGCTTAGCTCCAATTCTCTTAAAATTCAGAGTATCCCTTAATTCATTTATTCTACAATTACTGGCCACTTACTATATGTATGATGTTATGCTGAATAATAGAAATTAAAAGATGGATAAGATACAGTACAGTTCCACAGCAGTGCCAAAACCACACAATTGTTATACCACTCAAAAGTTTAAACATACATAAACTCACAAAGATCTCTTCGTGTCAAATTTTATCCCTCCAAACATATATATTTTCCATGTAACAAATCTATATACGTTGCAGTAAGGAAGATAATCATGTGAACTATTGGTTCAGGTTCAGTGTGATCCCATAGCCTTATGAGAAAGGAACAATTAGGGGCACCAGAGCAGGTATGATCAGCTCCACTTGAGTGGCTGGCAGAGGTATATCTTTGAAGAATCCATTATGTTTCTCCGAAGACTTCAGTGTTCTCATCTTTAAAACTGAGATAATACCTGCCTACCTACCTCAGGAGGTTGTTATATGGTGCATGTCATCTTTTCTATTTCTGTATGATCATCCAATAGTATTCCAATTGTAGAAATTCACCTAATTTATCTCCTCTCATAACTCTCAATAATTATTCCTTTCATTATTACTTAGTAGCTTGACTCCCCATTTAAAGAAAGGTTGAAAAGGGAAGATTAAAGTTTCAACCTAGTGCATTTCCACATTAGCTATCCCTGTTCACTTATATTTTAATTCTATATTTGAGTTCCAATATTAAATATTATATACATATATGTAATGCCATTAGATTTCAAGTTCCTCGAGGTAGGAATTTGATTAATTACCATACAGCAATGGAGTCCATATCTAGAAGGCTTAGCATGTATTAAATAATAAAAATTTCAATATCAGAAAAAATTAAAAAGGGAAGCCCAAACTATTAACACTGCACCTCAGAATAAATTTTCTATATAAACAGAAATGTTGCATTCACTTTTCTCCTCATTTACATCTTTCAAATATTACTTATTCCTGTCTTAAAAAAAAGAATATAAATGTTTGGAAAATTAGTCTTTGGAGACCTCCATTTCTGGCCAAGATGAAGTAATGCTTGCCTGAAACAACCCCCACAAAAAAATCCTAGATTAAATAAATGAAACAAGATTTTAAAAACACTGGACAGGAAGGAAAAAAGGACAGTGATCCCTGAGAGACAGCAAATAAATGAAGCCCTGCAATTGCCTCCAGTTTACTGACTGAAAGAGTTTTCAGGCCTCAGTAGAGGGAGGGGGAACCTAGCTTGAACCTGATATACTCTGAGTTGAAGAGACATAGTTGAGAGTCCAGGGAGACCAAAGAGGCAAGAGTTCATAGGACAGAATATCAGAAAGGAGAGAACTATATGGAAAGAGAAATGCAGACATCCACAGAGGGTGTCCTGGAGTATTCCACTAAGTATTGATCAGCACTTGTGTTTGAGAAGACTACCCAAGGCTGGGGAAAGAACCATTTGAAATGATTTGAAGGAATGTGCCAGGTGCTAACATAGGACTGGGAATAGTGCCTGTTCACAACAGCCAGATCCCAAAAAACTCACAATTCATGGAGCATTAGGTAGAATATTCAGAAGGGCCTTGATTCAGTGGTGGGAAATAGCCCTAGGTTGAACATTAATCCAGATCCATTTAACAAATCATAAAAATAAGACTTGAAAAGATCAAATTGTTTCCAAGTAAATTAACTGCATCTCAGAACAAAGCTCAAAAAGAGTTATAAAAACAAAAAATATATATCCCACATCTAAAAAGACAAAATTTACGATGTCTGGCATCTAATTCGAGATTACCATGCAAAGAAGCAAGGAACTACATAACAATGAGAATCAATTGGCCAGAATTGACACAGATGTTAGAATTATTAGACAAGGACACTAAAATAATTATTGTAACTCTACCCTCTATGCTCCAAAAGTTAGAGACATTGAAAATATTATAAAATCAAATCCAAATCAACCTTTTTCCACAGATGAAAACTACAATGCTGAAGTTGAAAAATACAGTAGAAGGGATTAAAAGAAAATTCAATATTGCAAAACAAAGGAACAGTGAACATGAAGATATGGCAATAGAAACTTTAGAAAATAAAATACATAGAAAAAATATTTTTAAAAAGTAAATGAGTGAACTTGGGACAACTTCAAGTAGCTTAATATATATGTAATTGGAGTCATGAAAGAACATAATAGTGAAGGGAAAACAGGAAATTTCTTTGAAGAAATAATGTTTGAAATTTTTCTCAATTTTATGAAAACCATAAACCCACAGATTCAGGATCTTAACAAGCTTCAAGAACAAGAAACATAAAGAAGACTACAAGCACATCATAATAAAATTGCTCAAACCCAAGAATAAATAAGAAATCTTAAAAGCAGCTAAAAGAAAAATACACATTACTTATAGGGGAACAAAAATAAGGATAACAGCAGATTTCTCTTCTCATAGTCACAAGAGAATGAAAATGCAAACTACAAACCAGGAGAAGTTATTTGCAAAGCAGCTCTCTGACAAAGAACTTGTATCCACTATATATATAAAATATTCAAATCCAAAAAATATTTTTTTAACTCTTGAAACTCAATAATAAGGAAGCAAACTCAACCTGAACATGGAAGAAGATTTTTGCATACACTTCACCAAAAAAGATATATGGATGGCAAATAAGCAAATGCAAAGATGCCCAACATCATTAGTCACAGGAAAATGCAAATTAACCACAATTGGAGACCACAACCCACTTATTAGAATGTCTAACAATTAGAAAGACTTCTCATACCAAGTGTTGGCAAACATTTAGAGGAACTGGAATTCTCTATTACCACACTATTGGTGGTAACGTATAATGGTACCACCATTTTGGAAACAGCTTGGCACTTTATTAAAAATACATGTACCATATACTCCAGCCATTTTACTCCTAGGTATTTTTCAAGAGAAAAGAAAGCATATGTCCATGCAAAGATTTATACACAAATGTTCATAGCAGCTTCATTTGTAATAGCCATAACAATCCAGACAACCCAAATGTCTATCAACAGGTAAATGGGTAAACAAACTGTGGTATATCTATACAATGAAATACTACTCAGCAATAGAAGAGAAATAAACTATTGTGAATGCAACATGGATGATTTTCAAAATAATTTTGCTAAGTGAAAGAAGGCAAAAAGATTACATACTGTATGATTCCATTTATATAAGCTCTAGAAAATGCCAACTTAACTACAGTAACCACAGAATAGCAGTTGTCTGGAGAATTAAATAGGGTGGGGCAGGAGAAGGGATTTCAAAGGGGTATAAAAAAGCTTTGGAAAATAATGAAAATGTTCACTATTTTGATTGTGCTGATACTTCCATGAGTGCACATATATGTGAAAATGTACCAAAATGTTTACTATAAATATGCGCAGCTTATTATGTGTCAGTTGAACCTCAAAAAAGCTGTTAATATAAAAGTAAACATAAATGAAAGAATTTTTTATTTAACTTATTTTAATACTTTAATTTTATGTGTATCTGATGTGATGATGATTCTAAAATAGCATTTTAATCTTTTTGATTAACTCAACTCTTTTGGAAAATAAGTAAATGATTTTATATATATATATGTATACTTGAGACACCTATCTTTGAATAATATATGCTTAAATATATTATGTATAAAACCTTATATGCAAGAGCTCAGGAGTTTGTGTTTCTTTTTAAGAATTTTGTCATTGCTTAGTTGATCTCCTGCATGCTTTAGGATTTTTGACTCGTGTTAAAATTATTCTTGATATGAAAAGGTTTCATACTGAGACTCCCTGGTGGACATAATAATGAAGTTTGTTTAGTTGATATGTTTATTTTTTTCCAACTTTACCAGTGCACTGACCCCCAAGTATTAAATCTCAGCATGAATATGTTTCTAAGTTACATTTATACAACATAGTCATCCATAACACTTCAGGGATTTTATATTATAGTGTCAAGGTTATTTTCTCTTAGCCACTGTAGTTTTTCATAATCACTGAGCCCTAACATTATGGTTGCTGCTTATAAAAATTTTCTCATCAAGGTTACATGCAACATGAATATTATTAGTGCAAAATATTTCTTGTAACAATCCTTTGTTACCTTGTCTTTCCTTGACCAATGAAAATCTATACATGATCTGTTTCTAGCTCATAAAATTTCCAAATACAACATTTACAGATTTAAAAACTTCAGTGAGAAATTTTCAAAAAAACATTTCTCTGAACTTTCAGTTGTATATTAATCAATATAATACTAACCTCATTTAAAAATTAGATCTTATTAGTATTACTTATGTTTGTTAAACAATGGCTCTTCATAATGCCTCACCTAATTAAAAAAAGGAATGAAGGTATTATTTAACAAACATCATATCACAAATTATAAGGATAAGCCACATTAAAATTCAGAGGATCCTAGACAAACACTCAAAAGTAGAAAACCACATGCTATAATGCTTTTTATTTCTTGTTAGAAATCAGACAACACAAGTTTTCAGGAGTCCTGAAAATTGATGTCTTTGCCTCAGTGTTCTTATAATAGTTCCATTTTTAAAGTTTTGGTAGAGTTTGTAAAAGGTAAATGATCCATGTCTTTTTGTCAGCGGCAGGGGAGGGTATATAAAAGTATTGGTATGATTAGAGTTGCAGTGGCAAGAGGGTCTATTGTTGAAGATCATCTTTGTGACATTATTTTATTCTTGCTATGAGGATTCTGAACTTTGTGCATTTAGATTTCATCTAACAATTCAAATAATTAATTCTAACAGGAAATATCTATTTTACTTTCCAGCAAAACCATGATAGTTCAAACACATGAGTTTAATATATGTAAACATTTTTAAAGGGGGAGTTAAAAGATCTCCTGAAATACGATTAACTAGGAAACATCACAACGGATTGATATTAATTTTTTTTTTTTCTTACGGCAGAGACTCACTCTGTCACCCAGGCTGGAGTGCTGTGGTGCAATCTCAGCTCACTCAACCACCACCTCCCGGGTTCAAGAGCTTCTCCTCCCTCAGCCTCCTGGGCAGCTGGGACTACCGGCATGCACCACCACGCCCAGGTAATTTTTGTAATTTTAGAGATGGGGTTTCACCATATTGGCCAGTCTGGTCTCGAACTCCTGACCTTAAGGGATCCGCCCACCTCAGTCTCCCAAAGTGCTGGGATTATAGGCATGAGCCACCGTGCCTGGCCAATATCACTTTTTAAATTAGACCCCATTATATATCAAAGCCCTGGTATTTTTAACTTCATTATGGTAAGATGTACTACTTGATGTTGATATTCCGGGTGGCACAGACTGAGGTCCCAAATATAACCTAGGAGCAGGAGAATATTAAATTCATAAGGTAAAAGGAAAATTAGATAGATTTCATTGCATAAGAAATCTAGAAGTCAAAAGCAACTACAAAAATCCCTGATTTGGCCGGACGCGGTGGCTCACGCCTGTAATCCCAGCACTTTGGGAGGCCGAGGCTGGCGGATCACGAGGTCAGGAGCTCGAGACCATCCTGGCTAACACAGTGAAACCCCGTCCCTACTAAAAATACAAAAAAAATTAGCCGGTCGTGGTGGCCGGCGCCTGTAGTCCCAGCTATTCGGGAGGCTGAGGCAGGAGAATGGCGCGAATCCGGGAGGCGGAGCTTGCAGTGAGCTAAGATAGCGCCACTGCAGTCCGGCCTGGACGAAAGAGCGAGATTCCATCTCAAAAAAAAAAAAAAAAAATTCCCAGATTTTGTCAGTCAATGTTCAACACAGATAAATTATGACTCTTCCAGAGTCAAGCAGGGCAGATATTAGGCAACTTCTGGTATAAGAGCATAAGCGTCAGGAAGATCTTTTGGTCTTTGAAAAAGATTCAGTGAAAATACTTCATATATGTTTAGTCATCATAAACAGCTAAAGAGTTTTGGTAGTGTATGCACATCACTCATAATAGAGAAATACAAATTATACCTAAAATGAGATACCGTAGGTTATATCAACTGATAGCAAGTTTGATGCTGGTGAAGGTGTGGGTACACTGCTGATAAAAATATAAATTTCTACAACTTCTAGGGAAAGCTGTTCGGCAACATGTGTCAAAATTAAAAATGCCCACATCCTTTAACACAGCAATTCCACTTCTAGTAATTTTTCCTACAAATCTACTCACAAATGTGTAAAATGAACTATTCATTTAATAAATGCCTAGTGAACACTAATGGCACACCCGCTCTTGTTCTACACACTTGGGATAGAGAAGCAAACACAGTAGAGAGACTCATGAAGCTTACATGTGTTGGGGAAAGAGCCTTTAAACAAATAAATACATAATATGTCAACTGACGGCAAGTGCTATGAAGAAAAATAGAATAAGAGGAGTAGGGAGTAATGAGGAAGGGATTCTGCTTTATGTAAGGTAGCAAGGAGGTGACATTTAAACTGAAACCTGAGGGAAATAAGGAAAGAAGCTCCACAGACACCTATGAGAAGAGGTATTCTAAATACACCATCATCACAGGATTGTTGGTAAAAGATTGAAAACAATCTAAAATTATCAATAGATGCTTGATTAAATAAATTATATATTATATACATCACATGTACATATAGGGATATAGTATATAATATGATATATGCATTTTGTATATTTATGTATAAACATAGAGAATAAAATGATAAAATGGTGATGGAGATGCACTGACTGGGTAGCTGGGGGCCCTGAGTAAAGGTTTACTTTTCACTGAATCCTCTTTGCACCTTTCAAATTTTGTATGTCATGCACACTCTCAGTTTCATATACAAAACACCATCTGGCATGGTTCATGTTAAATAAATGCCTAATATGATTGAGGTAAAGACATCTATCCTGCTTAAAATATTTCTAGGAGTTGTGGAAATACCAAATGATAATATTCTACAACCAAAAAACGCCTGGGGAAATTTATATACAAATACATGTCACATGTATTACACTAAAAATGTATCTGGACTTTCTGATAAAGACAGACCCTCTGATAAAGACAGACCCTTAACAAGAAAAAAAATGGTACACTTGGAAAGAGCAGTTCAGATAACACATCATCATCCATGTCACTAAAAGGGACTGAATCTCACAAATCCATTGTATTTTGTCAAGTTTGTATGAATTCATATTACCACTTTCTCACAAGAAAAGAAATTTTATGTATTTCCTTTTTCTACATTTTAATGTAAAATGCTTATAAAACAAAGGCCTAAAACTGAAAACAAATTCAGTTTGTTTTGTTTCACCATGTGTACCTACATCTGCACGGAAAACAAAAAGACCCAGCTCTGCAACAGCTTCCAAATGCTGAAACATTTTGTGAGACTCCATAGAAACAATGTTCTTACAATCCAGCTAGATCTGTTTTTCGTGCTGTCATTTCCAGGAGCAACAAGCAAGACCAGGGATCTCCTTGCCCTTGCTCCCTCATGTTCAGATCTGCTAACTGCGGTGCAAGCTGGGAAGGAATTTTGAGGATGAAAATTTTGGATATAATGTTGATTTCATCATTGAAACTGTCAGGATAACAGAGGGATGCTTTCAGCAAGCCAAAAAAAATAGCACAACAAAACAAAACAAAACAAAGACACCGACACTGAAATCAGGGTCCTCATGAAAACCAATGCTAAAATAAACTCAAAACATTCAGCCTGTTAAGTTCAGCCTAAAGCTACCTCCTTACATATTTTATGTTTGGCCTAAAGTTTTTCCATATATAGTGCACTGTAACCTAATTGGATGTATAAACAGACTGTAACCTACTCTTGTACCAATCACCAAGTTTCCGACAACCAAAGGCAACCAACTGTTCAAACCATGTTCAAATATGACAAATGCCAAGTTGTAACCAATCCAGCTGTTTCTATACTTCACTTTTGTCATTTTCCTTTTTCTCTTCATAAATTTTCTTAGACCATGAGACAACACCTGAGTCATTCTGAGCCTCTTCTGGTTTGTGGGGGTTACCTGATTAACCAATTTTATTCTTTGTTCAATTAAACTCTGCTGAATTTAATTTGTGTAAGGTTTTCCTTTTAACAAATTTCTCTGCCTTTTTCTTGATTTTTTGTAGAATTATTAATTTATAGGGAAATCATGGATTTGCTATAGACAGATAAACAACATAACAGAATATAGCTTTAGTTATAGGACAGATTTTCAATATTTAACTGATAGAGCTTGCTCCGCTGACTTCTTAATGAGTGGACACACCACATCCTGATGTCTGTGATCAAGAGGGCAACATGACCAGAGGCCCATGTTGGGGAAAATGACAGCATTCTCAAGAAATGCACCCTAGTGGTGGCTACAAACCAATGGACTTGGATGCCACTACACTCCCCAGTACACTTTACCAGTGTCTGACTCATAGGTCCCCCTCCACTGCCAATAAATTCAGCCTAAAGAGACTCCTCTACTCTGAACATCTGTAGTAAACAGAATTTCTGAGATTCTATTCATCTTAATTATTTTCATGTCTCGTGTAAAGAACTGTAAAATGTATGAAGGATATCATGGCTGGGGTGGTGGTAAGGGGATGATTTTGCCAAGGTATGCTATTGCAGTTTGGAGCAGCATTAGCCCCAAAGTTATTCCTTGTAATGCTTAAGGGTGATATTAAATTTAGACTCATGAGACAAGCATTTGGAGGCAACCTCAGAATTTTCTGCCTTTACCACTTTTATACTGTTGTTATGTGTATATTCATCTTTCCTAGTGTTTTAGCAAACAAAACATGCCTACAGAGTCTTCAAATCAGTATAATGAGACACATACATCTTAAAACATGTTCATCTTCCTTCAGTTACTGCAAGCCACATGAAAATAAACCACCAAAATCAGTCTGATATTTAAAAAATAGTGTCCCTTCCATCTGTTTTTCAGAGAACAAAGCATAGTCGTGTGATACAATTTTCTATAGCCTGGAAACCAGAGAATATAGTCACATGAGTAATATGTTCTAGTCCAGATCTAACCCCAAGTCCTTTGCAGATATCAGAAAAGTCAGTGAATTGTGAATGGCATATATCACCGTCAACTTTTACAGATAATGAACATTACTTTATAATAGTATTAGCCAAAACTGCTATAATATTTTTATTTCATTGAATCATTACATAAATACAAAGATACATGGGATTTGTATGTGAAGGGAGTGAGGGGACAGAGAAACTGACAGGAATGAAGGGATGCTTTGCCTAGGAACAAATAGTTGAAGATTTAAAAGGCTTTACGAAAGTATTCCTCTGTTATCCTGACAGTTTCAATGATGAAATCAACATTATATTCAAAATTTTCATCCTCAAAATTCCTTCAACAGCTTGCACTGCATTTAGCAGATCCGAACATGATGCAGCAAGGACAAGGAGACCCCTGGTCTTGCTTGTTGCTCCTGGAAATGACCCCACGAAAAACAGATCTAGCTGGATCCCAAGATCATCATTGCTTTTATGGAGTCTCACAAAATGTTTCAGAATTTGGAAGCTGAGGCTGTGCTGAGTCTTTTTGTTTCCTGTGCAGATGTAGGTACACATGGTGAATAGTAATAATCCCCATGCTGTAAAACTAAAGTTGTAGCTTTTTCCAGACTCTACTCTGTACAATTTGTTTCCAAGACAAGTGGAGTTTTATACCTTAAAAGCCAAGAAGATATAGTGGAATTTTTATGGATGATGATTCGTCTTGGGTGCAAACTTTGAGATCCTACAAAGCAATTGTAGGATACTTATTAATAAAAGATCAGGATAAGCTTGTTGGATAAAATTGGAATATATTCGTATTAAGATCTAAGCATGCTTACATCCTTATTTTCAATTAGAAACTACCTGGAGGTGGGTGGAATAGTCAAGCCTGGTTTAAAGCTGCTAAATACAATGTCAGTTTTTACTTAATGTCCAAATGTTCAGATTTTAGGGTAAATTTGTTGAGAGGATGTGGAGAAGAGAAAGGTGGCCTCATCTCTTTATTTGAGAATATGAATAGTTTTTTAAAAAGCATTAAGATGTAATGACTAAATGTAACAATAATAATGGCTATCATTTAAAATTACTATGTGCCAGGCATTAAAAGAAACTTTATATACTTGATCTCATTGAATTATGCAAGATGTATATTATTAACCTTGTGTTACATGTGAAAAAAAAATGCCTTTTAAATATTAACTAGCCCAAATCCATGTAACTTCTAAATGACAGAGGTAGACTTAAACAAGGCCTTCTCTTTAAGCACTCTGTAGGTGTCATTGGGAACAATTATTAGAAGGCATGGCATTTGGTAAACGAATCCAGGCACTATTTTGGCTATTTAAAGAATAAGTCTTACATCTTGGAGGAAATAAGCCACTTATTAGGTATTATCTGTATCAGTCCTACTTCTTCATCTCCAAAATAAACAAGAACAACTTCCTGGATGCATATTAATGTTAATTTAAGGAGATTCTCTATCTCTATGAATGACATCATCTGGAAGTCATACTGACCTCACCCCGTGTTTAATGAGGCCATCAAGTTCAGTTATTTTCCCATGCAAATGTTCTCATAATCATCTTTTTATTTCTATCTCACTGATAATCATCAGTTCAAATTCTTATCATTCCTCATCTAAATTATTCTTACCATTCTTTCATCCATTCTTTTCACTGCTGTGAGAAAGTCTTTCCGAAAGCCTAATTTGATTAATTACTTTTTAAAACTTCTACAATCAAGCATACACATAATCTAGCAACTCCACTCATAGAGGTATGCATACATATGTTCATCAAGTGGCATTTACTAGAATGTGAGTAACAACTCTCTTCATATTAGCTAAACATTACAGACTGTGTAAATGCCCAACCCTAGAATGGATGAAAAAAATGGGATATTATATAGCAATGAAAATAAACATACTAAACTACATACAAGCAAAATGTTTGTACATACAAACATTTAAATAAAGTTCAGAAACATGCAAAGCTAAGCTAGGCTCCTAGAAATCAAAGCTGTCGTTATCTATGGTAGTTGGGGATAGAATCTGAAGG
The DNA here is from genome assembly GCF_000001405.40 of Homo sapiens. Classification (NCBI taxonomy): domain Eukaryota; kingdom Metazoa; phylum Chordata; class Mammalia; order Primates; family Hominidae; genus Homo; species Homo sapiens. The sequence goes on along the minus strand of NC_000006.12, from coordinate 57,987,073 downwards.
TGGTGCTGGCAATACTGCATTTTCCTATCCGGATCCGGGTTACCTGGGTGTGTTCATTTGAACTTTTACATACAGTATTCACACTTGTAGTACATTCATTTTTCTTTATGCATGCCATAGGTAAATAAATAGTAAACAATAAAATTTTAAAAATTATTTTTTAAAAAGATCTAAGCTTGCTCTCTTTATATCAAAAAGTTTACAATGGTGATACAGGAAAGGACAATTGACAACAAAAAGGAAGTGAAACTTATGACAAAGAACAGTAGCTACCGGTGAGAGATCATCAGCTGGGTAACTATGGGCACTGCCGTAAATGTGGCTACTGTGGATTAAAAAGCCAGACACAATAGAGACAGTGGCTCTCATCAACAATTAACTGTTAAGTGACTGCAAGGAATGCAATGAAAAATCACTGTGTTGTGTTCAAAGAGAACACAGTAAATTCTGACCTTATACAAAACAGCCTACTTTTACAAAGCAGAAATAACATGTGGCCATGTGCAGAGAAGAAAAGTACAAGGATCTGTCAGAACCCAGATTACACAATGCCCATCATAAATTCAAAACCTGTTTATTGTTCTGTGAAGAAATCTCTTCAGAATTGTTTAAATACTCAGGATCCAACTCAAACAATGGTGCTTAGGGATGTGAGTTATAGAACCAGGCAATTCTCACTTTATTAGTAAATCATTACAGAAAAAGTATCAGTCTGTTCTTCTAGGTTATGGTATCTGTTTTGTGCCAGACAAACACAAAAATATTTTAAAAGCAATCAAAACAGTTAATGCCAAGTATTTCACCTTTCACCTTCTCAGAGAACAATTTTGACTTCAAAATAAGATTTACCTGCTGTTACTATATCGCAAAAGGCCATTACTACTTCAAGATTTTTCTGAACAGAGCAGCAAAAGAAAAGCATCCACAGAGCAAGATGTGCCTTATTGTCCTCCCAACACATTCTCTGGGCTTCTCACTTTCCCGTCCATGAGAAGTTTTCATTGATTTGTCATTGAGTGCTCCCTGGACTCCCATGAAAGCATGGAAAATGTGACCATATGTTTCAGCTGTGCCCTTGGTCGGGGAGCTGCTGACACCTTCATTGTCCAGCCTTCAAGATTCTTTAGTACATTTTGTATCTTAGAGACAGATGTTATTTTAAAGTGATTGACTGAAGCAGAGCTTCTGGGACTAGAACAGGTGTGATTTGTGTACACATCTGCTCGGTCATAAAATATTGGCAAGTGAGTGGAATATCCAGGTTCAACGCTGCTTCCCAAAAGCTCTACACTGCATTTAATACCCTTCTAAGACAGCAAGATCAGGGAGTGAAATATTCTCCCGTTGTAGACAACAAAAATTAAATCATCCATGTTCTGCTTACAATTTATCCTATATCCCGAATTTTTAATAAGATTAAGTCATCTAAATTCATCTATTCTAATTTATTCATTTATTTAAACATGCTCATTCTGTTTTCTTCTGGAACCCATAGGCAGGGATGCAAATATTTAACAAAATTAACAACTCAAACCACACATAAATGTTCCCATTTGCTTTCATCATTCCCTTAGAATAAGCCTCTGAGGAATAAGTATAACATTTCTTCTTAAGGAGGAAGAGTATCTCCAGAGAAAGCACACACATGCACACACTTGCAAACAATGAGAAGTCCATTCTATTGATACTTGTTTCTCTTCTTTGCTCTTCAGCCTAAAGATATGTTTTAATAAATATTGACCAGTTTTGAGGTGGGGGGTCTAGGAATACTTCAGTATTGTATTCAGACAACCAGATCTTTGCATTTCAATAGTATTATATTAACACGTATTCAGAGAAAATACATTTCAGCTCCATTTCTATAATTTTCCTTACATATTTATATGCAAATATTTTCTCAGGCCAGGAAACAAATTACCAAAAGAAAAATCACCATGACTTTTACACTGAGACATAAGTTCTCCTCAGTTTCTCTCTCAACAAGGACAATATTTCCACTGAGATAGGTTGTTTATGGAAAGACTTCCTATTCATTAGAAAATCACTCCTTGGAGGTTATCTTCATATTTGGCACCTCCAAGAAAAGTCCACACATAAATCATTTTATTTTAAGTAGTTTAAGGCAAAGAAAATGACCTAGCTATCACCAAATTCCTCAAATGTTATTCTTTCCCTAGACCCACTGTAAATGTTTGTTCCCCAACTGTCAGCCAAATCCCCAGTGGGCTTCAAATTCTAACTGAAATTACCAGGTGTTTCACATTGTAATTCCCTAGCAGTTTTGAAACGTATATAAAGCACTGAGCACAGTAACACATGTAAGTTAAGCCAAGAAAATGTTGTGGACCAATGCCCAAACAGAACTGTTGAAAGATAAGGCCCTCCCCTGCCCTCTCCCAAGGGCAACGTAGTACTGTCGCCCAAGAGAAAAGGATGCCTTAAAAGATCACAGGTAAGAAGGTAGGAATATGAAGGCTAGGGAGAAGCTGTTATGCTCAGATCTCCATCTCAGACTTCAAATGGTGTAAGGATCAAGAAGCCGCTGAAGACTAAGAGTATCTTCTTTGGCACTTCCCCAGAGGTCCAGTGAGTATTCTGACCAGGACTGTGTTAAGATTCACTGTCCAGGCTGTCACAAGAATACTAACTGGGTCAGGTTGGTTACCAAATCAGGTGGCAATCATATCCCTCTTTCCCCAGCCGACTGAGAAGAGTCGCCCTTCCCTTTATGTCCCCATTTCCATGTGCCCCTGTGGGTGATAATTTGCTTTTGACGAAGCCACTGATCCATGCCTGTTCACAGCTGCAATAAACTTGGTGAGCCAGCCTTGCTCAGTCTTCGCCTGGATCCAAGAATGTGCAGCCCTAAACTTGGATTTCAGGACATTACACCTAATGCATAGTTGGCCTTCGAAAAGTCAAGCTCCTTTATAATCCACTCCCTCTCCTATACTAACTTTGATATGATCAAAGTTTACCCACAAAAGCTCACATGACTCTCCACCAAACCTTCTGCTTTCACTATTTTCCCCCATTGACTTCCTAATTAATCCACCTGTCACAAATAAAGAGCTTCTGTGGTCTTTCCATTTGAATCTAGAATATTCTTTATGATCATAAATTCCCATAATATTCATTCCAAAGGTTAAAAATAGCATGTTGCAAGGACATTGAACATGAACCCCTTTAAGTTACTTAGGCAGCACATTTAATGCCTTATCAAATGTTTTCCAATCCAGAGTCATTAGGCAAAACAGATGGTGCTATGATCCTTCACAAAACTATGTCTGGCATTTGGGCCCACTGAAATGGTTATATCAGACAGCTTGACCTCTGAATAATAACTCAGGCTCTATCTGCAGCCCTGAATTCCCGTGTGTGTGTTCTACTATTCTGGTAAATGCAACATGTCCAGCATCATCTTCCTTGGGAAAACTAAATGCAGAGCATATTTTTATCAGTTTTCTCTGCTCCCAGCTTCTTTTGCTCCATCCTCTTAATTATACCAACACATTTTAAATTTCCATAAAATATTATTTCATCAGTTATCCCACTGCTGAATATCCTCTAAAGCTTTCTGTTTCCTTCAGGGCAAAATACATGATTTCTCTAGCTAAGATGCTCTGTAATATCTCTCTCCAATACCTATCTCTGATTACTCCAAAAACCTTTCCTACACTCTAGATTGCTTATTATTTCATTATTTTGACAACATGTTGAGCTAACTCTCCATTTTTTCTTTTTTTTTTTTTTTTTGTGAGACGGATTCTTGCTTTGTCGCCCAGGCTGGAGTGCAGTGGCGCGATCTCTGTTCACTACAAGCTCCGCCTCCTGGGTTCACGCCATTCTCCTGCCTCAGCCTCCCCAGTAGCTGGGACTACAGGTGCCCGCCACCATGCCCAGCTAATTTTTGTTGTATTTTTAGTAGAGACAGGGTTCCACCATGTTAGCCAGGATGGTCTCGATCTCCTGACCTTGTGATCTTCCAGCCTCGGCCTCCCAAAGCGCTGGGATTACAGGCGTGAGCCACCGCGCCTGGCCTAAGTCTCCATTTTAAGTCTTTGATCATGCAGTTCCCCTCACATAGAAATACTTCTCCCTTCTTTTCCAGATAATTCTTGCTCATTCTTTAAAAAGTAACTCATTTAACATAAGCCCACGGGGGTCTCTTCCTGACCATTTCTGGCTCTTTTGACCTTCACCCACCTACACCACTCATTTTGGCCATTTATATATTATCATCCATTCTTATATACATGTTTATGTGTATAATCTATATTTCTAATTATATCGGTTGTTCCTAGAGAAGAGGTACTGTTCCTTACATTTTTCCCCTTAACACTGAACATAGCAGCCACTTGACAAATACTTAGAGAAGAATGAGCAAATTAGCCAACGTGCAGTTTGATTTTATATGAAGTAAAGAAATGGGAAGAAGTCAGATTAATAGTGATTCTTGTTGAACCCTAAATCTTCATTGCTGAATGTCCGTGTTTAACTCCAAATCCTTAAACATATTGTAAAAGCCAATCAAATATGAAATTACTCCACAGAAAAAATGTGAGAATAAAAGCATTACTAGCACCAGTTTCCATATAAAAGTCTGAAAAAAAACCCTAACTTTGGCTTATATATCACAATAATATTTCCTATATATTTTATACAGAAATTAGATTCAAGTAAATATAGAAAGTATATAGTAATTTGTATATTAAATTACTGTGAACAAAATAGACAAAATGGCGTTGGGACAACTGGATAATTTTGGAAAGAGTCCATATTCATAGCATGCATTATAATAAACTCCAAATGGATCATCTATTTCAATGAACTCATGACTTTAATAGATTCTATCTATATATAAGAAGAAACATATATTAAACAATTGCACATGACCAAAATAAAAATTCTGGAAGCATGGCAGACAGAAATTATTTTGTTAAATGTATTTTCATGTCAAAAATATAGTTTCAGCAGGGCGCGGTGGCTCATGCCTATAATCCCAGCACTTTGGGAAGCCGAGGTGGGCAGATTGCCTGACGTCAGGAGTTCAAGACCAGTCTGGCCAACAAGACCCATCTCTACTAAAAATGCAAAAAAATTAGCCGGGCACAGTGGCAGGCTCCTGTAATCCCAGCTACTTGGGAGGCTGAGGCAGGGAAATTGCTTGAACCAGGGAGGTGGAGGTTGCAGTGAGCCGAGATCATGCCACTGCACTCCAGCCTGGGTGACAGAGTGAGACTCCACCTCTAAATAAATAAATTAATTAAATTAAAAGTTTCTAGTTTTTATGGGCGACAATTTCTAGTTAAGTCATCATAATATGTAAATGTGAAAATAGAAAGGTCAGAGAGATCTGTAAAACAGAAACCATTTAAATTTTTTCTAGTCTTTTGAGAAACATCTAATTAATAATATAGAGCTTAATAAAAAAAAAAAACTACATGTTTACTATATACAAGGCCCTGTGCTATGACCATTCTCATTTAATCTTCTCAACAAATCTGTCAATTAGATACTGTTATTTCCATTCAGTTTCCCCGGAAGAAACTGAAGCTAGAGAGGCTAAGTAACTTGCTCCAAGTCACACTGCCAGTAAGAAGCAGAGCAAGAAATGGAGCCAGCACTCCAACTGCACTGCTGGAACAATCAGTGGTGTCACACAGTTTCCTTGTCCAGGCAGGTGGTAGTGATAATGATGTATGATATCATGATCCGTGACGATCCATGGTTGGAAAGTGAATCCTTGCTTAACTCAGAGGAACAGAGGACCATGTACATTTTCAAAATATTAAGTTTTGACTAGAATCTATTTTAACATCCTGGCTTTATTGTTCGTTTCAGCATCTCTATTACTTTATTCCACAGATCTAATGGACTTCCAACCACCTATGAAGAAATGGGTTAAGAACCACTCTATAAAGAACTGGGTTGAGAAACAGAAAGCATCCCTACTGATATTTCAATCCCTACTGAAATGTGAGATAAAAATAGCAGCTATAAAAAGAAAAACAAAATCCTCAAAAGGCCTGTTCTCTTTGATAAGGTGTAATACAATGTGCTTCTTCAAACCAACAGATTGAAAAGAAAATTTCAAGTATTCAAAGGACCATATTTGATGTTCAGTTGCCATATAAAGCTCCCAGAAATGGAATCTTACACATATTAGAGGGTGACCTTAGGGGAGATAATTTATTCATGGATCTGTGTCTTCATCTACCAAGTAAGAAGACAGATGGTTTCTACTTACATCATTTATTCCTTTATATGCTCGTACATTTATTTCTTACATTTGCCTTAATTTATAAAGAATCTGACATAATAGCATGATCTATGAATATTATTTACATATAAATGGTAATTTAATTATTTAATAATACTATTTATTTTTATTCTCTACTTTTTATTTTGAAGAATTGCAAAGCTATAGGAAATTGAAAGAACAGGTCAATGAACAGCATATATCCTCACTTAGATGCACCAGTTGCTAACATCTTCTCACATTGCTTTGTCTCTTGGTATCCCTCTCTTTGACAGACATGTACACTTCATGAAAAAACCACTTGAAAGTAAGTTAAAGATATTGTAACACCTCATCACTACTTACATCTCATGAAAATCTCAAGAACATTCTTTTAAATAAACACAATACCATTATCATACCCAAGAAATTTAACATTGATACAATATTTTCTAATACACAGTCCATACTCAGATTTTCCTGATTATCTACAAAGATATCCTTTATAGCTCTGTTTTGTAATCTAAGATCCAATCAAGGTTCACACATGCTGTTTAGTTTTTATGTCTCTTTATTCCTCTTTAACTTAAACAGTGTCCTGCCTTTAACTTAAACAGTGTCCTGCCTTTTTGTCATTTCAGTGACTGTCATTTCAGTGACTGTCATTTCAGTGTTTCATGACGTTGACATTTTTTGAAGAGTTCAGATCAATTGTCTTAGGAAATGTCCTACAATCTGGATTAGTCTGAGGGTCCTTGTCATTATTTTCTGGATATTCAATGTTCTATAATCTATCATTGTCGTTTTTTTTATTTTCACATTGTCTCAAATTTAGCCAGTCAGGTGGTCGTTCCTATGTTCTTTTGACATCTTCCCATCACTCTTTCAGCAATTCCTTGCTTTCTGGCACAAGATGTTTCATGTTCATCTAATGCAAGACCTGGAATCATGTAATACTCCAGGGAGTCCTGCCCTTTTGATGGGAACAGTATTTGGAAACTAATATAACCTTGTTTGCAACGTGTCACTGCATCCTGGCCCTTTCAGTGGACAGAGCTAGGAAAGAGAATCTATTAAAGTCATGAGTTCATTAAAATTGATGATCCATTTGGAGTTTATTTAAATGCATACTATGAATATGGACTCTATTTTTTCCAAAATTATCCAGTTTTTCCAAAACCGTTTTATCTATCCTGTTCACAGCAATTTAATATACACATTTATATTTACTTTCTATATTTAATTCATGTATATACTGTTTTCTGTATATACTGTCTCTGTTTCTGAAGTTCCTATCTCTTTTTTTTTTTTTTTTTTTTTTTTTTGAGACAGAGTCTTGCTCTGTCGCCAGGCTGGAGTGCAGTGGCGCAATCTCAGCTCACTGCAACCTCCGGCTCCCTGGTTCAAGCGATTCTCCTGCCTCAGCCTCCCGGGTAGCTGGGATTACAGGCACACACCACCACACCCAGCTAATTTTTGTATTTTTAGTAGAGACGAGGTTTCACCATGTTGGCCAGGATGGTCTCAATCTCTTGACCTCATGATCTGCCCGCCTCGGCCTCCCAAAGTTCTGGGATTACAGGTGTGAGCCACCATGCCCAGCCCTGAACTTTCTATTACTTACAATGGTCTATCTATTCATGTGCCAGTATGTTCCGTTTTTCAATTTAAGTAAACTTACTCAAAAAATATAAAATTACTAATAATTTATACTGTACTTTTGCTACCAACATTCAATCTGACATTAAGACTGAACATGTGAAAACTCGAATTTGCAAATTTGTGAAAACCAGCTATTGCAGAAGGAAATATGTATGGTCTAAGTAGTTCAGTGATTCTCAGGATGTGAGCCTAGGATTGTCATTATCAAGAGTACCTGGGACTCTATGAGAACTGTAGAATCTTCTGTCACACCCCAGGATTCCTGCATCAGAAACTACAAGGAGCTGGGGCCAAACAATCTGTGCTTCAACAAACCCTCTGCGTGATTCCAATGCACATTCAAGTTTGAGACCCCTTAGTCTAGTTTCTCTGGACTTTTCTCTTCATTCAATTCTATGCCATCTTTCTGTCCAAGCCTTGGTGTCCCTTTGTGGACACCCTTTATAAGAATAGTCATTTCCTGAGTCAGGAACTAGATGACCATCTATATTCTTGATTGACCAGCAAATTTAAACATCTCCTCGATATCTTGATATTGTATGTCCCACTCTCCCAAAGTAGATTTATAAATACTAAATTTCTCACACTTTCTTCTCCCTAGTAAGTGGGCAATGTGGCCCAGGTTATGCCAACTAGATGCATTTGAATGAGAACTGCATGTGGAAAGGGCAGCCTGAAGCAATGACCACTTGGGAAAGCACAGTGGTGGGGATATCCAGGACTTAGGGAGCTGTGACAGAGCTTCTGTAGCCTTTTTAATGCCAAGTGATTTTTAGTCACTTTTTAGATTCACCTAAGAATAAAAAAAAAAAAATCCAAAGACTGTAAGTATTAATCTGATAACTCAGTCAAAATCTGAATAAACTGTCATTCAGAACTTTTACAGCTCAGAGCCACTAAAATATGTGAAAGGTCTGAAGCAGCTAACTTGAACCACCTTGAGACCAGTAGTCTCACCAAATGGTTGGGTATAGCTCCTGATTCCATTGTTCCCAACTGAGTAGCAAGCATCAAGTCTAGTTATTTGCCTCCAGTATCATATTCTTTTGATGACAGAAGCTTTAAAATATGTTTTAATATACATTTCAATAATTCTCACTGCTTTTATTTTTTAGAATATTTACTCTGTATTTACTTTTTCCACATGAATATTTTAGCATTTTATTTTTAAATTTCAAATTGATATAAAAGTTGCTTAAATAATACAATCTGCCATATATACTTTATCCATAACAAAAATTACAGGTGCTTCAGTTAGCTCCTTCAGACCTTTTGCATATTTTAGTGGCTCTGAGCTGTAAAAGTTCTGAATGACAGATTATTTTGATTTTGATTGAGTTATCAGATTAATAGTTATAGTGTTTGGAAGTTTTTATCTGATTCTTAAGTGAATCTAAAAAAAGATTAAGAATTGAAAAATGATATATCAAAATTAAAGATAATTTTTATTAATCAGACTACTCTAACAGAATTATTTCCATTTTTGCTTGATACCTTTCAACCTTCATCTACATGCGCCTGCATTTTTTAATGTAGCATAATATACATATCTCTAGTTTGCATTGTTTTCATTAATTGTATCAAAATTTTTCTCCAGGTTGATGTGTAATCTACATAATTGTCATTTGGAAAGATTGAAAATATTCTGAAATGTGTCAACATTTATTACATTCTTACCTATCACCAGTCACTAAATTTTGTTCCATGTTTTGTATCCACAACAACCTGACCTTCCCATGGCCCCACCCAAGATAATAATTTTTCTAAATGCATCTATTAAACCCATCCATTTCTACTTTTTCCTACAAATAGAAATGTATATACTTCTGAGCTGAATTCAGTATTATTTTGCATGTTTTTAAACTTTATCCCTATCCAGTACCAAAGTGTATGTATTTCCCTACAACTTCAATTTTTCACTCAAAATTATGTTGTAAGGATAATCTGGGTCCTCTAGTTTCCTAATTTTCACTGCAATATGTCATCTACTATTTGATTATATCATAATTTATACATTCTTTTCTTGTTGAATACTTCGGTTGTTTATAATTTTTTGCTATTACAAATGCTATTATTATTCTTGTAAATTCATCGTTGTGTGCTTGTATAGGAGTTTCTCTAAGGTATGAATGTAGAAATAGATTGATGATTCATAGGATATTGTATCTTTAATTTTCTAGTTATGGCCATATTATTGTGCAAGGTAGTTGTTCCATTGTATTCTCCCACCATAAGTTCTGATACTCTAATAATAGGTATCCTCTGACCTGTAATGGTTTGCCAATCTGACGGATATTTCATTTTGATTTTACATTGCAATTTCCTAATTACTAGGGGAATTAAGCCTGTTTTGTATACTTATTGGCTATTCATGTTTCCTCTTCTGAAAATTGCGTGTATTTTTTCCCATTTTTCTGTTGGACTATATCAGGGTTTTCTGATTAATGTGAAGAAGTTTACATATATTTAATTTTCCCCCTCAGGGCCAGTCTGAGACAAACAAGTGTCTTTTTCATCTTCCTTAACTATCAGTTGCAGATGTTTAGCACATTCTTTCACAGAAGATCTACCACAATGAATCATTTTATCGTGAAGCCTCAGTTCCAGCTCCCCATCCCACACAGGCCCAAGAATTTGTCACCTATTCACTATCTCCAAATTCCACTCTAAACAAATGTCTTCAGAACATTCTGGGCTTGCTTAACATTCTGGTTTTCTAATTCATCTTTTTGGCCCCTGTGAAAATTTCCTACTTTCTTCCAAGTTCAACTATGCCTTTCAATGGATAGTTGTATTTTATCTAGCAAAGGGTCTCGTGATATCTGATTTTCATTTTGCTGTAATTTCAATTCCTGCCTTTTACATGTGTATCCCATGGTGTAGATGTACCATAATATAATTATTTTCCTGTTAATGCACACTTAGATTGTTTTTAATTTTTTAGTATTAATAGAAATGCCTCAAGAATTCCTGTGAATATATTATTGTGCCTACATAAAAATCCTTCTATTGCATATATTTCTAGAAGTGGACTGGCTGTTTCAAAGCATATGTGCACTTTTAGTTTTCTCATCAAAAAGCTGGATAAATTTATATTTCCAGGAACACTGAATGATAGTGACAGGGTTTTCATAACCTTAACAGTGCTAAATCTTACCAATCTTTATCTGGCATTTCTATTAATATTAGTATTATTTCTTTTTCTTCTTCTTCTTCCTCTTCCTCTTCCTTTTCTTCTGCATTGGCTATTGATAAGCTTTACTTGTATTTTTATTGTATTGTATGTATTTTGTTGCTTTGATAAGGTAGTTTTATTATCCAGGTATTAATCCTTTTCCATAATCTGATTGAAATATTTTCTTCCAGTCTATTTTGTCTTTCAACTTTATCCATAATAAACATCTTTTTCATACAGAAATTTCAAATTTCTGTCACTTCAAATCTAACATTTTTACCTTTATTTCCTTTTATTCCCCAATATAATAGAAATATTACATTATATTTTCTTTTGATTTTTTTAAGCTTTAAAAACCAATCCAGAAGTTGATTTTGTGTGATATAAGACAAATATCAAAGTTGTTTTCAAATCAATAATGAAATGCCCCAATATGACTTAACGCGCTGTATTTCCCTCACTAGCTTGAAATAATAGTCATATATATATACACACACATACACACACACATATACACACACTTATATATACTCATATATATCGATATATCTATATAGATATAGATATAGATATAGATATCTATATCTATATACCTATATCTATATCGATATATATGAGTATGTGTGTATGTGTGTGTGCCTGCATGTTGTTACCGGCGGTTCTTTGTCCTTACAGCTCGCAAGATGGTGGCGTGCCGCTCCAAAGATGGTGGCAAGCCTTTTGTTGTCTGACCTGGGGTTCTTGGCCTCACAGATTCCAAGGAATGGAACCTTGGGCCATGCGGTGAGTGTTATAGCCCTATTAGAAGCCATGGGTCATGGAAGAGAACAGTGGAACCCAGCGACTAGTGTTCAGCTCAATTAGGACGAACCTGGGCACTTAGCCGTGCAGGAACAATGGCGAGCCTTTAGCCTGATCTGGAGTTGCAATGGGCACCTCACTGGATCAGGAGCTCAGCGGACATCCTGCTGGATCCAGATGGGTGGAAGTCAGTGGCGGGTCTGCGACAGCAGCAAACAGCAGTGGTGGACCGTGAGCAAAAGCTCAGCTCGAGCCATAACAAACACAGACCAGAAGAGTGTGCAATTGCAAGATATAATAGAGTGAAAACAGAACTCCCATACAATGGGAGGGGACCTAAAGGGGGTTGCCCCTCCCTGCTCGAATGCCTGGGTTGATATCCTAATCAGTGCCCCTCCTCCTGTGCTCTCAGGCAATACATGATTTGACTATTTCTTTACCTCCTGCTTTTAGCCTAATTAGTATTTTAGTGAGCCCTCTTTCCTACCTGACTGGTGGGGTGCGAGCTGAGTTACAAGCCCTGTGTTTAAAGGTAGGTGTGGTCACCTTCCCCAGCTGGGCTTAGGAATTCTTAGTCAGCCTAGGAAATCCAGCTAATCCTGTCTCTCAATGTGATATAAAATTTTTTACTCTGGTCATTTAATTGACTTACATTTTCCTAAACCAATACCATGCTGTTTTGATTTTTGTGACTTTATAACATATTTTGATTTCTTGTGACTGTTTTGATTGTGGTAAGACTCACATCAAAAGAGGTGCCTCCTTTCAAAATTCTCTTGACTATTGTTTAGCATGTCCAGGTAGATTTTAGAATCTATCTGGTCAAGATCCTCTCAAAAGGATTTCATTTTCTTATTTTCTAAACAGACACACAATTTCCTTAACCAAATTGGATGCTTGAAGGATCCTTTATGATTCAATTAGAAGTTCTAAAAATTGAGTCCTCAGGAAGAAATAAAAAGTAATAACAGCAAAACACCCACCATGATCGCTTTTCTTTCAAAGGCTTAATAAACATTATATAATTTCTTCCTTTAAACAACCCTGCTAGGGATGTTTTAATAAACTCATTTTAAGAGTGAAGAAACTGAACTTGGGGGAGCTTTATCTGCTGAGAGACTACCCAGCTAGAAAGGCAGTGAAGCAGGGATTACAACTGACCCTCAAGCTAAAACACTTAACCTCTAGTTTCTCTTCTCTCTAGAGCAGCATTTCCCAAAGTGCTGTGCCTGGACCAGCAGCAGCAGAATCACCTGAGAATATGTTAGAAATGCAAATTCCCTGGCCCACCTGGACCTAACAATTAATAAACTCTGGGAATGAGATCCAGCAATCTGTGTTGTACAAGCCCTTCAGGTGTTCTGATGCAGGCAGTTTGAGAACCACTGATCTAGAATCCAAAGGCTGAGGAGTAATAAGAGGGTGCAAGAAATACTGCATGGAAAAAAAAAATTAAAAATAAACACAGAAAAGAACAGCACTCACTGAAACGAATGAGAAGAAATGCTACAGACATTCAGGGTTTATTAAATGACTGCTGTGTTGGCAGTAACAGCCACTACATGGCATTATAAGAAATAAAACAGAAAGTGCTTAGCTAAAAGGTGTCCTTTATTCTTTTCAGATCAGAAAAGCTGAGAAATCATTGAAGCAGAGTGTATAAAAATCTAAGATCTTTCATCCCATTTCTCTGAGACTTATGATCAAGAAATGCATTAGCAACTCTTGGCTAATACACAAATGCCTGTCCATATGAATTTTGATCTCCTTCAGAAGCCAGACCATAAAAACGTCTGAGCACCTGAGTGTGGAAGAAGCTTGGAAAACCCCTGAGAAGAAGAAACATCCTGAGACATCACAGAAAATAAGAGGAGATTGTCGAGAAAGAGCAGCCTACAATAGCAGTGCAGCTGGAAGGCTGAGGAGACAGGGTGAGGGCCAAGGGAATGAGGAAAGACTGCCAGGGTGGACGCTGGGAAGGCTGGGCCAGTAGCACCATCTGGGGTGGTGAGGTGAGCCATATGCCCTGTGCATTTGGGGTCTACCACAGCTGCCTCTGTGATTAAAAAGGGAACAAAAAAATAACCTTTTTATTACTATTTTTTGAATTGGATACATTTACCATTATTTGCAGTAACATAAAATTTGTCCAAATTTTCATTTAGTGAAATTAGTGCATCAAACCAGCTGGATTTGCCCATGCAAAGAGGACTTGGTGGGTTCAGGTGTTGGGCTCTTTGTAAGAATTATCTATTAATTAAGTGACTAAAAATAATTAGCCTTTTGGTTGGGTATCCTGTCAGGATTAGGGATAAATTCTTGGAGAAAACTGACTGTGAAAGGCACAGGCTTGGATTGAATGCATTCAAAATAGTCCCTGGGTCTTTCACTGGATAGTGAGATGCCTGCTTGGCTTGGAAAAATTCAGCCCACGAGATTTTCAAAATCACTCTATGAACAGGAAGACTGTTACTGACGCAGATCTTCGCCATCCTCTTGGAATTTAAAGCAGCATTTTCAAGGTTTATTATTCGTATTGGTTTTAATAGGATTCTTTTATGAACCTTTTTAATGAGGAGTATTCAATTATTGCTTCCTGAAAACATTGCTATGATATCAGATTCCACGCTGTGAGGCCTCATTTGGTTAATGTGTATGTGATCTGAATGGAAAATAAAAGAACTGTTAAATTGCCATTTCTTTCCTTTACTGTATCAAGCTTTCTTTCTGCTGATGTTGGTGGTTGGTGGATGTATGCAAACACTCCATCTTTCTAGTTTGGGAAAGCCACCGGATTTAAAAAGAAAATGTACTTAAATGTAAAAATCCATATAATGTGATGTTTATCAGATAAGGCCTTTTTCAGACTAAAACCTTCTCTCTTTCTTTTAACAAATCAGAAAGGATTGGGCAGAAGTTTTCTAAGCCCGCGGGATGATTAATTAGAGAGGGTGCCACTGGCAAAGCTCAAAAATGTGAAAACAAATGTGCACATTTAATATGTAAAGCTCAATCTGGAGTTTAAAACTGGATGCAGCAACTTGAAGTATGTGCCTCAAGGCATGGCTCAAATACTCCGCTGAAGAATCCAACTCATAACCCTGAAGAAAGAAACTCAAATTGTTAATCCACTTTTAATCACCAATCAGGAGAATCTTTGCGAATAGTTGATAAAACAGACCAGCATGTGACTTGAGTTGAAAGTGTTACATGCCTTTTATGCATCTTTAATTACAGCTATGAAAGCTCTCATGAGCTCATGTACTAGTATATAATATTTCATTTTTAGGAATGATGACTAGGAATGTTCAAAACAGAATTAGGAGGTTCTAGAATAAGGCCATCCTTGGCATAATGGTTGGAGCAGGGAGAACACATTTATCCTGACAAAATCAAAACTAGTCATCCACCCTGATATGCAATGCATAATAATCAAACTTTGAACTTTTATGTAGATGGAAGCATATTAACCCCTTATCACCCAAATATGTGCTACTTGCTACCAAACAACTTCCTATGTAACGTAAAGTGCACTCACAGAAATTCATTAACTTCCACGGAGGACTTTGGTGTTTCAGTCTTATATATGCTAGCACCATCCTGTGAGAGAATGACATAACAAAAATTAAAGAACAAATAATACTTTATTTGAACAAAGACTATACAGGAATTATATCTGCAATAGGTATATTGATGTAAGTAAACTATTTCAAGTTCTGAAATGGCAAAGCACCATGCATCAGCCATAAAGAAGTAGTTTGTGGGGAGTGAGAAGAGGGTTCAGGCATTAAATTTCTTGTAGGAATTAATTAACTAAGTGACCAAAGATAATTAGTTGGGTATCCTGTCAACATTAGGGATAAGTTCTTAGAGAAAACTGACTGTCAAAGGCACAGGCTTGGATTATATGCATTTTAAATCATCACTGGGTCTTTCATTTGGTAGTGAGGTGCCTGCTTGGCTTAGAAAAGTTCAGCTCACACGATTGAGGTAGCCAGATATGTGCCACCCCCATCCCTATTCCTCACCTCCACTCACCTGCCCCATCCCCATTCTTTTCTTTTTTCTTTTCTTTTCTTTTCTTTTTTTTTTTTTTTGAGATGGAGTTTCACTCTTGTTGCCCAGGCTGAAGTGCAATGGCATGGTCTTGGCTCATGCAACCTCCGTCTCTCGGGTTCAAGTGATTCTCTTGCCTCAGCCTCCCAAATAGCTGTACAGGTGCCCACAAACATGCCCAGCTAACTTTTGTATGTTTAGTAGAGACGGGGTTTCACCATGTTGGCCAGGCTGGTCTCAAACTCCTGACCTCAGGTGATCCGCCATCTTGGTCTCCCAAAGTGCTGGGATTACAGGTGTGAGCCACTGCACCCAGCCCATCCCCATTCTTTGATCCTAACAGTTGTCGTCTTCTCAATCGAAGGTAAAGTGCTATACCAATTCAACCACAAGGTGTCTCCTAGCCTCAGTACCTCCTTCCAACTAGGGTGCCACCCTCCTTCTGTATAGAATTTCTGGCTCTAATGTAATATAAATGGCAAGTACTATTGGGTTTTTTGCTATTATTATTGTTATTATGGTTATTATTGTAATTGTCCCCTGATGGGGTTGAAGAATCTCAATACTTCCCATTGTAGTTCTCTTCCTCCTACTGAGCTGGAGATTACAACCTCATTATACCAACTTTTTATTAATCACCAAAGGGATTCTTTCGTATGGGGATATTTTTATTAAAATATGTTTTATAACAGCCTGATGATTTGGTTAATATGATTACCCTACTTAAATTGAAGGAGAGGGATCTGAGGCCAAGAGATGCCATGTACTCTCCTACCGTTAAAACCAAGTTAGAATTTATATTCCCTGAGTTTCTTGCTAGTAGTCAAGACAGCTATAAAATAAAAAAACACTGCCAGCCAAAAAATACTTATTCTGGAGTAAGGCAAATTTATATCAATAAACTTCCCTTATTAGTTTCCCAGAACATTGCACCTTAGCACTCATTCTTCAGCTACTAGGCAATTCTATTGCCATTGAAAAGCCTCAACAGGAAGGGAAATGCTCCATCATCAAGAATGTGGCCCAGTTTAACCAGCCTTTATTGAACACACACCAGTAAAAAGGTACCAAGCCCATGGATGTGCAATTTTTTCAAAGATGAACAAAGCTTATCTCTGCTCTTAAAAACTTTTCAAGATGGCCTCATGTTTTCATTTTTCCCAATATTGGAGCAAGTCCCTCAAATTACTCACCCAGTCTGTTAACACCTGGTACAAGCACCCTTTCAGGTAAATAGGCTAAGGGATTGCTATGATCCACCCATCAGCCTCTGGGACACTGATCTTTATCATATTCAAATCTCTGAGCTCATCCTTTATTTTTCCCACTTGGTCTAGTGACAATAGGAGCAACCAGTCAATCTCATTATACTCATTAGTTTGCCAAAAATGTTAGAAAGTCTCATATAAACAGTCATTCAGATCTTTACTTCCTATAAGTGGTTCAGAGTATCAAATGGTGCTATTTTGTATATCGCTATCACCAGAGTACAACATGTACTATCAATGCTCTCTTTACTGCTGGAAATAGAGTTATGAGAATCTCTAAATCTAATTACATTACAGAGCCAATTACAAAACCCCAGAACCAATTCAGAAAGCTCATTCTTAAGATTTTGTTCCTCTAGACTCCATACCAAAATGTGTATTAGGGTTCTCCAGAGAACAGAACCACTAGTGTGTGTGTGTGTGTGTGTGTGTGTGTGTGTATGCGCACGCATGTGTGTGGGGAGAGAGAGAGATTTATTATAAAGAATTGGCTCATGCAACATGAGGGCTGACAAGTCCTAAGATCTGCAAGCTAGGAAAGTCAGCAGGCTCAAAGAGAGCTGATGGTATAGCTCCAGTCCAAGTCTGAAGGCCCAAGAAGCAAGAGAGCTGATGGTGTAAGTTTCAGTCTCAGTCCAAGTCCAAAGGCAGGAGGAGACTGATGTCCCAGCTCAAAGGGAGTCAAGCAGAGAGAGTGAATTCTTCCTTACTCAGCCTTCTGTTTTTATTCAAACTTCAACTGATCGGATGAGGCCTGGGGACATTGTACAGGGCAATCGTCTATACTCAGTTTACTAATTCAAATGTTAATCTTATCCAGAAATACCCTCACAAACACACACAGAAAAAATGTTTAACCAAATATCTGGGCACCCTGTGACACAAAATCAACCATTACAAAAGATTCATCCACACTAGTTTACAGTTTACCAATTCTATCATCTCTGTGTTCTATTCTCTGAAGAGCAGCTGAGCATAAATTCCCCCAAATGTTAATATTACAAAAAAAAAAGTTTTAGATTGAAACGAAATCAAATCAAGCAATAGTTTTGGATGCCAAATATGCAAGATGCATACTAGGCACCAACCGTTCTTCCGTGCTGTTGCAATTATATAAAAATCATAAATATAGGCTTTCTGCTCCTCCCATTCTATAGACAGTAACATCTTGTGCAGTGCCAGCCATGTCCCTGAGACACGAAGGTTGAAGTGAAGGCCAGAGTAAACGGATTTGGCCTTACTGGGTGCCTGATCACTAGTACAGTTTTAACTCTAGCAAAGTGATTATTGTCACCATCAATGACCTCTTCATTGACCTCAGTTACATGGTCCACATGTTCCAGTATGATTCCACCCATGGCAAGTTCCACGCACCATCAAGGCTGAGAATGGGAAGCTTGTCATCAATGGCAATCCCATTACCATCTTCCAGGAGCAAGATCCCATCCAAATCAAATAGGGGGATGCCAGTGCTGATTATCTTGTGGAATCCACCAGCATCATCACTACCTTGGAAAAGACTAGGGCTCACTTAAAGGGGTCATGATTTCTCCCCCTTCTGCTGATGCCCCCATGTTTGTGATGGTTGTGAATCATGAGAAAAACAAAAACAACTTCACAATCATCAGCAATGCTTCCTGTTCTACCAACTGCTTAGCACCCCCAGCCAAGGTCATCCATGATAACTTTGGCATCATGGAGGGATTCATGACCACAGTCCATGCCATCACTGCCACCCAGAAGACGAAGACAACCTCTCTGGGAAACTGGGATGACAGCTATGGAACTCTACAGAACATCACCCCTGCAATTAACTAGTGTTACCAAGGCAAAGTCATCCCCACACTGAATGAGAACCTCACTGGCATGGCCTTCTGTGTCCCCACTGCCAACATGTTGGTTGTGGACCTGACCTGCCATATAAAGAAACCTGCCAAATATGGTAACACCAAGAAGGTAATGAAGGAGGCACGGAAGGGCCCCTCAAGAACATCGTGGGGCTACACTGAGCACCAAGTTGTCTCCTCCAACTTTAACAGTGACATCGACCCTTCCACTTTCGACGTTGGGGCTGGCATTGTCCTCAGTGATCACTCTGTCAAGCTCATATTCTGATATGACAAGGAATTTGGCTACAGCAACAGGGTGATAGACTTTATGGTACACATGGCCTCCAAGGAGTAAGAGCCCCCTAGACCATCAGCCCCAGTGAGAACACAACAAGAAAACAGAGGCCCTCAGCTGCAGCAAGTCCCTGCCACACTGTCCTAGACCATCAGCCCCAGTGAGAAAACAACAGGAAAAGAGGTCCTCAGGGGCTAGCAAGTCGCTGCCACATTCTGTCCCTGACATGCTGAGACTCTCCCTTCAACACAGTTTCCACATCAGACCCCCTGAAGAATGGGAGAAGCCTAGGGAGCCCCACCTTGTCATGTACCATCAATAAAGTCCCCTGTACTCAACAAAAGAAAAAAATCATAAACATAGTGGCATTTTACCTTCAGCCTGATGTTTTACATCCTTTCTGTTTAACTACATATCTACTCAAATAACACACTGAGGTAGCATAAATATATGCCCCTTCCAGGAAGTCTGTACATCCAGTTTTACTCCAGATGCATTTTCTTATGACTGGATTCTCTTTCTCACTGTTCTATAAACTCTTTGAGTTCCTCACTCAATTTTAATCACTTTTAGATAGGTATTCAATATGCTAAACAGAGATGGGCAAACACTAAATGCAAAATTAAATAAATAAGTAGTTTTATTACTTTTATGTATATTAAGTGTGTAAAGATATTATTAGTTTTTTACTTCATGTTTCATGTCATGAAGAGAATGTGTCATCCATGAGCTTAGGCTTCAAACAGCTTTCTTGTTTCTGTTGTTGCTTTTGGAGCCCAGTCAATGTCATGAGCAATGTTAGCCCACAAAGTTAATTACAACAGAGCAGATACCAGTAGTCTCAGTACAGACTGACTTCCACTAACCTATTGTTATTGAGTTCTCAGATATATAAGCATAGATCAGCCAGATTTGGCTCAATCATGAGAAATAATAAATAATTATTGTTTTAATCTGCTAAGTTTTGATGTGGTTTTTACTCAACAATAGCTGATTGATGGAGTATGTCTTATTGATTCCCCCCATATGTACACTTCTTCCAAAAGTTATTGTAGGGAGTCATTACATACTGAAATTACAGAACTACATTTATGTATTATCATGTTTACTATGGCTAACCAACCTATAAATTATAGGTAAACTTAATGCATTCTAAATTATTCTTATTAACAAGATGTATTATACTATATTATATATTATCAAGTTATTAGATACGTCTAATTGCATGTTGCATAGAAAGATTTTTTTCATACTTTATGTTCATCTCCACTTGACTTCTTTGTAGTTAAGTTTTCTTCTGTCTGGAAGCTTATTTTTTTGTCTTTAACTTCCTTAACATTAACATCGATAATGTAGAGGCAGTTTTGTTTGTTTTATTTTAATCCATTGTCTTTTCATCATTTTTATTTAATCATTAAAAATTATTGACTATTATTTCTTTAAGTTTTAATTCTGAGACTAGCAAAACATGGGATGTGTCAACACTACTTCTCTATGTCTTCTGACTTTACTATGATAGTATCAATCATTATACCTTCTCAATACTTTCTAGATGGTTTTTCCAACTGGACATTCCAGTTCATTATTCACCTCCCCTTCCATGTTCTCTCTACCTTCATATTGTTATTTTTTTCACGTTACCATATTCACTGATATCAGTGAAGGATGATTTGCTCTTAAATAAGATTTTGCTGAACAAAGATGCAGTGAAGGGAGATGCAGTCAGGGACATCTTTTCCAAGCCACCTCTGAGCCCGAAGCTTATACAATTAAAAAATATGTGGAGAATAAATACACATATTTTACCTTTATGAATTTATTGCACACGAATGGTCATGAGAAGACTTTGCTAATGTCGCATCCGGGTCTTTGGAAAGCACCAGTGCAAATGACGAATATACTAGCCTAAACTTTGGTAAGTTGATGTCTCTGAATAGAACTTGAGGCTTCTATTTTTCCTCTATGACTGACTCTAAGCATGTCATGCCCGAAAGTTTACTCACAGTTTTGTTCTGAATGCTGAGTAAGGCCCTGCGTTCATCCCACTTCTGTATCTCTAGGCAGCACGTTAGTATTCCATTCTGAATTGATGAGAAATTGAATCCATGGGGTGCTTTGCAGACAGCATGTAGCCGAAGAAAACAATAGTTTTCTTTCCTTGGTTTCCCTTTGCCAATAAGGATTATTTCCTTGCTGAAACAATGTTGCTAATGATGTTGTTCTGTGTAGCCTATGTATTTTGGAGTAGAAAAATAATGTAAGACCCCCTGGGGTGAAATTTTCCTGCACTGAGGTCAATAAATAAATAAATAAACCTGACAAACATACATTAGTGTACAAACACTAATGCTTTACTGAAACTGAAAAGAGTCTCTCCAAAGACTTTAAAGATGCTGATATTTAACAGATAACAAAACTATTTGTTAAAATTTCAGAAGAGGCAGTAAGAGTGATCTATTTTCTGATTAATTAACCCTATCTAAAATATAAAATCCAGATTGAAACAACAAATCCAGGGTTACCATATTCAAAATGAAATTTTGCTCTGGCTTAACACTCTTAACATCATATAGAATATAAAATTATCTTATCTGTTTTTACTTACAAGCATTTGCTCGCACATATTGATATACATATCTGGGGAAATTACACCACCAAAACCTTCCACATATAGAGTAACTACTTTTATAATGAAATGATAAATTATATAGTATTTCCATTTTAATTACAGAAAAGTTTCTGGGGATGTGTTGCCATGGCTAGAAATGCAACATCATCTAAGGCATAAAACTATAATCATTTCACATCTTCTCTGGGTCACCATAAGATTTTCTGTATACTATTGAATCTTTGTGCAGACAACAATCTTGGTGCAAATTAAACCCCGGGGATAAGTAGAAGGGAGACTAACATCGCTCACCTGAATGATGCAAAGCACCGGTGACATTGTGGACAGTATTTAGGTAAGGATGTTTTTTTCCATCCTTGTTTTTATAAACGAAAACATTTCCATCTTTCCGTCTTTGTGAATTGATACATATTGATTGTACATATTTATGGGGTTCATGTGATGTTTCGACGCATGCATACAATGCATAATGGCCAAATCATGGTAATTAGGATATCCACTACCTCCAACATTTATTTCGTGTGTATGTGTTGGGGACATTTTAAGTCTTTTCTTCTGAATATTTTGAAATAGGCAATAAATTATTGCTAAGTATAATCACTCTTGTGTGCTATTGAACACTAGAACTTATCGCTTCTATATAACTCTACATGTGCACCCATTAACCAATATCTATCTTCATCCTGCCTCCTTCCCAGCCTCTGTTAACCATCATTCTACTCTCTACCTTACTGAGATCAGACTTTTTAGCTCCCACAAATGAGTGAGAATATGCAATATTTGTCATTCTATGCTTGGCTTGTTTCACTTAACATAAGGACCTATTGTTTCATTCATGTTTCTGCAAATAACATGATTTGATTCTTTTTATGGCGCTGTAGTATTCCTTTGGGTATATATACCATATTTTCTTTATCCATTTATTTGTTAATGAACACTTATGAGCCACAATTTTTTTAATGAGTGATTTAGATGACTTGCATCGAAACTACTTGGAGTGTTTACTTTTACAAAACCATATTGAGTCTTGATATAGACACGGTAAATCAGAATATCTGAATGTAAGATTTACAAGTTAACTTTTAAACATTTTTTAGTATTTTATATGTGTATATACATGTGTCTGTGTATGTATATATATAATGTGTATATATATATATATATAGAAGGGAAAACTATGAACCCTAGAATATGAGTCCTTGAATATGAGTCACTAATGTATGTATGTGTGTACATATGTATATATACCGTTTCTATAATTAAATATTTGTCTTTGAGAATTATGTAAATATAAATGTGTGCAAGCAGGTTTGGTTCACTATTTTCTTACTAAAAAGTCATAAAAATACCCATTCATTTTTATTATAAAAGGTATTAATATCTCAAAGAAGACTGTATGTCAGGATATCAAAGCTGACTCTTAATTTTTCTTTTATTGTTAAATTTTTGGACTTTGGGAGACAAATAAAATTTCTGTGTTCTAGAGTTTTAAAAATGAGGAACACTTCTAATTCCACCTACTCAGGTGGCTGAGGCATGAGAATTACTTGAATCCTGGAGGCAAACGTTGCAGTGAGGCTAGATTACACCACTAAACTCCACCATAGGCAACAGAGCAATATTGTCTCAAAAAAAAAAAAAATGAGGAAGGT
This sequence comes from Homo sapiens, assembly GCF_000001405.40. NCBI lineage: Eukaryota > Metazoa > Chordata > Mammalia > Primates > Hominidae > Homo > Homo sapiens. Next base: position 57,963,465 of record NC_000006.12, on the reverse strand, counting down.
CAGTTTAGAATCTAAATCAGACAGGTCTCTGTAGATAGGGATAGAAAGGACAGGTATATACTACCAAAGTTCCAGGATGATAATATGGTATTTTCTTGGAGGATACTAGAAACTTGATAATAGTGGAGAAATGCTAAGAACAGAGTTTTGCTCAGAAGGACTCATATTCAAGGGTTCATAATTTTCCCTTCATTTTTTCCTCTTTTGTCCTTATAGGACATTTCTAGAAAGATATACATATATAGATGTGGATAGATAATTTTCCTGTTTGTCATTCTACTTTCTTTTAATAATTCTTAACTGTTCAAAATGTTTTAGATCTCTGTGTTTCCTTATTATTTAAACTCAAGCGATGGAGTGGCAGAAAAAACCAACCCTTCCATTATGTACTTCAGTACACTCTTGTACTGCAGTGTGTGCAGGCATGGGGCAATACACTTTCCAGGGGATTTATAAGACAGTATAAAATAAATAGCAACCAAACCAAATTAGCAGTGTTTGGAGGCAAAAATGGAAACATTTAGGGAAACATACAACATAAATAGATTGCTGTTGAATGAATGACTAGCAGGATAGTTGAGACAAAGCCCCCTTTCACATAATTCTAACAACGTTACAATGTTACGGGAGGAATTCAACCCCATGTTTAGGAAGAGGTTAATATTTGATAAATTGCCTACACATCTCTCCATCTCTCTATGAAAATATTTTATTTTACTTGAGATGATAATATAAACAATTATTTTCAGGAGTTACAAAATACATTAATTGTATAATTTTTTTGGTAGCAACTTAAGGTGAAACTTTCTCAACAGGGGAAAAGTAGCTGTCATAGGAGCCTAAATAGTGGAGTAGGCTTCTGCTGCCATAAGCCACCAAGATTTATAAAGAGAAGAAATAGTCATGGCATCTGTTTGCTCAACTAACAACATTAAATTTCTATGTGCAATATTGGTAATGATGCATCTAAACCTTATGTAGTAAATAATTTATGAATCTTTTAGGGTGTCAGAGTTTTTTGGCTTTAGTCTAGGTAGAAAGGTCATAGAGTAAGTAGACAGCCTATACGTTTAATGAATATTTGTATTTGCGATGGCTCACGCTTGTGATCCCAGCACTTTGGGAGGCCGAGATGAGTGAATCAGGAGGTCAGGAGTTTGAGACCAGCCTGGTCAATATGGTTAAACCCTGTCTCTATTAAAAATACAAAAAATTACCTGGGTGTGGTGGTGCGTGTCTGCAGTGCCAGCTACTTGGGAGGCTGAGGCAGAAGAATCTCTTGAACCTGGGAGGCAGAGGTTGCAGTGAGCCGAGATCACGCCATTGCACTCCAGCCTGGGCAACAGAGTGATACTCCGCCTCAAAAAAAAAAAAAAAAAAAAAGCAAAGGGTGTCGCCTGTAATCCCAGCACTTTGGGAGGCCGAGGCAGGCGGATCACTTGAGGCCAGGAGTTCGAAACCAGCCTGGCCAACATGGCAAAACCTCGTGTCTACTAAAAATACAAAAAATTAGCTGCGCCTGGTGGTGGACGCCTGTAATCCCAGCTACTTGGGAGGCCGAGACAGAAGAATCGCTTGAACCCGGGAGGCGGAGGTTGCAGTGAGCCGAGATCACGCCGTTGCACTCCAGCCTGGGCGACAGAGACTCCGTTTCAAAACAAAAACAAAAACAAAAAAAACAAAACAAAACAAAACAAAAAACCAAAAATTAGCCGACGGGCACCTGTAATCCCAGCTACTCGGGAGGCTGAGGAAGGAGAATCGCTTGATCCCGGGAGGCAGAGGTTGCAGTGAGCTGAGATTACGCCACTGTACTGCAGCCTGGGCGACAGAGGCTCTGGCTTTAAAAAAAAAAAAAAAGGGAAAGGATGTTACAGAAACTCCAGATACTACTCCGCTCCAGTGGTCTGAGTTGCGCGGCGTTTTCCCGCCGCCTGTCCGGTAGGGGGCGCTGCGCAGGAAGCCGCAGTCCCTCTGCGGAAGGCGCCGCTCTTGGCTTCGGCGGCGCCGCTGTAGCTTGGAGGCGGTACTTCCTCCAGCATTTGCCGCGAGTTATTGGCAAGTTCCCCTGCAGTTGTTTGGGCTGTCGCTGTGGCTGGTTCTGCGGTGTGCGGCCAGCCATGGAGCGCTCTGGGCCCAGCGAAGGTGGGTTTCATGAAGCGAGTCCGGGCGGGGTGGGCCGTGTCGGGGGAGCTGGGGCGCCGCACTAACTAGGCCGCCTCTCTTTTCCTCTTGCTCCAGTGACAGGCTCAGACGCATCGGGACCGGACCCGCAGCTTGTGGTCACCATGGGCTTCACGGGGTTCGGGGTTCGGTGAGTGACTGCCCCAGGCAGAGACCCTCTTCCTTTTGCAGAGGTTTGAAGAGCCGCAGAGTGGGAGGGGAGATCGAGCTGTCAACTCGGAATTACTGTAGCTCGGGTGCATACCTTGCAGTTTGTCAATATTCTTCTCCCATTTGTCTTCTATTCTGCGTATCCGTTGGAACCAACTCAGGTGACAGTTATGAGAGTCCTGGAGAGAGAGGAAGAGAAAGGATTTTTCTAATTTTAAGTCACCAATAATGCTAAAATGAACATTTTTGTAAATAACAGCATTTGTACGAGGATTTTTAAAAATATGTAATTCTGTAGGGTAGATTTCTAAAAGAGAGCCTAGTTTATTCAGAAGTATAAATACTTAAAAAGCTGAAAAATTGGGTATGTGCCTTTTAAAGCTTCTTGATGCTTACTGCCGTAATACCCATCAAAAAACTTGTTTCAGGTTATACCAAAGTTAACAGAATTTAAGAATGCCATTTTGACCATATCCGTACCAACACAGAGTAGGTATTATTATTTAAAAAGAAAATTATTTAAAAAATGAAAACAAAACTTTAGTAGACTGATACATGAGAAATGATTTCTCTTTATTTTGCATTTTAAAATTATAAATGCTGTTCATCCAAACATTGGGATTCTAACTTCCCTGAACCTTTTCTCAAGGTCTTCTTGTTCTCTTTTGACCAGCGTGTATTAATTCTATGATAGTAATTAAACAGTAGACTTACACATATTGGCCTTGGGTTGTGTTCACACATACTGGTTCTGTAGTTTTTCTATTCATTCTTTTTTTTTTGGAGACGGAGTCTCGCTCAGTCGCCCAGGCTGGAGTGCAGTGGCAAGATCTCGGCTCACTGCGAGCTCTGCCTCCCGGGTTCACGCCATTTTCCCGCCTCAGCCTCCCGAGTAGCTGGGACTACAGGCGCCCGCCACCTCGCCTGGCTAATTTTTTTTGTATTTTTAGTAGAGACGGGGTTTCACCGTGTTAGCCAGGATGATCTCGATCTCCTGACCTCGTGATCCGCCCGTCTCGGCCTCCGAAAGTGCTGGGATTACAGGCGTGAGCCACCGCGCCCAGCCTTTTCTATTTTTTTATTTTTTGAGATGGAGTCTCCCTCTGTCACCCAGGCTGGAGTGTACTAGTGCGATCTTGGCTCACTGCAGCCTCCTCCTCCCAGACTTAAGCCATCCTCCCACCTTAGTCTCCTGAGTAGCTGGGACCACAGATATGTGCCACCACACCTGGCTAATTTTTTATACTTTTGGTAGAGACGAGGTTTCACCATGTTGCCCAGGCTGATCGATCTCCTGAGCTCAAGCAATCCGCCCACCTGAGCCTCTCAAAGTGATTACAGGCATGAGCCACCCCACCCGGTATAAATCCTTCATTTTAGTACATCATTCCTTTACTCTGGAGTGAGAAAGGTGTCCATATGTTTGTGCCAAAGAGGGGAAATTTTTAAGAGTTTTGATAAAGTTACTGGGGGAGGAGGAGAATGTTTCCATGCTCATACAGTTCCTTGTTATAGGGCTGAGATTTCTGTTTCCCTCTTAGCTCCTTAAAGTACCTGCATTACTTCTCATGTTGCCCCTTTCGTCTTCAAGCCAACTATAATGCCTCAAATTCTTCTCAAACATTGGATCTCTCTGACTTCTTCTGCCATAGCTGTTGTGCATCTTTGCCTTTAAGGGCCAACTAGGATAGTTTCCCTATTTAAAAGTCCATAACCTTAATTACATTTGCAAAGGGTAACTTTTGGGACATTCTCCATTCTGCCTCCCACATTAGTGTTGTTGTTTCGTAGGGTAGGGATCTAGAGGAGGATGGGAAAGTTGCCTGGTTAATAGTACTTAGTGAAGGGATTGTCATCAGAAGTTTTCTGTGACTCAAACTCCTTCTGTGATATTTTATGGTTATATTGGAGCCATGCTATAAACTAGACAAAGTAAGTGTTTATTGATCAGTATTGATCACCTAAAGTTTGGCCAACTTACTGCAAGACAATCACAGTCTCCCATTTGTTCATGTTTTAGGTAAAAAAGCTCACACATTTGACTTGGAAGCAATGTTTGAACAAACTCAAAGAACAGCTGTGGAAAGAAGTCACAAAACACTGGGTAAGAAGTTCAGATATTTGTCGTTTTATTGGTTTAAGTACTATTTATACCTCATGCAAGTATATTAAAAAAGAGAAAAGAATGTTGGCTGGGCGCCGTGGCTCACGCCTGTAATCCCAGCACTTAGGGAGGCCAAGGCAGGCAGATCACCTGAGGTCAGAAGTTTGAGACCAGCCTGACCAACATGGTGAAACCCCATCTCAACTAAAAATACAATAATTAGCTGGGCATGGTGCAGGGGCCTGTAATCCCAGCTAGTCGTGCGGCTGAGGCAGTAGCTTCAGTTGAAGTTGGGAGGCGGAGGTTGCAGTGAGCTGATATCCCCCCATTGCACTCCAGCCTGGGGGACAAGGGTGAAATTCCATCTCAGAGAACAAAGAAAAAAAAGAATGTTGTTATGCTACTTGTCACTGTTGGGTTTTTTTTTTTTTTGAGATGGAGTCTCGCCCTGTTGCCCAGGCTGGAGTGCAATGGCATGATCTCGGCTCACTGCAGCCTCCACCTCCCCAGTTCAAGCGATTCTCCTGCCTCTGCCTCCCGAATAGCTGGGACTACAGGCACATGCCACCACGCCCGGCTAATTTTTTGTATTTTTAGTAGAGATGGGGTTTCACTGTGTTGGCCAGGCTGGTTTTGAACTCCTGACCTTGTGATCCGCCTACCTTGGCCTCCCAAAGTGCTGGGATTACAGACGTGAACCACCGTGTCCGGCTTTTTGGTTTTTGGTTTTTTTTTTTTTTGAGATGGAGTCTCGCTTTATTGCTGGGCTGGAGTGCAGGGGTGCGATCTTAGCTCACTGCAACTTCTACCTCCCCGGTTCAAGCAATTTTCCTGCCTCAGCCCTCCAAGTAGCTGGGACGACAGGTGTACGCCACCACGCCCAGCTAATTTTTGTATTGTTAGTAGAGATGGGGTTTCACCATGTTGGCCAAGATGGTCTTGATCTCTTGATCTTGTGATCTGCCTGCCTCCTAAAGTGCTGGGATTACAGGTGTGAGCCACCGCACCCAGCCCAATTTATCATTTTAAAACCAACAATGGGCCAGTTGTAGTGGCTCATGCCTGTAATCCCAGCATTTTGGGAGGCTGAGGTGGGTGAATCACCTAAGGTCAGGAGTTCGAGACCAGCCTGGCCAACATGGTGAAACCCCGTCTTGACTGAAAATAGAAAAACTATCCGGGTGTGATGGTGGGCACCTGTAATCCCAGCTACTAGGGAGGCTGAGGCAGGAGAATCGCTTGAACCTGGGAGGCAGAGGTTGTGGTGAGCTGAGATCGCACCATTACACTCCAGCCTGGGTGACAAGAGCAAAACTCCATCTCAAAATAAATAAAATAAAATAAAATGAAATGGGCGACAAGAGCAAAACTCCATCTTAAAATAAAATAAGATAAAATAAAATATAAAGTATAAAACAAAATAACTAAAATAAAAAATAAAATGTTGTACAGCAGCAATATCCAGTATTTGGCAGTGTGCCTGACAAAAAATATTTTCAGTCTTTGGAAGAAAACTTTTTTGTGGAGAAAAGAAAGCCATCTACATGTACTATTTTTTGAAAAAACCCTTCATTATTTGTTTTATTTGAGACGGAGGCCTGCTCTGTCGCCCAGGCTGGAGTGCAATGGTGCGATCTCAGCTCACTGTGACCTCCACCTCTTGGGTTCAAGTGATTCTCTTGCCTCAGCCTCCTGAGTAGCTGGGATTACAGGTGACCACCACCATGCCTGGCTAAATTTTTTGTATTTTTAGTGGAGACAGGGTTTCGCCATGTTGGCCAGGCTGGTCTCGAACGTGTGACCTCAGGTGATCCGCCTGCCTCGGCCTCCCAAAGTGCTGGGATTACAGGTGTGAACAACCATGCCAGGCCAAAACCCATCATTATTATTATTGTTATTATTGTTATTTTTTTGAGATGGCGTCTCACTCTGTCGCCCTGGCTGGAGTGCAGTGGTGTGATCTTGGCTCACTGCAAGCTCCGCCTCCCGGGTTCACGCCATTCTCCCGCCTCAGCCTCTGGAGTAGCTGGGACTACAGGTGCCTGCCAACACGCCTGGCTAATTTTGTTTTTGTATTTTTAGTAGAGATGGTGTTTCACCATGTTAGCCAGGATGGTCTCGATCTCCTGACCTCGTGATCCACTCACCTTGGCCTCCCAAAATGCTGGGATTACAGGTGTGAGCCACTGCACCCAGCAAAACCCTTCATTATTATGTGAAATTTCAAACACGGAAGTATAGTCACGAACTACCATGTACCTATCAATCAGATTTAACTACTGTAACAGTTCATGGCTAGCGTTACTTCTGTTTCCCCTTTCAGATGATTTCGAAGCAAATCTTGGACATCATTTTACTCATAAATATTTTTGTATATACCTTAAAACGATAAGGATTGTTTTAAAAAAAGCTTAGCCAAGATATGTGTAAGAGATAGGAAAAACCAAGTTGTTTCCTATCCTCTCACACTCCTCTCAGTACTTTCCCCTCCTTTTTTTTTTTTTTTTTTTTTTAAATTTGAGACAGGGTCTCACTGCTGTTGCTTAGACAGGTGCGCAGTGGCATGACCTTGCCTCACTACAGACTCCACTTCCCGGGCTCAGGTAATCCTCCCACCTCAGCCTCCCAAATAGTTGGGACTATAGGTTGGTGCTACCACACCCCACTAATTTTTTGTATTTTTAGTTGAGATAGATTTCACCATGTTGGCTGGGTGAGGTGGCTCATGCCTGTAATCCCAGCACTTTGGGAGGGGCGGATCACGAGGTCAGGAGATTGAGACCATCCTGGCTAACATGGTGAAACCCCGTCTCTACTAAAAATACAAAAAATTAGCTGGGTGTGGTGGCGGGTGCCTATAGTTCCAGCTACTTGGGAGGCTGAGGCGGGAGAATGGCGTGAACCCCAGAGGCAGAGCTTGCAGTGAGCCGAGATCTTGCCACTGCACTCTAGCCTGGGCGACAGAGTGAGACTCTTGTCTCAAAAAAAAAAAAAAAAATTCACCATGTTGTCCAGGCCAGTCTTGAATTCCTGGGCTCAAGTGATCCACCTGTCTTGGCCTCCCAAAGTGCTAGGATTACAGGTGTGAACCAGTACTTTATTTCTGACACCAGATATGTAGGAGTTTTCCCCCACACATCAACCAGTTCTCCAACTGGGTATCCGGTAACTCACTTTAATTCTGACACCGTCTGCCTGGAGACTACCACAAGACTGCCTTCACTCAGACACTAATCTCAATTCACAGGTTGTGACCAGTGCTTCTAATCTACTGGCTATAAGTCAGGGTTCCCATGACCACTCTTTTTGCTTTGATAATTAGCTAGGACGGCTCACAGGGAAACACTTTACTTATGTTTAACAGTTTATTATAAAGAATATTATAAATGATACAGATGAACAGCCAGATGAAGTAATGCATTGGGCAAGGTATGCGGTGGGAGAGGTGCAGAGCTTCTGTGCCCTCTCTGGGTGCACCAACTCCCCAGCATCCCCCTGTGTTCAACTACCCTGAAGCTAATCACATCTAGTGGTTCAGGAGTGTCTAGGCTGGGTGCAGTGGCTCACACCTATAATCCCAGCACTTTGGGGGACCAAGGTAGGAGGATCACTTGATCCCAGGAGTTTGAGACAAACCTGGGCTAACACAGTGAGATCCCGTTCAAAAAATCTTATAAAAATTAGCTGGGCATGGCGGCGCACACCTGTAGTCCCAACTACTTGGGAGGCTGAGGTGAGAGGGTCACTTGAGCCCAGAGGTTGAGGCTGCAGTGAGCTATGATCATGCCACTGCATCACAGCCTGAGTAAAAAAGCAAGAGCCTGTCTCAAAAAAAAAAAAAAAAAAAAAATTTCTATAGATCTTAATTTCCAGCTTCCCCAGAGATTGGTGGGTGGGGATGAAAGTTCCAATTATCTAACCCGTCAGTTTTTTTAGTGAGCAGCAGTCCCATCCTGAGGCCTAGGGATCCCACACTAAGTCACTTCAATAGCATAAATTTAGGTGGGATCCAAAGGGGCTTCTAATGAATAACAAAAGACAGCTCCTATCACTCAGGAAATTCCAAGGGTTTCAGAAGCTGTGTGGCAGGAACCTGAAACAAAGACCAAATATATATATATATTTTTGAGACAGAGTCTCGCTCTGTCGCCCAGACTGGAGTGCAGTGGTGTGATCTCGACTCACTGCAAGCTCCGCCTCCCGGGTGCACGCCATTCTCCTGTCTCAGCCTCCTGAGTAGCTGGGACTATAGGCACCGGGCACCATGCCTGGCTAATTTTTTTTTTTTTTTTTTGTATTTTTAGTAGAGACAGGGTTTCACCCTGTTAGCCAGGATGGTCTCGATCTCCTGCCCTCATGATCCGCCCCCCTCAGCCTCCCAAAGTGCTGGGATTACAGGAGTGAGCCACCGCACCTGGCCAAATATATTTCATATTATGCCACAATATCATCACATCAAAAAACAATTTTAATATCCTCAAACGATAGACAAAGACATGCTATCTGAGGCATTTACAAATGTTTTAAACAATTTAGTGAATGTTTGTACTATCACAGTATAGGTACCTTGTATTTGCCATTTTAAGCATATAATACAACATGTTTTGAACAAGGATTGTCTTATTTGGCTATGTCGGCTTTTTGTTGTTATTTACTTATTTATTTTTTTGAGTTGCCCAGACTGGAGGGCAATAGTGTAATCTAGGCTCACTGCAACCTCTGCCTCCTGGTTCAAGCAATTTTCCTGCCTCAGCCTCCCCAGTAGCTGGGATTATAGGCACGTGCCACCACCACCTGACTAACTTTTGTATTTTTAGTAGAGACAGGGTTTCACCATGTTGGCCAGGCTGATCTCAAACTCTTGAAGTCAAGTGATCCGCCTGCCTCAACCTCCCAAAGTGAAGCTTTTTATTTTTAATTTTTTTATTTTCAATTTTTGTGGGTACATAGTAGATGTATATATTTGTGGGTATGTAAGTTTTATAGCCCCTGGTACTTTGCTTTGTAAAATAGGTTCTCAGTAATATTTTGAGAATATTAAATTGAATTTAGACCTGTAATACTGTCTTGTTAAAAAATGAAATCTTGCTGCTTTGGAGAATGTTTTAAAATGGCACAATCTGGGCTGGGCACGGTGGCTCACGCCTGTAATCCCAGCACTTTGGGAGCCTGAGGTGGGTGGGTCACCTGAGATCAGGAGTTTGAGATCAGCCTGGCCAACGTGATGAAACCCTGTCTCTACTAAAGATACAAAAATTAACCGGGTGTGGGTGGCGGGCACCTGTAGTCCCAGTTACTCGGGAGGCTGAGGCAGGAGAATCGCTTGAACCTGGGAGGCGGAGGTTGCAGTGAGCCTAGATTGTGCCATTGCACTCCAGCCTGGGCGACGAGAGCAAAACTCTGTCTAAAAAAAAAAAAAATGGGCACAATCTGTTGGAAAGAGCTTGGGATTTGGAATTGGGGGACCTAGGTTTAAGGCCCAGCCCCACAGTCTACTAGATGAGTAACATTGGATGGGTTTTCCAATTTCTGATCCTTCATAACCCTGTTGTGTGTGTATCATCTACCTTGGACGTTTCTTGAAGAGATTAAGATGTTGGGTGTAGTAGCTTATAAACAGCAAAGTACTTTATAAATATTATTTTAAATTCTTGTAATTTTTCTTAGTAAAGCATGTATACATTTTACCTAAGAGGAACTTGGGGAGTTATTAAATTTTTAAATTTTTGAAAAATTGTCTCAAGACTATGATCTCCTTTGATTTTTGTGGACAAATTATTGAACTTTCTTGATTTACTATTACATCTTTGGACTGCAGTTTCTACCTCTGATCTAAACACATGAATCTAAATTGATTATCTCTTTGAAAAATCTACTTAGCTTTAGCACGTAAATAGAAAATACCATTGGGATAATTTATGGAAGTAGTATTCATCATTATATGGGAAGTTACTCATAAGAGATTTTTTTTTTTTTTTTTTTAGTGTTCTTCCAGACTTGGCAATTAGATTACATTTAGACCGTCGAATTAAAAGTGATTCCCTGTGAGCTGTCCTAGCAAATTATGAAATTGAAGAGAGGGGTTGCGGGAACCCTAGTTTCCTACCATGAGACAGTTTGACTTACTTTTCTTTAAAAGTTGAAAATTCTCATATGGGCATTATTTATCTCATGCTTGGTATTGGAGTCTTTCCCTGGGTATTCATAGTACACTTGAGGAAACTAAGACTTTGACCCTTTTAATAGCAAGTTTGTCTGTATGTGGGGGTATGAGCTGTCTTGGTTGCTAAGTGCACTAGTGGAAAGGATGAATTACTATAAAACCCCGATAAAATATGTGCTGTGAAGGGTCTGGAAATGATAATGGTACAAATTTTTTTTAAATGTTTTTTATGTTCTTGAAAGCTGTAAGTGTGTGTAGGACATATGAAATACAGATTTTTTTTCTTTTTCTTGAGACAGAGTCTCTCTCTGTCGCCCAGGCTAGAGTGCAGTGGGACGATCTCAGCTTATTGCAACCTCCGCCTCCCAGGTTTGAGGAATTCTTCCTCAGCCCCCTGAGTAGCTGGGATTACAGGCGTGCACCACCATGCCTGGCTAATTTTTTGTATTTCTAGTAGAGACGGGGTTTCACCATGCTGGCCAGGCTGGTCTCGAACTCCTGACCTCGTGATCTGCCTGCCGCAGCCTCCCAAAGTGTTGGGATTACAGGCGTGAGCCACCGCGCCCAGCTGAAATACAGACTTTTTTTTTTTTTTTTTTTAGAAGTGTTATACTAGGCTGGGGACAGTGGCTCATGTCTGTAATCCTAGTACACTTTGTGAGGCTGAGGCAGGTGGATTGCTTGAGGCCAGGAGTTGGAGACCAGCCTGGCCAACATGGTGAAACCCCATCTCTACTAAAAATACAAAAATTAGGTGGGCATGGTGACTGGCGTCTATAATCCCAGCTGCTCGGGAGGCTTAGGCAGGAGAATTGCTTGAACCTAGGAGGTGGAGGTTGCAGTGAGCTGAGATTGTGCCACTGCACTGACACCTGGCGACAGAGTGAGACTCCGTCTCAAAACAAAAACAAAAACTAAGGGAAAAAGAGGGAGGACTGGCATGGTGTGGTGGCTCACATTTGTAAATCTTGAGGCAGGAGGATTGCTTGAGCCCAGGAGTTCAAGACCAGCCTGGGCAACATAGTGAGACCCCGTCTCTATTAAAAAAAATAATAGTAAAAAAGAGGGAAATGGCAGCTGAGTAGGCAGCCTCAATATCTTTTCCTGATTAGTAATATAATTGACTGTAAGACCTGAGGGAGAAGATGAGCCTAGAGTACAAATGCTGCTGCCACCCCCTGAGGTCTGGAGGGATTGGCTGAAAAAACAGGGTGAACTAGGAGCTAAGCAGGCCCATTCTTTTTTTTTTTTTTTTTCTTTTCATGGAGATGGAGTCTCACTCTGTGGCCCAGGCTGTAGTGTGGTGGTACTATCTCAGTTTACTGCAACCTCCGCCTTCTGGGTTCCAGCGATTCTCCTGCCTCAGTGTCCCGAGTAGCTGGGACTACAGGTGCACACCGCCATGCCTGGCTAATTTTTTGTATTTTAGTAGAGACGGGGTTTCACCATATTGCCCAGGCTGGTCTCAAACTCCTGAGCTCATGCAAGCCACATGCCTTGGCCTCTCAAAGTGCAAGGATTACAGGTGTGAACCATCACGCCTGGCTTCAGGCCCATTCTTTTTTTTTTTTTTTTTTTTTGAGACGGAGTCTTGCTCTGTTGCCCAGGCTGGAGTGCAGTGGCGCCATCTCCACTCACTGCAAGCTCTGCCTCCCGGGTTCATGCCATTCTCCTGCCTCAGCCTCCAGAGTAAGCTGGGACTACAGGCACCCGCCACCACGCCCGGCTAATTTGTGCATTTTTAGTAGAGACGGGGTTTCACCATGTTGCCCAGGCTGGCCTCGAACTCCTGACCTCGTGATCCACCTGCCTCGGCCTCCCAAAGTGCTGGAATTACAGGCATAAGCCACCATGCCTGGCCTTGAAACCATCTTTCAAAATGTGGTCTTTTTGCAGTACAGCTGGGATGTCTCTGTCTTTCCCACCATGCACCTTTGTAAAGGGGCGGCTTCTGTCTCGCTGGTGTAACAGATTTCTTCCCTGTGTCCCCTTTCTCTTCTGTCAATGAATCATGGGTGGCTGTCGGCTGGGGACCACTCTCAGTGTCTCATACACTGAATGCAACATGGACACAAACTTATGATAGGGCCAGGTGGGGGACAGCAAGAGGTGAGCACCGGAAATTGCATGAGCTAGGAGTCACTGGCTGGTGGTGGGTGAGGGACACGTGGTAGGGACAGTTTAGCAGCTGGATCAGGGTGGAAATCCAAATCCTGACAGCTGAGAAGTGGCACAGACCTGCTTCTGTGAGGACAAGTGTCCCCTGGCCCTGGCCAACTGGCCTCCAGGGGGTATTGTTGGAATATGCGGTCATCCCAAAGCACTTCAGCTTGAAGAAGATCTAGGACACAGTTTGTTGTTACCACCTCAGAGCATTTAGATGGGACGTGATGGATGGAATTGAAGTTGAAAACCCATTCACCATTTCTAGTTAGTACAGTAGGCTCCTAATTTACAGAAATGCTTGTGAAATTGAGAATCATGATAAAATCCTCATACCTCCTCCTCTTTTGACCAAATCTTTCTAAAATGCACAATTATAATTTCTTATCTTTAGGAAAAAGTAATTATGTTATATGTGTTATATACACTATGTAAATATAGTTCATTAAATCATTCTTTGGTGTTTGAAGACTTTCTAATTCATTACTTCATTCCAGACATCAATGACAACAGCACATACCGAGCAGGTACACATATGAGCTACCTACTAATATGCCCTGATTTTGATTGTATTTTGTGAAAACCTTGGTATGGGTTATTTTTAAATGAATGTTTTCCCAAATTTTAAGCTGAAACTAGGATGCATCAAAATTATCTTGGTCATAATCTTGTCAATGATGTCATCTAAAGGCCACCAGGAACACACCTGTAGCCCAGCAAAGTTGAGGCCATCGACTGGCTCATCACAACAAGGAAGGCTGTGCACCACTGGGACCCAGCAGCAGCTCAGCAGCAGCAGTGAGAGGGCCTTGGGAAAGACTTGGAGGGTTTGGCTTATACAAGGTGATCTTGGGGAGGGTCAAGGAAACAGGCTGTGATGGTTAATATTGAGTGTCAACTTGATTGGATTGAAGGATGCAAAGGATTGTTCCTGGGTGTATATGTGAGAGTGTGGCCAAAGGAGATTAACATTTTAGTCAGTGGACTGGGAGAGGCACACCCACCCTCAATCTGGGTGGGCATCATCTAATCAGCTGCCACAGCAGCTAAAATAAAGCAGGCAGAAGTTGGAATGAGCAGACTTGCTGAGTGTTCCAGCCTTCATCTTTCTCCCATGCTGGATGCTTCCTGCCCTCGAACATCAGACTCCAAGTTCTTCAGCTTTTTTTTTTTTTTTTGGACTCTTGGACTTACAGCATTGGTTTGCCAGGGGCTCCCAGGCCTCTAGCCGCAGACTGAAGGCTGCACTGTGAGCCTCCCTACCTTTGAAGTTTGGGACTCAGACTGGCTTCTTGGCTCCTCAGCTTGCAGTCGGCCTATTGTGAGACTTCCCCTTGTGATCATGTGAGCCAATTCTCCTGATAAACTCACCTTCATATATACATCTATCCTATTAGTTCTATCCGTTTAGAGAACCCTGACTAATACACAGGCCATGCTCAGATGGAGTGCTGTCTGGAAATGGGAGTAATTCTGTGGTTGAATGTCTTAATTGTCCTGGAAGGTGGGAGAAATGGAATGAGGCTGGTGCTACAATTGATGTAAAAGCAGCAGCTGCTCACATAAGCCGGGGTGGAGGATGCCTAGGCGTATTTGTGGTATTGACCATGTTCTTGTTTTTGTTTGTGACCAGACCAGATTACAGAGGGGTATTGATTTGCCTTGCCCCCGCCCCCACCATCACAGTGTGTCCCTGTCCAGTGTTGGTGCTGTGTGGCATTGCTTGTGTCCATAGGAGTCCATCAAGGCAGAGCGGCAGAGCGGCAAGCAGAGCGGCAAGGCAGGTCAGCTTCCGGCTCTTCCAGGCTGCATGTCCCCCTCAATATCCTGTAAGTTCTGATCTGGCAGATACTGAATACTCAAGGGTTCACATTCTCTTAGCCTAGAGGTGGCTGCAAGAATGAAAGGCATTTGGCTGATGTGTTTTCAAAGGAGAGGGAAGCTGTCTGTGTTTGTTACCTGCGGCTGCATAACAAATGACCACAGCCTAGTGACTCAAAACATCACACACCAGTTACCTCCGCTCTCAGTAGGTCAGAAGTTCAGGCATAGACCAGCTGTGGCCTCCACTCTGAGTCTCAGCAGGCTACAATCAGGGCTCAGTCAGGGCTGTGGTCCTGTCAGAGGCTCTCTCAGGTTGTTGGTGGTTGTAGGACTGAAGTTCCTGTTTTTGGGGGGTAGTCAGCTGGTGTATTAGTCTATTTTCACACTAGTGATCAAGACATACCCGAGACCGGGTACTTTATTAAAAAAAAAAAAGAGGTTTAATGGACTCACAGTTCCATGTGGCTGGGGAGGCCTCACCATCATGGTGGAAGGCAAAAGGCCCACCTTACATGGCAGCAGGCAAGAGAGAATGAGAGCCAAGCAAAAGGGGTTTCCCCTTATAAAACCATCAGATCTCATGAGACTTATTCACTACCATGAGAACAGTATGGGGGAAACTGCCCCCATGAATCAATTATCTTCCACCAGTTCCCTCCCACAACATGTGGGAAATATGGGAGCTACAATTCAAGATGAGATTTGGGTGGAGACACAGCCAAACCTATCAGCTGGGGACCACTCTCAGCATCCAGGGGCTGCCATGGTTCCTGCCACATGGCCTCTCACAGTCCTTCCTATAGGACGGCAGCCCTTCTTACACAAGTCAGCAAGAGGGAGTCTCTCTTGCCCCCACTTGCTAAGGCAGAATCTCACATCAGATGTAACCATCACATTTGCTGTATTCTATTATCTAGAATTATGTCACAAGCCCCTTTATGCTCAGGGGAGTGGATTATCCAAAACATAGATCACCGGGGAGGGGTGACCTTAGGGTGTGTTGGCCACATCACCTAAGAGTACATGAAACATCTCTCTCATTTCTTCCATTTCTTGAGCTTTTAAAAAATTTTAAACGAATAAACATAGACAATTTAGGTTGCATGAATGAATACAAAGAAGAACATATTATCATTCCTAATTATCACAATTTCTACCACAAACATGATGAATTGTAACACTTGCATGTATGTACTGGACCAGTTTTTATAAACCATCCCAGCTATGGTCTGCTGCTCAATGGGACTGATGACTCTTCAGACGTATGGTCTGGGATCAACCACATTCTTGCAGGCCACCAAGAGGAGGCATCCATCTCCACAGAAGAGAGACGAGCTCTGGGCTCCTGCACCTTCACAGTGAAGGCTCAACGGGGCACATGGATCTCTGTGTTGCCCTAGATAGGACATTTTTACATTTTTGACTTTTCACCCTGTAGTGGGGGTTAAGGGCAGAGCTACAGGCATCTGGTAGGTATAGCCTAGGGACATTGCTAAATACTCTTCCACAGGGAGGACAGTCTCTGACCACAAAGAATTGTCCAGCCTAAAACGTCAATAGTGCCAGGGTTAAGAACACTGGCTCCAACCTTGCACAAGTCTGTGAAGTTCAAGACATTGTGGAGGTTTTTCTTGTTTTATTTATTTATTTTTTTGGCTGTTTACAAAGGTGTTCTTTTCTCTTCCCATCATACTTCACAGTTCAACCCAATGGAAATGGATTGAAAGAGTGAAAGTCACTGGTCTCAAAGAATCTACGGAATTTAGCATTTTGAAAATCACAGAGCAATTTTGGGTAGGTATTCACATGCACTAAAAAACCAGGCAAACATCTGACTCCCAGGATAAAGTGACTGAGAGCAGTAGAAGACTTGTTGAGCCTTAAGGAATAAGAGGAAAATTATGTTATGAAGTGCAGGAACAGCACAGACCCAGACGAGGGGATGCAGCCCGGAGCCAGTAACCCGGCGCCTCCTCCTCCCCAGGGCGCAGCGCTGGCTGCTCCCCGGATACCGTGATCACACGTCCCAGGTCCTGAGAGCGCCTCATAGGTAGACAGTTCTTTGGGACTTTTGGGACGCAGCACTTGAAGAGAGGTTTACCTAAACTTTCCTCCTGGGAGCCTGTCATCATTTGAAAGTAACAGAAGAAAGCTGTCAGGCTGAGGAAAGTTTCAACAGGCACTTGGTGAGAATGGGAAGCATCCATTCATTGGGAAATCACGGGGACAGAGGAGGAATTCACGGGATCAGAGCACTGAGAAACTCCAGAGGCTTCTGGTTCACCGCCCTGATTCCACAGATGTGGGTCAGAGGCAGAGATGGAAGTTGGAATGGACAAGCCTGCCCTCTCCTCAGCTCTCCATGGCTCTGTCCTCAGGCTGTTTCTGCAATTTGACATGAGGCCTGGCCCCAGGGAAACCAGTGGGGCCTCATCTCCTCCCTGTGCTGCTCTGAGGTGGAGCCTTCTCAGGGTCAGTCCAGCTCTGGAGCCCCTCTCCAGCTCGGTCACCAAAGCTGTCTGGTCCCAGGGCAGTGTGGAGTGACAGGCACGCCAGCCAATCCAATCGGCCATTTCATACCCAATGCATGTGACTGATAAAGAGATAACACCCTGTCTCCAAGACACAGGCTTTACATAAACAGCTTTAATGACTTCTTCACTTAGGGACAAGACTCCTTAGTGGTGGAACCTCAGGCATCCATGCAGGATGTAAGAAAGCTCCCGTATATACATGAACTGAGAAGTGTGTAGAAGAGTAAATACTGTAATAGGTAATAAAATGTATGTATTTTTATTTATGTGCTACTTTGTCTTTCTCCCTCTCTGTGTATATACACATACATACAAAAATGTATTCATTCTATGGAAAACATGAAAGATGTAATATTCTTTACATATTTAATTAATGTATTTTTTCTGATCATATGAACACCACAAATATAATTTTATAATTTTTTTACCTAACAATAAGTCTTAAACATAAATATACATGGACAATATCATAGTTTTTTTTTTAATCATAATTAAAATGGTTGTGAAACATTCCACTTTAATTCATTCCTCCTAATCCCTAGGGTGGTACATTAAGTGAGGGTTTCTCAGCCTCGGTACCATGGGCAGTTTGGGTTAGCCCATCCTTTTCAGAGACACTGCCCTGGACACTGCAGGATGTGGCTTCACATTCTGGTCTCTGCCCACTGGATGCCAGAAACATCCCTTCCCCTTAGCTGTGGTAATCAACACTGTCACTAGACATTGCCAAATGTCCCCTGGAGGACAAAATCACCCTAGGTTGAGAACCAGTGGCATTTTTTTTAAACTATCATTGTAAGACAAAGCCACCTGAACTTCCTTGCTGATGTCTCTTCACTTCTTTTTTTTTTTTTTTTTTGAGACAGAGTCTTGCTCTGTTGCCCAGGCTGGAGTGCAGTGGCATGATCTCGGCTCACTGCAAGCTCCGCCTCCCAGGTTCACACCATTCTCCTGCCTCAGCCTCCTGAGTAGCTGGGATTACAGGCGCCCGCCACCACACCTGGCTAATTTTTTTGTGTTTTTAGTAGAGACGGGGTTTCACCATGTTAGCCAGGATAGGCTCGATCTCCTGACCTCATGATCCGCCCACCTTGGCCTCCCAAAGTGCTGGGATTACAGGCATGAGCCACCACGCCTGGCCTCAACTTCTATCTAATTCTATTCAGAGGGAAAATTTCTAGAAGCGACATTCCTGTTGCAGAGAAGAGATATTCACTTGAGAACCTTGATATATATTTGCCAAATTTCTGTCCAAGTATCATTTTTAAAAAGTTAAAAACATGACTTTCATAGAAACACATACGGAGCATATGTCAAAGATGTATTTCTCTAATGCAATGAGACAGCCAGCAAGACAGTGAGGCTGCAGCAGCATGGGGACAGAGTGCAGAAAGAGGTCGCAGAAGCCTTGGAAGAACGTCATTCAGTCATACAAGGACACCCTGATGCTTGCGCTGCGGTCCTTTCCAAGTCCACGGGGCGTTGTTCCTTTGTGTCAACACCAGATAAGACTCATGGGGATTGCTGTCAGTGTTGTGTATGTTATAATACCAGGGACCCTCACATGGCTGTGTTAGATTCTAACCAATAGAAAATAATAAGTCAAAGCAAAGACCGTTACTGATTCCTTCCATTGTTTCTTTAGAGACTTTGGTTTAGTGCTCTAAACTTTCTGATTATCAGATCTTATGTGTTTGCTAATATATAAAATAACAAATTAGGCATAATGCCCTATAATTTTCTGCTTGATTAATTGCCTGAAATTTGATCTATCAGTCAGTGTTTGATTAGAATAGAGAAATCACATGTAATTTGAACAAGGAAAGATTAATACGAAGAATTGCTAGCTATAACAGGGTTTGGAGCAATGAGGATTGGCTAGTAAAAAGTAAAGAGAACTCTAAGGAATATAAGAATAACAGATAAAAGGAGCGTCAACCCCTGGGGTTGAGATACAACATCCAGGGCCTCTGGGATTCAGATCCAGACCCTGTTTGAGGGGGCATGGCTGTGGCTCACTGAATGAAGAGAAGTTGCTGTGGTAGAAATCTGTCTCATCAGAATCACTCTGCTGTAATACTGCCTTGTGGAGGTACTGGTGGAAGATACTCGGTGCTGCTGACTGCTATGCACTTCAGGAGCCTGACAATGGAGCAAACTGCACGGGTTCTGGATCTGGACACTGGAGAAGCTGTGTTGCAGTACAGAAGCCTGCCAAGAGGAGCACACAAGACTCTTGGAAAGAAGAGGAAAATCTCCTCTTACAATGTCGATCTAAGATCATGCCAACTAGCAAAGGAAAAATGTTTAAAGGGTCCAAGTTCATTTCTGCAGAGCAGACATGAAAGGTTGAATTCAGAGCTGAGAGACAATAAGTGGACAACTGGCACATTTGGTCAAACTTGTAATTTTATATCTTAGATGGACAAATTAAACACAAGTCCATAGGTGTTTTCCTTACAAGCTTACATTTAAATTTGGGATCCTGGTCAGAATTTTGCTAAGGACTTCATTCTTTCCCAGTGTTTCAGGAAGGATACCCTGGGGCCAGAGCCACTTTTCTTTATTGTAAGGTCCTGGGCTGTGGCCCCTTTTGCTTTTCTGGGCTCCTTTCTCATGGGCATCTGTTTTGGGAGCTTCATTTCCTCATCTGCTTTGACACTTTAATCTTGGACATTGTAGTGAAATGCTTCACATTGTCACACATTCTAATCTCAGAGACCACTCCAAATCTTTTTGAATTTTCTTGGCCATTGGAATTAGTACTCTGGAATCAGTACATTAAGAATGGTTTTTTAAAAACTATCAGCTAGAATTTCCACATTTTAGAAGAAATGGTCAGTATAAATTTGGAGAAGCAGTTTCTAGCTAGTAGTAGCTGTGCAGAAAAACAGTTTTATTGATAAGTATCTGATTTGGATTTAGGATCCAGCTAGGATGAAAAATTCAATTGAGGTCTGGCCAGATAGACATAAATTTTATTTTTCCTTTATATTCTGTGTCCAAAAGACAAATTGTCATGAGTTATTATTTTTTTCCTGAAGTATCCGTTTGTTTCTCAGCTTTGGAATTAGAGGTGTAGAAAATAAACGGGACTCAACAGCCTAAGATTTTGTTTAAAAAGATGTTCTTATTTATTTATATTTAAAAATTTCTAAACTTTTTTTTTGCAAGAAACTGTATGTCAGCATTTTCATTTTTGATAGATAAATTTTATATTTGGGATTTTGATTATTAAGTTGTTTCTCCACCAGAATTCCTTATGGATTTTTGTAATAATCTGTATTTAGTGTGTTTAATTATTTGCTTTCCATTTATATTTATTTTGGGATTTCTTTTTTAAGAGAATGGCACCTGTGACAGCATACTGTTAATATTACCCTTGTATCGTACTTTACCATGCCATCTCTGAAGAATATTACAGACCATTTTGGAGCATGGTGAATAACAAATTTTTACCTTAGGAGTTCACTTGAATAGTCATTTTTATATTTGTGACTGCAAGTCACTTTTAGGGGCTGTACTTCCTTAGTACTGGTAGCATTATTATCCAATGGACTTTTAAAGCTTTCATTAGGTTTTCTTTTGTTTTTGTTCTTTAAAGAACATTTTACTTAACTTAGTATTTCATTTTTCATCTATATTATGAGGCAGTAAGAGTCTTCTGTTTTTCCAAAGTTGAGACTGCTTTATATTTATTTCATATTGTCTACAGCTGTAGTGTTCAATACATTAGCCACTAGCCACATGTGGTTATTTAAATACGATAAAATAAAAACTGGCCGGTCGTGGTGGCTCACGCCTGTAATCCCAGCACTTTGGGAGGCCGAGGCGGGCAGATCATGAGGTCAGGAGATCGAGACCATCCTTACTAAGATGGTGAAACCCCATCTCTATTAAAAATACAAAAAATTAGCCGGGCGTGGTGGCGGGCGCCTGCAGTCCCAGCTACTCAGGAGGCTGAGGCAGGAGAATGGCGTGAACCTGGGAGGCAGAGTTTGCAGTGAGCCGAGATGGTGCCACTGCACTCCAGCCTGGGGGACAGAGCGAGACTCCATCTCAAAAAAAAAAAAAAAAAATTATTAAGTTCTTTAGTTGCACTAGCCATATTTCAAATACTTGATGGATACATGTGGCTAGTGGCTAACATAATGGATAGCACAGATATAAAACATTTCCTCCTCATATAAAGTTCTATTGGATAGTGCTGGTCTGTAGCTTATAGGATGGTATCTTAGTCTCCTTCAGCTGCTAAAACAGAATACCATAAATTAGGTAGCTTAAACAGTAGGTATTTTGACCAGGCGTGGTGGCTTATGCCTGTATTCCTAACACTTTGGGAGGCCGAGGCAGGTGGATAACTTGAGCTCAGGAGTTTGAGACTAGCCTGGGCAGCATTTCAAAACCTTGTCTCTACAAAAATTAGCTGGGCATGGTGGTGCACGCCTGTAGTCTGAGCTACTTGGGAGGCTGAGGTGGGAGAATTGCTTGAACCTGGGAGGCGGAGGTTGCAGTGAGCCATGATCGCACCCCTGTACTCCAGCCTGGATGACAGAATGAGACTCTGTCTCAAAAAAAAAAAAAAAAACAAAAAACAAAAAAAAACAAGAGATATTTCTCACAGTTCTGGAGGCTGGAAGTGCAAGATCAAAGTGTTGGCAAATTACGTTTCTTAAAGAGGGTCTGCTTCCTAGATTGGAAATGGCCATCTTCTCTCAGTATCCTCACATGGTAGGGAGAAAAGCAGCTCTAGTGTCTCTTCTTATAAAGGAAGTAATGCCACCATAGGGGCTCTATTCTCATGACCTCATCTAAACCTAATTCTCTCCTAAAGGCCACGCCTCCCAATATCCTCACCTTGGGGGTTAGGGCTTTATCATATGAATTTTTTTTTTTTTTTTTTTTTTTTTTGAGACAGAGTCTCGCTCTGTCTGTCACCCAGGCTGGAGTGCAGTGGCACAATCTCGGCTCCCTACAAGCTCCGCCTCCTGGGTTCACGCCATTCTCCTGCGTCAGCCTCCTCAGTAGCTGGGACTAAGGCGCCCGCCACTGCGCCCGGCTAATTTTTTGTATTTTTAGTAGAGACGGGGTTTTACCATGTTAGCCAGGATGATCTCAATCTCCTGACCTCGTGATCCACCCGCCTCGGCCTCCCAAAGTGCTGGGATTACAGGCATGAGCCACCGCGCCCGGCCTATCATATGAATTTTGAGGGAACACAAACATGCAGTCTGTAGCAGATGGTAATAGGCTGATATATTACACTTGTTGATGTAAATCTGATAAGTTTCTTTCTCTCCAAGGACAGCTTTTTAAATATTTAACAATACCAATAATTTTTCAGGTTCTGTGAGAATTTTATAATTTATAATTTGCAAACTTAAAATAATCTATAATCTATTTTGTCCTAACAATTACAAATATATTTTTTATTTCAGATTATATATATTCCTACCAGATGGAGATAATTACAGCTTTAAAAATTTTTATTTTTTCATTTTATTTCACATATTGACATTAAATTTTTATTGACACATAATAATTGTACATATATACGGGGTACAATGTGATGTTTTAATACACGTACTCAATGTGTAATGATCAAATCAGGGTAATTTGCATAATGATTTTTCTGTAGGGAGAAAATTCAAAATCTACTCTTCTGGCTATTTTCAAATATATGATACGTTATTGTTAACTATACTCATCCTACTATGCAATAGGACACCAGAACTTATTCCTGGGTTCTACATCTGTTTATTAAGCCAACCAAGGATTGGAAATATTGGGAAAAGAAATTGCGTCTGTACTGAACATGTACAGACTTTTTTCTTCTCCTTATCCCTTACACAATATAGTACAATAACTATTTGCATGACATTTACATCGGATATTATGAGTGATCTAGAGTTGATATGAAGTATATGGGAGGATGTGCAAAGGTGATGTGCAAATACTGTGTCATTTTATATCAGGGACTTGAGTATCCTTTGTTATCCTCAGGAGATCCTGAAACTAGTCCCCCATGGATACTGAGGGCTGACTGTATAGTCCTGTCCTCACGGAACTTTCATTCTAATGAGGGAAGACTGACTATAAACAAAATATATGTAATAGGTGGTGGTAAGTACCGTGGAGAAGTAACAAATGGGGCAAAGTGAGTTATACAGCTCCATTCTTAGAAACCTTGGAGTACTTTTCTTAGTTTATACTCATGGTGGTTTCCTTTTGTCTCCTTTATTACATGGGACTCTGACATGTGCCCATAGCTAGGGTGGCAGTAGGATCTACCCGAAAAGCATCCTGCTGATACAGGACCAAAGCATCCTGTTGTTCTCAAGCCTATAAAAAGAGCTAATGGTCTTGCTTCTCTTAACTGTGGCCTCCTACACTGTGTTTTGGATGATTGGTGATGTCTTGGATATTCTGTTTCTTTGGAACTTTGAATATACAACACTTTACTAGGGAATTAGCAATGGAAGCAGAGCAAAGATGTACAGAGGAAACAATGCATAACTCTGATGGAATTGAAGTCATGAGGCAGCAGAAAGCTTAAATTGCAGCTTTAAAAATTTTTATTTTTTAGAGGGAATTTAATTGGGAGTAACAGCAGTAATAGTTAACGGAGCCAGAATGCTTGAGTCATATAATTGCAAAGCAGAGTTGGGAGCAACAGATGCTAAAGAGTAGTTGCTGTAGTTCCTCTTTGGGTCGTAGGAGCAGTTGTCATATTACCATATAGCTACTGAATGAAGAAGAGTTCTTAGTGAGGCCTGGGTGAACAGCTCTTCTTAGTATTCTGTGTGACCCCATTTGACCTTTTAACAAATCTCTAAGTAAATAAATAGCCCCTAAGGTAAACTAAGTTTTTCTCTGCTATTTTTTTGCTTGAGAGAGCTATAACTGTAATAGACTTATATTTCTGAACATTTTAGTGCTTGCCAATATTTGGTAATATTTATGTTTCCTATATTTGTAATGAACATTCTTCTCCCAGTACATTTTTTGTTAAATTATTGTTTCATGCATAAAAGTTCACCTTTTATTGTATAAAATTGACTCAGGTTAATTTATACACATTGACAATGGGTAAATAGAATTTTTCAGATTATTAAAAGCTGAAGGATGCCCATGTAAGCAAAAAAAAAAAAACCAACAAAAATAAACCCAAACCCCTCAAACAATTTCGAACACAAAACATTCTTCTCATGCCGGCATCCTTTCGTTCCGGGAGGCCTTCCGTAGAGCTGTGGGAGCTCGAGCTGGCATTTTGTTTGCGGCACGATCTGGTCCGGGAGGTCTGGGATCTCTGGTTATATCTCACTTCTGACCTCTGGGCACCTGCTGCAGCTGTGGCTGAGGCCCAGAAATGTGAAGGGCCTCCATCCACTGCATTGAGTAGTGACCCCGACGTGGGGTTCAATGTGGAGGGGGGAGGGGCTGCCGCGGCAGCTGCAGGAGCCGACGTGCCAGGCCTTGTTCTTCTCATGCCGACATCCATGCTTGCAGCTGTGAAGGCCGCAGGAATCAGCGAGGTGACCTGGGCTGAGTCCCGGGAGTGGGAAGAGGTGGCAGGAAGGGGATCTGAGGAGGAGAACAGGGGTCCTGGTGGTCTGTGCTTCTTCCCAGACACGGGAGCTGTAGAGGGGATCTCTGCAGCAGATGCAAGGGGGGCCACTAGGCCCAGGCAGTCTTGGGACTTGGGTCTGTCCTGCTGTGCATCCATAGTGGGTGCTTTAGAAACGGGAGGCTCACCAGAAGCCCCTGTTGCAAGTGAGGACAGAGTGTGGGAAGGCCATGAGGGTCTGCAGTCCAAGATGGCCTTGTCCTCAACCTGCAGCGCACTGTTGATCCGCTGGAATGCCCCCTCTTTTTCCAGGTGCAGGTCTTCAGCCGTGACCCGGTACCCCAGCTCTAAGGGAGGTGGCAGCATCAAAGGCTCCCCTCACCTGTGTGGCAGCAGGGCAATCTTGCGTCTACGGGGCCTAGAGCCCTGGGATCTGGGGGAGCCACCCCTTGGGGCGAGTGTCTGCCCTGGTGCTGTATCTGCCGCCTTTTCACACCGTGTGTGACCCGAAGAGACAGCCTGAGGCCTGTCCTCACTCACTGTCTTTGAGTAACTGAGGGTCAGCTGGCAGCGGGATGAGGCTGGCCCCCTCCTCTGCTTTAGCCCCAGCAAGCCTCCCGTGGAGCTGTAGGAGCTGGAGATGGCATTTCGTTTGGTGCTCGAGCTCGTCCAGGAGGTCTGGGATGTCTGGTTATATCTGATTTCTGAGCTCTGGGCATGGAGGTCTGTCTGCAGAGGCCCGGGCCTGGGCACAAAGGGAGAGAGGCCTCCACTGTCCCGCAGGGGCCGAACTGTAGACCGTGCATCCCCGGTGACCTCGGGGACCGTTCTCTGATCATCAGGATTTTCTTGGACTCTGGGGTCCTTGTCCTGCTCAGGCATCCCTGCCCTGCTCTTTTGCTCCGCTGGCCCCCTCCTCCACTTTAGCCCCAGCAAGCCTCCCGCAGAGCTGTAGGAGCTGGAGATGGCATTTTGGTTGGTGCATGAGCTCGTCCAGGTGGTCTGGGATGTCTGGTTATATCTGATTTCTGACCTCTGGGCATGGAGGTATGTCTGCAGATGCCCGGGACTGGGCACAAAGGGAAAGAGGACTCCATTGTCCTGCAGGGGCCAAAATGCAGACCGTGCATCCCCAGTGACCTCGGGGACTCTTCTCTGATCATCAGGATTCTCTTGGACTCTAAGGTCCTTGTCCTGCTCAGGCATCCCTGCCCCGCTCTCCTTGAGGGCCCTTAACACTATCTTCCCTGGACACAAGTCTGGGGACAGCCGGGTGTTGTGGACCCCAAAGGGGTGACTACCTGCTCCTGGGCCCCACAGAGTCCTTGTGCTCAGTGTAGTGGCTGAGCTGGGGGATGCCCTGGAACTCGGAGCAGACAGCACTGGCTTACTGTGGTACCTGTACAGTGAAATTGAAGGCAGAATCACCAGGATGGAACACAGGTTTTGCAGGATCACGGAAAACCTTCTTAGAGTTGTCTTGACACCACTGATGTCGAGTGTCCGGGTGCTTGTAGGATGGCCTGCCACTCAGTCCAGGGGCAGGAGCAACGGGGAGATCCCACAAGCAAAGTGAACTCGGGGATGGGCTGAAGGGGCTCCAGGCAACTGAGCCCTACTCGGAGGTCCTCGGCCTTGGCCCAAACAGGAATGAGGGGCACAGAGTGCCCGGGTAACCGCTCCTGGGAGCAGTGGGGAACCGTCGGATGCTTGAACTCTCGAGAGCTGGGCTCTGAGCGTCCTCGTCCAGCTGCCAACTCGGCCAAAGGCTAAGCCAGCAGATTCTTCTGTTGCCGGGCAACACGCCTTCTAAACCTGAGGGAGTGGGCGCGTGAGCACATAATGGCACCAGTGACAGAGCGACCGTAATGGATTAATAAGTGCAGCCAGGTACCCATGCAAGGCACTTGCTGGCAATGACAGGAGGCGGACGTGGGGGGTCGTGCAATAGGTACAGGAGAGAGAGACACGGGCACAAAGGTCGCGGGAGGAACAGGTGCCCACAATGGCTGCAGATCTGCCCGTGGATCACTGAAGATTCCTGCTCTCCTGCTGAGGTGGAGACTGCAGTGAGCTGAGATCGCACCATTGCACTCCAGCCTGGGCAACGAGTGCATAACTCAGTCTCCAGATAAAAAAAGAAAAAGAAAAAAAAGAGGCCGGGTGTGGTGGCTTATGCCTATAATCCTAGCACTTTGGGAGGTCGGGGTGGACGGATCACGAGATCAGGAGTTGGAGGCCAGCCTGGCCAACATAGTGAAACCCCGTCTCTAGTAAAAATACAAAATTTAGTCAGACATGGTGGGCAGGAGAGAGCACGTGCAGGGGAACTCCCATTTATAAAACCATCAGATCTCATGAGACTTATTCACTACCATGAGAACAGCATGGGGGAAACTGCCTCCATGATTCAATTATCTCCACCTGGCCCCACCCTTGACACATGGGAATTGTTACAATTCAAGATGAGATTTGGGTGGGGACAGAGCCAAACCATATAATTCTTCCCTGGCCCCTCCCAAATCTCATGTCCTCACATTTCAAAAGCAATCATGCCTTCCCCAAAGTCCCCCAAACTCTTATTTCAGCATTAACTCAAAATTCCATAGTCCAAAGTCTCATCTGAGACAAGGCAAGTCCCTTCCACCTATGAGCCTGTAAAATCAAAAGCAAGTGAGTTATTTTCTAGATACACAGGGATACAAGCATTGGGTAAATACACTCGTTTCAAATGGGAGAAATTGGCCAAAGCGAAAGAGCTACAGGCCCCATGCAAGTCCAAAACCCAGCAGGCAAATCTTAAAGCTCCAAAATGACCTCCTTTGACTCCATGTGTCACATCTAGGTGATGCAAGAAGTGGGTTCCCAGGGTCTTGGGCAGCCCCGCCCCTGTGACTTTGCAGGGTACAGCCCCCCTTCTGGCTGCATTGAGTGTCTGCAGCTTTTCCAGGCACACAGTGCAAGCTGTCAGTGGATCTACCATTCTGGGGTCTGGAGGATGGTGGCCCTTTTCTCACAGCTCTGCTTGGCAGTACCCCAGTGGGGACTCTGTGTGGGGGCTCCAACCCCATATTTCCCTTTGACACTGCCCTACCAGAGGTTATCCATGAGGGCCCCCCTTCCCCCCCGCAGCAAACTTTTGCCTGGATTTCCAGGCATTTTCATACATCTTCTGAAATCTAGGCGGAGGTTCGTGAACGTTAATTCTTGACTTCGGTGCATCTGCAGGCTTAACACCACCTAGAACCTGAAAGGCTTGGAACTTGCATCCTCTGAAGCCATGGCCTGAGGTGTACCTTGGCCCCTTTTACCTATGGCAGGAGCAGCTGGGATGCAGGGCACCAAGTTCCTAGGCTGCACACAGCAGGGGTTTCTGGACCCACAAAACCATTTTTCTTTCTAAGCCTCCTGGCCTGTGATGGGAGGGTCTGCTGTGAGGGTCTCTAACATGCCCTGGAGACGTTTGCCCCATTGTCTTGGTGATTAACATTTGGCTCCTCATTACTTATGCAAATTTCTACAACCCAGTCTCCTCAGAAAATAGATTTTTCTTTTCTGTTGCATCATCAGGCTACAAATTTTCTGAACTTTTATGCTCTGCTTCTTCTCGAATGCTTTGCTGCTTAGAAATGTCTTCTGTCAGATACCTTAAATCATCTCTCTCAAGTTCAAAGTTCCACAGATCTCTAGGGAACTCTAGAAAAAAATTCTTATTTTCACTCTTTCCCGCCTATCTTATGCCCGTTTCTAATACAGGTGGACAATGCCTGCAGTGTCTTTGCATAGTAAGAGTGACTTTACTCCATTTCCCAACAAATTCCTCATCTCCCTCTGAGACCACCTCCGCCTGGACCTTATTGTTCATATCACTGTTAACATTTTGGTCAAAGCCATTCAACAAGTCTCTAGGAAGTTCCAAACTTTCCCACATTTTCCTATCCTCTTCTGAGCCTTCCAAACTGTTCCAGCCTCTCCCTGTTACCCATTTCCAAAGTTGCTTCCACATTTTCGGGTATCTTTACAGCAGCACCCCACTCTACTGGTATCAACTTATTGTATTAATCTGTTCTCACACTGCAAATAAAGACATACCTGAGACTGGGTAATTTATAAAGGAAAGAGGTTGAATTGACTCACAGTTCTGCATGGCTGGGGAGGCCTCACAATCATGGTGGAAGGCAAGGAGGTGCAAAAGCATGTCTCACATAGTGGCAGGCAGGAGAGAGCATGTGCAGGGGAACTCCCATTTATAAAACCATCCGATCTCATGAGACTTATTCACTACCACGAGAACAGTATGGGGGGAACCATCCCCATGATTCAGTTATCTGCACCTGGCCCCACCCTTGACACGTGGGAATTATTACAATGCAAGGTGAGATTTGGGTGGGGACACATCCAAACTATATCAGTAGGTTTTGACTTCTTGCTTGATTGCTAGGTTGCATAGAGGACAAACATGGAAATTAATGAAGTAGCTTAATATCTGGCTTCAGATCTTAGACAGGATCAGAGGGCCAGCTCAAATTTGC
The DNA here is from genome assembly GCF_000001405.40 of Homo sapiens. Classification (NCBI taxonomy): domain Eukaryota; kingdom Metazoa; phylum Chordata; class Mammalia; order Primates; family Hominidae; genus Homo; species Homo sapiens. Next base: position 57,934,244 of record NC_000006.12, on the reverse strand, counting down.
AAGGAGGGGAGGTAGATCCCACCATTTTATGGGTGAATGGCAAAATCAAACAGAAATTATGTGGGATGGGAGATACTGATGCAGGCATCTTTGGAAACATTCTACTTAGCTAATTTTATGCTAGGCTTTAGGTCAAGAAGGAGAGAGAGAGCTGACATGCTGTGGTACACACTTATAGTCCCAGCTACTTGGAAAGGTGAGGCAGGAGGATTGCTTGATCCCAGGAGTTTGAGGTAGTGTGCGATGATCGGATGATCGTTCTTGTGAATAGCCACTAGCCACTGAACTCCAGCTTGGGCAACATTGAGACACCCTGTCTCTTAATTTAAAAAAAAAAAAAGGAGGAAAGAAAGTGGTCTCAGTTTTTAATGTAAATATTTTTAATGGGATAATGATATTTTAAGATTAATGTATATTGTATGTCAGTTAACTATAGGTCAATAATTATATAAAACTTAAGGTACGAAAAACATTTATTTTTGCTAACATATCTGTGAGTTGACTGTTCTTGGCTTGGTGAGGCTGCAAGCTGCAGATAGAGTGTAGGTATGTTTTCTGTGTGTTTGTTCCCCCTTGGATCAGTGGACTACCTGAGAATGTGTTTTTGTCACAGTGATGGAATCACAAGGAAACTCCAGTTCTGGAAGTACATTTTAAGCCATTGCTTCTATCATGTCCACTAACATTCAGTCAGCCAAAGCACATACCTTGTCCATGGCTAACGTTGATAGTATAGATAAATATACCTGATCTCTAGCAGGAGGAACTGCATTGTCTTGGGGAAAGGTTGTAGATATAGGGAGGGGTGATGAGTTGGGAACAATAATGTAGTCTGCCACAAACATATTAAAGTGTAACTGGATATGGTTGATGCAGAATTTTGAACCTTTGTTTTAATTCTGATTTTTACTCTTTTCCCCCATGTAGTGCCCTTTTGTAATACAGTAATTCTCATGATTTTTGTCTGAATTGAAATCTTCTATGAGATTAGATTGTCTACAAAAATACAGTCGATCCTCCTTGTTTTCAGCTTTTGTATTTGTGAACTCACCTACTATTTTTTGTAACCCCCAAATCAGTACTCACAGCACTTTCATAGTCATGTGTTTGCGTAGAGTGTCAAAGAATTTGAGTTTGAACAGGATGATATTCTGCCTCCTTTTTCAGCTCTCATACAATAGTCAGGTATCCTTTTTGTGGTCTACTTAATGCCATGCTTTTCCTATTTTTGTGCTGTTTGTTGGTTGTTTTGCCATGTAAATTAACCCCCAAGCATAGTGCTGAAGTGCTGCTTAGCATTCACAAGTCCAAGAAGTCTGTGATGTGCCTTACAGAGAAAATACAAGCATTAAATAAGCTCCAGGCGTGAGTGCTGTAGTGCCATTGGCTGTGAGTTTAATGTTAATGAATAAACATTGTATATTATTTATTTATTCATTCATTTAATTAATTATTATTATTTTTTTTGAGATAGAGTCTCACTCTGTTGCTCAGGCTGGAGTGCAGTGGTGCAGTCTTGGCTCACTGCAACCTCTGCCTCCTGGGTTCAAGCGATTCCCCTGCCTTAGCCTCCCAAGTAGCTAAGACTACAGGCATGCGCCACCATGCCTGGCTAATTTTTTTTTTTTTTTTTTTGTAGTTTTAGTAGAGACGGGGTTTCATCACATTGGCCAGGCTGGTCTCGAACCCCAGACCTCAAATGATCTGCCCGCCTTGGCTTCCCAAAGTGCTGGGATTACAGGCATTAGCCACTGTGCCTGGCCAACAATATATATTAAATAAGCACACATACAACAAAAGTAGGTGTTGGTAAGCTTACAAAAATGTGACCAGTAGCTTGCTGAAACCTAACTTTTTATTTGTTCATGGAACTTTCTAGACCGTAACTACACTGAATAATGAGAATCTGCTGTAATCTTTTTAGGTGCTGTAGATGAGCCATTGGATTAAATTATTACAGTATGTTTCAGACTGCTCTCTGTTGAACCCTAGTGAAATGCCTCTCAAACCCTCATAAGGATCACAATCTCATGTCCTTTTTTTTTGTTATTAAATGCCCAGTATGTGTTAGCGATTTAAACAAAATTCAAATATTTTTTTTTTTTGAGACAGAGTCTCGCTCTGTCACCTAAGCTGGAGAGTGCAATGGCATGATCTCGGCTCACTACAACCTCTGCCTCCCGGGTTCAAGTGATTCTCCTGCCTCAGCATCCTGAGTAGCTGGGATTACAGGCACCCGCCACCACGCTGGGCTAATTTTTGTATTTTTAGTAGACACGGGGTTTCACCAGGTTGTCCAGTCTGGTCTGGAACTCCTGACCTCATGCGATCTGCCTGCCTTGGCCTCCTAAAGTGCTGGGATTACAGGCATGAGCCACCATGCCCGGCGTTGACTTTTTAATAATAACCATTCTGACTGGTGTGAGATGGTATGCCATTGTGGTTTTGATTTGCATTTCTCTAATGATCAGTGATATTGAGCTTTTTTTCATATGCTTGTTGGCCACATGTGTGTCTTCTTTTGAAGTGTCTGTTTATGTCCTTTGCCCACTTTCTAATGAGATTTTTTTTTCCTTGTAAATTTGTTTAAGTTCCTTATCAGTGTTGGACATTAGATCTTTGTCACGTGCATTGTTGCAAAAATTTTCTCCCATTCTGTAGGTTGTCTGTTCACTCTGTTGATAGTTTCTTTTGCTGTGCAGAAGCTTCAAGAAGAAAGGAATCCGATTGGTTCTGTGTCTGTCTCTTTTGGTATTCTCAGACTTATGTAGTCATCCATATAGAAAGATGATTAGGAAAATAGGACAAGAATAGCAGAAATGTACATAAAAATGTAGGAAATTAAAATTAGTTACCAGCATACAAAAAACTACTATATGTTATAATTACATACTATAACTCACCCCTCCTTGCCAAATATTCTCTCTCTTTTGACTTCAAAATCATGGCTTATATGTACTTTCTCTATTTCCCAGATGCAAATATAATTAATTGACTTTATTTATCTAGGAAATGTTACTGATATCTTAATTGTAGTCATTGGCTTGAGTGACAGGTTTTGGTAATTCAACTACTATTACTTGAAAGTAGTAGATTTCATAGGATACTGTTATAAAATCTTTTTAACCTCTTTTCTGATTTCAGGAGTAATTAGTAATTGTGGTTTACTGGAAAATTCAATGAATAGGGTGTTAAAGGAAGCAATTCATTAATAATATATCTAATCTATTGGGAGACTGAGGCGGGTGGATCACCTGAGTTCAGGAGTTCGAGACCAGCCTGGCCAACATGGCAAAACTCCATCTCTACTAAAAATACAAAAATTCGCCGGGCATGGTGGTGCATTCCTGTATTCCCAGGTACTCGGAAGGCTGAGGCAGGAGAATCACCTGAACTCCAGAGGTGGAGGTTGCAGTGAGTCGGGATCGCAGCACTACACTCCAGCCTGGGTGACAGAGTGAAACTCCATCTCAAAAAAATAATAATAATAACATAAAAAATTAAATTAAAAAAAAGCGGGCCGGGCGCATTGGTTCAGGGCCGGGCACGGTGGCTCAAGCCTGTAATCCCAGCACTTTGGGAGGCTGAGGCAGGCGGATCACGAGGTCAGGAGATCAAGACCATCCTGGCTAATGTGGTGAAACCCCGTCTCTACTAACAATACAAAAATTAACTGGATGTGGTGGCAGGTGCCTGTAATCCCAGCTATTCCAGAGGCTGAGGCAGGAGAATCACTTGAACCTGGGAGGCAGAGGTTTCAGTGAGTCCAGATCATGCCACTGCACTCCAGCCTGGGCGACAGAGCGAGATTCTATCTCAAAAAAAAAAAAAAAAAAAAAAAAAAGCAACAGAAGCAAATGAGAGTGCCTGGGAGTGGTCATTGTGGGGCATTCCCGTTTGTGTGACCCAGGTCATGTCCCTCCCTAAGCCCTGGTCTCTCTTGCCTCCTGCAGGGCTGGTGAATTACCAGATCTCCATCAAGTGCAGTAACCAGTTCAAGTTGGAAGTGTGTCTTTTGAATGCAGAAAACAAAGTCGTGGACAACCAGGCTGGGACCCAGGGCCAGCTGAAGGTGCTGGGTGCCAACCTCTGGTGGCCGTACCTGATGCACGAACACCCCGCCTACCTGTACTCGTGGGAGGTAATGGTGGTTTGGGACTTGCTTAAGGGAGGTCTTTTGCCCCCATCTGGTAGCCCTGGCTTCAGCAGGAGCCCAGGACAGGTGAACGGGCAGGTGTGGTCCTCTGAGCTTTCTGATGTTTCCCACCCTTGGTGGGAGGCCCAGATTTTTTATTTATTTATTTATATTTATTTATTTATTTATTTATTTATTTATTTATTTATTTATTGTGATGATCTCACTCTGTCACCCAGGCTAGAATGCAATGGCCTGATCACAGCTCACTGCAGCTTTGAGCTGCAATCCTCCTACCTTGGCCTCCTGAGTAGCTGGGACTACAGGCACATGCCACCATGCCTGGCTAATTAAACAATTTTTTTTTGTAGGCCGGGCATGGTGGCTCACGCCTGTAATCCCAGCACTTCGGGAGGCTGACGCAGGCGGATCACTTTAGGCCAGGAGTTGGAGACCAGCCTGGCCAACATGGTGAAACCCCGTCTCTACTAAAATATGAAAATTTGCAGGGCATGATGGTGCACGTCTGTAATCCCAGCTACTCGGGAGGCTGAGGCAGGGGAATTGCTTGAACCCAGGAGGCAGGGGCTGCGGTGAATTGAGATCATGCCACTGCACTCTATCCTGGGTGACAGAGTGAGACTGTCTCAAAAAAAAATCCTTTTTATAGAGTTGGGGTCTTACTCTGTTGCCCAGGCTGGTCTTGAACTCCTGAACTCAGGTGATCCTCCTGCCTTAGCCTCCCAAAGGGTAGGGATTCCAGGCATGAGCCACCTCGTCTGGTCAAGGAGAAGGCCTGATTTTGAAGGGCAGGTCCCAGGGTCAGCCAGTGAAGGGCAGAGCCTCTGATTGCTGCTTCTCTGCAGGCCCAGAGGCGACTGCTGGGGTGCATGCACGAGGGGTCTTCCTGCTGTAGGGCAGGCCAGATGGGGCTCAGGCTGTCGGGGCGCTCACACCTGGCGCTTTGGCTGTCATAGGTGCGGCTGACTGCACAGAAGTCACTGGGGCCTTTGACTTCTACACACTCCCTGTGGGGCTCCGCACTGTGCCCGTCACCGAGAGCCAGTGGGTGAGAGCCAGTTTCATTTGCGGTAGAGGCAGCAGAGGTTGTAGAAATGCTCCTTGAGGCAGATGCCACACCCCAATTTCATGGAGTGATTTGGGCTGAGCCGAGTCTGCAGCAGGCAGAAGGCTCTGAGATGTTGTCCTAGCCAGGGCAAAGGACAATTCAGAGCTCGGGGGAATAGGGGTGTGCTCAGCATGACTGGGTGGACAGGCCCTTTGTTGTGAATCGTACAGGCTTCCAGGAGCGGGTGCCTGAGGCTTCCAGACAGGCTTTGGGAGGTGGCCAGAGGAGATGCCTGTTTCCGGGGCAGGAAATGGAGGTAGCGCCCAGGCTGGAGAGGTTCAGCCAGGCTGTCACAAGGCTTTGAAGCTTCACATCTGAGAGCCTGGCTATTGGAGAATGTGGGTTTGGAACTTGAGGCTAGGAGGTTCTGTTCTGTCCTGTGCCAGCCACAGCCTTCGGATGGGCAGAGCAATGATGGGGGGAAGATGTAAAAGAAAAGAACTGAGGAAAGAAGAAGAAAACCAGCTTCAACAACAGTCTAGGCCGGATGCGGTGGGTCACGCCTGTAATCCCAGCAGTTTGGGAGGCTGAGGTGGGTGGATCACCTGAGGTCAGGAGTTCGAGACCAGCCTAGTCAACAGGTAGTGAATCCTGTCTCTACTAAAAATACAAAAATTAGCTGGGCATGGTGGTGGACGTCTGTAATCCCAGCTACTAGGTAGGCTGAGGCAGAAGAATCGCCTCAGGTGAACCAGGAGGCAGAGATTGCAGTGAGCTGAGATAATGCCACTGCATTCCAGCCTGGGCTACAGAATGAGACTCTGTATCTCAAAACAAAACAAAACAAAACAAAAAAACACAACAGTCTGTTCTGTGGAGGCCTTGGGCAGATGCTGGGAGCTCTGAGCACGGACTGGTCCCTCTGTTGGGAGCCTCTTCCCTTCATCCCTCCTGGTTAACTTGACTCAGCATAAAGGCCATTTCTTCTAAGAGCCTGTCCCTGACTCTCCAATCCGGGATGTGTCTGTTGTCTCATAGAGTGCCCAATTCCTGCCACCACTTGTCATTTCCATTCGCAACATTTCTTTCATTGTTTGTTTTTCAGAGTCAGGGTCTCACTCTGTTGCCCAGGCTGGAGTGCAGTGGTGCAATCATAGCTCGTTGCCATCTCGACCTCCTGGGCTTAAGCGATCCTCCCCACTCAGCCTCCCAAATAGCTGCGACCATAGACATGCGCTGCCTTGCCAGGCTAAATTTTAATATTTTTTTTCCCCACGAGTCAGAGTCTTGCTCTGTCTCCCAGGCTGGAGAGCAGTGTTGTGATCTTGGCTCACTGCATCCTCTACCTCCTGGGTTCAAACAGTTCTCCTGCCTCACCCTCCCAAGTAGTTGGGATTACAGGCTCACGCCACCATGCCCAGCTAGTTTTCTTCTTTATTTTTTGTTGAGATGGGGTTTCACCATGTTGGCCAGGCTGGTCTCGAACTCTTGACCTCGTGATCCACCTGCCTTGGCCTCCCAAAGTGCTCACAGGCTTGAGCCACCATGCCCGGCCCTAATTTTTAAATTTGTTGTAGAAACAAGGTCTTGCTATGTTGCCCAGGCTGGTCTCAAGCACCTGGTCTCAAGTAAGCCTCCCAAAGTGCTGGGGTTCTAGGCGTGAGCCACCTTGCCTGGCACTTGCACCGTTTTTCTGTGCATGCATCTCCACTCCCACTGCCCAGGACCTGTGGACTTAGATTTGAGTCATTACTGAGCACCTAGCACCCAGCCCCGTGCCTACCTCCCACCTCGCACTACCTGTTTGCTTGATGCATTAATAAATATTCCACCTGAATCCACAGCCCATTCACTCCTGTGTTCAAGAGCTATTTCAGGAAGCAAACCTCATTTTTGGCAGTGTTCAGTCCAGTGACCTCAGCACTGTGTACCTGGCAGGGTGGCTACGCCTCTAGGGGAATTGGATTCAGGGGTGGGGGAGAAAGAGTGTTGTTAGAGAGCTTGGTCTAGGACTAGAGGAACGTGCCCTTATGTAAAACACATCTCAAGTTAGGGAAGAAAGCAGCGGCTCTGTGCTTTGTTTTTTTTTTTCTTTTCTTTTCTTTCTTTTTTTTTTTTTTTTTTTGTTTGTTTGTTTGTTTGTTTTGGGGCAGGGTCTTGCTCTGTGGCCCAGGCTGGAGTGCAGTAGCGTGATTTCGGCTCACTGCAACCTCCACCTCCCGGGTTCAAGCAATTCTTGTGCCTCAGCCTCCCAAGTAGCTGGAGTTACAGATGCGTGCCACTATGCCTGGCTAATTTTTGTATATTTAGTAGAAATGGGGTTTTGCCATGTTGGCCAGGCTGTTCTTGAACTCCTGACCTCAGTGATCTGCCTGCCTCAGCCTCCTGAAGTGCTGGGATTACACATGTGAGCCATCATGCCTGGCCCCCAGTTGTGTTCTGGCAGGGGAAGATGGGACAGAGAGGATGGGAGGGTGTCTGAGCCTTTCCCGGACTGACGGAACCTGTGTCTTCTCTCTTTTGTGGACAGGATGGTGATTGCTCACACCAAAGCCTTGGACCCCTCCCAGCCTGTGACCTTTGTGACCAACGTCACCTATGCAGCAGACAAGGGGGTGAGCCTGGGGGTCCCCACCCCATTTCTCCCTGCCTTTGCCTGGGCTTGTCCTGAAGCCTGCTCATGGGAACAGCTGGAAAGAACCATGTGCTGCCAGTCTGAGCTTTTTATTTTGTTTTACTTAGAAAGATAGAGACAGGGTCTTGCCATGTTGCCCAGGCTGGTCTCGAACTCCTGGGCTCAAGTGATCCTCCTGCCTCGGCCTTCCAAAGGGCTGGGGTTACAGGCGTGTGCCACCGCACTCAGCTGCAGCCAGTCTGTTTTCAAAGATGGTCTTTGGGTTAATGACAATTCTCTCTCTGCTTACTCTCCAGGCAGTGTGGCTTTCTGAATCCAAGGAGGCTGGGTGTAGGGAGATGGGATTTGTTTGCTCAGTTTGGACTCAGCATTTTTTGTACTCGATTTAATAGACTCATAAAATGTCAAAGGTTTAAGTGAGCTTAGAGTTCATCTGGCCCAAACCTGGCTGATCAGAATCTCCAGGGGAAGTTTTTTTGAAATGCCAGATCTCTGCATTCTGAGATCCTGATTTAGTAACTCCAGGGTTGGAACCTGAGGTGTTTTTTCTGTTTGTTTGTTTTTTTTTTTTGTGAAGGCAAGGTCTTACTCTGTTGCTCTGGCTGGATTGCAGTGGTGTGATCACAGCTCACTGCAGCCTTGAATTCCTGGGCCTAAGCAACCCTCTTGCCTCAGCCTTCCAAGTAGCTGGGACTCCGGGTGTACACCACTGTGCCCGGCTAATTTTAAATGTTTTTGTAGAGATGGGATCTCACTATGTTGCCCAGGCCAGTCTCAAACTCTTGAGCTCAAGTGATCCTCCTGCCTTAGCCTCCTAAAGTGCTGGGAATACAGGCATGAGCCACCGTGCCTGGCTGATACTAGCATTCTTTTTTTTTTTTAAAGATAGAGTCTTGCTCTGTTGCCCAGGCTGGAGTGCAGTGGCACAGTCTCAGCTCACTGCAACCTCCGCCTCCCAGGTTCAAGCAATTCTCCTGCCTCAGCCTCCCAAGTAGCTGGGATAACAGGCACATGCCACCACACCTGCGCTTGATCGTGGGAGGCAGAGGTTGCACTATTGTGCCACTCCATTCTAGCCTGGGCAACAGAGCGAGACTCTGTCTTCCAAACAAAGCGAAAAAAGATTATCTGCGAGAATGACTGCATTGGCCCCTTGGGTGGGAGCGCTTCTCCAGGGCAAGGTGAGGGGATGCCCAGTGCTGGGAGTGCTGCCTGGAGAGGAGTCAGTTCCAGTGGCGGGGGCCCTGGGTTTTGGCTGAGGACTGCGTGTTGGCAGCTGCTCTGCCTCTCACAGCCCTTCCCAGCTGCACAGGTCGTGAGCGTCAGTGTGCAATCACAGGCCTGCCTCCTTTGGGCCACTTTGTGACCATGTTTTTTGCTTGTGGGGCAGGGTAATTTCAGGATCTAAATTGGTGCAGTTGGTGTTCTCAGCCCCGAGAGGCAGCTCTTCCCGTTCTAGGCTTTTTGTTTTGTTTTGTAGAAATGGAGTCCTATGATGTTGCCTAGGCTGGTCTCAAACTCCTGGGCTCAAGTGATCCTCCCACCTTGGCCTCCCAATGTGCTGGGATTACAGGCATGAGCCACTGTGCCATGCTAATTTTCTTGATACTATTTTTTGTAGAGCTGGGGTCTTGCTGTGTTGCCCAGGCTGGTCTCGAACTCCTGGCCACAAGCCACCCTCCTGCCTCAGCCTCCCAGAGTGCTGGGATTACATCCCCTTCTTACCTTCTCTGTCAGAGGAGCCCCCACAGCATGTGAGTACTGAGTCATGTGGTCTTGTGGTTGCTGAATGGGCTCTGCTGCTCTGGTCCTAGGCTCTGTATGTGGATGTGATCCGTGTGAACAGCTACTACTCTTGGTATCGCAACTACGGGCACCTGGAGTTGATTCAGCTGCAGCTGGCCACCCAGTTTGAGAATTGGTGTAAGACATCACAATCCCATTATTCAGAGCGCGTATGGAGTGGAAACGCTTGTAGGGTTTCACCAGGTAAGCGGTGTTGAACTTTCTGCTTGTGTATTCTCTCTGGGCAGAGATGCCACTTGCCTCCCCCACCCTGCCGTGCGCCCACTGCAGTGCTCCCCTCGCTTCAGCTTTGGGCTCACCACCCACTTCCCTGTCCACGTTCCCTTCTCACCAGCAGCCAGGCCTCTGCCCCACTCGCTTGGTCCTCAAAGGTGGACTCCTTACTGGCCTTGTTTCCAGACAGCCTCCTGTCACCCGTGCCCAAGTGGTCTTTCTAACAAATCCAAATTTTTGTGTGTTTTTGAGACCACCTCTCTCTCTGTCACCCAAGCTGGAGTGCGGTGGTGCGATCACTGCTCACTGCAGCCTTAACCTCCTGGGCCCAAGCGATCTTCCCACCTCAGCCTCCTGAGTAGCTGGGACCATAGGCACAGGCCAACATGCCTGGCTAATTTTTTTTACTTTTGTAGAGATGGGGCCTTGTTGTGTTCCCCGGGCTGGTCTTGAATTCCTGGGATCAAGTGATCCTCCTGCCTCAGGCTCACAAAGCGCTGGGATTACAGGTGTGAGCCACTGTGCCCGGCCGCAAATCAAAATTTTTGAGTCCTATCATTGGCTCCCCCAGGCCCATAGGACAAAGTCCTAACCCCTAGTCAGGACACTCAGTGTCCTCTGCTCTCTCCTGGGTTTTCATCCTCTTCTCTTCTCACTCCTGGCCACTGATCTGTTTCCACTGCCCTCATTTGCTCTCCTGCTCTTGCTTGAGCTATTCTTTCTGCCTGGAATGCCCATGTTGGCACCATAATCACCAACTAAAAGATCCTTTTCTTTTTATTTTTTTAGAGATAGGGTCTTGCTATGTTGCCCAGGCTGGTCTCAAACTCCTGGACTCAATTGATCTTTTTGCCTTGGCCTCCCAAAGTGCTGGGATGAACAGGTGTGATCCACTGTGCTAGCCTTTTTTTATTTTTTATTTTTTTCCTGACAGGGTCTTGTTCTGTTGCCCAGGCTGGAGTGTGGTGGTGTCATCATAGCTCACTGCAGCCTCGAACTCCTGGGCTGAAGCGATTCCCCTGCCTCAGCCTCCTGAGTAGCTGGGACTACAGGCGTGCACCACCATGTGCAGCCTAGTTTTAAAATATTTTGTAGAGATGCAGTCTCGCTATGAGGCTGGTCTTCACCTCCTGTCTTGGACTCCCAAAGTACTGGGAATACAGGCATGAGTCACGACATGTGGCCGAAAAGATTCCTATTTGGCGTCTGAGTCTCCTCATAGCTGTCCCCTCTGTGGGGAGGTTTACCCCGCCTGCCCCAGGCGGAGGGAACCTTCCCCGTGCTCTGCCCTGTTGCAGCCGGAACCTGGCTCTCCCAACATTCTCGCCAGGCACCGTTGTTATTTCTTTGGCTCTCTCTTTGATCGGACTGTGGGCTCAGGAGACAGGAGTCCTATTTATTGTTGTTTCCCAGGTACTCTGCAATAGCTGACACAGCACATGCTAAATAATACCTATTGAGGGCATGGGTGAGATCTTAGAGCCATGTTTAATCACTCACTTTGTCTTTTTTTTTTTTTTTTTTTTGAGATGGAGTCTCACTCTGTCACCCAGGCTGAAGTGCAATGGTGTGATCTCAGCTCACTGCAACCTCCACATCCTAGGCTCAAGCGATTGTCCTGCCTCAACCTCCCAAGCAGCTGGGATTACAGGCACCCGCCACCATGCCCAGCTAATTTTTGTATTTTTGTAGAGGTGGGGTTTTGCCATGTTGGCCAGGCTGGTCTCGAGCTCCTGACGTCAAGTGATTTGCCTGCTTCGGCGTCCCAAAATCCTGGGATTACAGGCCTGAGCCACCATGCCTGGCCTGTCCTCATTTGTTTATCCATCTCATTTTTTGTCCTTCTCACCAAAGATATGTTGCTTTGTCTTGTGGGGTTTTTTTCATGTGGATTCCTGAACCCCATCCAGCCCCTTGTCCCCTCCCCAGCCAGCTCACACTCTTTTGTCACAGCTCCTGGGACTCCCGCTGACACACAGGGAACAGCCACCCACAGTGGACTGCATTGTTCTGTTTGCACCCTTAAATTTATCGTGCTTACAGAATGACACTTCTGCAAACTAGTCAAGTAGGGGGAAATGGTTTGTGGATATGCACCCTTGTTCATTCTCTTTGAAAACGTAACCAGCTCTGAATTCTTTCTCCTTTGAGGAGTTTCACTTGTCGCCCAGGCTGGAGTGTAGTGGTGCAATCTTGACTCACTGCTACCTCCGCCTCCCAGGTTCAAGCAATTCTCCTGCATCAGCCTCCCAAGTAGCTTGGATTACAGGCATGCACCACCATGCTCACCTAATTTTTTTTTTTTTTTTTTTTTTTTTTTTTAGTAGAGATGAGGTTTCACCATGTTGTTCAGGCTGGTCTTGAACTTTTGACCTCAAGCAATCCACCTGCCTTGGCCTCCCAAAGTGCTGGAATTACAGGCATGAGCCACCATGCCCAGCCCCAGTTCTGAATTCTTAAGAAACTCGAGAGGGTCTAGGTGAGCATTGATAGAACCTCTGCAGTGCTGGGTGTGGTGGCTCACACCTGGAATGCTAGCCCTTTGGGAGACCGAGGTCAGAGGATCTCTTGAGCCCAGGAGTTTGAGATCGGTTTGCACAACATGGACCCCATCTCTACAAAATATTTAAGATGAGTTGTGGCTGGGTGCAGTGGCTGATGCCTGTAATCCCAGCACTTTGGGAGGCTGAGGTGGGTGGATCACGAGGCCAAGAGTTCAAGTCCAGCCTGACCAACATGGTGAAACCCCCGTCTCTACTAAGAAAACACAGAAATTAGCTGGGTGTGGTGGCATGCACCTGTAATCCCAGCTACTCAGGAGGCTAAAGCAGGAGAATCGCTTGAACTGGGGAGGTGGAGGTTGCAGTGAGCCGAGATTGTGCCACTGCACTCCAGCCTGGGTGACAGAGCAAGACTCCGTCTCAAAAAAAAAAAAAAAAAAAGTTGGGTATGGTCGTGCTTGCCTCTAGTCCCAGCTACTTGGGAGGCTGAGGTAGGAGGATTGTTTGAGCCCAGTAGGTCAAGGCTGCAGTCCGCCATAATTGCACCACTGTACTCCCACCTGGGTGACAGAGTGAGACCTTGTTTCAAAAAAGAACCTTTGCAATGATGGAAATGCCCCATGTCTGCACTGTCTGAAATGGTAGCCACTAGCTACATGTGGCTATTGAGATCTTGATATATGACTAGGTTAACTGAATTTATTTGGTTTAATTAAAAAAAAATTTTTTTTGAGACAGCCTCACTCTGTTGCCCAGGCTGGAGTGCAGTGGCATAATCACAGCTCACTGCTCAGCCTCCTGGGCTCAAGTGATCCTTCCTCCTCGGCCCCCCAAGTACCTGGAGCCACAGGCGTGCACCACGACACCTAGCAAATATTTAGCCTTTTTATAGAGACTGGGTTTCACTGTGTTGCCTAGGCTGATCTTGAACTCCTGAGCTCAAGTGATCCTCCTGCCTCGACCTCCCAAAGTGCTGGGATTACAGACCTGAGCTACCATGCCCAGCCTGGTTTAGTTTAATTTCATTTTACACTCATTCATTCATTCATTCATTCATTCATGAGATACGGTCTTGTTCTGTCACCCAGGCTGGAGTGTAGTGGTGCAAACACAGCTCACCACAGCTTTGACCTCCGGGACTGAAGCAGTCCTCCCACCTCAGCCTCCCAAGTAGCTGGGACCACAGGTGTGTGCCTCCATGCTTGGCTAACTTTTGTACTTTTTGTAGGCTAGTCTTGAACTCCTAGGCTCAAGCAGTCCTCCCACCTCGGTCTCCCAAAGTGCTTGGATGACAGACAGGAGCCAGCGTGCCTGACCTAAAGACATATTTTTCCTTCTAGTGTAGTTCAGCCTTAAGACTGTATCAGCAGATAGAGATGGAAAAGTAAGAAAAATTGAGTATCAGATTATATTTATAAATAAAGCAGTTACTAATTGATGTTTTTTTTTAAACTTCCTTTTTAATTCTGGGTTACATCATTCCCTGGCTGTCTTTTTTTTTGTATTTTTTTTTTATTATTATACTTTAAGTTTTAGGGTACACGTGCACATTGTGCAGGTTAGTTACATACGTATACATGTGCCATGCTGGTGTGCTGCACCCACTAACTCGTCATCTAGCATTAGGTATATGTCCCAATGCTATCCCTCCCCCCTCCCCCCATCCCACAACAGTCCCCAGAGTGTGATGTTCCCCTTCCTGTGTCCATGTGATCTCATTGTTCAATTCCCACCTATGAGTGAGAATATGCGGTATTTGGTTTTTTATTCTTGCGATAGTTTACTGAGAATGATGATTTCCAATTTCTCCCTGGCTGTCTTTACCCTAGCATCAGTGAGTCCTGCAGTCACTACATCCCCCAGTGAGGACAGATATTTTGGTCACCATCAAGTGGATCTTTATTTTTATCTAACATTTACAATTCTGCCAGTTCTTACTCGTAATTCTCTTTGCCTTGAATCCCAGGATCCACCTCTGATGTTCAGTGAAGAGTACCAGAAAAGTCTGCTAGAGCAGTACCATCTGGGTCTGGATCAAAAACGCAGAAAATACGTGGTAGGAAAGCTCATCTGGAATTTTGCCGATTTCATGACTAACCAGTGTAAGCAGCAGTTTAGCGCATGGGATAATGTACCCGTCCTCATTTTTTCAGGTTGCCTTGCCCATTCTGGACATTTTGGCTGTAAGAATATTGGAAACAAAGGGGGGAAGCTGGTTTAATCCATGTAGGTTGCGTTGAGAATTTCCTAGGAAAAGTAAGTTGTGCTTAGGAAGTAGGAAAGCAGTCAGGCCCCCGCTTCCCACATACGGTCAAAAAGCAAACATGAGAGTCTGCTATAGTGAGATGGAAATGGCTAGCTTGCCTTTTTCTTGTCTATTTCATAGCCAAGGATGAAGGAAAAACTGGACCTCATTTTGGATTTACTTTTGGGATACACTCATTATTCCAGAGGAGGGTAAAAGGCTGAGAAGCTTAAGGTATTTCAGTCTGTTTTATGTTACTCATTTGCGAAAAGCAGGCTCATCGAATACAAGTGAGTTTCAACGCGTCTTGAATATGGCAGCATTTAAAAGTCTTCAGACCAGGCATGGTGGCTCATGCCTGTGATCCCAGCACTTTGGAAGGCCAAGGTGGGAGGATTGCTTGAGGCCAGGAGTTCGAGACCAGCCTGTTCAGCATAGCAGGAACCCCATCTCTACAAAAACTAAACAGATTAGCTAGGTGTGGTGGTGTGTGCCTGTAGTCCTAGCTGCTTGGGAGGCTGAGGCAGGCGGATAGCATGAGCACAGGAGTTGGAGGCTGCAGTAAGCTGTGATTACACCACTGCACTTGAGCCTGGGCAACAGAGTGAGACCTGTCTTTAAAAAAAAAAAGGAGCTGGGCACGGTGGCTCATGCCTGTAATCCCAGCACTTTGGGAGGCCAAGGCAGGCAGATTATGAGGTCAGGAGATCGAGACCATCCTGGCTAACAGTGAAACCCTGTCTCTACTGAAAATACAAAAAAAATCAGCCGGGCGTGGTGGCGGGTGCCTGTAGTCCCAGCTGCTCGGGAAGCTGAGGCAGGAGAATGGCGTGAACCCAGGAGTTGGAGCTTGCATTGAGCCGAGATTGTGCCACTGCACTCCAGCCTGGGCGACAGTGAGACTGCTTCTCAAAAAAAAAAAAAGAAAGGGTCTTCAAAGACAATAAGATCTGGGCTCTCACGTAGGGTGGATGAGGGGCTGCCAAGTTAGCAATGAATGTTTCCCATTTCTTCTTAGTTTATGGACTTTCCATAAACTCAGGATGGCAGTTTGGTTGGTTGGAGAAGGATATGGTGATGGCGGGAGTTACAATACATTACTTATAGGGGAAGATAGGCTTTTGAAAGGTTAAAGCTTAAAAGTGAGAATGGAAAAGGGATGAATGAATGAACATGATGAGGTGAGAGGGAAGAGGTAAAGGGAAAAGGAGAACAAGAAACTCTTCTCTGCGTGGCACCTGGGATGAATGGTTTCTGGGGACATCCCTGATGGCAGTTTTGTGGAGAGGTGCAAAGCTTTATGTGGTAAGAAATGAGCTGTAGCCTCAGTGCAGTGGCTCATGCCTGTAATCCCAGCACTTTGGGAGGCCGAGGTGGGTGAAAAGAAAAAATGGGCCGGACGCAGTTGCTCACGCCTGTAATCCCAGCACTTTGGGAGGCCGAGGTGGGCGGATCATGAGGTCAGGAGTTTGAGAGCAGCCTGGCCAACATGGTGAAACCGTGTCTCTACAAAAAAATAGAAAAAAAATCCCTGCATGGTGGTGAGTACCTGTAGTCCCAGTTACTCAGGAGGCTGAGGCATGAGAATCGCTTAAACCTCGGAGGCGGAGGCTGCAGTGAGCTGAGATGGTGCCACTGCACTCCAGCCTGGGTGACAGAGCTGGGTGGTGGCTCAAGATATGTTTTGTAAACCTGAAGATTTGAGATCATATAAGCCAAATCGAAACTTAACTGGCATTCCTAACTTTTGGTTCTAGAGACTCCATGATCAACTAAGAGCCACCAAACATTTCCCATGTAGACTATTTTGACCATGCTGACTCTACTGACACTTTGGTTACTGAATTCACTTTATCTCTAGAAATTAATTCTTACTAATGGATGTCTGTCACTGTAAGATCCTTCTATCCTCTGAAATAAGGAGAACATTTTAACTTCAGTAGTTTAAACTAGTGTCCTAAACTATAGCATTCAAAATGAGATAATATGCTAAAGTAATACACAAACCAAAAATCCCAGTGGCTAACACAAAAAGTTTTTCTTACTCATTTTACTCATTCTTACTCATTTTACATATCCATACAATAGAAGTATATGTCTTTTGAATAGCTTTTATTTTATACTAATTATTTTATAATACATTCACTTCAAATTTTGGTTTAAAGTGTTTGTCATAGATATAGATAAAATAAAACAAATGGGAAATTGATTTTATGGTCTTGAATGAGATGATTATATTAATCTAGCAAATGAGTTAAATCAACAGAATTTTGAAAAATATGTAGTGGGTAATAGCTAATAATAATGTTTTTATGTGTAACTGATTTTATAACATTCAACCAAGTTTGTTTTTGTTAGGCCTGATAATATCAGAAGTAGTATGTTTGTAATTTCAGTGTTTATTACTAATATTATACATCCCTCAATTGGCATAATTATAATATTTTAACTAAAATATACTGTGAAATTATACATTCTAGGCACTGTGCTGGGCTTCTGGCAAAATTATAAAGTTGCTTTATTAAATTCATACATGCGGAAATCTAATATAAATTTTATACATATATTTTTTATCATAAGAGTATATAGTATTTCTTAGGGAATTTCAATGAACCTGGAAAATCTTATATACTTTAGTGCAACTGTAAGTTACTACACTTGGAGAAAAAAATTATTGATATTTTCATAGTGCAAAAGTATACATATGTGCTAGTCTCAGCATCTAGATTAAAAGTCCACCCTTGAACCTAAAATAAAAGTTAAAATATTTTTAAAAAGAATCTATCCTACAGAAGTAAAGGCATATATGTGATCCTCGATATACAAGAATGCTTTCACAGCATTGTTTATGATGGCAAAATAAACCGGAATTAAACATGAGTTTCTTCAACAGGTAATTGGTAGAATAGTTTTTGTATCCTTGTAATGGAAAAATTTTAAGATATTAAAAGATAAGTTAGTTTGCATGTATTTACCTGAAGCTATGTCTGCACCTATATGCAAAATAGGAGTTTGCAAAATAATATACATGATATCATTCACTTCATACAGAGTATTGGTTAACACATTAAAGAATTTTCTGTGTAGGACCAAGTTAAGGAATTTACATGCATTGGCTGATTTAATTCTCACATAAATCAGCTGATAGAGCAGTTTTATCATTCTCATTGCATCCCTGAATCTTAGGTGCATAGAGTTTCAATAAATTGCCTGGAGTTACACAGGGAAAGAATAAAGTTACTCAATTATTAGGATTTTGAGAACTTCAGAATAAAGAAAGCATGTTTAGTTCCCCCTGCCCCCCACCCCACCCACCCCGGGTACGTGGCTGTTTTCCCTGGTTTCAGTTAACCAGCATTCAACTGAGGTCTAAAAATAGGTGAGTGTATAACAACAAGATATTTTGAGAGAGAGTAAGAGACCACATTCATCTACTTTTATTACAGTACATTATAAATGTTCTATTTTATCATTTTTATTGTTGTTAGTTTCTTACTATGCCTAATTTATAAATTAAACTTTACCATAGCTATGTATGTATAGAAAAAAAATACATAGTACAGTATATATAGGATTTGAACTACCTACAGTTTCAGGCAACCACTGGGGGTCTTGGAATGTATCCTCTATGGATAAGAGGGATTACTATATTTCCTACGTTTCATAATGGCATTCTTTTGGAATAGATTAAATGTCATGCATGGGATTTGAGCTTATTAATTTTATTATAACATTTGACAACATCTCTTGAAATTCTGATGCACACATAGAAAATATCAAACCAGATGGAAGTATTATGTGCTATATCCTTGGTTGAATAAATATACCCACAATGATTAATCAATGGGTACGTTTATGGGTAGTTTGAAAGAAAAAATAATATACTTCTGGGTTCTATTGCTGGCACTATTGTGAATACAAATGTTATCAATCATGTAACTATTAGGCTGCTCACAAATACTTTAGTTTTTCTCATACTATACAAATAATAAGATGGCAGTATTTCATCCTGCTTGAAGGTAAATGAAACCACTTTACTTGTTTTGACCAATGTCATTTGAATAGAAGGAATTTTTACAAGGCCTTCCCATGGTCCCTTATGAGCTGTATTAGCATGAGTTGTGACAGAGTTTTTATCAGGTGTCTTCCTAAATGACTAAGTCTCCTTGTAAACTTATTATAGAGACTGAATTGGTTTTAGATGTGAAAGTTATTTATTACTGCAGTATAGTATAGGTCATCTTAACTGATACACATAACAAAATGGAATGTTTGGTTTAGAAATATACAAATGTCCCTACCAGGGGAAATTAGACAATTGACTTAATAATAAAACTAGTATTTAATTTCAGGAATTCAGAATTTATAGTATATAATATATTTATGTATATATATTATACTGTAGATATATTCACAAAGTTAATTTTTGATTAATAACTTACAGAAAGCTCTGCACTTGAGATTTATAAACTTGCTGAAAAAAATTCAGTAAGAAAACTCTATTTTAGTATATGCTTAATGAAAATATCTTGGTGGAAACCCTAAACTCTAAAACTACCCTGTGGTATTCAGAATGAGTCAAGCAAAACCCATAATAAATGACTTTATAGGTAGCTTTTGGATACAGCTCTAGGTTTAAAATTTGAGAATAAGGTTGGCAGATTCTATTCTTTACAAAGGAAGGGCTGTCACAGCAGTGTGTGCCTGGAACCCATTTTAAATAAAGGAAAAATTTAAGAGCTGGCATTTTAACCATCATATGTCTAATACATAATGATGCTTCATAAGTTATTGAGACCTCCCTCGATCTCTGGGATAGTTGGAGCAATGGCTGAATATAAACTATCAGAAAAATTGAATCTAATTCTGTCAATAAGTGAGAAAATATTCTAAGATTCTTTAAATTTTAATTCTGGGTTTTTGAACCCATTGATATGTAAAATATAACAAAATAAGGTGGACACTGTTTAACTGCAGTTGGTATCAATTCTTATGTACTGAATTTAAGGAGAGAGATGTTATCACCGTAGGAAATTATACCAACTAATGACTGCATACCATTATTATATTTTCTGAAGTTTGAATTTTCAGTTAATGCACTTTCAGTGATATTAAAGAGCACTTTATTGACAGCTATTTGAAGGGTAATTTATATACAGAGAACTGCACATATTTAACTTGTATACTTTAATGAGTTTAAACATCTGCAAACACCCCCGATACTGTCACCACACTCACTTGGATATGATTCACATAAACATATCCAAGACCCCCCGAAATTTATTTTAAACCCCTTATGTGTGTATGTATGTGGTGAGAAGACTGAATTTGAGACCCAGCCTCAACAAATTTTGACATGCACAATATTATAGTATAAACTATTGGCACTATATTGAACAGCCGCTCTCTAAAATGTATTTATCTTGCACAACAAAGTTCATATTCCTTGAAAAACTTCCCATTACCCCACAACAGAGCCTTTGGAAACTACTGTGGTCTTCTCTGCCTCTGTGAGTTTGACTATTATAGATACCTCATATAAGTGGAATTCTGCAGTATTTGTCCTCTTGTGACTGGCTTATTTCACTTAGCATAAGATCCCTTAGGTTCATCAATATTGTCACCAATGGCAGGATTTTCTTCTTAAGACTGAAAAATATTCTATTGTATATATATACCTCAATTTCTTTATCCATTCATCTGCCAATGGGCATAGACATGGGTCATTTCCATATCTTGGCTATTGTGAAAAATGATGCTATAAATGTGGGAGTGCAGATATCTCTACAAGATCCTGATTTTAATTGTTTTGGATATGTATCTAGAAATAAGAGTGCTGGATCGCCTGGTAATTCTATTATTTTTAGCTTTTGGAGGAACCTCCATACTGTTTTCATAGTTGCTGTATCATTGTACATTCTCAATGTACAGTGTATAGAGGTTCCAAATTCCCTACATCCTCACCATTTATCTTTTGGTTTTTTGAAAATCAACATCCTAACAAGAGTGAGGTAATATCATTTTGATATTACTATTTGCAATCACTTTTTGAATATGACATCAAAAGCACAGGAAACAGAAGCAAAAAATAGGCAAGTTGGACTATATCAAACTAAAAACAAACAAGAAAAACAAAAACCAAGCAAACTTCTACACAGCTAAGGATACAATCAACAGAATGAAAAGGCAATCTATAAAATGAGAGAAAATATTTGCAATCCATATATGTGATAATGGATTAATTTTCAAAATATATAAGAAATTCCTACAATTTAATAGCAAAACATGCATAATCTGATTTAAAAATGGGCAAAGGATTTGAACAGACATTTCTTCAAAGAAGATATGCAGATGGCCAACAGGTACATTAAAAAATATGCTCAACATCTTTAATTATCAGGGGCATGCAGATTAGTAGAACTTTCAAGTAAATAAATAAATAACTCTACTTCACAGACTAACCTATAAAATGCTGAATTTTGTTATGTAAAATGTTACAGAAATAATTTCCTCACAATTGTGTTAATTCGTTTGTGCTACTATTACAAAATATTTACTACCTGGTCATTTATAAAGAGCAGAAATTGATTTTTCACAGTTCTGCAGGCTGGAAATCCAAGATGAAGTCACCTGTAGTTCAGTGTCTGCGTCTAAGAGAGCACTTTGTTGCTGCACCCGCCAGAGGGAAGAAATACTGTATCTTCTCATGAAGGAAGGAACCGAAGGTGGGAATAGGGACCAACCTCCCTCTTTCAAGCCTTTTTGTAGTGACATTAATTCATTTATGAGGATTCCACCATCATGACATAATCATTTCCCAAAGGATTTCACCTCCTCCCACTGTTGCATTGGGGATTAATTTTCCAACACATGAATTTTGAGGGACACATTCAAACCATAGCAACTGGTATATAGTAACTAGGTGGCCTGATGGTCTTCATAATAAAGTTATATTTTACTTTAGTATAAAATAAAAGGTCAAGGCTTGTAACTGTCATGAGACTGCTTCATGTATATCTCCCCTAGTGACTATCACAGTTGACTGACAGCTCCTGGGGTTCATCTTTGTATCCATCACTACCTATAGTCCAAAATCCCCATCTCACAGCTGTTGTCAGCCAATGACAAAGCATAGTGAGGTGCTGTTCCTGCTCAATATGGAGGAAAACTTTGGCTTGATAACTCTCCATTGGCCTGCCAAAATATGTTAAGTATTGTGCTACTATCTGAAACTCATTTTACCTAACCTTTTTTATTTTCTTTCCTCCTTCATAAGGTTTACAAGTATTGTGGCTGAAGGCTGTGTCTATTCCTGCTTCCTCCACCTCACCTTGCAAAAGTGTTTATCCAAATAAATCCCTCACACATCTAATCCCATTTTGGCAAATTCAGTTTCAGAACTTTGCCTTCACTACTAGTCTCAAGGAAAATATATTAATACACACACACACACACACATGCATGCACACACACACACATATGTATATATTTCCCAATCTATTATAGGTAAAATATACTCTTATCACGAATAAATCCAAATTGTGAATGCTTAAAATATACTTTACAGAATATTAAAATTTAAAAGCATCACAGGAAAAATATTAATACTGTTTTCAGAATTTCAGTATGTGAATAATATTTACATTACAGTTTCATATGAACCTTTTACTTCTCTATTTAGTATGCCTTCATGTCACTGCAGAGGTATGAAAAGGAGAGCTCTCCTAGTTGTGAAAAAAGAAACATGTTTTATTGGGAGCTAAGTGGAAGGTTGAACATGTGGGAATATCTGGGCATGCACTGAAGACACCTTTTGCATCTCCCCCATCCACATAGCAAAGTGAATGTGGTTTGTGTCCATTTATGCAGGATACTCTGGAAAACCAAACTGAAGCAAGGTTAACATACATTTTTAAAAGAAAACTAAAGGAAAACAACACATACTTTATTACCTATCAAAGTAACCACTTCATTATATTTTAGTGGAAGCTATTATTTATTATCGAATTATTTGCTTGGGCAGGAGGATACAGGGTTTTTCCATTTGGGTTGTATATGTTCCTCATGAGAAAAGCTGAAGACAAAATCTTACCCTTCTGCCCAAAGTCAATTGAATCAACATGTTTACCTTGCTCCACGGAGCTGCTAACCTACTGGCTGGGTGTTGTGTGGCTTGGCAATGGAGTTCTGCATGACAGGAACAATGGTTTTTAAGTGGACTAATCAGAGCTATTAATGCATATGCAGTGAAGGCAGGAACTTTGCTACATGCAGGGCTTATCATTTTGCTAATAACAATGCCTGGCACAGATTAGCGATGTGTTGAAATAAAACATATTCTGGGAGATATAAGATAGAGAAAGAGAGCAGCATGTAGTAGAAATAGATGTCGAAAGATGAATTAAGATGATGCATTAAGCTTGAAACGTGAGGCAGAGAAAGCTGTACATAAGTTGAAGGCTTTGAGTTAAAAGACTATAGGAATTAGATGAGTGGGGGCTATGGAGAACAGAGAGAATTTAGAGTGTGGACAAGTGTTCTATGAGCAGAGACTGGGACTAGCCAAAACGTGATGATGGGCAGCTAGCTTGGAAAGAATGCTTACAACGTGAAAATTATATATTTATAAAAGGCCATTACTTCTGTTAAAGAACAATAGACCCCAGTGAAAAGAAAGGAAATTGAAAAATAGAGAAAATGTGGAGAAAACTAGAATCTCTATAGACAGCGTCAATGCAGCATCAATTATATGAACCACTTTTGAGCACAAAGAACTATTGTTTTGACCTTGGAGGCAATTTGGTCTTCATTAGGTTTAGCTGTAGGATAGTTGATGTTCATTATTCCCTATAACACTTGTGATGGCAAAACCTTCACAAATTTATATGATCTAGGTATGTTTTCAATCCTTACAACCCAAATAACCGATCATAACTCTCACTATGTCATTTGAAAAAAAAAATGATCATCAGAAGTGTAATTCAATTAGCAAGTATCAGTAGTGGAGTATAAATTATTATTGGTTAATACTAAGTATGATTGAAAAATCGTAGTAGATGGAAATATGGGAATCTTTATTTTGGATGAATAAACTTTATGCCTAAAACATATGTTTATAAAAAATACTTTGTGAATAAACCCATTGTCTAATATTTAAAAGAGTTGAAGTATGCTATTATAAGATCTTCCTTAATTGATGAAATGATGCAAAGCCAATAATATTGCTCCACTTACTGAAGTATAGAGATGAAGAGAAAACTTTTTCTTTATTCCATGTTCTATATAAGTCAAGAACTAGAGCTCAAGATTAAGATTTTTGTTTTTTGTTTTTTTTCCATTTCCCTGGGAACAGAGCAACAGTCTTTCTGGGTCTAAAACATCCTTTTTTCAGTACACCCCACAGCATCCTATAGAAATATGTTGCAATCAGTTGCCAAGTCACATCCTAGCTTAATGTCAGCAATTTTCTTTCTGAACCAATTTTGCACTCAGCATTAAGAGGAAATATTGAAGGGAGACATACCTTTTATGTTTGTAAAATTTATACTTCTTGAGATAAAAAAGCAACTATATCCATTGTCGTGGGATCTTGAGAAGAAATAAGAAAATGAAATATTATAGAAAATATTATATTATTTAATTGTCCTGTTCTAAAACACTTTCTAAGCCTGCCTGTTTTTTTGCCAAATTAAATTAATATTTGGATGTAGACAGCTTTTCAGAGTGGCAGTATCATAGTCAATGAAGATGACCTGAGGCACAGTTATTGCTAATTGGACATAGAAACCACCTTCACTCATATATAAAAATTATTATGTGCTACACTAGATATTTCAGGAGAATTGATAAAAGAAAGACTGTTGTATTCATATGCTTGTCTTCCTGGCTAGAGGATCTGTTTTAATTAATCAGCTCATGGAGTTTGGAAAATATTTATAGTATACATAGCTGAGTGTTCATGTAAATTTTGAATACATTCATACATCTTTTTTTTAAAAAAAGATTGAACTTCAAAACCATTTTCTTACATACTCAGTAGAAGTTGTTATGAGCCAACATTTTTTGTGAGCTATACTATTTTAAACATCTAAAGTAAATTATTTGACATATAAAAAGACTTCTTCATTTAAAAATATATCTTTTAAAAATAATTTTACAAGTGATGGCATCTCATTTTAGAAGAAGAGGCATCAATGACAGCAGTTACAGTAACTCGATGCTGAATATGTTTTTAAATACAAGATGCTGTGTTCAGCATTGTACATACATTATCAAATTTTATTCTGATAATATGCTGCATGATGTATTAGGCTGGGTTCTCTCAGACAGAACCTACACGTATACTTATATATATATACACATGCATATACATACACATACAGAGAGAGAGAAAGAGAGAGAGAGAGAGATCTCTACATTTATTAGAGGAATTGGATCATGCGATTATGGGGGCTGAGAAGTTCCAGGATAGGTTGTCTGCAAGCTGGAGAACCAGGGAAGAGAGTAGAGTAGCTTTCTCCAAGTCCTGAAGCTTCAGAACTAGGGAAACTGATGGTATAACTCTCAGTCAGAGGCCAATGGACTGAGAACTCAGACAGCCACTTTGCAACTCCTGGAATCCCAAGGCCAGAGAGCCTGGAGTTTGGATGTCCAAAAGCACCAGAAGGAGGGTGTCTTAGGTCCAGGAGAGAGTGAGCTTTCCTATGCATTTTTGTTTTATCCATACCCCTGACCAATTGGATGGTGCCCACCCGCATTGAGGGTGGGTGTCCCTCTATTAAATATTTTAACTATAATTTTAACTGTGATATAGGCACTGAATTCTTGTTGCTAATAATCTGGTAAGATCCATCTGAACTATGAAGTGAGTACCTGGAGGAACTCCTACATTTTAGGCTTTCAAAGGTTACAGGCTTTTCGTGTGTGTGTGTGTGTGTGTGTGTGTGTGTGTGCGTTTTGAGAAAAATGGAATTCAAACACTGTGATTAGAATGTATGTTTACTTATATAGAATTAATGAATGTATATAATAATAATTACTGTATATAATTTTAAAATATAATAAAGTCTCTTTATCCATGTGGTGTTAGTCTGTCTCTTCCATTTTGTTTTTCTTCCCTTCTTGAGCACTCCTTGCTTTTTTACCCATGGCCACTGTTTGATAATGAACATATTTGTAGCTTCTCATTTTAAGTCCCTTTCGACACTTTCAGAGACTTTATCCTGCAAATTTGGAAAGGTTTTTCTTTTCCATAATATAATTTTCCAAATGTTGGCTACTTGTTTAATTTTTTAAACATGCAATTGTTTTGCTTGTTTGCTTCACCTGGCAGCTCTCTCTAAAACCTGAGTCACTATTCCTTTTGAACTCTGCTAAAAACATTATCATCTTCTCCAGGAGCTGAGGTGAAAGATGATGTTTTATTCTACTGCTTTAGTAGGAAGGAATTATTGTCTAATTCGAGTGCAAAATATCTTGTACCATTGATCATCTTTCTGGCAATAGACATCACAGTCTGCTTCCTAACCATTTCATCTCAGGCATTGTGCTGATTACCCCTTCAGGACTCTGGAGTCCACCGTTTTGCTGTAATTTCTTTAACCACCTGCCAACTCACTAAGGGCATTTGCTTAGTGTTTAATGTTCACCTCCCAAATCAGTCTTTTTAATTGAATAGGCTATTTTTTTCACATTTCATATTCAAGCTTAACTTCCCTTTTGTAATATAGGCAGATGTTAAGATCACGTCAGCACTGCTGTGCAAAGGTTTATGGCATATATTATTTTATATCTTTGTTCCACTGTCTGTCCTAAAATAAAAATCAATTGGTTTTTTGTTTGTTTTCTTGTTTTTAACATATCAACACAAACCAAAGTATTCTGTATGCTCCATTGATACCATCTCGTTGTTTGGATAGGCAAGATAAACACGTCTTAAGTTTTTAAAGGTTACAGAAGGGTTGAGAATGATGGAATCCAATCACTGATTAAAAATGTGTGTTTACTAGGTAGTATTTAAGAATGAATGCATATAATAATTATTGCTATTTTTAATTTAAAAATATAATAGGGACCTTTTGTCAATGTGGTGAGAGTCTTTCTATGTCCAGTCTGTTTTTTTGCCCTTCTAGAGCACTCCTTGCTTTTTTACCCATAGCCTTTGGATGATAATCAACAACATATATGTTGCTTCTCATTTTAAGCACTTTTCAATACTTGCAGAAACTTTAGTATATCACGGACATATATGAAATTGTGAGGGCTTTGTTATTGAGATTTTTAATTAAAATAAAATTATCATAATCATAATAAAATACATTTTATAGTAAAATATTAAAATACAAATATAATAATAAAGCAAAACTATAGTAGCATCTTTCTCTAGATTGCAATTTAAAGAAGAAACATTGACTTCCTTATGTTGGAATCAATCTTTTTAAAAAGTTTATATTTTAGGTTTACGGGTACATGCGAAGGTTTGTTATATAGATAAACACATGTCATGGGGGGGTTGTTGTACATAACATTACATCACCCAGAAATTAAGCTCGGAATCTTTTTCTTTCATTTTTAGCTATATTATTTCCCTTATGGTGGACCATAAATCTAAAATGTAATTAAATGTCCATCCTCCAAAAATGGAAATGCAAGCATGTGCATGTCTTTAAAGGTAAGACACAGAAGCTGTCAATATAATTTGTACAGAATTTATATTTTTAATCCATGTGTCCACATACAAGGTGGAATGCCCATTGTATGAGGAACATTCTGTACATTGATTATGTGTAATTGAATGCAAGAACTTATACAGAGGTACATTAAGATGAAGAAACATGTTTATCTTGTTCTCTCTTCTCTGTAGCATTGAAATTTCAGCTGCAAAGAAAAGGGTAGGCAAGTCAGGGCAATGTCAATTTTTCTCAATTAAAACAATTTTAAAATCCAAATGAATACTAAGGGGAGAAAGAGAGCCAACTACCCATAAGTATTTATAATTTGATTAAAATTCTGTTTTGTTGAACTCTCCACATTATTTAATAAGAGGTAGTGAGCTTAGGATAGCTTACCCTGCTCAGATAAACCATTACAAGCTTTGCAATTTACTAATCATCAATCTGAAGCAATTTTCTGTAATATTTTAGCCCCTCTTCACTGATACATAAAGAGAACTTGCATATAAAAACAATAGAGGAATTCAAGATGCTCTGCATTTAAAATCTCAACTGTAGAAATGATTTTCTGCCATATCTAGTAATTCAGAGCTAGACAAAACCATTAATTTAATTATATACCTGCTATGGTTTGAATGTGTCCCCCAAAGTTTATGTGTTGGAAACCTAATTCTCAATGTAATGGTGTTGGGAGTTAGGGCCTAATAAGAGGTGATTAAATTATGAGAGTTCTGTCCTCATGAATGGACTAATATCATTTTCCTTGGAGTGGGTTAGTTATTATGAGAATGGGTTTGTTATAAAGACAAGTTTGGCCCATTCTTGCTCGCTTGCTTTTGCCTACTCTTGACCTTCTGCTTTCTGCCATGGGATGACAGAGAATGTAGGCACTCACCAGATGCCGTTGCTATGCATTTGAATTTCCAGTCTCCAGAACCATGAACCATGGTTCATTATAAATTTAACAAGTCTGTGAGAGTCTGTTATGAGTATAAAATGAACTAAGTCCCTAATGTGCAATATGAAAAAATGAATACCAGATTAATCTCTCAGACTACCTTTCACTATCCAGTGCAGAGAGAATCAGTCCAGGGTAAAACTAACTTTATGTAATGAAGGATAAAAGGAAGAAATCAAATTAACGAAAATGGATGCATGGATTAGAAAAAAAAATCGTTTAAAAAATCAAATGGTTGTACCCAAAGGAGACACAATGCATGGTTTAAGTGGGAAACCTCACTGACCATGACATTTATTTTTAATTAGCAATTCAACTAATGTATAGCATCAGTAACATTGTCAATAATTATCTCCCAAGCTTTGTCATTGTATATAATTTATAGAACTCTCCATATATGTTGTTGTTTCATACATTTACAATATTTTTAAAATTTAAACCAGTAGTCTAATGTAATAAGAACTATTTCACCATGAAAGATAAAGAGTGTAATAATTCCTGTCAAAAGTCCAATGGACATTGTCTAGGTAAGCAGAATCCAGATAGTTCACCTGAAAAATAGTAAAATGTCCAAACAGCTTCATAAATAAATAGACTATGTTTAATCTTAAAAAAACTGCTAATATACGTATTTGATATTAAGAATTTTAAAATTAATTTCACTGGAGTTTGAGACTCTTAATTTAGAGAAAAATATAACATTTTATATATACAGTTTTTGAATTCAATTTTTTTAACAATTGAAAAACCATACCATGCTAAGAATTTGCATTTGAACACTGAAATATTCTCTAAGTGGCCTGTTAGTGTATTAAAATTTCCTCTTAAACCTTTTTATTTTTATGTTTTTTTTAAAGCTCCTAGTGGAAGCTTTGGCTACATAAAACGTATTTCATAAAGTTTGACTCTGAAGCATAATGCCAATTGCACAGTTGCCCACATTGAGCTATGAGTGGGCAGCGTTTTGTAACCATGGATATGGTGAACTTAATGTGAGAGCCATATTCATCTGAGGCTTGCAAGGGTTGGACAGTGCCCTACCTAGATATTCTTTACTGGGTCAGTGAGCAATCTCCAGCTGCCAAGTGATGTCAGCTCACTCCAAAGAATTGGCCTTGTCTGACAGAAGTATGCCCAATCAAATGTATGCATATGAATCACTGTCTTAAATTCTACTTCTAGAAAATCCAAACTATGAGACTCTTATTAAGAAAAATAAGCAGTATTTTTCTGAAATTCTTATTCTTTCTTTTTTTCCCAATATAAAAGGTTTTTTTTTCTTTTGCTAGTATTGCAGATTTTGTTTCACATAGCATTCTTTCTCTCTCTCTTTCGCTCCTTCTCTCTTTGTCTGAGAGCGGTCAGGGATTATTATCAGTCTGTCATCGGTCAGGGATTATTTGATTTAACCTTCACAGTGGTTTTAGCAGATAGGGAGCATTATCATAACTGGTTTTGTTTTGACAACAGTTAGAGTAGCTGTAAATTGGATAATGTAAATATTGGCCAAGGTCACACATTTAGTAAGTGGTGCAGTTGAGATTGCAATCTGGTCTGTCTGACTCTAGAGTAACGGAACTCTTAACTGCTATGCCGCACTGCATCCCCTTATAATTTAGGGAGCCCAGTGTTGGTGAACGGTAGGACCTATCACCAGCTCCCTCATAGTCCAATTAGATGATCAAATATCCTTTTCAAATATTCAGGCACAGAGAATTGGGCAAATTATAATTATATATGTAGGGAGAATGTATATGAATATGCTTTACACGTCTATATAATTTAATGAAATTCATCCAGGTATGTTCATTTGGGGCAATATCCTTGTGAGGCATTGTGGAAATAAACTAATGATTTCAAACAGAAAGGAAAAGAAAAACGGGATGGTAGGAGTTCTGTTAGACAGGTATTCTGTCCTTTCCCCTACCTACTAACTTAATGCAACTTTGCAAATCTATAGTAGGTTTTCTTTAGGACTACACTGCTCTGATCCTTTGTTTATGTTTTTCTCTCATCCATTGTGGATTCTAATGCCCTCAGTACTGAATAATAAACACAAGTCTGATGGTAGGGGCTACCTAATGAACTCTACACCCTATATCTGCATTTGTATATTTTTTCTTAATTTATGTTAGCTTCTTTGGTCTAAAGGTAGGAACTTAAACTTCCTAATATTTATTTTCACTTGCATTAATGATCTTTTGTTTAGAATTATTTATGTACTCATAATATTGCTCCTTAATGTATTCTCAAATGTGTTACTTGGAATCTTTCTTACAGAACTTTGGCATGTTTCTATGTTTATACTTCTGGGTTTTTTTTTTAATTCTTTAATTATCTAAATTTTTAATATCTGATTTATTTAATTTTGTATATAACTTTTATTCTCATCAATGTTTACCTGGAATAGTACAGGGACAAATTCCAATATTCTTACTTATCACAGCATATTACTTGGCAAGTCCTCAGATTTATCAGTATTATATTTGAAGATAAAGAACTATCTAATAAAACAGAATAAAGACATTCAAAAGTTAAATTTTAAAAATTTCATCAGTGGATTTTAATTGGGAAATATGCATGTTTCAATAAACACTATAAATTGTTTCTGGAACCTGTGCATCTTTCTTCTGCCAAATTGCATTTGGAACATTTTTATGAAATTAATTGTTCAACCTTGTTAATGAGTATTCTTTTTGCAGCTCATCATAATTTTTAGAGGTCATTATGATTTTGTCACGTTATTTTAATCACTTATTTGCATATTATTTGTATAATTTGGTAAAAATGAGACACTAAAATAAATAATGAGGAGATGAAAATTAGTTTCTTGGAAAAAACATCTCTCATTCCTCTGGAATGAGTTGCATGTCTTTGTTCAAGTTTGCTATTGTTGTACGTTTTTAAAATCGTGATTAATACATAGTAAACAACATTATAGGTTGTTTATTAATTTCAAATACACAGAGTTTTTTCCTGAAATAAATATGATCAGATAGTAGACATTGATTTGATAACTTTAAACTGAAATATATAGTTATTTAATTTAAAATCAAACCTACAAAAATTGTAAAGAGATACAGAAGGTACTGACTTATTTGGTGTTTTTAAGAACAAATGTGAAAATGCGATTGATAAAATTATTATTTATACTCTATGTATGTGTTACACACATATGTATGTTTATAAATATATGTATATGATTGTTTGTGTATGTAAGTATATTTCTCCTAAATCCCTCACTTCAGTCTTATTTCTTCTATAATCTAGTGTTGAGAGGTGAACATTCATAATATATCCATGGTTGTAACCAAAATCTCTGATTGTAATTAATCCACATATTATTTCTTTGTTTTATAGTAGATTAACAGAAAAAAAATTCAAATAAATTAGATTATTCCCTAAATGGGTCAGAATTATTTATGTAGAAGGTCTTACGAAAAATATTTAGGAAATTCAGGTTTGGAATTTCTGCATTCTATGAATTTCCATATATGAAATCAGAAACTTAATTTTTCTGAAATATAGACACTAATTCCATATAGGCAAGGTTTGTATGTTTGTAAAAAATAAGAGAAATCACATCACATTTGAAAATTGCCTTGGCCACCTGAAAAAGAGCAGGCTTGGCCGGGCACGATGGCTCAGACCTGTAATCCCAGCACTTTGGGAGGCCGAGGCGGGTGGATCACTTGAGGTCAGGAGCTGAAGACCAGCCCGGCCAACATGGTGAAACCCCGACTCTACTAAAAATACAAAAATTAGCCGGGCATGGTGGCATGCACTTGTAATCCCAGCTACTCGGGAGGCTGAGGCAGGAGAATTGCTTGAACCCGGGAGGGGGAGGGTGCAGTGAGCTGAGATCACACCACTGTACTCCAGCCTGTGCGACAGAGGGAGACTCCGTCTCAAAAAAAAAAAAAAAAAGAAAAGCAGCCTTTGCCCAGATTTAGTATGCTCTTAGATTGATTAGTTCCCATACTTTGTTTTATCTGAACAATATATGAGTAGATGGAGAGGATATTGGTGGTAAGGTCCATTGACAATCTGGATCCTGAAAGGTAATAATACATTGAAATGTAGATTTTTGAATAGCTGAGGCTTTTGAGCTGTGTATTATTTTTGTATTGCTGGAGTATTGAATTACCACAAACTTGGCAACTTACAACGACAAAAGTTCATCATCTTACAGATCTATAAGTTAGGAGTCCAACATGGGTCTCACTGAACTAAAATCCCAATGTTGAAAGGGCTACAGTGTTCCTCTTTAGAGGCTAGAAGAAATAATTTATTTCCTTGACTTTTTCAGCTTCTAGAGGCTGTCGACATTCCTTAGCTCTTGGTCCCCATCCTGCATCAAAGCCAACAAAGTTTTATCTCTCTCATCATTCTTCCACAGTCACATCTCTCTTTCTGACCACAGCCAGGAATGATTCTCTGCTTTTAAGAACCCATGCGACTACATGCCAAACAGAATAACCAGGATAATTTCTTCATCTTAAGGTACTTAATCACATCTACAAAATCTCATTCAACATGGCAGGTAGCATATTCACATATTTTGGGGACAACAACGCAAACATCTTTGGGGGCCATCATTCAGCTTACTACAATGTGTGATGTCAGTAATAGAGCTACAGATTCATAGTAGGGTCTTTCTCAATAATGATTTTGTTCATACTGCATCTTCTAAAAGAGGAGAGTCATAAAACTTGATTATTTAATCATGATTAGGAAAGTTTGGTATATAACACAGTAGCCATATTTTATACAGTTGTGGCTACTGTGAAATAGGAAGCTCAGCAGCAGTCATTGGGAGCGTGCATGTCTTGGCCGTGAGTAATCTGAGTAAATTCTACAAATATGTTTCAGTAATTGAAAACAGAAGACGTTCATATGAAATTTGCCAAAAGTCCTATTCCCAGCGATTAAGTAATTATCTGTTATAAATCAAAATTACTCCAATAGTCATAAAAATTATATATTTATATGGCTAAACTCTAAAGTTTTGATTTGAATAATGCTAACCAATTGTAGCAAAAAGAGGTTTGGAGAGGAAATCAACAACTGGAACATAATTTCACTATTACCACTTTCTGAAATTGTGACTAGGAACAAGTAATTTAGCAACACTATTTCGGAGTTTACTCACAGAATGAGTTTCCTAGGTCAGACATGACTATCTCATTCAAACAATTAGAAAAAAGTGATATAAAAAGTGACTAAGACCATGTATATATTCCATATTTTTTCTCATCTTCAATTTCTTCCACAATGAGTTTTATTAAGTGTTTTGCTTTTATTTGGGTTAATTGTCAATAATTTTCCCCCACAACATATAATATCTAGTAACATCTATGTGGAAGACATATGTCTTAAATCTATATTAGTACTTAGAATTCCACAAATTCTAACTGTGCAAATAAAGTAGTGAAATGTCCATTTAGGTTTCTGTCACTCCCATAAATATATAGATTTATTTCTCATAATACAATTACATATTGGTTGGGAGAGCAATTAGTTAACCACATAGTATTGGACATGCTATTGCATTAACTGACCAGTTTTTCTGCATTTGAAATTACAGAGCAATTAGAATAATCACAGTATAAATACTATGATTTATTCTTCAGATTTTTTATGAGAGACTGTTACATAAGACTTGGAAGCCGGGCGTAGTGGCTCATGCCTGTAATCCCAGCACTTGGGAGGCCTGTAATCCTAGCACTTTGGGAGCACTTTGGGAGGCGGGGGATCACCTGAGGTCAGGAGCTTGAGACCAGCCTGGCTAACATGGCGAAACCCCATCTCTACTAAAAATACACAAATTACCTGGGCTTGATGGTGGGCGCCTGTAATCCCAGCCACTCGGGAGGCAGAGGCAGGAGAATCTCTTGAACCCGGGAAGCAGAGGCCACAGTGAGCCGAGATCATGCCACTGCACTCCAGCCTGGGTGGCAGAGCGAGATTCTGTTGCAAAAATTAAATAAATAAATAATTTAAAAAATTTTGGAGAAATCAAACTCCTCATGGTATAGTCGAGACATCACAACATGGGGATGGAGAGACATGATGACTTTGTGCGTGAATTCAAATGTCAGAGAAATTAAGTCTATTGCAATATCAAAAAGCAAAAAGTAAGCTAAATTAGTTTGACTTTATTATCATATATTTAAAAGTATTTTAGTACACAGGTTTGCTCATCCCTTTTATCTCTTCTTAATGTCACTTAGGAGCCATATTTGTTAATAATAATAGTTTAATATATTAGCCTACTGTACCATATTCATGTAAAACAACAGTCAAGATTTGTAGTTTCTTGAATAATTTGTTGATTAAATGAAAACCTACCACTTCCATATATTTAGCAAATATTTTTAGATTTTTAAAAATCTTCCTAAGAATAATTCAAAATCTCTTTGTCTCTTCCAATCAAGGCAAAGTGATGTAGTTCCTGCTCTTCTGACTTTTTTAAACCAACTTTTCTGCTGGAAAATTCTGTCAATAGAGTTCTTAAAAGGATTTGTATTAAGCCTTCCACAGATACTCTGATATTAAAATCAGGTCTAAGTAAACAGGTGCATTCTGTGTAGTTAAAATTAAATACTGCTATAAATATGCCCAGTGGGGTAATCCAATTTACTAGTCACTTCAGAGCTGATATGAAGGTCAAAAGGTACCTGGCAACATCGTTTGGAATCGGGAGTACTTGTAGGTTATTTATCCTTGAGAAGTATTTTAATGTCTGTGTATAAAGTGCATTATTCCTTAGAAACTGCCTCGGTCAAATAACACAGGCTTAAGATTCTCATTTTCCGTCCCTTTATGCTGTGTACATGTAGAGTCAATCTATTGTTATTACACAGCCAATTATAGGACCAAAACGTAATTTGCATTTCTTTTCTCCTTTTTAGTCATAATCTTGATGATTATAGCCAAGTTCTATTTTGTAATTTTAAAGAAATCCCCTAAATGTACTTCCACAAGCTATTTTAATTATTCTCATGATATCTGTGGTAGGTAGGTGAAAATCGTCACTAACAGCCATAAATGATAACTAAGAAGTATGTGACCATAGCAATGTGTTAGGAGACACATATTTATGGGATTTTTATTTAAATTGATTAGCATTGCTTCATGCGTAGACCAGTGGTTCTCAACTGTCCATCAGAGTAAGCTGGCAAGATTGTTAATAGTTTAGATACTCAGGTTCATGCCCAGAGATGGTTCTCATTTTCTGTCTGTCTCTATCTCTACCTGATGCCCAGAGATTGTTCATGCCCAGAGATAGTTCACTATCTGTATATCTATCTGTATCTCTCTATCTGTATCTCTATCTGTATCTATCTATCTGTATCTCTAGCTCTCTCTCTCTTTATCATGTCCTACTTCCAGATGATACAAATTTGCAGCCAAGGCTGAGAAACGCTGATCTAGGTGAGAATGTACCAAGCAGAAAGATTAAGTGAATTATTAATGCCCACAAAGTCATTTCAAACGTGTATTTATTTATTCAATTGATTTGACTGAAAACTAGTTCTCAGCATTTTAACAGATTTTCCTCTAAAGATGTAAGCCATTGGCTGACGACTTGGCTGAAAACTAGTTCTCAGCATTTTAACAGATTTTCCTCTAAAGACGTAAGCCATTGGCTGACTGACTTGACTGAAAACTAGTTCTCAGCATTTTAACAGATTTTCCACTAAAGACGTAGACAGAGTTTGCATTTTGAGACAAGGACACAGGGTAACATTTAATCAATCTAATTAACAGCAGGAAATAAATGGGTATTACCCACTAGATTGTGATCGTCATTAAAAAAGGAGTAATGCCTATTTTGAAAGCTTTACAAACATATTTGAGTGATTGAATAAGTAAATACACATTTGATTTTGTACATCCCAGATTCATTACATTGTGATGAATTATAAAAAGAAAAAAACTCATTATACTTTCCATTTCCAAAATATATTCAAAAGTAAAAATATTAACAAATTTCAATTTCCGATGATTACTACTACTTCACAATAAATGCAGGAAAAATTCCATAATAATTCACAAAAACTCTGTACTTAACAGGAAACAACTCTCATTGGTATTAGATAGATAGACCTTGCATTATTTATACCAAATGACATTTTCTTTTTTTTATTTTGAAGGTTTAATAAAGTATAATTCAAAAATTGTGTGATTAATGCATACTATCTAATTATTTGGTATGTGTATATTATGTGAAATGATAACAACGATCAAGTCAGTTAACACATCTATAATCTCACCTAGTTAGTTTGCTTTGTTTTGCTTTTGTTTTTGTTTTAAATTTCAACTTTTAGTTTAGATATGAGGGTACATATGGAAGTTTGTTACACGAGTCTGTTGTGTGATGCTGAGGTTTGGGGTATGCATCACATCACCCAAGTAGTACGCATAGTACATGATAGGTAGTTTTTCAGTTCACATCACCTGTTTTTTCTACCCCATCTAGTAGTCCACAGTGTCTATTTTTCCCATGTTTATGTCCATGTGTGCTCAGTATTTATTTCCCACTTATAAGTGAGGAAATGCCATATTTGGTTTTGTGTTCCTGCACTAATTTGCTTATTATTATGACCACCAAATGCAACCATGTTTCTGCAAAGGACCTGATTTCGTTCTTTTTTCTATGGCTCTGTAGTACTCCATAATGTATTTATACCACATTTTCTTTACCCGATCCACCACCACTAATGAGCACCTCAGTTGATTCCATGTCTTTGCTGTTGTGAACAGCATGATGATGAACATTTAGGTACATGTGTCCATGTGGTAGAATGATCTATGTTTCCTTTGGGCATATATGCAATGATAGGGTTGCTGGGACAAATTGTAGCTCTATGATAAGTTCTTTGAGAAATCTCCAAACTACTTTCCACAGTGGCTGAACTACTTCATATACCCAGCAACAGTGTATACGCATTCCCTATTCTCCACAGCTTTGCTGGCATCTGTTATTATTATTACTTTTTTCACTTTTTAGTAATAGCCATTGTGAGTGGCATGAGATAGTATCTCATTGTGGTACAGATTTGCATTTCTCTGATGATTAGTGATGTTGAACTTTTCGGCCACTTGTATGTCTTCTATTCAGAAGTGTCTGTTAACCTATTTATTAATGAGATTGTTTTTTGTTTCTTGATTTGTTTAAGTTCATTATAGATTCTGGATATCAGACTTTTGTCAGATACAAGGTGATTTGTATATATTTGTGAATATTTTCTCCCACTCTATAGGTTGTCTACTTTGTAAATAGTTTATTTTTCTGTGCAGAAGCAATTTAGTTTACATCACACCTGTCAATTTCTGTTTTTGTTGAAATTGCTTTTGGGGACTTAGCCAAAAATTATTGGCCATAGCCAACATCAAGAAGGGTATTTTCTAGGTTTTCTTCTAGGATTTTAGTTTGAGGACTTATTTTAAAAGCTTTAATCAATCTTGAGTTAGCTTTGTATACGGTGAAAGTTCGGGGTCCAGATTCATTCTTCTGTATGTGACTAGCCAACTATCCCAGCACTACTTATTAAATAGGTAGTCCTATCCCAATTGCTTATTATTGTCCACCTTGTTGAAGATCAGGTGATTGTGAGTGTGAGTCTTTATTTCCAGGTTTTTTGTTCTGTGCCATTGATCTACATGTGTGTTTTTATACAAGTATCATGCTATTTTTGTGACTGTGGCCTTACAGTATAGTTTGAGCTTTGGTAGTACAATGTCTCTGGATTTGTTCTATTTGCTTAGAATTGCACTGGTTATTTAGGATCTTTTTAGGTTCCATATGACATTGGTAGTTTGCTAGGAATAGTGTCGAATCTTTAAATTGCTTTGGGCATTATGGCTATTTTTATGATATTGATTCTTCCTATCCATGAGCATGTAATGCTTTTCCATTTATTAGTGTCATCTTCTTTTTCTATATGGATGCCTTTCATTTTTTTCTTTCACTTTATTACTCTGACTAGAACTTCTAGTATATGTTGAATAGGAGTGGTGAGAGTGGGCACCTTTGTCTTGCAGTTCTTAAGGGGAATGGTTCCAGCTTTGGCCTATTTGGTATGATGTTGGCTGTGAGTTTACCATAGATGGCTTTTATTATTTTGACCTATGTTTTGTGATGCCAACTCTGTTGAGAGTTTTTTTATCATGGAGGGCTGTTGGATTTTATCAAAAGTCTTTTTTTATATCTGTTGAAATAATCATATGGTTTTACTGTCTAATTCTGTTTATGTGGTGAATCATATTTATAGATTTGTATGGGTTGAAACAACTTTGCATCACAGGAATAAAACCTTCTTGATCATGGTGAATTAATTTTTTGATGTGCTGCTGGATACAGTATGCTAGTATTTTGTTGAGTATTTTTATGGCTATGTTCATCAGGGATACTGGCAGGAAGTTTTGTTTTTGATTTTTTTTTTCACTGTGTCTCTGCCAGATTGTGGTATCAGGTTGATGCTGGTTTCATAAAATTAGTTAGGAAGGAGTCTCCCTCAATTTTTTGGAATAGTTTCAGTAGGATTGATGTCAGTTCTTTTTTATACATATGAGAGAATTTGACTGTAAATCCATCTGGTCCAGGGCTTTTTTTGGTTGGTAGGTTTTTTGTTACTGATACAATTTCAGAACTTGATATTGGTCTATTCAGGATTTTATTTTTTTTCCTAGTTCAATTCTGAGGTATTATCTGTTTCCAGAAATATATATATATTGTCTCCAGATTTTGTAATTTTTGTGCATAGAGTTGTTCATAGTTGTCTGAGATGTTTTGTATTTCTGAAAAATCATTTGTAATATTTTCTTTCTAATTTCTGATGGGATTTTCTTCTTGTGCTGTTGTTGTTAATTCAGATAGTGCTCTATCAATCTTATTTGTTTGAATAACCAACTCTTGGTTTCATGTATCTTTTGTATGGATTTTTGCACCTCAATTACATATAGTTCTTCTCTAGTTTATTTTTATTTTATTTTATTTTATTTTTTGAGATGGAGTTTCACCCTGTCGCCCAGGCTGGAGTGCAGTGGCACAATCTTGGCTCACTGCAACTTCTGCCTCCCGGGTTCAAGCAATTTTCCTGCCTCAGCCTCCTGTGTAGCTGGGATTACAGGCACGCATCACCACGCCTGGCTAATTTTTTGTGTTTTTAGTAGATACAGGGTTACACCATGTTGGCCAGGCTGGTTTCAAACTCCTGACCTCGTGATCCACCTGCCTCAGCCTCCCAAAGTGCTGGGGTTACAGGCATGAGCCTAGTTATTTTTACTGATAATTTGAGAGCTTTCTAACTTCTTGATGAAGGTGTTTAGGGCTATAAGCTTTTCTCTTACCACTGCTTTAGCTACATCCCAGAGATTTTGATAAGTTTTGTCCTTATTTTCATTAATTCCAATGAATTTTTTATTTCTGCCTTAATTTTGATGTTCCCTGAAGAGTTAGTTATTCAGGAGTAAATTGTTTAATTTTAATGTATTTGTGTAATTTTGAGAGATTTTATTGATATTCACTTCTATTTTTTTATTGCATTCTGTTCTGAAAGTGTGCTTGGTATGATATCTAATTCTTTGAATTTATTGAGACTTGCTTTATGACTGACCATGTGGTCAATATTAGAACATGTTCTGTGTGAAGGTCAGAAGAATGTATATTCTGTGGTTGCTGGGTGGAGTGTTCTTTGGATGCCTATTAGATACATTTGGTCTAGTGTCAAGTTTAAGTCAAGTGTCAAAGTTAAGTTTCTTTGTTAGAGTTCTGCTTTGATAATCTGTCTAATGCTGTCACTGGGGTGTTGATGTCTTCCACTATGAATGTGTGGCTAAATAAGTCTTTTGGTAGATAAAGAGGAACTTGTTTTATCAATCTGGGTGCTCCAATGTTGGGTGCATATATATTTAAGACAGTTAGTTATGTCTTCTTGTTGGATTATATCCTTTATCATTACGTAATGCCTTTCTTAATTATTATTGGTTTTAAGTCTGTTTTATCTGATACAAGAATAGTGATTCTTGCTCTTTTTTGTTGTTGTCCTTTTGCTTGGTAGATCATTCTCTATCATTTTGCTTTGAGCTTGTGGATTTCATTATAGGTCTCTTGAAGACAAAAGGCAGTTAATTCTTGTCTTTTTATCCCGCCTGCCACTCTGTGTCTTCTAAGTGGGGTGTTTAATCCATTTAAACTCAAGGTTAGTATTGATATGTGAGATTTTGATCCTTTCATCATGTTGTTAGCTGAGTGTGATGTAGACTTGAACATGTAGTTGCTTTACAGTGTCTGCGGGCTATGTGCTTAAGTGTGTTTTTGCAGTAGCAGGTGTCATTTTTCAATTTCACGTTCAGCATTTCCTTAAGGCCCTCTTGTAAGGCTGGTCTAATGGAAACAAATTTCCTCAGTATTTGCTTTTCTGAGAAGAATTTTATTTCTTCATTGATGAAGTTTAGTTTGGTGGGATATGAAAGTCTTCATTGGCATTTCCTTTTTTTAAGTTGCTGAAACTAAGCCCTATCTCTTCTGGTTTGTAAAACTTCTACTGAGAGGTCCATTGCCAGCCTGATGGGGTTCTGTCTGTATATAATATATATGACCTGACTCTTCTTTCTGGCAGCCTTTAAGATTTTTCCTTTTGTGTTGACCTTGGTGAATCTAATTTTAAGCCTTGGGGATGGTTGACTTTTACAGCATCTGGCCAGAATGCTCTCTATTTCTTGAATTTGCAAGTCAATTTCACTAGCAAGATTAAGAAATTTTTCATGGCCTATGTCCTCAAGTGTATTTTACAAGTCTTTCATTCTTTCTCCTTTTCTCCCAGGAATTGCAATGAGTCATATATTTGATCTCCTTATAGAATCCCATATTTCTCTATGGTTTTGTTCATTTTAAACTTATTTTGTATTTATTTTTTGTCTAATTAAGCCTGGTTTAAAGGACCAGTTACTGAGCTCTGAGATTCTTTCCTCACCTTGGTCCATTTTGCTGTTAATACTTCCGATTATATATCTTGTAGTGAATTTTTGAGCTCTAGAAGTTCAGTGTCGTTCTTTCTTTTAAAAGTTACTAATCTTTCAGTCCTTCCATCATTTTACTATATTCCTTGCATTCCTTGGATTGGGTTTTAATTTTATCCTAAGTCTTGATGTGCTTTCTTGCTATACAAATTCTGAATTCTACGTCCATCATCTCAGTCATTTCAGACTGGTTAAGAACCATTACCGGGGAGCTAGTGGACTCTTTTGGAAGTAAGTACACACTCTGGCTTTTTAAATTGCCAGAGTACTTGTGCTGATTCTTTCTCCTCTGAGAGGGCTGGTGTTCTTTTAAAGGTGACTAAGTTGAGTACGGTCAGTTGGCTTTTCTTTTTGGGTGTTTTCAGAGGGCCAGACCTCCGTACAAGGTCTTTATTTGTGGCTGACTTCTTGCTCTTGGTTTCACGGGGAAGTATATTAGCAAAAGATATTTGATGTTTTAGTTTGGGCTGTGATCCACTAAATGACACATAAGAGACATAAGAGTAATGACAGTAGATAGGCTCTTTACTCAGTCACACAGCTCCTTTGTCTTTTCTTGCATTTGCAGCCATGCTCTGCAGTGTGAGAGGGAGAGAAGTGACCCCCTCAGCAGGTCAACTTCTGGTCCTTGGGGGAGCTCCTCTCATCATTGGCACTGTGCCTCTGTGTCTTTTCTTTCCTTTTTTTTTTGACATGGAGTCTCACTCTGTCACCCAGGCTGGAGTGCAGTGGCATAATCTCGGCTCACTGCAACCTCTGCCTCCCGGGTTCAAGCGATTCTCCTGCCTCAGCCTCCCAAGTAGCTGGAACTACAGGCGCGCACCACTACGTTCAGCTAATTTTTTGTGGTTTTAGTAGAGACAGGGTTTCACATGTTGGCTAGGCTGGTATCGAACTCCTGACCTCAGGTGATCTGCCCACCTCGGCCTCCCAAAGTGCTGGGATTACAGGCATGAGCCAGTGCGCCCAGCTGCCTCTGTTTCTTTTATTAGCTGTTCTGGACTGTGGGGCTCCTTTGGGCAGATGCTGTATTATGGGGATAAGCCACACACTTTTTGAACTGGCCCGGTCAGGGGGGACATAACCATTTCCTGTGCCACCCCATCAATCCCCACCTATTCTGAGTGTAGGCTCCTCCCCTGCTTGAGTAATGGCCACAGATCTTGGCTCGGCACTCCTAAGCTGCATGCTGAATTCCTGGGACAACAAGACTGGCTTGTGGTTCCATTCTCCAGATCCTTGGGTTGGCTTCTGGGTGCACTAGGAGATCTGAAATGCTCTCAGGCCACCAGGAAAGTACTCAAATGCAAGAAAGCACCCAGACACTCTGAGCTTTTGGTGTTATAACTGCAATTTATACCATTTGACTGACCCACCCTCTTTTTTATATGTCCATGCCCCTAGTAACCACCATTCCGCTGTCTACTTCTATAAGTTTAACTTTTTAAGATTCCACATATAAATGAGATTCTGCAATATTAGTCTTTTTTTTGTCTGACTCATCATCAGGGTAATGCAAATCAACACTACAATGAGATAACACTTCATACCTGAGATGATGGCTACTATCAAAAAAGATAAGAGATAACACAAGTGTTGGCAAAGATGTGGAGAAACAGCAAAGATTGCCAGAAAACCACTAGAAACAATGGTAAAAGCATGAAACAGATTCTTCCTCACAGCCCTTAGAGGGAGCCAACCCCGGGCCCGGGGCGGTGGCTCACTCCTGTAATCCTGGCACTTTGGGAGGCTGAGGGAGACAGATCACGAGGTCAGGAGATCGAGACTATCCAGGCTAACACAGTGAAACCCCATCTTTATTAAAAACACAAAAAATTAGCCAGGCCTGGTGGCAGGCGCCTGAATTCCCAGCTACTCGGGAGGCTGAGGCAGGAGAATCGCTTAAACCTGGGAGGCAAAGGTTGCAGTGAGCCAAGATCGCGCCACTGCACTCCAGCCTGGGTGACAGAGTGAGACTCAATTAAAAAAAAAAAAAAAAAAAAAAGAAGAAGGAGCCAACCCTGCCAACACATTCATCTTAGACTTCTATCCTCTAGAACTAAAAGACAATAAATTTCTGTTATTAAATCCACTCACTTTGTGATACTTTGTCATGCCAGTCCTAGCAAGTCAGCACACAAATGACATAATTCCTTTATGAGTCTATGTCCATTAACCAAAAATGGACATTTATGGAGGTCAGGAATTTATAATTGACAAGCATTGTAATTATGACCCAAGCAACATATTGATTTATTTGTTTTGTTTTCTTTAGAATACAGTTTTCCTAAAACATTATTAGAGTGCTACAAGTTTTCAGTTTGTGAAATCATTTGAGTCTGTGAAGTTGAAAGCATGTGTGTGTATGCATGTGTGTATCATCTTTCCAATCTAAAGCATGTTCGCTAATACCCTGCAGGTGAGAAATCTATCATGAAAGAAGAATTTTTTTAATTTTACCACCTCTTCAAAATGCAGACTTTCTAATCCCCATAGGGATGTCCTGAGAACACCAAATAAAGTTATCCATCCTAACAAGTGTTCACAATTTTGACCAACAAACAACCACCTACACATATTATCTCTAGTTGTCTGACTTATTTCTCATACGAATATTTATCAATAATTTATCATCTTGAACAAGTTTTATTCTTAATGTATTGGACAGTGTTAATAAC
Organism: Homo sapiens; assembly: GCF_000001405.40. Classification (NCBI taxonomy): domain Eukaryota; kingdom Metazoa; phylum Chordata; class Mammalia; order Primates; family Hominidae; genus Homo; species Homo sapiens. Next base: position 57,890,304 of record NC_000006.12, on the reverse strand, counting down.
TTTGGAATTAATAATATTTCTATATTCTCAAACAAAATTTATGTCATCCTAATGCTGTTTAATCTCCTTTCCTCTCTAAGAACTCAGAGTCCTCATGATTCACTCTGAGGACAATGGGACAGTATTCTTTAGAAAAACCCAGATGATTTCCCAGCTGGCTCAGACTGGAAGCACACGCATCTCCCAAACAATATTCATGAATTACTGATACAGTCTGCCAATCCTAGAATAAAGATTCTAATTCTTCCTTCTCCAGTGACATTTTTATTTCTCCTTTCATTTCATATAGCTCTGGTTCTCCCAAAAGAAAGCTCCTCAAATCTTCAACTCTCCGCTGAGTCATAGGTATTGCGCACAACTTCAATGGCTATATCCTCCAATGTGACAGTGTGCCCTGAATTCTTTGTTGAGGATGTGCTGGTGCAGAGAGTAAAATCAGTGGGTGTCTGTACTTCTAGATTAAGCTATAACCAATAATGAATATTGACATTTTGTTCTACTAGATTTATGTCCCAGCTTTGGTCTGTGGTGTCCAATTTAGCGAGTGTAAGCACGTACGTGATTTGCTCATTTTCTGACCAGAAATAAGATGGTACTTCAGATAAACATATTCTTTTCATTTATTAATGTTAACCCATGTCAACAGACTCTAATACATCACTGGATAATCAGATCTTGCTAATTTCTTTTAATTTTGGGTGCCTAGGATCTCCTAGATGATGCAGAGAGAAATAGTGATTCTAGGTCAGTTTATTGTACTCTTTAACTTAATGAGATTAGTTCTATCATTTTATTTCTGAAGCGATGTTAAGTTTTAGTTGATGCAGTTTGTCAAGTAAAAAAATATATATATTGTTTCTAGTAATCCAAACATTTTATACCAAGATCTGTATAGAACTTTATCAAAGGATATTTTCTATGATAGTTGAATTGATTGTATTTTTCCTTTTAATTGGTTAAAGTGGTTAAGTTCATTATTTCCTACTCTATCTATGAAAATTTCAAGAGTAATTTAGGGATTCTACTAATTTTGAGAGGGGAGGATAGGGTGATGAAATTTTGCTATGTTTTTTATGAAGTATACTTTAATGTGCTTAAAGAAATTGGGTAAAATACTTAAATTTACTTTTAATTATTTTTTAATATTCTATAATATTTTACTTTTAACTTACCACACTTCTCCAAAATGTATCATGATTACATAGAAAAATAAGTCCGTGTGTGTATGTGTAAGTATATATAAGCACACATATATGTATGCATATGTGTATATATACACACATATTTACATTCAAATATATGTATACATATGCTTATATATTATGAATACCTTCATATATAGAAATGTGTACAATGTGTTTATACAAACATACTTAGATACATACAATATGTCTAAGCTTCATCATTTGGGAATCCTCCTTCAGGCTAACCCTTCTTAAAAATATTGTGTGACACTTAGAAGCCTTGGTTTAGAATTTGAATAATCCCTAACATTGGTTTTGTTGATTACTAGTTTTGCAATCTTAGGCAAATTATTTAATTTTCTGAACCTTTTGTCTGTAAATTAGGAAGACACAGGTATGATGCGTGTGTTGTGATGCTTAAAACAATGATGCTTGTGTTGTAACTAGCATAAGACTTTATACACAGGAAGTGCTCAAAAAAAGTATTTTTTTCAAAAATTATGTAATGTGACTATTCAATACAAAAGGCACTCTATAAAACAAAATCAAATTGATTAGTGTACCTCAAAGATTCAGCTGTGTAGGTAATTTTTTCTCAGTTTTTCTTTTGGTGATTTTATTTATTTTAAATTCACACCAAAAAAATTCATGATGGGAAAAGTAAAATTGTCCCTGCCAACATCATAGAATTCAAATGAGAGATTAATTATGTCATATATAAAGCATCACTTTGAACTTCAGAAAGTCAATTAAATTTAAATTAAAAAAAAAACAAATACTCAAACCTTTCTAGGTTTCAAGTTTCTATCTAAGCTATAAGAAAAAGTTACAATATAGTCACTCATATGTTAAAGTACATGATTCAATGATAGTGATATTTTTCTGTAATTTATGGAGTAATTATTTTATATGTTGTATATATTATTATCTGTACATAAGGTAATAGGTACCAGGTGGAAAAAAAATAGTGTTCACGTTAGTATTACTATGCTTGTTAAGATCATTTTAATTCAAAATCTATTAAGCGCCACGTATTATTTTACCAGGGCTGCCACAACAAAATACAAGAGACTGGATGGCTTAAACAACAGCAATGTATTTTCCCACAGTTCTGGAGTTGAGAAATCTGACGTCAAGGTGTCAGCGGGTTTGGTTTTTGCTGAGGCCTCTCCTTGGCTTGCAGATGGCTGCCTTCTTGCTGTGTGTTCACGTGATTGTCTCTTAGTGTGTGCATTTGTCTGGTGTCTCTGTCTGTCTTTTTAAAAGGACACCAGATATATTGGATTAGAACTCATCTTATTGACCTAATTTTTACTTAATTGCTTCTTTAAATATCTTGTCTCCAAATGGGTTGCATTCTGTGGTACTCAGATTTAGGGATTCAACATATGAATTGGGGGGAACACAAATCAGCCAATATCACATGAATTCTTTTTCTAGCAAAGAAAGCATCCATTCTATTAGGAGTCTTCCTTTACTTAATAGAAAACCAGCAGAACAGTACTATGTTTATACAAATATAAATTAATTTACTTATTCCTGTATGAGAGCACTCATATGTGTGTGCATGTGAAAACAAAATGCATGTGCATTTTCAAAGACTTAGAAAATCATTTTAAGTTTTCAAATGGAGTTAGACTAGACTGCTGGTTGCCCACATATAGTGTTTTGTATTTTGTGATGAATTATTTCAGACTTTGAAAAAATACTGTGATATTCTCTGGGAGACCTGGAGATTGAATGATCCACAGCAGATAGGAGAGAGGACTTCACACATAAATAAATGGATATGTGTGCTGTGTCTAACTTTTGAGTGGTAACAATCCTTGAATTTGAAGGAAGATGACATTTTCATGACTATTGAAGCTTTTGGAATCAGGACGTAGAAATGAAGAATCTGGTGAACTAAGGCAGAAATCTGGTGAACTAAGGCAAAATAAAACCAGAAAATTTTGATAGATTGTGATTAAGTAGACCTCGAACATATGAAAACTTTCAGGGATCCTGATATTTGTCTTGGACCTTTGGGCCCTGAAAGTAATCACCTTTGTTACTAGGGGAAGTCACTTTTTTTTTTTAAATTATACTTTAAGTTCTAGGGTACATGTGCACAACGTGGAAGTTTGATAAATAGGTATACCTGTGCCGTGTTGGTTTGCTGCACCCATCAACTCGTCATTTACATTGGGTATTTCTCCTAATGCTATCCCTCCCCCAGGCCCCCACCCCCCAACAGGACCTGGTGTATGATGTTCCCCACCCTGTGTCCAAGTGATCTCCTTGTTCAATTCCCACCTATGAGAGAACATGCAGTGTTTGGTTTTCTGTCCTTGTGATACTTTGCTGAGAATCATGGCTTCCAGCTTCATCCATGTCCCTGCAAAGGACACGAACTCATCCTTTTTTTATGGCTGCATAGTATTCCATGGTGTCTATGTGCCACATTTTCTTAATCCAGTCTGTCATTGATGGACATCTGGGTTGGTTCCAAGTCTTTGCTATTGTGAATAGTGTTGCAATAAACATATGTGTGCACGTGTCTTTATAGTAGCATGATTTATAATCTTTTGAGTATATACCCAGTAATGTGATTGCTGAGTCAAATGGTATTTCTAGTTCTAGATTCTTGAGGCATCGCCACACTCTCTTCCACATGGTTGAACTAATTTACACTCCCACCAACAGTGTAAAATTGGTCCTATTTCTCCACATCCTTTCCAGCATCTGTTGTTTCCTGACTTATTAATGATTGCCATTCTAACTGGCGTGAGATGGTATCTCATTGTGGTTTTGATTTGCATTTCTCTGATGACTAGTGATGATGAGCATTTTTTCATGTGTCTGTTGGCTGCATAAATGTCTTCTTTTGAGAAGTGTCTGTTCGTTTCCTTTGCCCACTTTTGGATGGGGTTGTTTGTTTTTTTCTTGTAAATTGGTTTGTGTTCATTGTAGATTCTGTATATTAGCCCTTTTTCAGATGGGTAGATTGCAAAAATGTTCTCCCATTCTGTAGGTTACCTGTTCACTCTGATGGTAGTTTCTTTTGCCATGCAGAAGCTCTTTAGTTTAATTAGATCCCATTTGTCAATTTTGGCTTTTGTTGCCATTGCTTTTGGTGTTTTAGTCATGAAGTCCTTGCCCATGCCTATGTCCTGAATGGTATTGCCTAGGTTTTCTTCTAGGGTTTTTATGGTTTTAGGTCTAAGATTTAAGTCTTTAATCCATCTTGAATTAATTTTTGTATAAGGTGTAAGGAAGGGATCCAGTTTCAGCTTTCTACACATGGGTTGCTAGTTTTCCCAGCACCATTTATTAAATAGGGAATCCTTTCCCTATTTCTTGTTTTTGTCAGGTTTGTCAAAGATCAGATGGTTGTAGATGTGTAGTATGATTTCTGAGGGCTCTGTTCTGTTCCATTGATCTATATCTCTGTTTTGGAACCAGTACCATGCTGTTTTGTTTACCGCAGCCTTGTAGTATAGTTTAAAGTTGGGTAGCATGATGCCTCCAGCTTTGTTTTTTGTTTGTTTATTTTGTTTTGTTTTTGCTTAGGATTGTCTTGGCAATGCAGGCTCCTTTTTGGTTTCATATGAACTTTAAAGTAGTTTTTTCCAATCCTGTGAAGAAAGTCATTGGTATTTTGAGCCTACCAACCAAAAAAAGTCCAGGACCAGACAGATTCACAGCTGAATTCTACCAGAGGTACAAAGAGGAGCTGTTACCATTCCTTCTGAAACTATTCCAATCAATAGAAAAAGAGGGACTCCTCCCTAGCTCATTTTATGAGGCCAACCTCATCCTGATACCAAAGCCTGGCAGAGATGCAACAAAAAAAAAAGAGAATTTTAGACCAATATCCCTGATGAACATCAATGCGAAAATCCTCAATAAAGTACTGGCAAACTGAATCCAGCAGCACATCAAAAAGCTTATCCACCACAATAAGATTGGCTTCATCCCTGGGATGCAAGGCTGGTTCAACATACACAAATCAATAAACATAATCCATCACATAAACAGAACCAATGACAAAAACCACGATTATCTCAATAGATGCAGAAAAGGCCTTCAATAAAATTCAATAGCCCTTCATGCTAAAAACTTTCAATAAACTAGGTTATTGATAGAACGTAACTCAAAATAGTAAGAGCTATTTGTGACAAACCCACAGCCAATATCACACTGAATGGGCAAAAACTGGAAGCATTCCCTTTGAAAACCGGCACAAGACAAGGATGCCCTCTCTCACCACTCCTATTTAACATAGTGTTGGAAGTTCTGGCCAGGGCAATCAGGCAAGAGAAAGAAATAAACGGTATTCAATTAGGAAAAGAGGAAGCAAATTGTCCCTGTTTGCAGATGACATGGTTGTATATTTAGAAAACCTCATCGTCTCAGCCCAAAATCTCCTTAAGTTGATAAGCAACTTCAGCAAAGTCCCAGGATACAAAATCAATATGCAAAAATCACAAGCATTCCTATACACCAATAACAGACAAACAGAGAGCCAAATCATGAGTGAACTCCCATTCACAATTGCTACGAAGAGAGTAAAATACCTAGGAATCCAACTTACAAGGGTTGTGAAGGATCTCTTCAAGGAAGTCACTTTCTGTATTGTACTTCGCTTAATACTTAAGCATCCAGGAAAGTTTTGTTAGATATTGCAGTCAGGTCTAGGCTAAGTATTTTAAATTTTTTATTTTTATTTTATTTGGTTATAAGCGGTGTTCTGATCAGTGACAGAAGTGACTTGGTTCCACCTTTAACAGAACGTTGGTGTAGAGCAAATCAGCACAATCTTCTCCTCTATGAACATGTGTGTTGACTCATGCATACTCAAGAAACCCTGTGAAGCAGCCTTGAAAAGAGATTTTTCTGGCCAAGGTAATAAGCAAATACTTGTATAGATGTTATGACTGTGCAATTGGTTTGCAAGAAGACCTCAGAAATGACTTGCAGAAGAGAATTTTGAAAAAAAAAATTTAACTGGCTGTAACACAATAGAAAGCCAGTCATTAATTGTAATAACTCTCTAGTGTTGATACTCTAAGGTATGAGCATACCTCAGTATTAGGACCAGTTCATATTATACTAAAAAATAAATATTGTCTTAAATGATATGGTGTTATTAGGTCACATTAAAATGAGGAACACTCATTTTGCTCTATTATAATTATTATCAAGACATTCACAGCTAAAATATCTGGAATTGGTTCATACAGATATTTACATTAGTCACCAAACACTCACTCATTTGGATAGTCAGCTGGGCTAAAGAAAAATACGTATTATAAAGATTACCTTAATTACTGAAAACACATCCTGGAGTATTTCTGCTTTCGTGAAACAAACAGCCAATAAAAAGTTTCTGGATTTTGAAAGGCCCAATTCACTATGGTATTGTAGTCCATGGAGAAAAGAAGCCTCTGGCATTTCCTTCTTTATCATAATTATGTTGCATTTCAATTATTATTCTAATTAATCATTAAACAGGCACTTCAGGCTTTGCTATGATGGTAGAATTGATTTCCACATTGCTTTGATGTCCCATGAACATGACCTCGTCAGTGTAACTCTAACCTTGAGATGCCTCTTTGTTTCCTTTTAGTAACTAGAGACTAAATCCCTCAGACACATTCTGGAATCCGATGCTCTATATGTCTAATGTGTTAGAAGCTCCATTAGGATGTAACAAGATTTTAGCCACATTCCCCACAGCACTTTGGAGTACTGCTGCTTCATGAGATTTTTCTCTAAAGTAACCTTTCAAAGTCAGCCACAAAACCTCTTATTCTAGATCATACTGGCATCTGACCTTTGTAAACTTACAAGAAAAAATAGGAAAAAGGAAGATGCTAAGGGAGACACAGTTATCTTTTTCAAAATGCAGCTAAACCCACAAGCTACAGAGATATCATGACCTATAAAGTTCAGAGCTGTGTTGATTCTTTCTAACAATTACCCACAGCTATTATGATTTCCTCCCATCACTAAAACTGTCATTGCTAAGATAATTGCTCCAGTTTGAGAAGGTAGAAGATTTAACAAGTAACTAATATGTAAAGGATAGAGAGAAGAAGGGGAGAGGTTGATATGATCCCTGTCCTTTCACACTGTTAATATGCCAGGTGATAAAATGTCTCATTCACTCTGAAACATTATCACTATACAGGCACTCCTTACAGTGTTTGTTCTCATATATGTCCTCGTATTTTTTTTTCCTTTTAAAGTGGCTCTGAGAAATGGCTAATGCACAATCTAATTATGTGATAATAAATGTTAATGACAGTATTATCAGATGATAACTAGGCTTCATTAATGTGTCTCATTATGATTCTCAGTCCCTTGTGGAAGATTGTGAAGAAAGGACCTTAGATATTCCAGATTATATTTGAATGTAGTAGTTACAGAGCCCATATCCAGGGAGAAAGGAAGATATCAGAGACACCTTTAAGCTCTTTCTCTAATTTTGCTTCTTCAAACCTAAGCATCCATCAATCACATCTCAAAATTTATCATATACCTTCAGCATAATAAAAATAGTAATTATAGTAATAGTAATAGTCCTGATATGACAAATAATATGGAAGATCATTTTAATTGTAACTGCTGATATATTTTGGTATAAGTATATAGGCATTTATGTCCCAAACATTATGACCTTGATTATCCATAAGCAAGTTCAAATCATTTAGAGAGGATACACTTATTTAAAGGTTTGCACCTGTTAAATTTTGGTTCTGCTACACCATATATATATATTTTGTTGTTGTTGTTGTTGTTGTTGTTTTGTTGTTGTTGTTGTTGTTGAAATGGAGTCTCCCTCTGTTGCCCAGGCTGGAGTGCAGTAGCACAATCTCAGCTCACCGTAACCTCCGCCTCCTGGGTTCAAGTGATTCTCCTGCCTCAGCCTCTCAAGTAGCTTGGATTACAGGCATCTGTCAACATGCCCAGCTAATTTTGTATTTTTAGTAGAGACGGGTTTCTCCATGTTGGTCAGGCTGGTCTTTAACTCCCGACCTCAGGTGATCCACCCACCTCAGCCTCCCAAAGTGCTGGGATTACAGGCATGAGCCACTGCACCCAGCCAGCTACACTATTCTTAATATTCAAAGTAGCACTGTCAAGTTATCACCAAGATTTCATCACAATTTTTATTATTTTTCTACATTTACCCTCTATTTTAACTATGTAAATTTATCGAATGTTTTAATATTTGAGAGGGCAAATCTACTATCACCGTTATTTAATGTTTTGTATTTTTTCTTAATTATTATATTTTTTAAATTGACATGTGATAATTGTACATATTTATGGGGTATGTAGTGATATTTCGATACATACAATGAATAGTTAACAGATTCGTGTAATTCACATATCCATCATGTCAAAATTTATTATTTCTTTGTGATGGGAACATTCAGTATACCCCTTCTAGCAATTTGAAACTATATATTATTGTCAACTACGGTCATCCCACAATGCTATAGAACACTAGAACTTATTTGTCTCTAGCTGTAATTTTGTATCCCTTGACAAATCTCTCTTTATCCTTCTCTCATCCCACCCTTCCCTGTCTCTAGTATATTCCATTCTACTTTTTCCTCCTCTGAGATCAACTTTTTTTTAGTTTCCACGTATGAGTGAGAACATGCAGTGTTTAACTTTCTGTTCTTAGCTTATTTTACGTAACATAATGTCCTCTTGATTTGTCGAGGCTGCTTCTTATAGTTTCTATTAGAAATATGTGTGTGTGCGCCTGTGTGTGTATAATGTAGGATATTTTAGGTAAACAACTAAATAGTTGTAAATAAGGCTGAACTGTATTTTTAAGGTTTTATTTGTGACTAATAATTTGTCTTATTAATAAAGCCTAGGTTAAAAAAATAAGTGGAAGACATATCTGTCACACACTATATCTTGGGAGTTTTGAAAAATAAAGTGTTGATTTCAGGCAAAATACTTAGTTCAACTGTAACTAAATCAGCAAAGATGTCATGATTCCATAAGGGATCCACTCTAAATATAATGTTAAATGGAATATTTCATTATATTTTAGAAGTAGGGACTACTAGTTTGACATTTATGTTTTTGAGTATATGTGGTTGCATTCTTATATCTAATAAAATATTCAGTTGTCTTAAACTTAACATTCTTAAGGCCTAGGGCAAGAATAATAATCAAAACCTATATAGTGTATGTTTGCATATTTAAAAGTTATAAATCAAGTTAACAAACTGTTAAATAAAGTATGCTGTGTTCTCTCACTTTGACACATATACCTTCTCAATGAAATTCAGGTTTGGAACTAGAATTCTTGGGCCGTCAACATCCAGCACAGAATATGACGACATAGAGAGAGCCGGTGCCCTGATCTGGTCTCACACCATGAGAGGCCTTCTGTGTATACATTTTGGGTACCTCTGTTGATATGTTGAAACTCAGTCTACCACTGTAGCTCTAGCAAAAAGCTTCCCATTGGCCCACAGGGCCTCTAGTTGTGCACTCTGTATACGTGGTTCACCATGAAAGACAGAACTGGTGGAGAGGACCATGGACGCTGGAAGCAGTCTCAAAACCCTTTGAAGACAGAATTCTAAGTCTTTATGTTCTACAGCATGATCTAAAAGGTGGTAGGTCAGGGTGAGCAGCATCACCTCCAACTAACCTCATCCCCTTGGACCTGGTAAACTCCTTGTACTTTGGGGAGGAATGTGGCCAGAGAGAGGACCATAGTGGAGCCCTTGAAAGCACAGGCTCCAGGGCAAAGTGTTCTTTTGCTCAATTATATGGGCATTCTTCTTATGGGTGTAGTTATTTGCTTATTGCTATGTAATGATTTGGATTTAATAATGCTATATTGAAAGTGCAATGGCCTACAGAACTGAGGGATCACGTTTTAGCTTAAATTCAATAGAAAAAAATGACTCTTTTATAAAAAAAAGTATTTAAATTTGTAAATTGTCATCCCTATCCACTAAGGGATATTAAATGTATTAAATGCTGGGAAATATATATGCACATATATATTTATATATGTATGTATGTGTGTGTGTGTGTATATATATATATAATAGTGATCAGAGAAAAAGACAAATGAAGACAAACAGCAATGAGGATAAAAATAGTCCAATCATATGAACTCCCAGATGCCATCTTGGAGGAAAATAAAAATTTCCATAGAAATCAATAGATAAGGAACAGATATTTAAGAAAATGTGCTTGGAACAAGTGCACATAAAATAACTAAAATTTAGTATAATGGCCATGAAGGAAAAAAATGTTATGCATGAAAACAAGACATTATGGAATATGAGAAAATTAGATGCTGAAGAAAATAATTGATTGGACTAAAATTATTCCATTAGGCACTCTGATTAATACTCATTATTTAGTGGGGAGAAATATAGAGGTTGTTATTAGAAGACCCAATAGGCCCACTATAACCTTTATATATCATTATATATATTTATATTGATCAATTTTACAGCTTCCAGTTTAAATAAAGGTTCAATCAGTCTCAGTAGATGCATTTTCTATATATTATAGGTATCTGTATATAATTACATATATGTGTATATATATTATATTGAATATTGACAGATTATAATCACTTACATTTATGGGGTATAGAGTTATGCTTTAAAATATGCATCCAATTTGGAATGACTAAATCAAGTTCATACCCATCGCCTCTAATAATTACCATTTATTTCTCCTGTCTCACAGAAACATTGTACTCTTTCAACAATATCTCTTCATTCCTCTCACTCCTAAATCTCTGGTAACTATTCTGTTCTCTACTTCTAGAATTCAACTATTATAGAGTCCACATAAAAGTGAGAACATATGGTATTTGTCTCTCTGTGCCTGGCTTATTTCACTTAGCATAATGTCTTTGTATTAGTCCTTTTACACACTGCTATAAAGAACTACCTGAGACTGGGTAATTTGTAAAGAAAAGAGGTTTAATTGACACACAGTTCCTGAGGCTGGAGAGGCCTCAGGAAAGGTACAATCATGGCAAAAGACAAAGGGGAAGCAAGATACATCTTATATGGTGGCAGGAGAGAAAGAGTGTGAAGGGGGAAGTGCCACCAGATCTTATGAGAACTCACTCACTATCACAAAACAGAAAAGGGGAAGTGTGCCCCCATGATTCAGTTACCTCCCACCAGGCCCCTCCCCCAACATGTTAGAATTACAATTTGAGATAAGATTTGGGCAGGGACGCAGAGCCAAACCATAGTGTTCTGCCCCTGGCCCCTTTAAAATATCATGTTCTTTTCACTTTTCAAAGCCAATCATGCCTTCCCAAGAGTTCCCCAAAGTCTTAACTCATTCCAGCATTAAACCAAAAGTCCAGTCCAAAGTCTTTCTGAGACAAACAAGTCCCTTCCACCTATGAGCCTGTAAAATAAAAAACAGATTAGTTACAATGGGGTTACAGGCATTGGGTAAATACTCCTGTTCCAAAAGGGAGAAATTGGTCAAAACAAAGGGGCTATGGGCCCCATCCAAATCCAAAACCCAGCAGGACAGTCATTAAGTCTCAAAGCTCTGAAATAATCTCCTTTGACTCCATGTCTCACATCCAGGGAATGCTGATGCAGCAAGTGGGCTCTCAAGGCCTTAGGCAATTCTACTCTTGTGTGTCTGCAAGATACAGCCCCTTTGATTGCTTTCATGGATTGGCATTGAGTGCCGACAGCTTTTCCAGGCAGCCAGGGCGAGCTATCGGTGAATTTATCATTCTGGGTTCTATATGACTGTGGCCTTCTTCTCACAGCTCCACTAGGCAGTGCCCCAGTAGGAACTCTGTGTGAGGGCTCCAACCCCACATTTCTCCTGTGCACTGCCCTCATAGAGGTTTCCATGACAGCTCCATTCCTGCAGCACACTTCTCCCTGGATATCCAGGCACTTCCCTATATTATCTGAAATCTAGGTGGAGGTTCCTAAACCTCAATTCTTGTCTTCTGCACACCTGCAGGCCCAGCAGTATGTGGAAGCTGCCAAGGCTTGGGGCTTGCACCCTCTGAAGCAGTGGCCTGAGCCATGGCTGGAGCTGGAGCTGCTGGGACACAGGTCTTCACGTCCCAAGGCTGCACAGAGGACCGAGGACCTGGGCCCAACCCAAGAAACAATTTTTCCCTTCTAGGCCTTTAGGACTGTGATGGGAGGTGCTGCCGTGAAGATCTCTGAAATGCCCTGGGGACTTTTTCCTCACTTTCTTGGAGATTAACATCAGGATCCTCTTGATTTATGCAAATTTATGCAGCCAGCCTGAATTTCTCCCCAGAAAATGGGTTTTTATTTTTTTAACCACATGGTCAAGTTGCAAATTTTCCAAACTTTTAATGTCTTCTTTCCTTTTAAACATAAATTCCAATTTCAAACCATCTGTTTGTGAATGCATGTGACTGTACACTTTTAGAAACTGCCAGGTCAGGGCGTGGTGGTGCATGCCTGTAATCCCAGCTGCTTGAGAGGCTGAGGCAGGAGAATCGCTTGAACCTGGGAGGTAGAGGTTGCAGTGAGCCAAAATCACAACACTGCACTCCAGTCTGGGTGACAGAGCGAGACTCCATCTCAAAAAAAAAAAAAAAAAAAAAAGGAAAAGAAAAAGAAACCACCAAGTCAAATCTTGAATGCCTTTCTGCTTACAAATTTCTTCTGCCAGATGCCCTAACTTATCTCTCTCAAGTTCAAAGTTTAACAGATCTCTAGGAGAGGGGCAAAATGTCACCAGTCTCTTTGCTAAAGCATAGAAAGAGTGACCTTTACTACAGTTCACAATAAGTTCCTCATCTCTATCTGAGACTACCTCAGCCGGGACTTTATTGTCCATATCACTATCAACATTTTGATCAAAACTATTCAAGAAGTCTCTAGGAAGTTCCAAACTTTCCCATATCTTCCCGTCTTCTTCTGAGCCCTCCAAACTCTCCCAACCTCTACCCGTTACCCAGGTCCAAAGTCACTTCCACATTTTCAGGTATCTTTGTAGCAGTGCCACACTTTCCTGGTACCAGTTTTCTGTATTAGTCCATTTTCACATTGCTATGAAGAACTACCTGAGACTGGGTAACTTATAAAAAAAAAGAAGTTTTAATTGACTCATAGTTCATGGCTGGAGAGGACTCAGGAAGGTTACAATCATGGCGGAAGGCAAAGAGAAAGCAAGGTACATAGTGACAGGAGAGAGCACAAAACGGGAAGTGCCACACACATTCAAATAGTTCCTTCTCATGTCACTTCCTTCTAATCCTCTGTCATTTAATTGCTCTCTGAAATGGCAGAGAGAGGTTGTTTACTTTTAAGGATTCATGTGATTAAATTAGGCTCACCTGGATAATCCAGGATAATCTCTCTAGCTCAAACTCCTAACTTTAATCACATTTGCAAAGTCATTGTTCCCATGCAAAGTAATAGATTCACAGGTTCTGAGGATTAAAATACGAATATCTTGGAGGGGGGCATTATTCTGCCTATGCAGAATTTTAATTATACTTTCCCCATTTTCCTTCTTTCTTGACTGATTTTTGTCACGATTTGGAAAATTATAAATTTCCCAAGAAATGCCAGGAAGGAATTTCCATATGGAAACATGGCAATACAGCCTGGAAAGCACTATGGACAGTTGCATGGACCTCACAGTAAGGAAATCTAACATAGGCTTCAGGCTGGGGAGAGCTTTATAGACAATGGATGTCATAAATAGGTTTTTGAAGAATGTGTAGTAGTTATCTTTGTGAAAGTTAAGGGAAGAGAGGATTGGAGTCATTAATTCACAGGACTGTGATTAAACTGAGACATACAAATTTCATTTTTAGGGGGAAGTTAAAAATAGTTTAGTATGAGTTCAAATGTAGGAGGAGAGGGATATAAAATTTGAGAGTTAAGCATTGGACCTGTGTAAGTCTTTTCTCATGCTGTTAATAAAGACATATCTGAGACTGGGTAACTTATAAAGGAAAGAGGTTTAATTGACTCACAGTTCAGGATGGCTAGGGAGGCCTCAGGAAAGTTAGAATCATGGCAGAAGGGGAAGCAACCATGCCCTTCTTCACATGGTGGCAGCAAGGAGAAGTGCCAAGCAAAAGGAGAAAAAGCCCCTTATAAAACCATCAGATTTAGTGAGAACTCATTATCATGAGAACAGCATGAGGGTAACTGACCCCCATGATTAAATTACCTCCCACAGGGTCCCTCCTGAGACATGTGGGGGTTGTTGGAACTATAGTTCAAGATGAGATTTGGGTGGGGACACAGCCAAACCATATCAGACCAAACATGAAAGTCTAAGAAGCTTTGACTTTTAAGACAACATTAGGAAGTGCTTGAAGGGTTGTAAACAGTGGCACCACAAAAAAAAAAAAAAAAGCTGTGTTTTTAAGATAACTTCAGAGGCTACAATACAGAGTATACATTTAAATACAATCAATAGATTAAAATGAAATAAACAGGGAAATGGTTTGAGAACATGCATAGTAATCACAATGAGAAACATTACAGTGACTTCAACTAAGTAGAGCAAGAAAAACACTAATATACAGCTACTGCGAGTGCAAGCGAATGCAGTAAATTTGGAAAAGAGTGTGGCAGTATCTAGTTAAAGATACACTTTTCTTACCAGCAATTCTGTAATCACTTGACAGGTTCTTCTTGTCTGCCGCGCAGAAAAGCCAATGCAGTGAGAACAGCAGGTTTTGCAGCAAAGAAAGAGTTTAATAATTGCAGGGCCAGCCAAGTGGAAGGATGAAAGATAATGCTCAAATCCACCTCCCTGAGAATTTGGAGGCCAGAGTTTTTCAAGGATAGTTTGATGGACAGGGGGTAGGGACTGGGGAATGCTAATTTGTTGGGTAAGGGATGAAATCATAAAGGGTCAAAGCTGTCTTCTTGCACTGAGTCAGTTCCTGGATCAGGGGTTCATGAGACCAGCTGAGCCAGTTTTTTTTTTTGTTTGCTTTTTGTTTTTTTGTTTTTTTGAGACGGAGTCTCACTCTGTCACCCAGGCAATGGTGCAATCTCGGCTCACTGCAACCTCCACCTCCTGGGTTCAAGCGATTCTCCTGCCTCAGCCTCCTGAGTAGCTGGGATTACAGATGAGCACCACCATGCCTGGCTAATTTTTATGTTTTTAGTAGAGATGGGGTTTCCCCATGTTGGTCAGGCTGGCGGCTTTTTGTTTGTTTGTCTGTTTGTTTGTTTGTTTTTTAATGGGTTACCTGTCCAGGTGACATCAGCTGGTCCATCAAAATACAGGGTCTAAAAAATACATCAAGCACCAATCTTAGGCTTTACAGTAGTGATGTTATCTATAGGAGCAACTGAGGAGGCTACAATCTTGTGACTTCCAGCTACATTATTCCTGAACCATACTTTTAACCTTATGCCTAATTTGTTAGTTTTACAAAGGTAGTTTCAGTCCCTTAGCAGGGAGGGGTTACTTTTGGGAAGCAGCTATTATCATCTTTGTTTTAAAATTAAACTATGAATTCCTCCATAGTTAGCTTGGCCTATGCCCAGGAATGAACAAGGACAGTTTGTGAAGTTAGAAGCAAGATAGTCAGCTATGTTAGATTTTTCTCACTGTCATAATTTTTGCAAAGATGGTTTCAATTCCACTCATTTTTGCATAGAAAATGCATGCTTATGTGTACCAGGATACACATTCAGGAATGTTTAGAGTGGCATCATTTGTAATAACTGAAGGATAGATATAATGTAATAGCTATCAATGGCAATATGGTTATACGAACTGTGATGTGTTCATACATGGAAGTCTGTATTGCAATGAACAGTATCAGGCAAGTGGTCATCCAACAACATAGATGGAATTTAAAAACATAATGAAAAGTTAATATCAAAGAAGCCAGATCTAATAATATCCTAAATGATTCCATGTGTATAAATATTGAAAACATACATGTATACATGCATGCATGTATACATACATACACTCAGAAGAGTTTGGAAAAGGAAGACTTGCTGAGTCTTCTGGCCTCCATCTTTCTCCCATGCTGGATGCTCCCTGCCCTCAAACATTGGACTCCAAGTTCTTCGGCTTTTGGACTCTTGGATTTACACCAGTGGTTTGCCAGGGGCTCTTGAGCCTTTGGCCACAGACTAAAGGCTGCACTGTCAGCTTCCCTACTTTTGAGGTTTTGGGACTCGGACTGGCTTCCCTGCTCTTCAGCTTGCAGACAGCCTATTGTGGGGCTTCAACTTCCGATTGTGTGAGTCAATACTTCTTAATGAACTCCGCTTCATGTACACATCTATCCTGTTAGTTCTGTCCTTCTAGGGAACCCTGACTAATACAGATCTAGGTGTACATACAAACAGATTTTGTGTACACACATACATGTACACACATACACGTATACAACATACATCCCTACACATGCATGTGTGCACACATACATGTACACGTGCATGCAAGAATACACGTGCCCATACATACGTGTGCACATCCACACACGTGCCTACACACATGCATGTGTGCACACATGTGCACACACAAATATGTATGCAAATACATGCATGCACACATAAATAACGTGTGCATACATGCATGTACACACATGCACACACGTGCACATACATATGTGCATACACACATAATGCATGTACAATATATACATACATGTAGGCACACATGAGCACAATGTATACATGTACACATGCATATATGTGCATACACATGCACACAAACGTACATGTGTATACAAATGTGTATACACACATGCATACACACACATGTATACATGTGTAAACAAATGCATGCAAACATGCATGTGCACATTTATGCATACACGAATACCTACACACAAACATACAAACATTCTGTGTACACACATACATGGATACACATGCATACATGCACACACACACATGCATCCATGCCTGCAGGCATGCATGTGCAGACATATGTGTACACAAATGCATACCCGCAGATGCATGTACACATGGGTACACACACATATAGTTATACAGATATGTAGAGGCATGTGCACACAGGTGTACATACATGTATACATACACGTGTATTCACATGTACATGCATGTATGTACATATGCATGTGCAGATACATGTGTACAAACATACATACATGTACACATGTATAATGCACATGTTCATGCCTGTGCACACACATTTAGGCATACACATGCATATGTAGATGCATGTGTACATGCATTTATACATCTACACATGCACAGACACACATACATGTACACATGCATACTGTGTACATAATACATGTATACAGATACATGTGTGCATGCACGTGTACACACATGCATGCATACACACATGCATTTGTAGATATATGTGTAGGTGTGTACACACAACATACACATATGCATCCACACATACACATATACACATGAGGTGGCACGTTCAGCTTTCAAGAGGACAATCAGGGACTTTGTCACCTTGACAACTTTAGCTTTGCCTTCTAGTCATCTTGCCGGAACACTTGTGCCCGTGTTTTTCTAGCACTGTCATAAGAATACTTTTACCTATCAAGGCAACTGGGGGTTAGGAGAGCTTTTTGCACAGAAGGCTACTTGGCTTTGTTTGAAAACTGATGATACATGAGGATTGGGATGGTGAATCACTCACATGTTTCTTCATATGAAAAATGAGGACTGTGGAATTCTCTGGCTGGATCTCAGCACCTAGAAATGGATCTGGGCAATAGGAACTGCTCAGTATTAGCTACTGCTTTGGTTGCCTTCTCCTTGCAGAAAGCTGGCCTCTCACACTGAATTTGTATCATAGGCACTCATGAGGGTCTTGACTGTATCAATATCTGATGAGAGATTTTAGTGCAATTCTGTTATCGTGGCTGATTTGCTCATTTGGTAGCTAGCATCCAGCTTCTTGTGAACATTAAAATAAAATAAAATAGATTATGGAGGAATAAAATACAGATACGTAGTAAGGTATTATTTTCCAGACAAAATGGATTTGGATAAAAGAATCTAATTAAGAACTTGTGCATGATTCTTTTAAAATTCTTTTGAATCCATTTTTTTTTTTTTTTTTTTTTGGCCTGTTTTCAAGTCTCCGATTTTTGTCACCCTTCTCACACCCGGTCAGAGAGATAGCCAATGGTCAGAAGGAATCTTGCAGCAATGACCATAGAGCGCTTTCTCCTGCCTGCAGACGCCTCTTTTTATTCAGCCTTTATGGGAAGTAGCAGCACCATCCAGTTCTCAGAGAGCAAGCTCTGGAGTAACTGAGCTAACCCGGGTTACCCCAGTGGATTTACAGATTGAGGTTAGAACCCAGCAGGGTTCTCTTCCTGGAAAGAATAGCCTTCCCTCTAAGGTTTCAAATAGACCCTGGGTGAGGAAAGAGCCCTAAACAGCTTGAAAAATTGAATGCTCTTTGGGCAAAGTAGGAAGCCCTCCTATGGAAGAGCATCATTTGAGCATATATCAGGTTATCAGGACAAACAGAGTGTTCAGGAGGTCAAGATGGTTAAGCAGAGAGCCTGACCAGAATGTCCGTGGCGGAGAGAAACAATCTTGTTGGGAAAAGGATGACAATAATTGGGGACTTAGAATAAAGGCTAAAAATGATTCAAAGAGAATGCAAAAAGAATCAGGCACAAATCGTTTACTATATTCTATTATGCAAATCTCACCTTACTATGTGTTTGTATTCTATTCCTCCACAATCTTTATTTTATTTTAATGTTAAAAGAGACTTGTAGGTGCCAATTAAATGAACAAAACAGCCAGAGACAACAGAACTGCACTAAAAAAAGTCCCGCATCAGCTCTTGAGAGCAGGTTCCTTAAAGGTGAACAATATTCCACATACAAGGACTTTTTCAGCACCATGCATTAGAAATGGAAGTGAATGTTTATTATTTTTTGTATAAGTTGGTTGATATGGCTTTTCAGCTTCCCTCAGTATCATTATCCAAATTTTGTAGATGACACTAAAGCTCAGAGGAGTTAAACCATTTTTCTCAAATCACATAGCTTTAAATAGGAAAACCAGATATGAAAAGCAGATTTTTTTCTAAATTAAAAAAACAAAAACAAAAACACGTGAGCTCTTGCTTTACCCTAGCACATAGTCTTGCCATCTGTTTTCTCCACACCAGGTCATTCCTGTAACATTCATTCACATAACAAATACAAATAAATGAGTGGATTCATTCATCAGATATTAATTCAGAATCCCTTTTGTGTCTACCACAAATCTGGACCATCTCACAACCTTTTGTGCCTTCCAGAAATCTGGACCATCTCACAACCCCCAGAGTCTCAGCTACAAGGAACAAGTGATAATGCCATCCCACTTTTATAAACACACACACACACACATGCAACACACACACAATCATTTAATCATTTTTAATTAATTATTTTTTAAAAATCAGTGACACTTTAGCTGGGCAGGTCTAGGTAGGTCTTCTTTGCTGGGACGTGTCTTTTTCTGTCCCGGAATACCCTAAACTTGACATTTTGGCAGCGTGAGTTTTCCCTTTGTGACTTTCTCCTTCTTCCCTTTTTTCCTCCTTCTTTGCAGAGAATGAGTAGCCACTGTGCCTTGCCCTGCGCCATCAATGAGAAGATCTGTCTTAGTAGAGCCCTGCTTTCCCGCTGAAGGCCCTGAAATTACCTGTGTTCCAGGCCACCCACTAAGGATAAACAAAGCTTCCCTGATATGGGGAATTAGCCCAAGTGGTAGAGCGCTTGCTTAGCATGCAAGAGGTAGTGGGATCGATGCCCACATTCTCCAAGCTTTATTATTTAGGTACCCAAACCCGAGTCAGTGTCTGAGAGCAAGACACTGCTCTCAGTGTCTTTGGTTCAAGACATAGGAGCAGCAACAATACAGGACTGGTGACAGCTTCCTGCTGGCATTCAGTATAGTGTAGATCTACTGTGTAATTCATTTGCTGTTTCTTCAAGGAGCTGTGAAACCAAGGGACATATAAAACTGCTCTTTTCTCCCTGATTCTGCCTGCAGCTTGGTCCTAAATGTGAGACAATTGTGAAAAGTGGAGGACAGAGCCACCTGGTTAAATACAGCCCCGGCTTTCTGGTGAGAGGATTGAAACCAAGATGTGTCAAGTAACTAGAATGTGCCTGGACAGATACTGTAGAAAGCAAACCCATAAAGTTGTTCATGAGCTTGTGGACACACCTGCCAGCTGTGAATAAGTGGCTCTAATCCCAAACAACTTACCTAAAAAGAGCCTGAGAGCTGAACTGTGCAATGGCCCACTTTCCAGTCCTCACTGACCACTGGGTTGCACACACTTTGGAGATCTCTGAACAGCAGTGTCAAGCCTTTCAAATAGAGTTATCTTCGAAACGACAACACATGGAAGTCTGGTTGATACTTGGAGCTTAAATACAAGGCAATTGTGTACCTGCAAAAACAAAAATAGCAATATTATCCTTAAGATTTCAGCAAGACACAGTGTCTCATCACATAATCCAAAGAAGTCCAGGTTACAAGCCCCAAAATATTCAGCATTATGAAAAAACAGGGAGATCTTAATTCACATGGCAAAGAGAATCCTCGAATAACAATATTGAGAGGACACAGATGTCAAAATCATCTGACACATACTTTAAAGCAGATATTATAACAATGCTCCTAGAATCGGGGATAACATTGGTGAAGTGAATGGAAAGTTGGAAAGTCTAACCAAATATTTCGAATATATAAACACCAATTTAAACTTAAGAATTAAAAAAATGTATTAACCAAAACTCTTAGGGGAAATAAAAAGCTTAATTGGAGGATCTCCATAATAGAATGCAGAAGACTAAGGAAAAAGTCAATGAACTTGAAAACAGAACACGAATACCTACATAATCTGAACTATAGAGAGAAAGGAGGATTTTATTGTCTCTGAACAGAGGCTCAGGGACAAATAAAAAATAACAAATCCAACATTCACATTATTGTAATCTGGAAAGAAGAGGACAAAGTGGTCTTTGTGGGATAAAACTTTGAACAATTAATAGCTGAAAATGGTTCAAATTTGTCAAAAGATATAAACCAGATTTTTAAAGTTCAGTAAATGTCAATCAGGATAAACCCAAAGAAACCCATAGCAAGGCATATCATAATCAAACTGCTGAAAACTAAGAAAATACAAAACAATTTTGAAAGCAGCCAAAGGGAAATGAAAGAGAAACTACCATATGAATGATTGTAGATTTCGCATCAGGAACCATAGGGGCCAGAAAAAATGTCATAACATTCGGTAAGTAACAAAAGAAAAAGACATATCGACCCAGAATGCTATGTGGAGCAAAAGTATCTTCCAGACATAAAGGCAAATAAATGCATTCTCAGTGGAAGGTAAGTAAATACATTCTCATTCTTAGGAAGACTGCTGGAAAAGAATTGGCAAAGATTTGAGATAAGAAAAATGATACCAGAAGGAAACTTAGAACATCATCAGTGAAGGAACAAAAGCAGAAATAGAAAATGTCTGGGTAGACATAACAGACTATTATTCTTCCCTTGAGTTCCTTAAGGTATGTTTGATGATTGAAAGCAAAAATTGTAACTTTATCAGAAGCAGTTGTCATTATATCCAGATGTACTACATACATAAGATAAAAGGGTAAGTGTAATGGGACTAACTCTTGATGAAGTTTCTTTATTCAACTTGAATGGTAAAATATTGATTCTAAGTACACTGTGAAAGGTTATATATGTATATGGTAAACCCTAGACCACCTACTAACAAGATTTAAGTAAACCAAAACAAGATAGAAAGAGGAACATAGATGAATTAAAACAAAGGGAAACAAGGTTAATAAATTATTAAATAATAGACCTATCTAAAAACTTATCTATAATGACATTACATGTAAATAATCTAAATGCATTAATTAAAAACTAGAGATCATCAGAATGTGTTAAAAATAAATATGCTGACTAAAGAAAGCCACCTGCTATACACTTATATATAAGAATAAAAGTTATAGAGCAGATTGAAAGAAAAGAGTGGGAAAAGATACCTCATGCAAGCACTAATCAAAGACAGCTGTGGTGTATATATAAAAAATCAGGCAAAGTAGATTTGAAAGCAGAGAAACTTTTCAGGAATAATGAGGGCTGCTAAATAATTACGATTGTCAATTTTCCAGGGGAATATTGTCCCAAGTGTATATGAGAACACAGAGTTTCAAAACTCATAAAAAAAATTGGATACGCAAGGTAAAAACAGAAAAATCCAATTATAGTTGCCAACACTAACACTCCTCTCTCAGTAATTGGTAGACTTAGTAGAAAACAAATCAGCAAACATATTGGAGAATTAAACCATACCATCCAGTAATGGACCTATTAACTTCATAATGCAAAATAAAAATTTAGGTAGAAGGCAAAGACAAAAATTAAAAGAAAAGTAAGATCATGTCATAACCAGGAAATTAAGAGTAGTCCAGCATATAGAAGAGTGCTATTATTGGAAGAGTTATTTAGTTATTTTGAGACATTTTTTGAAAGAGTTATTTAGCTGGAAATGACAGAAAGACTGAAAATGGTGCATCTGGAGGTGGATCTTCCCTTGTCCATATTTATTTTGTCTTTTTTTGAGGTCTAGGGTGTCTATACTTCCTCTGAATTACCTACAGTGTCTGACACAGAGCATCTCCCCAGTGAATATGTACTAAATGAGTAGAAAGTAATTTATAGATTCAGAAGAGTTGTGCAAGAATAATGTTCATTATTTGACAAATCCTTGAATGTAGTGTTTGAAGGAAGACAATAAGTCAAAGTTGACTTGAAAGGTAAGCCCAAGTCCAGACTCTTTTCTGTAATCCCAGCACTTTGAGAGGCCAAGATGGGCAGATCCCGTGACACCAGGAGTTTGAGACCAGCCTGGACAACACAGTGAAACCCTGTCTCTACAAAAAATACAAAAATTAGCCAGGTGTGGTGGTATGCATCTGTAGTTCCAGCTACTCAGGAGGCTGAGGTGGGAGGATCACTTGAATCCGGGAGGCGGAGGTTTCAGTGAACAGAGATCGCACCGGTGCCTGGACAACAAAGTGAGACCCTGTCATAAAATAAAATAAAATAAAATAAAATAAAATAATAAAATAAAATAAAATAGTTAAACCCAGGCCGGGAGGGGTAGCTCACACATGTAATCACAGCACTTTGGGAGGCTGAGGTGGGCGGATCACCTGAGGTCAGGAGTTTGAGACCAGCCTGGCCAACATGGTGAAACCCCGTCTCTACTAAAAATACAAAAATTAGCTGGGCGTGGTGGCAAGCACCTGTAGTCCCAGCTACTCAGGAGGCTGAGACAGGAGAATTACTTGAACCCGGGAGACAGAGGTTGCTATGAGCCAAGATCTCACCAGTGCAGTACAGCATGGGTGACAGAGCGACACTCTGTCAAAAAAAAAAAAAAAAAAAAAAAAAAAAAAACTCCAAAAAGTAAGTAAAGAGGAGGTTTGGAATTAGATATTTGGTGTATGAATGAATGGGCTAAAGTGCAAAAGAACAGGCAGAATAACTGAGCTGGTACAGAGGAAAAAAATCACACTTAAAATCTAAAAATATCTGCTTCTCAATTTGGGCTTTCCCACTTAGCAGCTTTGGCACCTTAGAAAGAACACTTAACTTACCTGAGCTTCTATTACTTCTAAAAAGTGCATAAAGTGCAGGCTAAGACATAGTTTTTTGGCAAAATTCAGTCAGACTACATCAAGTAAACTCCCTAAGTCTCCTAGTATAATTCATGGCACAAAAACTGGGGAAAAAACAGGGAGGATATGATTATAAGTTCAGTTTGTGTTTTTTGTTGAGTGAATGTCTCCAGCCATAGAGATGCAAGTGTAGATACACAGTAAGAGTAGTATGAATGGCAGACACCTTGGAAGGCTATTTCTTCCTTCATTCATTCAGTTGGTCACTCAATGAACTATCATGAATTGAGCACTACCTCTGTTTCTTATCAACAAAGGAGACTACGGAAAAGAAGAGTGACTAAGATCTCTGAAGAAGGGAAAAGCTAGATGACTGGGCCACAAGAGGAAAAAAAGCAGCAAGACAGGTACAATTGTTTCTGGTCCCTCAAGCCAGAAGGTCCTATCATTATGTGAATACTGGAAACGGGTGGACTCCACCTGTCCTGAGTGGGGAATTCTTCCAGTGCAGCACTGGCTGATAAGGAGTGATTTCCAAGTAGCATTGATTGTGTTCTTTAAAAGCTAGGAATTGATAAAGCAGCAGTGCGTGGGAAATGAGATTTAATAATCTGGATCTCAGCTCTTAGGAACAGTTGCTCTCTTAGAGCAGCAGGCCGCCTGTCAATCTCGTATTCTGAAGGTCCTGAGTTTGAACATCAGACAAGGTACAGCTTTTGCCGCTCTTTCCGTTAAGGGAAATGAAATAGGTGTGATAAATAATGGAACACAAATGCTATGAGATAATGATTTCAAGACAGTCCAAATATTAGCTTAAAATTTAAAAATGAGCTTTCCTTTCTTTCTTTCTTTCTTTCTTTCTTTCTTTCTTTCTTTCTTTCTTTCTTTCTTTCTTTCTTTCTTTCTTTTTTCTTTCTTTCTTTCTTTTTCTTTCTTCCTTTCTTTCTTCCTTTCTTCTTTCTTTCTTTCTTTCTTTTTCTCTTTTTCCTTCTTTTGGCTTCTTAGTGGTTTGAATACAAGGCGTGGTGAAGAGATATAAATTACACAAGAAACTACAAGCTATGTCAATGTCTACCTCTCTAGCTGACAAGGGAAGCAGGGGAAATTTCTCTTCCAACTGTCTGCTCTGAAGGTCATCCAAACATAATTATCGGGTGGGGTGGGTGAACTCTTTTATTCTTTTAATCATCCAACAAATATTTCTCAAGCGCATACCTTGTTAAGAGACTGTTTTGGGTACAGTAATTCACAGTGAATAAAACACAGATATTCTCACCTTTGTGATACTACGTCATAGTTGCAAGGAGTGGGGAGAAACAGACAGGAAGCAAAGAAGAAAAACAAGAAGTCATGTGATGATATCTACTGGGAGGGACTCATTAGGCAGTAAAGGACTCAGCAGTGTGGAGGTGACACATTCAGTTTTCAGTAGAAGAGTCAGGGAAGTTGTCACTTTGAAGCTATCATTTAGCTTCCCTTTCTTTCAATCTTCTTTCTTTACATGGGAAATAAGGATTGTGGGATATTTTTGGGTGGATCACAGCACCTAGAGATGGATCTGATCAATAAGAACTGCTCAGTAAGCATTAGCTACTGCTTCGGTTGCCTTCCCCCTGTGGAGTGCTGGCCTCTTGGATTGAGCTTGCATCATAGGTGTTCAGTAGGAGCTTGCTTAGTGGATTTATAGGTTGAGGTTAGAACCCACTGGAATTCTCTTCCTGGAAAGAACAGGCTTCTCTTTAAGGTTTCATACAGACCCTGGGTGAGGAAAGAGCTCTAAATTGCTTGAAAAATTGAATGCTCTATGGGCAAAGCAAGAAGCCCTCCTATGGAAGGGCATTATTTGGGCCTATATCAGGGTCTCAGTAAAAACATGAGTGCTCAGGAAGTCAAGATGGTTAAGCAGAGAATCTGACCAGAATGTTCATGGTGCAAAGAAATAATCTTGTTGGGGGTAGGATTACAACAACTGGGGAATTAGAATACAGGCTAAATGAGATTCAAAAATAATACAACAAGAATCAGGCACAAATCCTTTACTACTACATTCTTTTGTACAAATCCATTTTGCCTAGAAAATCGTACCTTACTATACATCCCTATTGTGTTTCTCCACCATCTATTTTACTTTTTAAACTTTATTTCATTTTTATCATCACAGAAGTTTGTTGCTACAAAATAAATGAGCAAATCAACCAATGGCAACAAAACTGCACTGATATCTCTCCTTAGACCTTCAGAACATTTTCCTTAAAGGTGAACAATACTCCACGTTCAAGGACTTTTTCAGCACTATGTGCTAGAAACTATACTGACTGTTTATTAATTTTTATGTAAGTTGGTCGATATAGTTTCTCAGCTTCCCCAAGTATTATTACCACAGTATTATAGATGACACTGAAGCTCAGAGCAGTTAAACCATTTTCCTCAGATCACATAACTTTAAAGAGGGAAACCAGATATGGGAAGCAGATTTCTTTCTAAATGAAAAAATCATGAGCTCTTGCTTTCACTTAGCACATAGTCTCATCATCTGTTTTCTTCACACCAGCTCACTCATGTAACATTCATTCATTTACCAAATACAGATAAATAAGTGGATTTATTCTTGCATTCATCAGATACTAATTCAAAATCGCTTCTGTGTCTGCTACACTGTGCTCAAGACTTCCCAGTGCCTTTGTCTCCTCTCCCTCAAATCTCTCCACCCAATGTCTTGACAAATACTGTAGATTCTTCCTGCATAACCTCTCCAGAATCTTTTCCTTCTGTTATCCATGCTACAGTGTTTATGGAGGATGTTTTCTTCACCTATGAAGTGTGATGGGGGCTGAAGCTGCAGAAAGACTCATGCTGTTCACCTCAGGAGCTGACACAGTAAATGTGGATAAACCTCAATCCTTTAATATCTTTATGACTTCTTTCCCAGTTACCCCAGCAAATTTACAGATTGAGGTTAAAACCACAACAGGACTATCTTCCTGGAAAGAATAGGCTTCCCTTTAAGGTTTCACATAGATACTGGGTGAGGAAGGAGCCCTAAATTGCTTGAAAAATTGAATGGTCTTTGGGCAAAGCAGGAAGCCTTGCTATGGAAGAGCATCATTTGAACATAAATCAGAGTCTCAGTACAAACAGAGTGCTCAGGACATCAAGATGGTTAACCAGAGAGCCTGACCAGAATATCTGTGGTGGAGAGAAACGATCTTGTTGGGAGAAGGATGACAATAATTGGGGACTGTAGAGTAAAGGCTAAAAATGATTCAAAGAGAATGCAAAAAGAATCAGGCACACATCCTTTACTATACTCTGTTGTGCAAATCTCACCTTACTATGTGTTTGTATTCTATTCCTCCACAATCTTTATTTTATTTTATTTTTATGTTCACAGAGATTTGTTGGTGCCAACTAAATGAGCCTAACAGCCAGTGACAACAGAACTGCACTAAAAAAAGTCCCTCATCAGCTCTTGAGAGCAGGTTCCTTAAAGGTGAACAATATTCCACATACAAGGACTTTTTCAACACCATGCATTAGAAATGGAAGTGAATGTTTATTATTTTTTGTATAAGTTGGTTGATACGGCTTTTCAGCTTCCCTCAGTATCATTATCCAAATTTTGTAGATGACACTAAAGCTCAGAGGAGTTAAACCATTTTTCTCAAATCACATAGCTTTAAATAGGAAAACCAGATATGAAAAGCAGATTTTTTTCTAAATTAAAAAAAACAAAAAACAAAAAACTTGAGCTCTTGCTTTACCCTAGCACATAGTCTCACCATCTGTTTTCTCCACGCCAGGTCATTCATGTAACATTCATTCACATAACAAATACAAATAAATGAGTGGATTCATTCATCAGCTATTAATTCAGAATCTCTTTTGTGTCTACCACACTAGGCTCAAGACTTCCCAATGTCTTTGTCTCCTCTCCCTCAAATCTCTCCACCCAATGTCTTGACAAATACTGTAGATCCTTCCTGCACAACATCACCAGAATGTTCTTCTTTCTTTCCATTCACCTCTGTCATCATCCATGCTATGGTGTTTATGGAGGATGTATTCTGCAGCATGAAGTGTGATGGGCACTGACGCTGCAGAAAGACTCCTGCTGTCCACCTCGGGAGCTGACACGATAAATGCGGGTAAAACTCAATCATTTAATATCTTTATGACTTCTTTCTCTTACTCTTCAATTTCTATTTTCTCATGTTCAAGCTCTGACATTGAAAACTAAACACCTTTCTCTAACATGTTGCTTTAATTATTTAAGCATTCTGCCTGGGATTTTTTCAATTACTCTTGGGAGTTTTCATAAAACTCTCCCAACATATCTCCAAGTGGCCAGGCTTTTCAATCACTGCTTCCCTCCATGTGTATTTCACACACACACACACACACACAGCACTTAAATTGAACAGCTTTATTTCTTCACACAGGAATTCCTACAAACAGCCCGGTTTTCTCCACCATATGTCCACTCCTTCTCTGCATAGCTCAATTTTGATTCTTACACTCTAATATTTTACATATTCTTACACTCTGATATGATTTTGTCTCTTTATGGCTCTGCTCTGTAATTTTGTTGTTGTTGTTCTTAGATATAGTTGGACATGTAACTTGTACATGACACACCTTAGCAAGGAGGCAACCTATATCTCAGATGCAAGTGAAAGAAGCACTCTCCAGGGGTTTCCTAAGGTAGTGGTCAGCACGCTGGCTTCATTCCTGAGAGGGCCTAGTTATGAAAACAACAGGAGCTTTTTGCCTTCCAGAAATCTGTACCATCTCACAACCCCCAGAGAGTCTCAGCTACAAGGAACAAGTGATAATACTATCTCACTTTTATAAACACACACACACAACACACACACACAAAATCATTTAATCATTTTTAATTATTTAATCATTTTTTAAAAATCAGTGACACTTTAGATGGGCAGGTCTAGGCAGGGCCTCCTTTCCTGGAATGTGCCTTTTTCTGTCCCGGAATACCCTAAACTTGACATTTTGGCAGCGTGAGTTTTCCCTTTTTGACTTTCTCCTTGTTCCCTTTCCTCTTCCTTCTTTGCAGAGAATGAGTAGCCACTGCACCTTGCCCTGGGCCATCAGTGAGAAGATCTGCTCTTAGTAGAGCCCTGCTTTCCCGCTGAAGGCCCTGAAATCCCCTGTGTTCCAGGCCACCCACTAAGGATCAGTAAAGCTCCCCTGATGTGGGGGAATTAGCGCAAGTGGTAGAGTGCTTGCTTAGCATGCAAGAGGTAGTGGGATCGATGCCCACATTCTCCAAACTTTATTATTTAGACCCTGGGTCTCCAAACACTCAGGTCTCCAAACCCAAGTCAGAGAGCAGGATGCTGCTTTGGTTCAAGATGTAGGAGCAGCAACAATACAGGGCTGGTGACAGCTCCCTCCTGGCATTCAGTATAGTGTAGATCTACCGTGTAATTGATTTTCTGCTTCTTTGAGGAGCTGTGAAACCAAGGGACATAAACAATTGCTCTTTTCTCCCTGTTTCTGCCTGTAGCTTGAATGTGAGGCAACTGTGAAAAGTGCAGGGCAGAGCCACCTGGGTAAATACAGCCCTGGCTTTCTGGTGAGAGGACTGAAACCAGGATGTGTCAAGTAACTAGAATGTGCCTGGACAGATACTGTAGAAAGCAAACCCATAAAGTTGTTCATGAGCTTGTGGATGCACCTGCCAGCTGTGAATAAGTGGCTCTAATCCCAAACAACTTACCTAAAAAGAGCCTGAGGACTGAAC
The DNA here is from genome assembly GCF_000001405.40 of Homo sapiens. Lineage (NCBI taxonomy): Eukaryota > Metazoa > Chordata > Mammalia > Primates > Hominidae > Homo > Homo sapiens. Next base: position 57,860,690 of record NC_000006.12, on the reverse strand, counting down.
TGAACAATGGTCCACTTTCCAGTCCTCACTGACCACTGGTTGCACACACTCCAGAGATCTCTCAACCGCAGTGTCAAGGCTTTCAAATAGAGTTATCTGTGAAACGACAACACATGGAAGTCTGGTTGGTACTTGGAGCTTAAATACAAGGCAACTGTGTGCCTGCAAAAACAAAAATATCAATATTATCCTTAAGATTTCAACAAGACACAGTGTCTCATCACATAATCCAAAGAAGTCCAGGTTACAAGCCCCAAAATATTCAGCATTATGAAAAACCAGGGAGATCTTAACTCACATGGCAAAGAGAATCCTTGAATAACAATATTGAGAGGACACATATGTCAAAATCATCTGACACATACATTAAAGCAGTTATTATAACAATGCTCCTAGAATTACGGGATAGCATTCATGAAGTGAATGGAAAGTTGGAAAGTCTCACCAAATATTTGGAATATGTAAACACCAATTTAAACTTAAGAATTAAAAAAAGTATTAACCAAAACTATTAGGGGAAATAAAATGCTTAATTGGATGATCTCAATAGCAGTATGCAAAAGACTAAGGAAAGAGTCAATGAACTTGAAAACAGAACAAGAATACCTACATAATCTGACCTATAGAAAGAAAGGAGGATTTTATTGTCCCTGAACAGAGGCTCAGGGACAAATAAAAAATAACAAATCTAACATTCACATTATTGTAATCTGGAAACATTCACATTATTGTAAGAGGACAAAGAGGTCTTTGTGGGATAAAACTGTGAAGAATTAATGGCTGAAAATATATCAAATTTGTCAAAAGATATAAACCAGATTTTTAAAGTTCAGTAAATGTCAAGCAGGATAAACCAAGAGAAACCCATTGCAAGACATATCATAATCAAACTGCGGAAAATTAAGAAAATACAAAACAATTTTGAAAGCAGCCAAAGGGAAATAAAAGATAAAATACCAAATGAATGATTGTAGATTTCTCATCAGGAACCCAGGAGCCAGAAAAAAATGTCATAACATTCAGTAAGTACCAAAGGAAAAATACATTATCAACCCAGAATGGTATGTGGAGCAAAAGTATCTTCCAGACATAAAGGCAAATAAATACATTCTCATTGGAAGGTAAATAAATACATTCTCAGTCCTAGCAAAACTGCTGGAAAAGAATTAGCAAAGGTTTGAGATAAGAAAAGTGATACCAGAAGGAAACTTAGAACATCATCAGTGAAGGAACAAAAGCAGAAATAGAAAATGTCTGGGTAGACATAACAGACTATTATTCTTCTCTTGAGTTCCTTAAGGTATGTTTGATGGTTGAAAGCAAAAATTGTAACTTTATCTGATGCAGTTGTCATTGTATCTAGATGTACTACATACATAAGATAAAAGGGTAAATGTAATGGGACTAACTCTTGATGAAGTTTCTATATTCAACTTGAATGGTAAAATATTGATTCTAAGTATACTGTGAAAAGTTATATATGTATATGGTAATCCCTAGACCACTTACCAACCAGATTGAAATAAACCAAAACAAGATAGACAGAGGAACATAGAAGAATTAAAACAAAGGGAAAAAAGGTTAATAAATTATTAAATAGTAGATCTATCTAAAAACTTATCTATAATAGCATTATACGTAAATTATCTAAATGCATTAAGTAAAAACTAGAGATCATCAGAATGTGTTAAAAATAAATATGCTGACTAAAGAAAGCCACCTACAATACACTTATAAATAAGAATAAAAGTTATATAGCAGCTTGAAAGAAAAGAGTGGGAAAAGATACCTCATGCAAGCATTAATCAAAGACAGCTGTGGTGTATATATATAAAATCAGACAAAGTAGATTTGAAAGCAGAGAAACTTTTCAGGAATAATGAGGCCTCCTAAATAATTATGATTGTCAATTTTTCAGGAGAATATTGTCCCAAATGTATATGAGGACACAGAGCTTCAAAACTCATAAACAAAATTGGATACGCCAAGTTAAAATAGAAAAATCCAGTTATAGTTGCAGTCATTAACACTCCTCTCTCAGTAATTGGAAGATTTAGTAGAACACAAATCAACAGACATACTGGAGAATTGAACCATGCCATCCAGTAATGGACCTATCAATTTCATAATGCAAAATAAAAATTCAGGTAGAAAGCAAAGACAAAAATTAAAAGAAAAGCAAGATCATGTTATAATCAGAAAATTAAGAGTAGTCCAGCATATAGAAGGGTGCTATTATTGAAAGAGTTTGAAATAGTGACTTAGTTATTTTGAAACATTTTTGAAGGCGTTATTTAGCTGGAAATGACAGAAAGACTGAAAATGGTGAATCTGGAGGTGGATCTTCCCTTGTCCATATTTATCTTGTCTTCGTTTGAGGTCTGGGGTGTCTGTACTTCCTCTGAATTACCTGATCTTACTACAGTGTCTGGCACAGAGCATCTCCCCAGTGAATATGTACTAAATGAGTAGAAAGTAATTGATAGATTCAAAAGACTTGTGCAAGAATAATGTTCATTATTTGACTAATCACTGAATGTGGTGTTTGAAGGAAGACAATGAATCAAAGTTGACTTGAAAGGTAAGCCCAAGGCCAGACGTGGTGGCTCATTTCTGTAATCCCAGCACTTTGGGAGGCCGAGATCAGTGGATCCCTTGACACCAGGAGTTTGAGACCAGCCTAGGCAACACAGTGAAAACCTGTCTCTACAAAAAATACAAAAATTAGCTGGGTGTGGTGGTATGCATCTGTAGTTCCAGCTACTCAGGAGGCTGAGGTGGGAGGATCGCTTGAACTCAGGAGGTGGAGGTTGCAGTGAACAGAGAACGCACCGGTACCTGGACAACAAAGTGAGACCCTGTCATAAAATAAAATAGTTAAACCCAGGCCAGGAGGGGTGGCTCATGCCTGTAATCCCAGCACTTTGGAAGGCCAAGGTAGGCTGATCACGTGACGTTAGGAGGTTGAGACCAGCCTGGCCAACATGGTGAAACCCCGTCTCTACTAAAAATACAAAAATTAGCCAAGCATGGTGGCAGGCACCTGTAGTCCCAGCTACTCTGGAGGCTGAGACAGGAGAATTACTAGAACCCGGGAGGCAGAGGTTGCAGTGAGCCAAGATCTTACCATTGCACTGCAGCCTGGGCAACAGAGTGACACTCTGTTGAAAAAAAAAAAAAAAGTTAAGCCCAAAAAGTAAGTAAGGAAGAGGTTTGGAATTAGATATTTGTTGTATGAATGAATGGGCTAAAGTGCAAAAGAACGGGCAGAATAACTGAGCTGGTACAGAGGGAAAAAATCACATTTAAAATCTAAAAATATCTGCTTCTTAGTTCAGGCTTTCCCACTTAGCAGCTTTGGCACCTTAGGAACACTTAACTTATCTGAGCCTCTGTTACTTCTAAAAAGTGCATGAAGTGCAGACTAAGACATAGTTTTTTTGGCAAAATTCAGTCAGACTACATCAAGTAAACTCCCTAAGTCTCCTAGTATAATTCATGGCACAAAAAATTGGGGAAAAAACAGGGAGGATATGATTATAAGTTCAGTTTATGTTTTTTGTTGAGTGAATGTCTCCAGTCATATAGATGCAAGTGTAGATACACAGTAAGAGTAGTATGAATGGGAGGCACCTTGGAAGGCTATTTCTTCCTTCATTCATTCAGTTGGTCACTCAGTGAACTATCATGAATTGAGCACCACCTCTGTTTCTTATCAACAAAGGAGACTGCGGAAAAGAAGAGTGACTAAGATCTCTGAAGAAGGGAAAAGCTAGATGACTGGGCCACAGGAGGAAAAAAAGCAGCAAGACAGTTACAGTTGTTTCTGGTCCCACTTTTATAAACACACACGCACACACACAGACACACGCACACACACAAAATCATTTAATCATTTTTAAGTATTTAATCATTTTTTAAAAATCTGTGATGCTTTACCTGGGCAGGTCTAGGCAGGTCCTCCTTTGCTGGGACGTGCCCTTTTCTGTCCCGGAATACTCTAAACTTGACATTTTGGCAGCGTGAAGTTTTCCCGTTGTGACTTTCTCCTTGTTCCCTTTTCTCCTCCTTCTTTGCAGAGAATGAGTAGCCACTGCTGTTTGCCCTGGCCCATCAATGAGAAGATCTGCTCTTAGAGCCCTGCTTTCCTGCTGAAGGCCCCGAAATCACCTGTGTTCCAGGCCACCCGCTAACAATAAATAATGCTCCCCTGATGTGGGGAATTAGCTCAAGTGGTAGAGCGCTTGCTTAGCATGCAAGAGGTAGTGGGATCGATGCCCACATTCTCCAAGCTTTATTATTTAGACATCGTGTCTCCAAACACTCAGGTCTCCAAACCCAAGTTAGTGTCTGAGAACAGGATGCTGCTTTGGTTCAAGACGTAGGAGCAGCAATAATAGAGGGCTGGTGATGGCTCCCTCTTGGCATTCAGTATAGTGTAGATCTACCATGTAATTAATTCTCTGTTTCTTTGAGGAGCTGTGAAACCAAGGGACATATACAACTGCTCTTTTCTCCCTGTTTCTACCTGCAGCTTTGTCCTAAATGTGAGACAATTATGAAAAGTGCAGGGCAGAGCCACTTGGGTAAATACAGCCCCGGCTTTCTGCTCAGGGGACAGAGTTTGAGGCACTGCAGAGGAACCAGCCAAAGTATGAGACCCATATGTTGAGAGTGACAGTGTAAAGTTCAAAAAAATCAAAATGTTTAAAGATTTATCATGGGTCTTGATGACATGATGGAATCTCTCTACTCTCTGGACTGATTATGTGTGGTAATAAATTTACTTTTTAAAAGCCAGTTGAGTGTTTTTAATGTTGTGGAGCTATTGCTAAGAGTTTCCTGAGTTTTTTCTAGTAATGTAGAGATCTTTGTGCTAAATATTTCATAAAGAAGTTTGGTGGGTTTTGTGTTCTAAATCCTAATCACTGGCATTAACTCAAACCAGCCATATAAAAGGTATGAAAAATGTCTGTCTGGCGTGCACTTGGTTCACTGAGCTTTTGCTTTCCTGTCAGCAAATTAGACATTCTCCTCACTTAGGAGGCCAACTTCTCAGCCACTGGCTCCAGCCTAGCCCTATGGTCTGTCAGTGGCTTTAGATTTAATTGACACATGCCCAGCCCCAACTCTCTCCTGCCTTAAGGATATAAGAGCCATTGTGAGCCACAAAGTTATTATATCCAAGAACCCAGAAAACCACTTTTGTATATAGCAGTCCGCTGTTTTTTCATTTAAACATATGGGTTGGAATAGCATAGGATCATACACCTGTGAGCCTACCTGTTTTACAAGTTAAAACTTTTTCCTGATTCTTGCAAGCATTTTTTCTCACTCAACCCTACATGCATGTGTGCATAATTTTAAGGTAAAATTAGTTTTTGTAGACACTGAATGTGCTGCCCTCAAGGAATATTACAATGGAGTAGGGAAGACAGTTGAGCAAACAGCTGTTTACAATTCTGATAAAAGTCACAATTGAGATGAATACTCTGTACACTAAAAGTACAGAAAGGAACACTACTCTTGAGAATGAGTAGCCTGATAGGATTTGCCAGTGTTTCTGTTATTTCATTTGTTCATACCGGTCCCTGACACCTGGTTTCCTTTTCAAGCAACAAAATCCTAAAATCTCCATCATCTGCTGCTTTCACGTTCCTCACCACTGAGGTCAAGGACCCGAGGCTGGCAGGAAATTGAACGAATGACACTTCAAGAAGACCATGAATCTTTTCATTTTTTTCAGCTGGAAAGCTGAGAGCAGACAAATGGCAGGGAGGCCAAGTGCTATCAACCACATTTAGAAATTTTATTTAATCTGCACATCTTAATTTGGTAGAAAGTTTTACAAATAAAATTTAACACAAAACAATTTTTTTGAAAAACCATGTTGACTTAAGCAGAGCCAATGATGCAAAGCATAATGTATCAGAAGATTCCTGATTCAACTGCTAGCTTGAAGTCCCCCCTACTTGTGTTCTGGAAAGATGGGGTGTTGTTTATCATCCACATATCAAAAAGTAAACAGCAATATTTCTGAAACCTTTTCTTTATAAGGAGATCTTCATAAAACTTGCATTATTACTCTTGTTGGATCATAACACACCTGAGAAAGATTGGGTGGAGGAAGGTGAAGAAGGCTGGAAAAGATTTACAAGGGAATAAATCAAGAATCTGGTACAAATTGACTAATGGTATCTTCTGCATCTGCCCATTTCGAGTGAAAAGTCCCCCGTTTTAGAACTTTTGGCTCTTTGTTTTAATGCTCCCTCCTGAGAATTAACAAAAATTTTGATTACTCTGGGCACGCTACCAGATTAGCCCTGCTCCGCAAGGAGCAGTTATATATATATAATCACACACACACACACATTTTTCAGGGAATCCTGCCTAATTTCTTCCGAAGTTCAGCTGTCTCAGTTCACACCAAACAAGTTACACGATTTCATAACGGATAGAGGACAGAAGCTTAAGGAGGGAGGGCCGAATGCACCGGGAACCCTAGTCAAGTGTAGGAAATCATCACGAGCGAGGCGAAGCAGGTCGTGGGAGACGAGACCTTCACTCAGGAACGGGGACGATGTGAATCGTGTTTCTATCGAGTGGCTGGGGGACCGGGTTGGGATCAGCCAGGAGGAGGTAGCCGCACAAGGCTTAGCTGGGTCTCCCGCGCAGACATCTCCTGGACAGCGACGCAGCGCCGCGCAGGCGCTCACTGCCCGGCTCCAGGGCTGCGGGTGGCGAGTCCCTGCCTGCCCGGCGCTCGCCCTCGGGGAAGGACGGACGCCTCGCGACGGCCGCGGACGCACCAGCGCAAGTGGTTCCTTGGAATCTCCCCCATGTAATTCCACATGAGATTAAATTTTTAAAGCGCCTCATACTCGTGACCATCTAGCAACCATTCAGTGGCTGAATCCTCAGACAGGCACTCTGCATCCCCAGAGCCTAGGGGCATGCCATATGCCCCCACATAAAGATTTGTTGAATGAATGAAGGTGTCTAACTCCATTGTCTTGCCCTATTAAAGATGTATACTTTCTCTGCCTAGACCATTATGGTAATACCCTGACCTTCCTCATGATCTTTGCACTCAATTCTCAACTCTGTGCCCTATTGGAATGGTACTGAAATGCAAATTCAGTTACAGTGTCTCCTAAATTCATTTACCAGCAAACTTTGCTTACAGTGCTTAAACATTTTATCCTGACATTCAAAGCCCTTCATAAAAAGCTGGCCTCTCTCGCAGCTTTACTCCTGGAATTCAATCCTATGCACACTCTCAGAAAACAAAATCATTGTTAATTCACCTTCAAAACCTGTTGTTTTATTCTTCTGAGACTTTGCAAATACCTTTGAGCAAGGCATCTGGATAGCTCCTCATTTTTAAATGTAACTGTGGATACCTTGAGTGGAGATGGAAAGAAAAGGGAAGCTGAAGGATAATGGATTGTAAAAATTCATGCTTTCTCATTCTTGTCTGGTTTGATAATCAGTGCCTAGAAAGGAGTCAAAGAAGGTTTTCTTTATATATCTTCTAAATAACACAAAACCTAGCTCTGCATTAAAGCCTTAGAATTCGTTTCTGGGATTAATTAAAAAAGCAGTAGATTTCAGGCTGTCATATTCAGATTCCCACAGATGTTGCAGCCACAATGCAGAATACTAACCACTATAGGATCATGACAGGCCACTGGGAAAAGCTGATGACTTCTATTTATTACAAATTTGTCATGCCAATTGCCTTTTCATCAAACCAGTAATAGCTCAAAAGGGCATACTTTATGATTACAAAGTAGAAATAACTTTGCAAAATCTTCATGGGTAGATGAATCTTGCTTATTTTCACCTGTGGCTAATTATCTTGCTCATTCCAGAAAACCAGAAAGGCTCACAGCTTGCCATCTTATCTTAGTTTAAGAATTCCTTTTGAACTTACCCTGTGAAAGAAAACACACAGAAGAAAGCTTTCCCTCTGCATGTCACTGATTTCTGAACAGGAAAATACAAGAAAAGTATTATCATAACTGTAGACACTGGGTATAAACTGGGGGGTCTAGATTGTCAGCTTTTCAAGAAGCTTATATTCTAGGGGAGAGATAGAAAATAAAACAATAATTTAATATGTTTTCCAATTTATTAAAAATTTTATTTAAAAGATGGAGAGAGAGACAGGACATTGATTCAGCTGGAGAGGTCAAAGAAGGGCTCTCTGAGACAGTGACATTTGAGTTGTGGCCTCAGTGTTGAAAATGAGTCCACTGTTCTGGGTCTGGAGCAAAAGTGGTGGAGTTCAGAGGCGGACAGCTGGGGTCTGGGCCTCTGTGGGCAGCCAGAAGACGAGCCAATAGAGTACCCCACTTACCAGACTGACGGCAGAGCCAAATATGAAAATGTTCTTTTTTCTCAAGCCTCGAGACTGCACTCCAAAGTCCCAAGCAATCAAGGAAACTCCATTTCCAGTTCCTTGTTGTCTCTAAGGCATAGGCTCAAAGTGAAGCAGACTTTTCCTGAGGTGAAATGCAGAGACAGTCCCACTGCTCAGCTCAGTGTGGATCATGACCTTCCTGCCCTTCCCTTCTAGCTCACCCTCACCAGATTCTGAGGACTGATGAGGAAGGAATTGCTTTACAGCATTTTCTGCTGAGCATTTATTGCATGATTAGGTCAATCTCCAGCTCACTGTGCACTTACAGAAAAAAAAATCTACCAGGTTTCATGTGTGACCTTGAAAAATGTCCTCATTTCTTCTGTTTGTAATTTAGTAGGTTATCCAGAGGAATTTTCCCTGGATGTTATTACATTAAACAGTAGACAGAGTACTGCAAAGGTGAGGCCCAAGGCAGATGGAAATAACCACAGTTAACTGCCTGCTGCCACATACACCCTATTCCTGATCTGCCTGTGAGACTTTTTTCTAAGGATTTAGTTTATGCCAAATGTTTCATTCCCTGACTCTGGCTTTCTCTCTGTCTGTCATCTCCAGTGTCAGATATCAGCCTTTCTTATTTTTGAGGCTAAATCTCCACATAAATCTCAGTCTCAATTAGCAAAAAGCTCTTCCCATCACCACTAAAATAACCTTATTTTGGGCCCAGAGTATGGGGAATGGATGTCTGCTCCAACCCTCTGTAATGCAGCCTGCATTCTCTTGGTTTTCTTTACCTTTTACAGTCCTTTACTTGGAGTGTTAGTGAAATAATTGCCAAGCCCAACCTGTACATGCCCAATGAAGAAAGAACCAAAAACCCGAACATCCATTACTATCTACATTTGAACCTCTGAATAAGTGGAATAGTTCTTCTATTTATCAGACATTAATTCAGAATCTCTTCTGTGTCTGCCACCCAGGTTCAAAACTCCCAATTGCCCTTGACTTCTCCTCCCTCAAATCTTTATACTTAGGGTGTTTATAGATACTGTAGAGCCTTCTTATACAACCTCTCCAGAATATTCTTTTCCCATTTGTCTGTTCCTTCATCCATTCTACAACATTTATTTAGAGTGTATTTTGAATTAGGTGCTGATGATGAAGAAAGACTCATGCTGTTGACCTCAGGACCTGACAGAATAAATGAGGATGAACCTGGATCCTTAATTTTTTAAATAATTTATTTCGCTTTCTCTCCAATTCCAACCTCTTTAAAATTCACAACTAAAATCCTCTTCCTAAAATGTTACTTTGATTACATAAGCCATCCGCCTGGAGTTAATCCTCTCCTCAATATATCTGCAAATGTCTAGGCTTTCCCAACACTATTTCCATCAATACGCATTTTACAAACATACACACACACCCCCACCAATTAAATAGGTATGTCCCACATACACACTAAAAGATTTCTATACCATCACTGTTCTTTCTGTCCTGTGTGCCATCTTCATCTTCATTTCTCAGCTATATCTATTTATATTTCTTCTCTTTAATATGGCCTTGCCCCTTGCCACCTTTCTGTAATACATTTCTGGTTTTTTGCTATTCACTTATATGGTATGGTTATGTGACTACATATGAAATACATAAACAGGGATTGAAATTTAAGTTGTTATAAGTTTAAAATAGCCGGTTATAGTTATATAATTATAAAATGTTTTAGGTAAACCTCACGATAACCATGAGACAAAAACCTATAGTAAATCCACAAAAGATAAAGAGAAACAAATAACGCATACTACCACAGAAAATAATTGAATCACCAATCAAAACAGTAAGAGAGGAAGAAAGGAACAAAAAACCCTAAAAAACGACCAGAAAATACTTAACAAAATGTCAATACTACGTCCTTAACTGTCAATAATTGCCGTCATGTAAATGGATTAAATTCTTCAATATAAAGATATAGAGTGGCTAACTGGATTTTTAAAAATATATCCCAAAAAAGACCCAACTACATGCTGCCTACAAGAAATTCACCTCACCTTTAAGGACACACAGATTGAAAGTGAAGAGGTGGGAAAAGACATTCTGTGCAAATGGAAACGAAAAGAGAGCAGATATACTTATATCAGATAAAGTAGACTTAAAGTCAAAAATTGTGAAAAGAGAGAAAGGGGTCTTTATATTATGATAAAAAGGTCGATTCATCAACAGGATATAACAATTATTAATTTATATGCACCCAACATTGGAGCACCTAAATATAGAAAGCAAATATTCATAGATCTAAAGAAAGAGATAGACTGCAATAGAATAATATGAGGGGACTTCAGTCCCCCACTTTCAACTATGAACAGATCATCCAGAGAGAAAATCAATAGAAAATATTGGACTTGATATATACGTTAGACTAAATGGACCTAACAGACATATACAGAATATTCCACCCAACAACAGTAGAATGTCACTTCTATTTAACATGGTGCTGGAAGTCCTAGCCAGAATACACATTCTGGTCAGGTACACATGAAACACTCTCCAGGACAGGCCATATATAAGGCCACAACATGAGTCTTAACAAATTTGAGAAGACTGAAATCATATCAAGTATCCTTTCTGACCACAATGGCATGAAACAAGAAATCAACAACAGGAGGAATTTTTGAAAATTCACAACTATGTGGAAATTAAACAACATGCTCCTGAACAACCAATGGGTCAAAGAAGAAATCATAAGGGAAATTGAAAAAATACTTTGGGACAAATGAAAATGGAAATACAATATACCAAAACTTACAGGATACAAGAGCAGTTCTAAGAGAGTTTTCATCAAAAAAGATGAAAGATCACAAATAGACTACCTAGCATCCATTACACCTCAAGGACTGGAAAAACAATCAACTAAGCTAGTTACAAAGTTAGTAGGAAGATGGAAATGATAAAGATCAGAAGAAGTAAACAGAAGATAGAAAAAATAGATCAACCAAACTAAGAATTTTTTTTAAAGGTAAATAAAATTTACAAACCTTTAGCTAGACTGATTAAGAAAAAAAAATGCAAAGACTCAAATAAAATCAGAAATGTAATCAGAAATGAATTGAAGAGGTAACAACTGTTACCACAGAAATACAAAGGATTATTTAAAAACTACTATGAACAATTATATGCCAACAAATTGGATAACCTAAAAACTGGATAAATTCCTAGAGACATGCAACTTGCAAGACAGAATCAGAAACCCTGAACAGAGCAAAAACAAGTAAGGAGATTAAATCAGTGATAAATCTACCATCAGAGAAAAGCCTAGGACCTGACAACTTCACTGCTGAATTTGATGAAACATTTAAAGAGGCAATACCAGTTCTTCTCGATCTCTTTCAAAAAACTGAAGTAGAGGAAATACTCCCAAACACATTTTACAAGGCCAGCATTACCGTGAACCCATTGCCTGAGGAGAGCACTACAAAAAAAAAAAAAATTACAAACCAATATCCTGATGAACATGTATGCAAATATACTCAACAAAATACTAGCAAATGGAATTCAACAGCACATTTAAACAATTATTTACCATGATCAAGCAGGATTTATCACAGGGATACAAAGATGGTTCAACTTATACAAATCTGTAAATGTGTGATCCACCGTATTAACAGAATGAAAGACAAAAACCATCTCATCATCTCAATAGATGCAGAGAAAGCATTTGACAAAATTTAACATTTCTTCATGGTTAAAAACTCTCAAAAATTAGGTATAGAAGGAATGTACCATAACACAATAGAGGCCTTTATAGGACAACCCCACATTTAACATCATACTCAGTGGGAAAAAAAATTGAAAGCTTTCCTTTTAAGATCAGGAATAAGACAAGGATATCCACTCTTGCCACTTCTATTTAACATAGTACTGGAAGTCCTAGCCAGAGCAATTAGGCAAGAGAAAGAAATAAAAGACATCCAAATTAGAAAGGAAGAAGTTAAATTGTCCCTGTTTGTAGATGACATAATCCTATATATAGAAAACCCTAAAAACTCACCAAAAATCAAAACTGTTAGAAATAAAAAACAATTTCAGTATAGTTTCAGAATACAAAACAACATACAAAAATCAACATACAAAAGCTAGCATTTCTATACACTAACAGCAACCTAACCAAAATAAAAAATTTTAAAGATCCCATTTACAATAGCTACAAAAAATACTTAGAAATAAATTTAACCAAGGAGGTGAAAGGTCTGTATACTGAAAACTATTAAACACTGATGAAAGAAATTGAGGAAGACACAAATGGAAAGATATCCTGTGTTTATAGATTGGAAGAATTAGTATTATTAAAATGTCCATACCCCCCCCAAAGTGATCTACAGATTCAGCGCAATCTCTATCAAAATCCAAATGACATTTTTCACAGAAATAGAAAAAAAACCCTTAAAATTCATATGGAAGCACAAAAGTCCCCAAATAGCCAAAGCAATCTTGAGCAAAAACAAAACTGGAGGCATCATACTACCTGACTTTAAAAATATACTACAAATATATAGCAATCAAAACAGCATAGTACTGGTGGAAAAACAGACATATAAACCAGTGGAACAGAATAGAGAGGGCAGAAATAAATCCACACATTTATAGTCAATTAATTTTTGACAAACGTGCCTAGACACATAATGAGGAAAGGATAGTCTCTTCAATAAATGGTGTTGGGACAACTGGATATCCACATGCAGAAAAATGATAGGAGGCCCTTATCTCATACCATATACAAAAATCAACTAAAAATTGATTGAAGACAAACATAAGATGTGAGACTCTAAAACTTCTAGAAGAAAACATATGGGGAATGCTCCATAACATTGGTCTGTGCAATGATTTTTTGGACATGAACCCCCCCAAAAGCAAAAAGACAAAAATAGATAAATAAGATTACATGAAACTAAAGAACTTCTGCACAGCCCCCCCAAAAAAAATCAACAGTGAAGAGACAACCGATAGATTGGGAGAAAATATTTGCAAACCATACTTCTGTAAGTGGTTGATATAAAAAATACATCAGGAACTCAACTCAATAGCAAAAAAACAAATAACCCAATTAAAACATGGAGAAAGGACCTTAATAGACATTTCTCAAAAGAAGACACATTGCCAACAGGCATATGAAAACTTGCTTAATGTCATTTATCATCAGGCACATGCAAATCAAAACCACACCTGTTAAAATGGCTGCTATCAAAAAGGCAAAAGATAACAGGTGTTGGCAAGAATGTGGAGAAAAGAGAATCCTTGTACATTGTTGGTAGGAATGTAAATTAGTGCAGCTGTTTTGTACAGCAGTTCCTCAAAAAACTAAAAAGAGCACTATCATATGATCCAGCAACCCCACTTCTGGGTATATGTTCAAAAATCGGTCTATTGAAGAGATATCTGCACTCTCATGTTCATTGCAGAATTACTACTAAAGTAGCTGAATCAGCCTAAGCGTCTATCAACAGATGAATGGATAAAGAAAATATTACAACTGCACAATGAAATACTATTCAGTCTTTTAAAAAACAGAAATCCTGTCATTTTCGATGTCGATGAACCCGGAGGGCATTGTGTGAAGTGAAATAAGCCAGGAGCAGAAAGACAAATACTGCACGATCTCACTTAAATGTGAACTCTAAAAAAGTCAAACTCATCAAAGCAGAGAGTAGAATGGTAGTTACCAGGGGCTAGGGGAGGAGATGGGAGGTAGGAATGGAATTAGAGAGATGTTTGTCAAAGGACACAAAATTTCAGTTAAACAGGAGGAATAAGGTCAGATCTACTGTGCCGTATGGTGACTACAGTTAATAATAAGTGTATTCTGTACTTTATAATTGCTAAAAGAGTAGATTTAAGTGTTCCCATCACACACACACACTAAGTAATAGATACGTTAATTAGCTTGAGTTAACCATTCCACAATGTATGCATATATCAAAACATCATGTTGTACATCATAAATATATACATTTTGTATTTGTCAACTAAAAAAATTGTAAAAACAAGTATTTAATGCTCATCTCAAAATATAAAAAGCCTGTGATGCAAAGGGTTTCTATGGTGTAGTAGTTACCACGCTGGCCTAACACATGGAAGGTCCTCTATTTGAAACTCAACGGAAACAACAGGTTTCTCTGGTCTCCCAGAATCTGACCGGGAGTGGCCGCTTCTTCCCGGGAGTCCAGAGCTGCAAGGAACAAGTGATTATCCCGCCTCTTTTAAAAGAAAGATCGTCATCCTGGGATAGCTGTGCCAAATTAGCAGGCCGCTCTGGGCGGGCGCTCCCCAGCTGGGACGTGCTCGCTTCTCTCCCTGAAAATCTGGAACGTGAAATCTTACAGCACCAGACTTTTCCAGTGTCCACTTTCTCCTGGTTACGTTTTCCCCTCTCCCTCGCAGAGGAATAGCCATCATGCCCTTGCCCTTGGCCATTTTTGAGTAGACTCGCCTTAGGTCGAGTCCTGGTTCCCCATTAATAATCCAGACATTTCCTTTGTTCCGAGACGCAAGAAATGGTGGTAATCGCGCACATCTACTCCTGAATAAAGGAAAGGGCAGAAAGTTTTGCGGTAGGTGACGAATGAGCTCAAGTGGTAGAGTACTCGCTTAGCATGTGAGAGGTAGTGGGATCGATGTTGTCACTTGGGGCCGCATGTCCATACAGTACAACGTGGAGAACGGCTTCATTAGTCACCTGTCGAAGAAAACGAGGAAGTACCAGCCATCTTGAATGCTTCACTGGTAAAAGACCTATGGGCATAAAGAAACAGTGCTAATAATAGCCCCTAAAACGTTCAGTGGACAGTACCCATTCTCTAAGTTGTTTTCTCTTTATTCAGAGGAAAGAAGAGATCCCAAGAGGGTGGGATATACCCAATTTTTCCTTTTCTCTCCTTCCTGCAGCTTGACCCAAAATGCCAAAATGCAGCACAGCTCTGGAAAATGCAGGGCAGAGCAGGATGAGTAAAACCCCAGCTTTCTTTCTGGTCAGGGCACTGTAAAGTGGAGTTCCAAGTAACCGGAAAGTCCTGCCGATAGTGTGGAAAGCAAACCCACAAGTGGTTTGTCAACTCACCGAGTGCACCCCTGAGTTGCGAATATGTAGCTGTAAGGAGCAAAACCAAATACAGAAAGCTTATTTTTTCCCAATTTAAAAACATGTTTTGTGATTCTACTTTAGATATCTTGAATAGGCAAATTCATGTAGACAGAAAGAATAGAGGTTGTTGGGGAGAGGGAAATGTGGAGTTATTGTTTAATGGGTACAGAGTTGCTGTTTGGGATGACGAGAAACTTCTGGAAATGGGTAGTGGTGATAGTTGCTCACATTGTAAATGTACTTAATGCCACTAAATTGAACACTTAGAATTTTCAATGTAAAATGGGTTAAGTATATTTTACCACAATAAGAAAACACAAACTCTTGTTCATTCTTTAATTTAGCACATAGTCTCATCATCTGTTTTTCTCCACACCAGCTCATCTGTTCATCCTTCTACTCATTTGACAAATACTTAGAAATGTCTAGATTTATTGTTCCATTCATCAGACATTAATTCAGGATCTCTTGTGTGCCACAGTTTCAAGACTTCTCCCTCAAATGTTTACACCAATGTCTTGACAAATACCATAGATCTTTCCTGCACAGCCTCTCCAGAATGTTTTTCTTACCTTTCACTCATGTTTCTCTTGCCCATTCTACCACGTTTATGGAGGACGTAGTCTGCACCACAAAGTATAATGGGCACTGGAGCTACGGAAAGACTCATGCTGTTCATTTCAGAAGCTGACGGAATAAATGTGAATAAACCTCAATTCTTTAATCTATTTATAACTTCTTTCCATTTCTCTTCAATTACAGTCTCCCTGTTCCCAAGCTCTTTGACATCCAACACTAAACACCTTTTTCTTAAATGTTAATTTGGTTATGTAAGCTGTCTGGAATTTTTTCAAGGGTTCTTAAGTCTCAATGTTTTCCCAATCATTATCTCCATGTGCACAGGCATTTCAATCACTACTTCCTTTCATTTTGTAAACAGGCACACACACAAGCAGGCACACATGCACTTGTGCACTACACATCCCAAGTGAACAGGCATGTTTCCTCACACAGGAATTCCTACATCTATGCCTGTTCCTTCAAACTCATGTGCATTCTTCCTCATCTGCATCCTTCAAGGTTCATATTTATCCCTTTACTACAAGCTGATCTTTTAATCCCCATGGTTCTTGTCTGTAATACTTTTGTAATTTTTGCTGTTTTCTTATGTGATGTGAATATGTGAGTTCTATATGATGTAACTTAAAAAGACTTGAATATAAGTATGTGTATATATATATATATAAATCTAACATAAATATATCTTATATATCTTAGAAATCTAAGATATATACATACCTTGAATATCTTAGATATATCTATCTTAGATTTAGGAAGTCTGAGGGTTTCCTCAGTGTAGTGTAAAGGTTATCTCACTCACTTGCTTAACACGAGATGAGGCCCTCAGACAGAAAGACAGATGTTATATAATTATAAAGCATCTATTCACCGAAGGGACACAACTGTCCTAAATATGTCTGTTTCTGGCCACAGAGCTTCAAAACTTATGAACAAAATGGATAAACCAGAAAGAAAATAGAAAAATCCAATTACAGTTGCAGACATTAACACTCCTCTCTCAGTAATTGATAGATTCAGGAGAAAACAAATCAGCAAACATATTAGAGAATAGAACAACACCATCCACCAATGGATCTAATAGACTTTATAAAGCAAAATCACAATTTATGTAGAAAGATGAGCCAAAAAAATCAAAGAAAAGCAAGATCATATTATAACTAGGAAATCATGAATGGTCAGAGTGCAGAAAAGTGACATTATTGAAACTGATATTTCTGAAACAGTTACTTAAATAGCAGGAAGACTGATAACGGCGAATCTGTAAGTGAATCTTTCCTTGTCCATATGTATCCTGCTTTTTCTTGAGGTCTGGGCTGGCCAAATTCCTCCTGAAATTCCTGGGCCTACTACAGTGTCTGGCACAGAGCATCTCTCCAGCAAATATGTACTGAATGAGTAGAAAGGAACTGACGGATTCAGAAGAGACCTGCAAGAATAATGTTCAGTATTTGGCAAATCACTGAATGTGGTGTTTGAAGGAGGACAATGAGTCAAAGTTGACTTGGAAATCTAGGCCCAGGAGGAGGTTGAGAATTAGATATTTGGTATATGAATGAATGGACTACTGTGGAGAAAAACAGGCAGAGAGATAATGAGCAGGAGCAGGGAAAAGACTCACCTTTTGGAATCTAAAATAAATGTGCTTCTCAGTTCAGGCTTTGCCACCTAGCATCTCTGGCACCTTAGAAACAATAATTATCTGAGCCTCCATTACATCTAGAAAGTGCACATTAGGATACATCGTTTTGTTAGCGAAATTCAATTGGACTACGTAAACGCAAGAAATCTCGTAGTATACTTAATAGCACACAAGAAAAAACAAAGGGGTAAAAAACAAAGAGGGTGCCATTATAAGTATTTTGTGTTTTTTTTGTAGCGACAATGTCTTCAGTCATGTAGATGCAAGTGGAGATATGAAGGAAGACAGTAGTATGATCAAGAGACAGGTTTGATGGCTATTTCTTCATTCATTTATCCAGGTGGTCAGTGAACTATCATGAACTGAGAACCTCCTGTCTCTTTTCAACAGAGGAGACCATGGAAAGTGTAAGAGTGACTAAGGTTTCTGAGGGAAGGAAAAGGGAAAAAGAGCAGCAAAAGACAGGTACAATTGATCCTGGTAACGCAGAACCCAGACGGTCCTATGAAATACTGGAAAGGTGTAGACTCCTCTGGTCGTGGGTATGGAATCTTCCTAGTGCAGCGTTGATTGATACAGAGTAATTTTCAAGTAGGATTGATTGTAGTTTTTGAAAGCTGAAACCGTAAAGTAGGTGGGAAATACACTTCGACAAAATGGATGTTGCCCAAGCTCAACAGCAAGCCCTCTTAGTGCAGCTGGCAGCGCGTCAGTTTCATAATCTGAAAGTCCTGAGTTCAAGCCTCAGAGAGGGCATCACTTTTGCCAAAGAAGTTGGATACACTAAATATCGGAACGCAAATGCTATAGCAGATAAGGATTTGAAGACTGACCCAATATTTGTAGAAAATGGAAACATAATTTAAGTTTTCTTGTTTTTTCGACTTTCCAGTGGTTTGAGTAAAATAAGTGGTGAAAACAGAAGAGTAGATTACACCAGAAACTACAAGCTATGTCATATAATTGGTCTTTCTAGCTGACACAGGAAGCAGGAGAAATTTCTCTTCCAGCTTCCCGCTCTCAGGGTCACCTCACACTAATTATTGGGTGGATGGGTGAAGTCATTTATTCTTTTAATCATCCAACAAATATTTCTTCAACACATATCTTGTTAAGAGACTGGGGTCAAGAGTGAATACAACGCAAACATTCCTACCTCTGTGAAACTACATCCTACTTGGGAGGAGTGGGGTGAAAGTGTATACAGCACAAATATTCCTAGTATTGCGAAACTACATCATACTTGGGAGGCGTGGGGAGAAACAGACAGGAAACAATCAAAAATATGTAAGACGTGATTTGACGATGTCTACTGTGAGGGAATCGCTAGGCAGTAAAGGGTGTGGGAATGTGGAGGTGGCACATTCAGCTTTCAGGAGGACAATCAGGGACTCTGTCACCTTGACAACTTTAGCCTTGCCTTCTTCTAGCCATCTTGCCGGAACACTTGTGCCCATGTTTTTCTAACACTGTCATAAGAGTACTTTTACCTATCAAGGCAACTGGGGGTTAGGAGAGCTTTTTGCCCAGAAGGCTAGTTGGCTTCCTTGGAAAACTGATGATACATGAGGACTGGGGTTGTCAATCCCTCATGTGTTTCTTCATATGAAAAATGAGGACTGTGGGATTCTCTGGCTGGATCTCAGCACCTAGAGATGGATCTGGGCAGTAGGAACTGCTCAGTATTAGCTACTGCTTTGGTTGCCTTCTCCCTGTGGAAAGCTGGCCTCTCACACTGAATTTGTATCATAGGCACTCATGAGGGTCTTGACTATATCAATATCTGATGGGAGACTTTAGTGCAGTTCTGTTGTCATAGCTGATTTGCTCATTTGGTAGCTAGCATCCAGCTTCTTGTGAACACTAAAATAAAATAAAATAAAATAGATAATGGAGGAATAGAATACAGATACATAGTAAGGTATTATTTCCCAGACAAAATGGATTTGGATAAAAGAATCTAATTAAGAATTTGTACCTGGTTCTTTTAAAATTCCTTTGAATTTTGTTTTTTTGGCCTGTTTTTCAAGTCTCCAATTTTTGTCACCCTTCTCCCATCAGGTCAGAGAGATAGCCAATGGTCAGAAGCAATCTTCCAGCAACTGCCATAGCGCTTTCTCCTGCCTGCAGATGCCTCTTTTTAGTCAGCCTTTATGGGAAGTAGCAGCAGCATCCATTCCCAGAGAGCAAGCTCTGGAGTAGCTGAGCTAACCCCAGTTGCTAATCTGAGCTAATCCCAGTTACCCCAGTGGATTTACAGATTGAGGGTAGAACCCAGCAGGGTTCTCTTCTTGGAAAGAATAGGCTTCCCTCTAAGGTTTCACATAGATACTGGGTGAGGAAACAGCCCTAAATGGCTTCAGAAATTGAATGCTCTTTGGGCAAAGCAGGAAGCCCTGCTGTGGAAGAGCATCATCTGAGCATAAATCAGGTTATCAGGACAAACAAGAGTGTTCAGGAGGTCTAGATGGTTAAGCAGAGAGCCTCACCAGAATATCCGTGGTGAAGAGAAACAATCTTGTTGGGAGAAGGATAACCATAATTGGGGACTTAGAATAAAGGCTAAAAATGATTCAAAGAGAATGCAAAAAGAATCAGGCACAAATCTTTACTATATTCTGTTGTGCAAATCTTACCTTACTATGTGTTTATATTCTATTCCTCCACAATCTTTATTTTATTTTTATGTTCACAGAGACTTGCTGGTTCCAACTAAATGAGCACAACAGCCAGTGACAACAGAACTGCACTTAAATAGTCCCTCATCAGCTCTTGACGGCAGATTCCTTAAAGGTGAACAATATTCCACATACAAGGACTTTTCAGCAGTATGCATTAGAAATGGAACTGAATGTTTATTATTCTTTATATAAGTTGGTTGATATGACTTTTCAGCTTCCCTCAGTAACATTATCTAAATTTTGTAGATGACAGTAAAGCTCAGAGGAGTTAAACCATTTTCCTCAAATCACGTAGCTTTAAACAGGAAAACCAGATATGAAAAGCAGATTTCTTTCTAAATTAAAAAACAAAAACAAAAAAACTTGAGCTCTTGCTTTACCCTAGCACATAGTCTCGCCATCTGTTTTCTCCACGCCAGGTCATTCATGTAACATTCATTCACATAACAAATACAAATAAATGAGCAGATTCATTAATCAGATATTAATTCAGAATCTCTTTTGTGTCTACCACACTAGACTAAAGACTTCCCAGTGTCTTTGTCTCCTCTCCCTCAAATCTCTCCACCCAATGTCTTGACAAATAAAGTAGATCCTTCCTGTACAACATCTCCAGAATCTTTTCTTCCTTTTCTTTCACCTCTGTCATCATTCATGCTACAATGTTTATGGAGGATGTATTCTGCAGCATGAAGTGTGGTGAGCACTAGCGCTGAAGAAAGACTTCTGCTGTCTACCTCAGGTGCTGACACGATAAATGTGGGTAAACCTCAATCCTTTAATATCTTTATGACTTCTTTCCCTTTCTCCCCAGTTCCTGTTACTCATGTTCAAGCTCTGACATTCAAAACCAAACACCTTTCTCTAACATGTTGCTTTAATTATTTAAGCATTCTGCCTGGGATATTTTCAATTAGTCATGGGATTTTTCATAAAACTCTCCCAATATATCTCCAAGTGGCCAGGCTTTTCAATCACTGCTTGCCTCCATGTGTATTTCACACACACACACACACACACACACACACACACACTCTCCACTTAAATTGAACAGGTTTATTTCTTTACACAGGAATTCCTACAAAACAGCCCGGTTTTCTCCACCATATGTCCACTCCTTCTCTGCATAGCTCAATTTTGATTCTTACACTATATTTTACATATTCTTACACTCTGATATGATCTTGTCTCTTATTCTTTATGGCTCTGCTCTGTAATTTTGTTGTTGTTGTTCCGAGATATAGTTGGACATGTAACTTGTACATGACACACCTTAGCAAGGAGGCAACTCATATCTCAGATGTAAGTGAAAGAAGCACTCTCCAGGGGTTTCCTAGGGGAGTGGTCAGCACGCTGGCCTCATTGGTGAAACGGCCTAGTTATGAAAACAGCAGGAGCTTTTTGCCTTCCAGAAATCTGGACCATCTCACAACCCCCAGACAGTCTCAGCTACAAGGAAAAGTGATAATTCCATCCCACTTTTATAAACACACACACACAACACACACACACACACACACACACACATAAAATCATTTAATCATTTTTAATCATTTAATCATTTTTAAAAAATCTCTGACACTTTAGCTGGGCAGGTCTAGATATGTCCTCCTTTGCTGGGATGTGCCTTTTTCTGTCCCGGAATACCCTAAACTTGACATTTTGGCAGCACGAGTTTTCCCTTTGTGACTTTCTCCTTGTTCCCTTTCTCCTCCTTCTTTGCAGAGAATGAGTAGCCACTGCGCCTTGCCCTGGGCCATCAGTGAGAAGATCTGCTCTTAGTAGAGCCCTGCTTTCCTGCTGAAGGCCCTGAAATCCCCTGTGTTCCAGGACACCCACTAAGGATCAATAAAGCTCCCCTGACGTGGGGAATTAGCTCAAGCGGTAGAGCGCTTGCTTAGCATGCAAGAGGTAGTGGGATCGATGCCCACATTCTCCAAGCTTTATTATTTGGACCTTGGGTCTCCAAACACTCAAGTATCCAAACCCAAGTTAGTGTCTGAGAGCAGGATGCTGCTTTGGTTCAAGACATAGGAGCAGCCACAATACAGGGCTGGTGATGACTCCCTCCTGGCATTCAGTATAGTGTAGATCTACTGTGTAATTCATTTGCTGTTTCTTCAAGGAGCTGTGAAACCAAGGGACATATAAAACTGCTCTTTTCTCCCTGTTTCTGCCTGAAGCTTGGTCCTAAACGTCAGACAATCGTGAAACGTGCAGGGCAGAGCCACCTGGGTAAACACAGCCTCGGCTTTCTGCTCAGGGGACTGAAACCAGGATGTGTCAAGTAACTAGAATGTGCCTGGACAGATACTGTAGAAAGCAAACCCATAAAGTTGTTCATGAGATTGTGGACACACCTGCCAGCTGTGAATAAGTGGCTCTAATCCCAAACAGCTTACCTACAAAGAGCCTGAGAGCTGAACTGCGCAATGGCCCACTTTCCAGTCCTCACTGAAGTTGCACACACTCCGGAAATCTCTGAACAGTAGCGTAAAGGCTTTGCAAATAGAGTTATCTTTGAAACAACAACACGTGGAAGGCTGGTTGGTACTTGGAACTTGAATACAAGGCAATTTTGTGCCTGCAAAGATAAAAATAGCAATATTATTCTTAAGATTTCAACAAAACACAGCGTCTCATCACATAATCCAAAGAAGTCCAGGTTACAAGCCCCAAAATATTCAGCATTATGAAAAACCAGGGAGATCTTCATTCACATGGCAAAGAGACTCCTCGAATAGCAATACTGAGAGGACACAGATGTCAAAATCATCTGAGGCATAGAGTAGAGCAGTTATGATAACAATGCTCCTAGAATTAGGGGATAACATTCATGAAGTGAATGGGAAGTTGGAAAGTCTCAGCAAATATCTGGAATATATAAACACCAATTTTAAGCTTAAAAATTTAAAAAAATGTATTAACCAAAACTCTTAGGGGAAATAAAAAGCTTAACTGGATGATCTCAATAACAGAATGCAGATGACTAAGAAAATGTCAACGAACTTGAAAACAGAACAAGAATACCTACATAATCTGAGCTATAGAGAGAAAGGAGTATTTCTGTAAATGAACAGAGGCACAGGGACAAATAAAAAATAGCAAATCTAACATTCACATTATTGTAATCTGAAAAGAAGAGGACAAAAAGGTCTTTGTGGGATAAAACTTTGAAGAATTAATGGCTGAAAATGTATCAAATTTGTCAAAAGATATAAATCAAGTTTTTAAAGTTCAGCAAAGGTCAAGCAGGATAAACCCAAAGAAACCCAACCCATTTCAAGACATATCATAATCAAACTGCTGAAAACGAGGAAAGTACAAAACAATCTTGAAAGCAGTCAAAGGAAAATGAAAAAGAAACTACCATATGAATGAGTGTAGATTTCTCATCAGGAACCATAGCGGCCAGAAAAAAATGTCATAATATTCAGTAAGTAACAAAAGAAAAAGACCTATCAACCCAGAATGCTATGTGGAGCAAAAGTATCTTTCAGACATAAAGGCAAATAAACGCATTCTCATTGGAAGGTAAGTCAATACATTCTCATTCATAGCAAGAATGCTGGAAAAGAGTTAGCAAAGATTTGAGATAAGAAAAGTGATACCAGAAGGAAACTTAGAACATCATCAATGAAGGAACGAAAGCAGAAATAGAAAATGTCTGGGTAGACATAACAGACTGTTCTTCTTCTCTTGAGTTCCTTAAGGTATGTTTGATGATTGAAAGCCAAAATTGTAACTTTATCAGAAGCAGTTGTCATTGTATCGAGATGTACTACATAGATAAGATAAAAGGGTAAGTGTAATGGACCTAACTCTTGATGAAGTTTCTATATTCAACTTGAATGGTAAAATATTGATTCTAAGTATACTGTGAAAAGTTATATATGTATATGGTAATCCCTAGACCACTTACTAACCAGATTGAAATAAACCAAAACAAGATAGACAGAGGAACATAGAAGAATTAAAACAAAGGGAACAAAGGTTAATACATTATTAAATAGATCTATCTAAAAACTTATCTATATTAACATTACACGTAAATGATCTAAATCCTTAATTAAAAACTAGAGATCATCAGAATGTATTAAAAGTAAATATGCAGACTGTAAGAAAGCCACCTGCAATACACTTATATATCAGAATAAAAGTTATATAGCAGATTGAAGGAAAAGAGTGGGAAAGATACCTCATGCAAGCATTAATCAAAGACAGCTGTGGTGTATACATTAAAATCAGACAAAGTAGATTTGAAAGCAGAGAAACTTTTCAGGAATAATGAAGGCTGCTAAATAATTATGATTGTCCATTCTCCAGGGAATACTGTTCCAAATGTATATGAGGACACAGATTTTCAAAACTCATAAACAAAATTAGATAAGCCAGGTAAAAATAGAAATATCCAATTTTAGTTGAAGACACTAAAACTCCTCTCTCAGTCATTGGTAGACTTAGTAGACAACAAATCAGCCAACATATTGGAGAACTGAACCACACCATCCACCAATGGATCTGATCAACTTCATAACGCAAAATAAAAATTTAGCCAGAAAGCAAAGACAAAAATTAAAAGAAAAGTAAGATCATGTTATAACCAGGAAATTAAGAGTGGTCCATCATATAGAAGGGTGCTATTATTGAAAGAGTTTGAAATAGTGACTTAGTTATTTTGAAAGAGTTTTGAAGGCATTATTTAGCTGGAAATGACAGAAAGACTGAAAATTGTGAATCTGGAGGTGGATCTTCCCTCATCTATATTTATCTTGTCTTCTTTTGAGGTCTAGGGTGTCTATACTTCCTCTGAATTACCTGATCCTACTATAGTGTCTGGCACAGAGCATCTCCCCAGTGAATATGTACTAAATGAGTGGAAAGTAATTGATAGATTCAAAAGAGTTGTGCAAGAATAATGTTCATTATTTGGCAAATCATTGAATGTGGTGTTTGATGGAAGACAATGAATCAAAGTTGACTTGAAAGGTAAGCCCAAGGCCAGACGTGGTGGCTCATTTCTGTAATCCCAGCACTTTGGGAGGCCGAGGTGGGCAGATCCCTTGACGCCAGGAGTTTGAGACCAGCCTGGGCAACCCAGTGAAATCCTGTCTCTACAAAAAAAACAAAAATTAGCCGGGTGTGGTGGTATGCATCTGTAGTTCCAGCTACTCAGGAGGCTGAGGTGGGAGCATCGCTGGAACCCGGGAGGCGGAGGTTGCAGTGAACAGAGATCACACCAGTGCCCTGGCAGTAAAGTGACACCTTGTCTTAAAATAAAATAAAATGAAATGAAATGAAATAAAATAAAATAAAATATAAAAGTTAAGCCCAGGCCGGGCGCAGTGGCTCGCACCTGTAATCCCAGCACTTTGGGAGACCAAGGCAGGCGGATCACCTGAGGTCAGGAGTTTGAGACCAGCCTGGCCAACATGGTGGAACCCCGTCTCTACTAAAAATTCAAAAATTAGCAGGGCACCTGTAGTCCTAGCTACTCAGGAGGCTGAGGCAGAAGAATCACTTGAACCCAGGAGGCAGAGGTTGCAGTGAGCCAAGATTGTGCCACTACACTGCAGCCTGGGCAACAGAGTGAGACTCTAACTCAAAAAAAGTTTTTAAAAAAAATTTTAAAAAAGTTAAGCCCAAAAGGTAAGTAAAGAGGAGGTCTGGAATTACATATTTGGTGTATGAGTGCATGAGCTAAAGTGCAAAAGAATGGGCAGAATAACCGTGAGCTGGAGCAGAGGGAAAAAAATCACATGCAAAATCTAAAAATATCTGCTTCTCAATTCGGGCTTTCCCACTTAGCAGCTTTGGCACCTTAAAAAAAAAAAAAAAAAACACTTGACCGGGCACGGTGGCTCACGCCTGTAATCCCAGCACTTGGGAGGCCGAGGCGGGCGGATCAGGAGGTCAAGAGATAGAGACCATTCTGGCTAACACGGTGAAACCCCGTCTCTACTGAAAAAATACAAAAAAATTAGCCGGGCATGGTGGCGGGTGCCTATAGTCCCAGCTACTCGGGAGGCTGAGGCAGGAGAATGGCCTGAACCTGGGAGGCGGAGCTTGCAGTGAGCCCAGATCGGGCCACTGCACTCCAGCCTGGGAGACAGAGCGAGACTCCGTCTCACAAAACAAACAAACAACAAACAACAACAACAAAAACGCACTTAGCCTATCTGATTCTCTATTACTTCTAAAAAGTGCATACTAAGGCATAATTTTGTTGGCAAAAGTCAATCAGACTACATCAAGTAAACTCCCTAAGTCTCCTAGTATAATTCATGGCACAAAAATATGAGGAAAAACAGGGAGGATATGATTAAAAGTTCAGTTTGTATTTTTTGTTGAGTGAATGTCTGCAGTCCTATAGATGCAAGTGTAGATACACAGTAAGAGTAGTATGAATGGCAGACATCTTGGAAGGCTATTTCTTCCTTCATTCATTCAGTTGGTCACTCAATGAACTATCATGAATTGAGCACTACCTCTGTTTCTTATCAACAAAGGAGACTACGGAAAGGAAGAGTGACTAAGATCTCTGAAGAAGGGAAAAGCTAGATGACTGGGCCACAGGAGGAAAAAAAGCAGCAAGACAGGTACAATTGTTTCTGGTCCCTCAAGCCAGAAGGTCCTATCATTATGTGAATACTGGAAATGGGTGGACTCCACCTGTCCTGAGTGGGGAATTCTTCCAGTGCAGCATTGACTGATAAGGAGTGATTTCCAAGTAGCATTGATTGTGTTCTTTAAAAGCTAGGAATTGATAAAGCAGCAGTGCGTGGGAAATGAGATTTAATAATCTGGATGTCACCTCTTAGGAACAGTTGCTCTCTTAGAGCAGCAGGCCACCTGTCAATCTCATATTC
Organism: Homo sapiens; assembly: GCF_000001405.40. NCBI lineage: Eukaryota > Metazoa > Chordata > Mammalia > Primates > Hominidae > Homo > Homo sapiens. The sequence goes on along the minus strand of NC_000006.12, from coordinate 57,833,419 downwards.
TGAAGGTCCTGAGTTTGAACATGAGACAAGGCACAGCTTATGCCGCTATTTCCATTAAGAGAAATGAAATAGGTGTGATAAATAATGGAACACAAATGCTATGAGATAATGATTTCAAGACAGACCAAATATTAGCTTAAAATTTAAAAGTGAGTTTTCTTTTCTTCTTTCTTTCTTTCTTTCTTTCTTTCTTTCTTTCTTCCTTCCTTCCTTCCTTCTTTCCTTTCCTTTCTCTTTCTGTCTTTATTTATTTTTTCCTTCTTTTGGCTTCTCAGTCGCTTGAGTACAAGGCGTGGTGAAGACATATAAATTACACCAGAAACTGCAAGCTATGTCATATGTCTGCCTCTCTAGCTGACAGGGGAGGCAGGGGAAATTTCTCTTCCAATTGCCTGCTCTGAAGGTCATCCAAACATAATTATGGGGTGGGGTGGGTGAAGTCTTTTATTCTTTTAATCATCCAACAGATAGTTCTCAACACATATCTTGTTAAGAGACTGTTTTGGGTATAGCAATTCGCAGTGAATAAAATACAGATATTCTCACCTTTGTGATACTACGTCAATTTTGGGGGGAGTGGGGAGAAAGAGACAGAAGCAAAAAAGAAAAATAAACAAGAAGTCATGTGATGTTATCTACTGGGAGGGAGTCACTAGGCAGTAAAGGACTCGGCAGTGTGGAGGTGACACATTCACTTTTCAGGAGAAGAATCAGGGAAGTTGTCACCTTGAAGATATCATTTAGCTTCCCTTTCTTCCAATAGTCTTTCTTTACATGGGAAATGAGGACTCTAGGATTCTCTGGCTGGATCTCAGCACCTAGAGCTGGATCTGGGCAATAGGAACTGCTCAGTAAGCATTACCTACTGCTTTGGTTGCCTTCTCCCTGGCCTCTTGGATTGAGCTTGCATCATACATGTTCAGTAGGAACTTGCTTAGTGGATTTACAGGTTGAGGTTAGAACTCACCAGGATTCTCTTCCTGGAGAGAACAGCCTTCCCTCTAAGGTTTCATATAGACCCCGGGTGAGGAAAGACCCCTAAATGGCTTGAAAAATTGAATGCTCTTTGGGCAAAGCAAGAAGCGCCACTATGGAAGGGCATCATTTGGGCATATATCAGGGTCTCAGTACAAAGATGAGTGCTCACGTGGTCAAGATGGTTAAGCAGAGAATCTCACCAGAATGTTCACGGTGCAAAGAAATAATCTTGTTGGGAGAAGGATCACAGCAATTGGGGAATTAGAATACAGGCTAAATGAGATTCAAAAATAATACAAGAATCAGGCACAAATCCTTTACTACTACATTCTTTTGTACAAATCCATTTTGCCTAGAAAATCATGCCTTACTATGCATCCCTATTGTGTTTCTCCACCATCTATTTTACTTTTTAAACTTTATTTCATTTTTATCATCACAGAAGCTTATTGCTACAAAATAAATGAGCAAATCAGCCAATGGCAACAAAACTGCACTGATCTCTCTCCTTAGACCTTCAGAACATCTTCCTTATAGGTGAACAATACTCCACGTTCAAGAATTTTTCAGCTCTATGTGCTAGAAACTATACTGACTGTTTATTAATTTTTATGTAAGTTGGTCAATATAGTTTTTCAGCTTCCCCAAGTATTATTACCCTAGTGTTACAGATGACACTGAAGCTCAGAGCAGTTAAACCATTTTCCTTAGATCACATAACTTTAAAGAGGGAAACCAGATATGAAAAGCAGATTTCTTTCTCAATGAAAAAATCATAAGCTCTTGCTTTAGTCTAGCACATAGTCTTATCTGTTTTCTTCACACCAGCTCACGAATGTAACATTCACTCATTTACCAAATACAGATAAATGAGTGGATTTATTCTTGCATCGATCAGATATGAATTCAAAATCTCTTCTGTGTCTGCCACACCGGGCTCAAGACTTGCCAGTGCCTTTGTCTCCTCTCCCTCAAATCTCTCCACCCAATGTCTTGACAAATACTGTAGATCCTTCCTGCATAAACTCTGCAGAATCTTTTTCTTCTGTTTTACTCACCTCCTTCTTTATCCATGCTATGATGTTCATGGAGGATGTTTTCTTCACCATGAAGTGTGAAGGGGATTGAAGCTGCAGAAAGACTCATGCTGTTCACCTCAGGAACTGACACAGTCAATGTGGATAAATCTCAATCCTTTAATATCTTTATGACTTCTTTCTCTTTCTCCCCAGATCCAGTTTTTCCGTTTTCAAGTTCTTTAACATTTAAAACTAAAAACCTTTCCCTAAAATGCTGCTTTTCTACCTGGAATTTTTTCAATGAGTCTTTAGCTTTTATAATATTCTCCCAACATATCTCCAAGCATCCAGGCTTTTCAATCACTACTTCCCTCTGTGTATATTTTACACACACACACACACACACACACACACACACACTCCACTTAAATTGAACAGGCATATTTCTTTACACAGGAATTCCTACAAACATTCCACCCTATACCTACCCTAGGTTTTCTCCACCCTATGTCCACTCTTTCTCTGCATTGCTGAATGTGTTTTCTTTATTCTTTCACTCTGATATGATCTTTGTCTCTTATTCTTTATGCCTCTTATCTGCATTTTTTTGTTATTATTGTTCTGCCATGCAGTTGGATATGTAACTTTTACATGACACACCTTAGCAAGAAGACAACACATGTCTCAGATGTAAGTAAGAAAAACACTCTCCAGGGATTTCCTGGTGTAGTGCTCAGCACCCTGGCCTCATTCCTGAAAGTCCCTCGGTGTGGAAAAAGCAGGAGCTCTTTGCCTTCCAGAAATCTGCATCATCCCACAGCCTCAGCTACAAGAAACAAGTGACAATGCCATCTCTTTTCTTTTAAAAAAATCATTTAAGCATCCTGAGATATCTGTGACACATTAGCTGGGCAGGGTCCTTCTGTGGGACATGTCATTTTCCGTCTCGGAATATGTGAAACTTGACATTTTGGCAACACCAGAGTTTTCCCTTTGTGACTTTCTCCTTGTTCCCTTTTCTCCTCCCTCCTCACAGAGAATAAGTACCCACTGCACTCTTGCCCTGGGCCATCAATGAGAAGATCTGCTCTTAGTGGAGCCCTGCTTTCGCGGTGAAGGCCTTGAAGTCGCGTGTGTTCTAGACTGCCCACTAAGGATGAAAAAAGATGCTGTGAGATGAAGAAGTAGCTCAAGTGGTCGAGTGCTCGCTTAGCATGTGAGAGGTAGTGGGATTGATGCCCACATTCTCCAGGTTTCACTAGTCGGACCTCAGGTCTCCAGGTTACAGTGGAAAAAAATATGTGTTAGACACTGATCTCAGAAAACAGTAGGTTAGACACTGATCTCAGTAGCAGCCTGGACACTTCTTTGGCTCATTATGTAAGGGCAGCAACAATACAGGCTTGACTAAGATTCTACTGGTATGTGGTATAGTATAGATCTATCAGTGTGTAATTAGTTTTCTGTTTCTTTGATGAGCTGTGATACAAAGGGACATATCCAGTTGCACTTATTCTCCCTGTTTCCTCCTGCAGCTTGGTCCTAAATGCAGCATAATTATGGAAAGCGCAGGGCAGAGCCACTCAGGTAAATACAGCCCCAGCTTTCTGATCAGGAGACCGAAACTAGGAGTTGCCAAGTAACCAGGAAAGACACTGTGGAGAGCAAACCTGTCAAGTTGTATGTGAACTCCTGGATGCGCCTGTGAGCTGTGAATAAGTGGCTCTGATCAAAGACAACTTATCTAAAAAGAGCCTGAGAATCGAACTAAGTGATAGCCTACTTTCCAGTCCTCACTGGCCACTGGGTTGCACATACTCCAGAGTCTCTGAATAGCAGTGTTAAGGCTTTGAAAATAGAATTGACTTTGAAACTACAACACACAAGGCTGGCTGGTTATTGGAACTTGAATACAAGGCAAGCACGTGCCTGCAAAAACAAAAATAGCAATATTATCCTTAAGATTTCAACAAGACACAGTGTCTCATCACATAATGCAAAGTACAACCCCAAAATATTCAGCATATGAAGAACCAGGACAATCTTAATTCACTTGGCAAAGAGAATCCTCGAATAACAATACTGAGAAGACACAGATGTTACAATCATCTGACACATACTTTTAAATAGTTATTACAACAATGATCCATGAATGAAAGGATAACACTCTTGAAGTGAATGGAAAATTGGGAAGTCTTAGCAAGTATCTGGAAGCTCTAAACACTGATTTTAACTTAAAAATTAAAAAATGTATTCATCAAAACTATTAGGAGAAAAAAAGCTTCAATGGGTTATTTCAATAACAAAATTGAGACACTCAGAATAAAGTCAATGAACTTGAAAACACAACAAAAATACCAACCTAACCTGAACAATAAAGAAAAATGAGTGCTTTTGCAAATGAACAGAGCCTCCGGGACAAACAGAAAAATAAGAAAAATCTAACACATCATTGTAATCCTGCAGGAAGAAGAGAAAGAGGTCCTCCAGAAAGAAAACTCCGAAGAATTAATGGCTGAAAACATATCAAATTTATCAAAACACTTTAGAAGTTCAATAAATGTCAAGTAGGTTAAACCCAAAGAAATCCATACCCAGACACATCATAATCAAACTGCTGAAAACTAAGGAAAACCATAAAAATCTTGAAGGCAGCCAAATGAAAATAAAAGGGAAACTGCCACTTGAATGACTGTGGACTTCTCATCAGAAACCATAGGGGCCCAAGGAAACATTTACTAAATACCAAAAGAAAAGACCTGTCAACCCAGAATGCTATGTAGAGCAAAAATATCTTTCAGACTAAAGGTAAATAAATACATTCTCACAGGAAGGTAAACTGACAGAATTCATTGCTGGTAGAACTGCTGGACAAGAATTAGCAAAGATTTAAGATGAGAAAAGTGATACCAGAAGGAAACAGGACACCATCAGTGAAGGAACGAAAGCAGAAATAGAAAATATCTGGGTAGACATTACAGACTATTATTCTTCTCTTGAGTTCCTTAAGGTATGTTTCATGATTGAAAGCAAAAATTGTAACTTTATCTGATGCAGTTGTCATTGTATCTAGATGTGCTACATACATAACATAAAAGGGTAAAGGTAAAGGGTCTAACTGCTGATGAAGTTTCTATATTCAACTTGAATGGTAAAATATTGATTCTACGTATACTGTGAAAGGTTATATATGTATATGGTGATCCCTAGACCACTTAGGAACCAGATTTAAATAAACCAAAATAAACTAGGACGAAGAACATAGAAGAATTAAGACAAGGGGAACAAATGATTAATAAATTATTAAAAAGTAGATCTATTGGCTGGGCACGGCGTCTCACGCCTGTAATCCCAGCACTTTGGGAGGCCGAGGTGGCTGGATCACCTTATGTCAGGAGTTTGAGACCAGCCTGGCCAGCATGGTGAAACCCTGTCTCTACTAAAAATACAAAAAATTAGCCAGGCATGAAGCCAGGTGTCTGTAGTCCCAGCTACTTGGGATGCTGAGACAGGAGAATCACTTGAACCTGGGAGGCAGAGGTTGCAGTGAGGGGAGATTGCACCATGGCACTCCAGCCTGGGTGACAAGAGCAAGACTCCATCTCAGAAAGAAAAACAATAGATCTACTTAAAAACTTATCTATAAAAACATTAGATGTAAATGATCTAAAACAATGAATTGAAAACCAGAAATTGTCAGAATGTATTATAAATGAATATGCTGACTACAGGAAAGTCACTAGTAATATACTTATATGTGAGATTAAAAGTTATATAGCATATTGAAAGTAAAGAATGGGAAAAGATATGTCATTTAGGCATTACTCAAAGAAAGCTGTGGTGGATATATTCAAATCAGACAAACCAGATTTTAAATTGTAGAAAACTTCCAGGGATAAAGGGGGCTGTTACATAATTAGAGGTGTCAACACACCAGAGAAATAATGTCCCAAATGCATATAAGGACACAGGGCTTCAAAACTCGTAAGCAAAATTGGATAATCCAGATAAAAATAGAAAAATCCAATTACATTTGCAGACGTTAACAGTCCCCTCTCAGTAACTGATAGATCCAGTAGACAATAAATCAGTAAACACATTTGAGACCTGAACAACATCCATACAGCAATGGATCTAATCAATCAACTTTCTAAAGCAAAATCACAATTTGGGTAGAAAGAAGAGAAAAAAAATAAAAGAAAAACAAGATCATGTTATAACTAGGAAATCAGGAATGTTCAGAGTGCAAAAGAGTGATATATTGAAACTGACATTTTTGAAAGGGTTATTTAGCTGTAAATGACATGACACGGAGACTGAAATCGTAAAACTGGACGTGGATCTTCCCTTCTCCATATTTGTCCTGCCTTCTCTTGAGGTCTGGGCCGCTTGAATCTTTAGAATCTCCTGAACTTACTACAGTATCTGGCACAAAGCATCTTCCCTGTGAATGTGTACTGAATCAATGGAAAGGAATTGACAGGTTCAAAAATGTTGTGCAGGAATAATGTTTACTATTTGACAAATCACTGGATGTGGTGTTTGAAGGAGAAAAATGTGTCAAAAGTTGACTTGGAAACAAAGCCCAAGATTTGGGGAATGAGATATTTGGTGTTTGAATGAATGGGGTGCTGTGGAGAGGAGTAGGGAGTAAGATTGTGAACTGGAGCAGAGAAAGAATCACGTTTTAAAATCTAAAACATCTTCTCAGTTCAAGCTTTGACACTTAGCAGCTCTGGCACCTTGGAAACAAAACTTATCTGAGGTTCCATTACTTCTAGGAAGTGCAGATTAGGACACATAGTTTTGTTGGTGAAACTCTATTGGACTACATGAAGTAAATTCAATAAATCTCTTAGTGTAATTAATGGCATACAAGATTTGCTTTACACTTTTTGTAGCAGGATTGTCTCCAGTCGTGTAGATGCAAGTGGAGATAGAGAGTAAGACACAGTAGTATGGACAGGAGACACCTTTAAAGACTATTTTTTCATTCCTTCATTCGTTCAGTTGGTCAGTCAGTGAACTATTATGGACTGAACATGTCCTGTGTGTCTTTTCAAAAAAGGACACCATAGGAGGTGTGAGAGTGATTAAGATCTCTGAAGGAGGGAGAAGTCAGATCACTGGGCCACAAGAGGGAAAAAGTCAGCAAAACAGGTACAATTGTTCTTGGCCTCTTGCCTCAAGATGGTCGTCTTGTTAGATGAATACTAGAAATGGGTAGATTCCACCTGTCCTGAGGATAAAATTCTTTGGGTGCAGGAATGGCTGATAAAGAGTGATTTCCAAGCACCATTGATTGTGTTCTTTGAAAGTTAAGAACTGATAAAGCAGCAGTGCTTGGGAAAATAGCATGTGGGATGTCAACTCTTGGGTGAGAACTGCCCTCTTTCTGCAGCAGGCCACACATCAATCTCATAATCTAAAGGTTTGGAGTTTGAACATCAGAGAGGATACAGTTTTTGCTGCTATTTCAGTTGAGGGAAACAAAATGGGTGCACTAAATAATGAAATGCAAATGCTATGAGATAACAGTTTGAAGGCTGACTCAACATTAGCTTAGAATGGAAAAGTCATTTAGGTTTTTTGGGTTTTTTTTGTTTGTTTGTTTGTTTGTTTGTTTGTTTTTTGGCTTGTCAGTGGTTTGAGTAAAATGAGTGGTAAAGGGATATAGATTACAGAAGAAACTGCAAGCTATATCATATAATTGGTCTTTCTCACTAGCTGATGGAAGAAACGGGAAATTTTTTGTCGAGCTTTCTGCTCTCAAGGTTACCCAGTTGTAATTATGAGGTGAGTGGGTGAAGTCATTTATTCTTTTATCCTACATGTATTTCTCGAGCACGTATCTTGTTAAGAGACTGTTCGGGGTACAGCCATTCAACAGTGAAAAAACGCATATATTCTTCACCTTTGCGAAGCTACTTTCTAGTTGATAGGGGTGAGGAGAAACAGATCAGAAGCAAACAAGAAAAATACATAAGATGTTATGCGACAATGTCTACTGGGAAGGAATCCATAGGCAGTAAGGGACTTGGGAGTGTGGAGATGGCCCATTCAGAAGCTTTTAGGAGAGGAATCTGAGAAGTTGTCACATTGAAGACATCCTTTACCCACCCTCCACCCCCTCCCCACTCCCCACTCCTGCTCCTTCCTTCAATCATCTTTCTTCACGTGGGAAATGAGGACTGTGGGATAATCTGGCTGGATCCCAGCACCTAGAGAGGGATCTGATCAATAAGAACTGCTCAGTAAGCATTACCTATTGCTTTGGTTGCCTTCCCCTTGCGGAGTGCTGGCCTCTTGGATTGAGCTTGCATCATAGGTGTTCAGAAGGAGCTTGCTTAGTGGATTTACAGGTTGAGGTTAGAACCCACCGGGATTCTCTTCCTGGAAAGAACAGGCTTCCCTCTAAGGTTTCACATAGACCCCGAGTGAGGAAAGAGCCCTAAATTGCTTGAAAAATTGATTGCTCTTTGGGCAAAACAAGAAACCCTCCTATGGAAGGGCATAATTTGGGCATATATCGGGGTCTCAGTACAAAGATGAGTGCTCAAGAGGTCAAGACGCTTAAGCAGAGAATCTGACCGGAATGTTCGTGGTACAGAGAAACAGTCTTGTTGGGAGAAGGATGACAATTGAGGCCTTGGAATATAAGCTAAATAAGCTTCAAAGGGAATACAAAAAAGAATCAGGCACAAATCCTTTACTACATTATTTTGTACAACTCAATTTTTGCCTAGAAAATCATACCTTACTTTGCATCCCTATTGTGTTCCTCCACCATCTATTTTATTTTTTAAGCGTTATTTCATTTTTATGTTCACAGAAGCTTGTTGCTACAACTACATGAGCAAAACAGCCAGTAGCAACAGAAATGCGTTACTATCTCTCCTCAGACCTTGAAAGCATTTTCCTTAAAGGTGAACAATATTCCACATACAAGGAGGTTTTCAGCACTATGTGCTAGAAATTATACTGAATGTTTCTTAATTTTTACGTAAGTCGGTCAATATAGTTTTTCAGCTTCCCCAAGTATTATTACCCCAGTGTTATAAATGACACTGAAGTAAAGGGCATATCACTCTCTTTATTCTGTGTAGGTGTGTCTGCTTACAGCTAAGGATTTCCTAAATTATAGCTTTGTAAACATTAGTTCTAAATCATTCTGATCACTTGAATTTTGAAAATGTCAAAACCAATCACATTAATGTAATAGAAAATAGAGGTTTGAGGTGCATTGGCTCACTGTTTTATTTACTATGGATCAGTGGAGTAGAAATTCCCATCGCGGGAGAGGGTTCATTCCTGTCTCTCGCCTCAGCAAAGTTAAACATTTCAGACCTTTCCTGACTTTGGATCTATTGCGCATGCTCTGTCGTTTACCACTATCCAATCCTGGGGGGCATATAGAGCCACTCAGAGCCTTAGAGGTACGTTCAGTGAAATGGAGCCAATCACCATATAGTGTAGCCTATTGTTCGTCTGACCAAAATGCACTATGTTGCGATAGCATGGATTCTACAGACCCGTGAAGCCCATTTGGACCACAAGACACTCTTTCCATCATGCCTGCACACCTATCCTTCACTCTTCATTGATACATGCAGACTTTTAAAAGTATTTAGCAATAAGCATCCTACCCCCAAGAAGCTTATGATCTCATGGAGAAGATGGCCAAGCAACAGACAATCCCAACATGGTGAATGCCGCTAAAACAAATGCGTACCTGGATCTCCGTGAGTGCTAGGAGGAAAGCAACCCAAACTCAGAAAAGTAGGAGAGGTGTCAGGGAAGACATTTTCCAGAAGATGGTTTCGTGTCTAACAAAGCCGTGAGACGAGCAAAGAGGAGGTGAAAGGCTCAGCGTTCTATGGGGACATTTCCTTAAGTCCAGTATCTCTAGAGTTGAGTGAGGGAAGCTAAAAGAGAGGAAATAGAAATGAAAAATGGGAGTTTTTGAGAGGCTTTACTTACCCTGCACAAGCCAAGGACAGGTCTGCGGGAAGTAAGCAGATGCACAGTTAGGAAAGCCCATATCAGGAGTTAGTCACGACAGAGAAAGATTTGTACGCTTTGGAAATCGTAAAGGAATGAAAAGCCCAGGTCCTTATTTCCGTGTTTTCGCCTCTGTTTTTCACGTTCCTCCCGGATTTCAATTTCTTTCTCGAATCTTAGCTCTCTTCGTCATCTGCTCTTGCAGGAACACTAAACTGCAAACGCAACCGTACGATTCAGCGGACTACGTCCCATCAAGATTACTGGGTACAAATACATTTACTTTCGTGTTCTCTCATGACTTTCTGTATCACTGCCCACAGTTGCTACTGTGAAACATAATTGTTACTGTGAAATAAACATTAGAAAAGCCTGTGGCCCGTACGGGGATCGAACCCGCGACCTTGGCGTTATTAGCGCCACGCTCTAACCAACTGAGCTAACCGGCCCCGCCGGGGGGAACGGACCCTACCTCTCTTGAGGAGTTTAAAGGGGAGCGTTATTCCAATCACCAAAGAAACTTTTCTGAAGTTCTTGGAGTTGGAAAGAACCTACGATCTTTGCTAACTTGGTTACGATCCTCGGCAAATTTCTTCTAACCTGGAAATTTCAGTTAAAATACAATTCTGCGGAAGGAAAGTTCAAATGTCACCTGCTTCAGTGTTTCATGACAAAGGGTTTCAGTGACCACCCTTTTAAACGCAACGCCATCACCGTCCGCCGGTACTGTGGCCTGTCCCTATCACTCCTTTCTACTTTGCTTCCGTAGCTTCCGAGCAACCCGTGAAGAAATTGACGGAAAACGGAAGGAATTGCCGCCAGTTCCTTTCCACGGGCCGTCAAGGCCAATATAAGTCCCCACCCAGGCTCCTCTGCTCGTAACTTCCAGCACGACTCCCACTGTATTCGCCCATGTTTCCCAAAAGTGAGTATTTGATCCCTACCCCACCCCATTTTTAGAAAGCTCAGGAAAACGCTCTCGTATTTCTATCTGAAAAGGACACTTTAGAGAAATACGTTCCATTACAGTCTTTGTGTTCGCATTGTATTCCTTCTCGATGAAACAGGTGTAAGTCCATTGGTATTTTACGCACGACAAGACAACTTTGAAGCCCGACTCATGACCTTTAGATTAAGAAACACTCTCCGGGAGCTCTGCTGATCGCTGGGTCTTACGAGGTTGATGCCTTCTGTCCCAAACAGAACTATTTCCCTGCGTGTTTCCGCCTGGCTGCCCACTTCTCCGGTAGAGAAACAGCTGTTCCTCGGGATTCATTTTTGGAAGTTCTTTGGGTCCTGGGTAATGGGGCCGCATCCTGCAGCGTCGACAAGGTGGTTGAATACGCAGGAACACCCACAGCACCCAGGGACTAATAAATAGCTCAATAGATACATTTCGAATAACTGAATAAAGGAAATCTCAACCAACCCCCTTGCCGTATTACAGATGGTCCAGCTCTCTGCCTAGACTACTGTGCTAATGTCCTGTTCCTTCTCCCGGCTTTTGAACTAGATTCTCACCTCTCTCCAATCCATCTTTCGCAGGGCTGGCCTGTCTTTCCGCCTCACTTCTGAGATTCTATCCATTGCAGCCTCTATGCAAACCGACTCTGGTTAAGATTTCAGTCGGTATGGCTCCCCTCTTCCGCACTTTGCACTGCGAGAAATGCCCTTCCTTGAGGCAGCTGGAGGCCTCCTCCCCCTGAGAGCTTAATTGTGGACACAGCCTTGAGTAGAGGCGAAAAGGAAAGAAGGCTGGGAGATAATGGGGGAAAGCACACCTTTGGTCTGGTTTGAAAGCTGGCGCCCGAAAAGGGGAGCGAAAGGACAAGAAAAAAAAAACACGCTCCGAAAGTGTCTGAGATTGCTGCGGCCATAAAGCAGAGCACTAACCGCGGTACTGATAAGGGAGGGGAGCAGGGCTCCGCCGCCGGGCCTGTGCCCATGGACCTAGGTGAGGACGGGCACTCCTTCCTCCGCGGCCAAACGTTGCATTTCCCAAGACCACCCTGACCCGCCACGCCCCCATCCTGTGCCTATAAAAACTCCCGAGACCCTAGCGGGCACAGACACAAGCGGCTGGACATGAAGAGGAACACACCGGCGGGAGAACACAGAACACGCACCCTTTCTTTTAGTCACCCTGGAGGCCTCGGAGAAGGCGGTTTCAGTGATCCGTGAAGAGACCCCGAGTCTTTTACATCCCGGAGAATGACAAGAGAGCGAGTACCTGGGCGACGTTTACGTTCTGGGATTTCGGGAGATGCGGTTTTCTGCACGCCAGGGGCCAAGCCTGAGACGTAGATGGACGGCAGGGATAGGAGCTCTCTCCGCGCCACAAACGCCCCTGCTCATACCTGGGTTCCTTGATTTTCCTGCCTATATAACCCAGCCTCCCATGGCCGGGCTCTGAGCTCTCATTCTGCGGACTGGGACAAAGGGGTTAACTGTGATGCGCTTTGTATAACCCCAGGATTCTGCACTTGCCCAAGGGCGAGGTGCAAATCAAAAACTACGCACAACTGAACACCGAGATCAGGTGAGTCCTGAGTGTCTCACGACATAAAATCCTTACGATTTTAACAAGAGTTGTATTTGTGCTAGCACTGTTAACTGACAAACGCATGCCAGATCCCATCTGTCTTTAGCTCAATGTGTGACGTTAGACACGTCGTTTTGCTCTTCAACTTTCTTATTTGGAAAAAAAACAAGTGTTCTAGATTTGCAGAGGACATTTTCGGAGCTAAGTTCCAGTAGCTATACTGTAAGTTGATTTCTTGGGCAGTTCTGTTGGTGAGGAAAGAGGGCAAATTGAGAAATGAACAAACACAGAAGTTGCAAAAGCCCTGTGACTTACAGCACAGGACAAGTCTACAAACCCTGCCATGCTACACTAAGCTCTAATTGTTTTAACACCAGCTTACTCAGACCCGATGATCCAAGATAAGACCAAAGCCAAACGGATCCAGCAACTCTGCGCAGATCTTCATGTTCCAGCAGCTAAGTTCCACTGAATAAACCTATGATTCGCCTAGTTTAGAAATTCTGGCCGTGCGCGGTGGCTCACGTCTGTAATCCCAGCACTTTCGGAGGCCGAGGCGGGCGGATCACAAGGTCAGGAGACCGAGACCATCCTGGCTAACACGGCGAAACTCCGTCTCTACTAAAGATACAAAAAAAATTAGCCGGGCGTGGCGGCGGGCGCCTGTAGTCCCAGCTACTCTGGAGGCTGAGGCAGGAGAATGGCGTGAATCCTGGAGGCGGAGCTTGCAGTGAGCCGAGATCGCGCCACTGCACTCCAGCCAAGACGACAGAGCAAGACTCCGTCTCAAAAAAAAAAAAAAAAAAAAAAGAAAAAGAAAAAGAAAAGAAAAGAAAAGAAAAAGAAAAAGAAATTCTGTCCAGTCCCTCCTGAGAAGGACCTTACTAACTTTCCCCCTAAAAGTGTCCTATGAATAGCTCCAGTCCCCAAACCCTTTAAATTCTGGTCTCTGACTCACCCTTGTTTTAGGCAGTACTGGGACTCCACAGAGGTACGGCTCTTTGCTCAGCAAGTTTAATAAATCCAAGGTAGTAGAATCAATTTGTTTTCTTGGTCGTCTTGTTTTGAGGGAGTAGGTCTTCTAAATGTTGATTCTGATCCCTGCCTATGGATATTTATGAATAAATAGATATTTGCACTCCATCATTATGTGGAGCTACAAGTGTTAAATTTAACTATCTAATTACCTCTAAAATAACCACTAAATTCAACAATCTGAAACTTATCTAATTAGTTCCACATCCTGGAATGAAGGGATTTAATAGGTAATAACAGATCTCAGTCTCTAATGGAGACATAATCACACAGACACCAGACGAAAGATGAGTAAAGTGGAAAGCAATAGGTAGAACAATAATTTGCTTTATGCTATGATTTTTGGAGTGAAGCAAGAAAATTAATCAAGGAAACAAAGAAGAAATCCAAGACGTAGTAGTGTTGGATTTGCATTTTTGTCATATGACACTACTTCTATTCTACAGGATTCACTTGGTCTCCATCTGACCTCCTCAGAGTAGACTGCTCTTTCCCAATCACTCCTGCAATTACCCTAGGAGATGTGTGATCCTAAAGTAAGGGGGAATTTTAAATTTACTTCTAAGTACACCTGCATGATGCCATTAGTCAGGGCAGGGTAGCTGAACAAACTCAGCTCTGAATCCTTTAAGCAGAGGTAATAATTACTGACACTATTTAATCGGATTCTGAACATGATGTGCCACTTTTCCTTTTGCGTCTGAAGTGACACCAGCCATTTTCACAGTTTCTTCCACTATGGTTAGTTTGATAAGAGAAATATAAAGGCAAGTATTTTTTTCACTCAGTTCACCTTGGTTCTAAGAGTGGGTTTATATAAAGAAATGGAACGTGCTTCTGCTAATTAATATTCAGGCAGAAAAAGTCATGAATTCCACTACAAACCCATGTCCCTTCTTCCGAAGACATGAGAAATTGATGAGGGTATTCTTTCTTCTGTCGGTAAAACGAAGTCTGGGATATAGATTGCAATATTAGCAGTGCCATAGTGCAGAATTTCTCATAATTAACACTTTTCACTTGAATACATAAGAAAATAGAATTGGAATGCAAAGTTAATAAATTAATCATGTTATAAACAATATGAACATAGAAGCAAAAATTGCATGGTCTTTGGCATGCAGTCTTTGATTTGGGGAATACATTTTTTCTATTGTTATCAGGAAGAAAGAACAGAAACAGTTCATATTCACATGGACTAGACAAAAGTATGCATTTATGTGCTTACTCCAGAGGTATATCAAGTCCCCCAATTTTTCCTAATCTAGTCCAAAGAGAATTGAACTGTCTGGACCATCAGCAAAACATTGGTACACTGTATTGATAGTATCATTTAAATCTTCAATGAGCAAGAAGTGTCAAGTAAGTTATAGATTTTGTTAAGCCCTGCATGCTCCAGAGGGTGGGAGAGAAACACAAAAACCATTCATCGACCTGGTTCGTGAATGAAAGTTTTTAGGATCTGTGAAATTCTGAGACATTTCCTCCAAAGTAAAGTCTCATTGTTGTATCTCGAAGCTCCCGTCACTTAGAAGGGAGCACGGTGCTCACCATGTTTCTCTGAGCTGTGAAAGCGGTGCGTTCCACACTTGGAGACCCTTCTCTGACACATTTACCAACAGATACTGGATTAAAATATTAACAAATTGAATCCAGCATTATCTGTAAAGCATAACGCACCATGAGTTAGGGGAGATTGCCTCGGGAATAAAAAATTAGTTAAGCATTGAAAAGTCAATTAAATGTAATATACTACATTAACAAAAAAAAACGCATGTAATCATCTCACTAGATGCAGAAGAAATATTGGACCAAATTTGCCATTCATTCGTGGTGTTTAAAAAATATCCCAGTAAACTACGTATAGAAGGAAAATTCCTCAGATGAATAATGGGCGTTTAAGAAATTCCTACAACTAGCAATAGAGTTAATAGTGGAAGAATAAATATGTACCCTTTAATATTGGAGAAAAGTGCAAAATATCTGTTCTTACTACTTCTACATTTTACTGAAAGTCCTAGCTAGTGCCAGAAAGTAAGGAACGCATGAATGAAGAATAAATGGCATACTCACTTTAGAATAAGAAAAATATATTCATTTGCAAGCAACATGATCAGATACACAAAAAATCCTAGTGCATCTACAAAAATAAGCATTATAAGTAAATGCAGCTATGTCACAGATTACAATATACAAAAATTAATTGTATTTCTATGTACTAGCATCAAAAAAATGGAAAATTAAATTACCACTTTCAATAGGTTTAAAACAAATGAAATATTTAGAGATAAACTTGTCAATGTGCACAGGACTTGTACCTAGAAATCTACAAAAGATGGCTGAGAAAAACTCAGGAAAACTTGAATAATTGGTGCTGTTTGACATATTTACAGATTGAAAAAGGTAATATTATTAAGATATCATTTTTTTCCCTCTGCGTTGATCTATAGATTTACTACAATCACAACAAATATCCCAGTAGGAGATTTTTGTTTTGTTTGTTTTGTTTTCTTTTCTTTTTGTTTGTTTGTTTTTACAGAAATTGACAAGCTTATTCTGAAGGACCTAGAGTAACCTAAATAATTAGGAAAAGAAAAACAAAGAGGACTTACACCAGGTGATGTCAAGACTTATTATAAAGCTAAGGTAATCAAAATAATGTGGTATTGTCTCAAGGATACTTACCCAGATTGATGGACTAGAATAGATAGTCCAGAAATAGACCAACGTATGTGGTCAACTGATTTATGACAGAGGTAAAATGTTATTTAATGAGTTTTTTAAACAAATGATCCCAGGCAACTGAGTATGGAAAAAAGGATTCCCTACCCTTACCTCACATCCTATACAACAATTAAATCAAAATGGTTTATATACGTAAAGCTTAACATTAAAGATATCAAACTTGTAGAAGAAAAGAAGTCTGCACATATTTGATGTAGGCAAAGCTTTTTCAGAAGGAACCAGAAAAGCATGAGCCCTTACAAAAAAAGATACACTGGATTTCATAAAATATTAAAATGCTTTTTCTTTGAAAGACAATATTAAGAAAATGAAAAGGCAAGACATAGACTTGAAAAGAAATGTAATATATGTCATATGCACACATAGTTGTTATACAACATATGTGTTATGGATACACATATAACAAAGGACTTTTATGGAGAATATAAAACACATTTTAGAACTCAGTGATAGAAACACTCAGTAAGGATAAGGGCAAAAAACTTGAGCAGGCATTTCACAAAATAAGATGCTTATATGGCCAATAGGCACACTAAAAGATGTTCAACAACATTAATCAGTACAAAAATGCAAATTAAATCTATCAAGGATTAATAGGTAACAACAGATTTCAACTCCCCTGAATGGAGAAACAATTAGTAACACAGATATTAGATAAGTTACTTGAAGGATCAATCGATAAAAAGATACTTGGGCTTATTTCCAGGTTTGTGTTCTTAAAAAGTGATGCATTCAACAGAGCATTTGAGGTAACTGCTAATTAGGGACGGTACTTCCTTCTCTTTCATCTAATGGGAGAGTGAAATCAGATTAGAACTAGTGCTTTCCTAATGAGATCTTTTCTCTCTTTCTCAGGATCCCGACTCAGATTGAAAAAGCAGAGGATGGTCACTGCCTTCCAGGTCTGAGGCTGTCTCCCAGAAACTTCATTCCTCGCTTCGCCTTGGTAGGGAAGTTCCCGGAGGTGTTTGAAAAGCTGGAAACTTAAGTGGGACATGGAACGATATTTGTGTCCCAGTTATAAAAATAGGCAGAAAAGACAAAGGTGGTGTGGGGGAATTAGCTCAAGCGGTAGAGCGCTTGCTTAGCATGCAAGAGGTAGCAGGATCGATGCCTGCATTCTCCAGCTTCTTTTAATCCCTAGGCTACCAATGGTATCTGGTAAATACTTTCAGCGGATTTACCGCTCTTTGTTTAACTCAGTTTCATCTTGTTATGTACATCTTTTTTTTTTTAAGGAAATTATACATAGTATTCCATGCGAAAGCAAAAAAGGAAGCGATTAGTCACAAGTGAGTTTTGCCAATACAGGTTTTGGGGCTTCAGCTCGAAGTTAATACAATGTATTTTTGTGGGGAAATCAAACTTTAGCCTTTTGGGTACAAAATATGAGAAACAGCCTAGAAATAGTGTCAGGAGGCAAAAGCAGGAGACTTGAATGTGCCAACCTTTTGCTTTTATTCACATTGACAACACATGGTCAGGTAGAGGATGAAAACGTGTCTTCTATCAGATTATCTGAGAGTTGGCCAGGCTCCCACCTTCACTTATACTCCTTCCTTACCTCTCTCCTGTGTAGGTAAGAGAGGTAAGGAGAGAGGTAAGGAAGGAGTATAAGTGAAGGTGGGAGCTAGCATATTAACTCTAGTGGTCGGATACACTCTCACTAAGAAAAGTGACATTTATTCCTTCTATTCATCTCTCTGAAAGCTCGTTCTGACAAAAATGTGCTTAAAATAAATGGGGACCTAGGTCTTCCTCTAATTTCCAAGATGAACCAAAATGTAAAAAAATGTATTTTTGAAATTGCAACACTATCCCCTATTTAAAGAAACTACATGAGGCGCTGTATTAACAACACATATGTTGACTAGCTCAACTGGCCCAAGCAGAGCTCAGAATGCTGGAGAGAGTGGTCTTTGGATAGATGACTCCAGGAAGCTCTTGTAGGTCCCTGGGACGTGCCCCTCTTTCCATCCTTCTTTCTTTCCCATCACTCAAATCTCTCTCTGACACCATTTGACTTCTCAGCATTGCCCTTTGTTAATCGTAATAGAAAGACAATGTTATTGATTACATGTTTTTCTATTTTATCTTCTTATTCATAAATGATCTCAAAAATGAATGTCATAAATAATAAACATGTTGTTGAATTTTTGTCCCATAGGAGCAGCCTCTTTCATTCTCAGGATGTGCTCTCCTAATAAACTGGGACCGTGAAGGAGGGACCTGAAGCTGCCCCAAACCACCTGCAGGTCCATGAAGGCCATGCCTCCACCCACTAATCACTCTGAAAGTAGTGCCCCTCCACTCTTCCCCAACCACATTTCCTTTTCAGGCAAAAACATTTCTATGGGTTTGTTAGACCCTAGCTTCTAATCCTTTCTTCAGTCTTTACTGATCTGAAGCCACTCTCTCCTTTGAGGCTTCTAAATTATCTGTATAGCCTTTCTCCATTCAGCAAATTTTCATCAGGCAAAAATCCTACTTGACGCTAGTTATACTCAGAGTAAAATAACTATTTTCCTGTCTTAAATGAGAATTCTTCACAGGTGGAAAGCAGATTTGGAATCCACTACAACTCCAAGGCAGTGGAGCTAATGTAGCCTCCCCTGGGCTACAGGGGAAGCCTTCTTCTGTGGGCCTGGGAATTGAAGAACTAGACAGGCATAAGAAGGACAAGTGTGGTGCCCAATGGAGCAAGAGAAGGGGGGAGGAAGGTGACAGGGAAGGGAAATGGCAGGAGAAGCACCTACACAGCAGACACGGTATAACCTGCATCTGTTTTTCCTTTTGGCTGAGAGATCCCTGAGCTCTGTGGTGACAATTTTCCATAATTTTTCATATAAAAAATGAAGATTATAAACTATTTCTAGGCATTTTACCTGCATTACTATTAATATGTGTACAGCATCTAAAATAGGGCCTAGACGGCAATTGCACAGTACTATTACTTGCTATTGTTGTGGCACTTTCTGTGTGGATCACTGGCCTCATCCACTGTGCCTGGTGCTGAAGAAGTGCTTCAGGAATGAATCCACAGATTGAGATGAAAATTCACAAGCTTTCTCTTTCTCAACTCCTCCAAGGTTCTCCATCACTTTCTGAGTCCTACAGGAGGAAAGTGCTATTGAAGATGAGGCGCGTATGGCGTGAAGTTCTGGGGCTGGGAGAAGCTGCCCCGCTACTTCCGGGTGGCCTTGCCTGCAGGGAGCAGGTGAGGATCACAACTCTAGAGCGGGCTGGAATAGCTGTGCCCGCAAGCCAGGCAGTTCCAGGTGGTGCTTCTCCAACTGGAACGTGCTCTCTAATTCCGAGAGATGAAGAAGGCGAAATTGGGAAGTGAGGAGAGAGGTCTCCCTCATGACCTATTTTGGAAATCCGTATTCTTCACACTCTCAGGCTCGTAGAAGTTTGCCCAAGGCAGTATCTGAGAAGCTCCGCCCTCAATCTTGTCCTGCCAGGGATTTGGCGGCCCAAAGTACCGGCAGGCTCCTGATAACCAGGAAAATGGGTGGGGTGGCGGGCCTCCTCAGTGAGGAATTAGCTCAGGCGGTAGAGCGCTCGCTTAGCATGCGAGAGGTAGCGGGATCGACGCCCGCATTCTCCAGTTTCTTATCTGGTTTATGTCTCTTAGTTTGTATTCCCCGTTGTTTCTCCTGTTGACGACATCTGTGCCTCTTATCTGGGAGAAGATCAGAGGAAACTGCCGCCTCCCCCAAGCACGTGTTTTACTGCTCCCCATGTAAGAGTCTTGTTGCCCCTGCTTCCATCCTCCCATCTTTTCCACTCCTGCCACAGGTTTGGCACTTCTAGCTACTCAGGTCTTAATGCAAATTTCCCGTCTTTAGACAAGTACAGCTAAAAGTGATGCCCACACGATCTCTCAGTTCCTACTACATCTTCACAAATATCGTCTCCTCCAGAAAGTATGTCTTTAAGATACTGGTTTGTTTTTCTCTCCCCTAGAGTGGGAGCTTCCTGAGTACCGAAACGCTGTCTATGTACACTGTGTTCAACTCGCTTCATCCCCATGTGTAGAGTTAAAGTTCTGTAAAATACGGTTACTGCCTTGAACAGATAAGGAAACAGGGAGATCAAAGACAGAGCAATACTTAAAAACATTATCCTGCCACATTTCTAAAATCTTAATAATAGCATTCACTAATGTTTTTGGTTTTTCTTTGTGCTTTCTCCATATCCCCTTATCATTATTATTATTATTTTACATTTGGCTGACCATTTTACACTTCTTTTTCAAATGACCAATCAGATTTTGCAATTTTCTAGTTAATTCCTGTGTTTCCTTCACCATTCTATTTTCTTTTTTTTTCTTTTTCTTTTTTTTTTTTCGGGCGGCTTCTTCTTCTTCTTCTTCTTCTTCTTCTTCTTCTTCTTCTTCTTCTTACTTCTTATATTTAATGCACTGATTTCTTCTAATGTTTTGTAACTTGGGTATTCAAGGTGTAATTTAAAATGAGAAAGCAGTTTCTACAGAATCCTTAGAAATATGTCATTATAAGTCCCCATTTTCATTATATTCTAAGGAGCTTGAAGATATACTTTTGATTCTTTTTAAACTGTGCATTCGAGAATTAATCTCTTCTTGTTTACTTTTATGTTCAGTCTTTCAATGTTATTTTCTAATTTTTGTGTATCATTTTATTTATCAACACATAAATATATACATTCACATAAGTATACGAGTTATATATACATGTATTTATGAACGGCAGCTGAACCACACATTAGTGCTAATATTGGTGACTAAAAGTTGGAGAACCAGACATTATGTACCTCATAAAGCGAAGCAATGGAAAGTGCACAAGCCCACCTATCAAATTGTCTTGTTAAAAGATTTGAAGCTGAATCTAAGTGAGCCTCTACTTGTAACTACCAGTTTACAAGAAATAGAGTAGATTAAAAAACATGTCAAGGGGCAGGAAATAGATACAATGAAATAAATACAACATAGAGGTGTTTCTAAGGATAAAAGGCCCAGTTCCTTCAACAATTAACTGGCATTAACTCTTTATGATACTATAATGATAAATATATGTCATTATATATTTGTTAAAAAAAAAAAACCCAGGATGTATAACACAAAGAGCAAACTATAATGTAAACTGTGGACTTCAGTTAACAATAATGTATTACTAATTACTGGTTTACCAGTTGTAACAAGTGTACCATACTGATGCAAGATGTTAATAATAGGGAAAATTGTAAGAGAGGGAGAATGATGGAGTTTATGGAAACTCTATCTATTCTGATCAATTTTTCTTTAAACCCAGAACTTCTCTAAAAAATAATGTCTATCAATTTAAAAAAAAAGTCTATCAATTTAAAAAAATAATATCCATAAAAGAAAGACCAGGGACCTTTTATGGATGAAAAGAGTCTTAAAAAACATAAAAATCTGTAGATTTTACTTTATTATTTATAATCAGCCATTAAGAGAAATTTTTTTTGTATGGGTGACAATCAGAAAAAAAAGTTAATATTAGATCATATTTATGATCTATTACCAATTTATTAACAACAAGTACATACACACATGCAAAACACGGCCCTAAAATGTCCTAGTTCTCTCAAGCTATTGATTTCATCCTTATCTCTGCTGCTGAGTTCAAGAAAGTGAAATGTGTAATGGGTATCTCTCCTTTCCAACCTTCCTTCCAGTTCACAACCTAGTGCTGTCCACTTGCATGGGATGTTTCTTTTCCATCACAATGCTCTGAGATAACGAAGTCGAGGGAAGTTTGTGCAGCCCTCCAGACCCTCCAGATTTCAAAGGAAAGCCCACCGCTGCTGGTCTGGGGGAGCTGATGGCCTATTCATGGATGAGATGGACTAAGGACAGTGGGAAGCACAATGGACCAACAGTATTGTTGGAGGGGACTGCGTGAGGAAGCAGGAGCCTAAACAACACTCTCCAGATACTGCGTGAACACTGTCTCCAGAGGGGTCTTGTAGCATCAAAAATTAAAGCTAAATGTTGATTTCTTTCTGGTAATTATTTTGTTCAGCAACCTGGAAAAACGAACAAAAATTATCTCATTCCCTTTCCTATCTAAAGTCTGAAATATTTAATTAAAATGATAAAATTTAAAAAAGTGTTTATTAGGCCAGGCTCGGTGGGAGGCCGAGCCGGGGGGCGGGGGAAAATCACTGGAGGCCAGGAGTTTGAGACCAGCCTGGCCAACATGGCGATACCTCATCTCTACTAAAAATACAAAATTAGCTGGGCGTGGTAGTGCACGCCTGTAATCCCAGCTACTCGGGAGGCTGAGGCAGAAGAATCGCTTGAACCTGGAAGGTGGAGGTTACAGTGAACCGACATCGCACCACTGCACTCTCAAAAAAAAAAAAAAAAAGTCTTTATTGAAAGTTTTAAACTTAAAAGTGCTCTCACATATAAATACATCATTTTCTCTATATACATGATTTTTGCAAGTATACATGTCTAGACACCCTAGGAATGGTGGTGCCGTGGTGTGAACGTGGAGCCTGGAATGGCCAGCCCCAAAACCTCCTCCTCATCAACTGTTGACTCATCAACAGTCAGTCAGTAATCATAACTTCCTTAAAATACAAGAGCCGCAGAACATTCCGGGATATCTGTGCTACTTAATCTGGCAGTTCCTACTGTGTCTTGCCCCAGGTGTGACGTGCTCTCTTCCATGAAATTAATAACTGCAAACTGTAATGGGAACAAGGCAATTGATTGTCTCCGCACTCTTGCCCAAAGCGTTCTCTGAGATGTTTGGTAGTTATTTGGGTCCTTACTTGATCTTCGTGGCCTTAAAACAAAGGGAATATGGCATTTGTGAATCTGAAAGACTTGTGATAATTTTCTCATTTCCTCCAGGCTGTGCGCATCACCCTGAGTTTGCGGAGGGATCAGCCCTTTTTCAGAGCCCCCTCACGTCCTGAGTATCATCCTCAGAATGTGGGGCTTGGGCTCAATTTGAAGAGGGTGTGAGGGAAAGCCAAAATGCAGGGATTGTCCCACAGTGCAGTCCTGCTTTGTAAATCCCTTCCTCTGACTAGCTTGATTTTAGTCTCTGAGAATGGATGGGGTGGGATGGCTTTTCAGTACTTTCTGCTGAGATATTTTTGTACATTCATTTCTCTCTCAAGGAGCCTCTATAACAAAAGAGAAAAAACTGTCTCGGGTTCTGTGTGTGGCACATGAGTTTGAAGGATTTCTGAGACTATTGTTCAGGACTGGCGTTACAGATGAAATATAGATTCAGGACCAGTGACGATGGGATCCTTGGCAGGCGGACATAACGCCTCGTTAAGGACAGACTGCCCACCACTCTCTTTCTTTCTCTCTTTCCGAATTCATTTTCTATAAATTCCACTGGGTATCAGAACCTTCCTTAGGCTGACTGGCGCTTCGCAGTCTCCCCTCCAAGCCCGGATCTGTTCCCCAAAATTCTCTCGTTCATGCTTCTAGCTTCTCTTCTTAGCTTCTCTAGGTTCTCTTCTTAGCTTCTCTAGGCTTTCCTTGTTTCCCAGGTTGAATCCCCAGTTCCAAGCGGCTCCTGTAACAGGGAGTGGGAGCCCACCCTCCCACTCGCCGTGTAGCACTCTGCATCTCTGAGAAGAAAGTGACCACCCCAGCCCAGCACAGATTTTCTTCGTCTTTGAGCACCTGCTCGGAGTTCCCGCCCCTCGTCACTCCTTGGTTTTCCCTCATTGCCTACATAGAGTCTGTTGGATGTCGGTCAAGGTATACCCAGCCCCTGCCATGGGAACCTTTTGGGGAAAAACAGACCTGATTTATTTATACTTCAAAGATGCCCAATGATTCCCTGTCGTCTGTGTACCATAAAAATAAAAACAGATAAAAATAAGAAGATCAATGTATTCGACATCTACACCCAGGCGTACAGCTCTCAGATGATCAACTGGGAAGCGACTGTTGCCCACCCAGAGGGAAGAAAGGAGCAAAGCCGGAGGATGCGGACGCAGACCCTGCAGGCCGCTGCCTCCCAAGTGAGCGGGTTACAAATTCCGCTAACCTCAGCCCCCTACCCCGCTATTGGCTATTTGAGGCATGTGGGGGATTTTTCCGGACTAGAAGTCTTGTGTTCCACCTGGTTTTTCGGGACCACTCAACATTCCTGAGCTCCATCCCTGCCAAGGTGGAGCCAGCACAGGACTGCAGGCGGAGTCTCCAGACTCATCCAGAAACAGCCACTGCGCGGAGCCGGGAGCGCGTGTCAAACGAGCACCCACAGAAGCTCTGGGCCCGACACGATTCCACTTGCTTGATATTTCAGAAAAGAAGGAATTATACCCCAGCTGTAAAGGGAATATGGGTTACAGCTATAACAAGTACCGGGAAGGTAAGCGTTCCTTGCAAAAGCTGCCTTTTCTCAGGCTCGAACATCAGGACCTTCAGATTATGAGACTGACGCGCTGCTCACTGCGCTAAGAAGACGACGAAGTGCAACGGCGCGCCAGCTTCCACAGGAATTTCCTAATTTCTTTCCCCAGGCGGGTTATTTTGGTACTTCAGTTTTATTCGCCCAAGGTCGCTAGTTTTCCAAGATTATTTCCAATAGGCACGCGTAGGATCCTTTTTAGCCCATAGGAAGAACCGCACACTCGGAAGCCATAGTGTACTGAACAATTATGCCTGATCTCATTTTCTATTGATCTGGATCTTCGTCCCCTCAGATATATTAGGCAATATTTACTGTCCAGTTCCGTTAGTTGGAATAGCGGGCTCTCACTAAATGCTAGTTGAATGAATGAAAAGCTCCCAAACATGCCTGCAGTTTACACTTACCTCTCTTAATTTAAATTTGCATTTCCACTTATGTCACCTGAGATAGTCCCCTCAAAATATCACCAACTGATTTTATGATGAGTCTTCAT